>NC_000001.11:150684587-151309587 GCF_000001405.40 Homo sapiens
CATGGGTTCTAATCTATAGCTGAAGAGTGAACTGACAAGAAAAATAATGACTATTTGTACACTAGACCTTCTGATGTGATTATTTTAATTTTTTTTTTGGAGAGAGTTTCACTCTTGCTGCCCAGACTGTAGTGCAATGGTGCGATCTCAGCTCACTGCAAACTCCGCCTCCTGGGTTTAAGCAATTCTCCTGCCTCAGCCTCCCAAGTAGCTGGGATTACGGGCATGCACTACCACGCCCAGCTAATTTTTGTATTATTAGTAGAGATGGGGTTTCACCATGTTGGCCAGGCTGGTCTCAAATTCCTGACCTCAGGTGATCCACCCGCCTCGGCCTCCCAAAGTGCTGGGATTACAGGTGTGAGCCACCATGCCCAGCGATAATATGATAATTATAATTAAATATTATTTACTTATTCGTTAAACATATCTTCCTTTTGCCAGTTGGGTTATTCAAACTTCTTACTTGGACTTGTTGCCCTTTATGACTAGAATATCTTGTTTCAAAAAGGAGAAGAGAAAAATAATGTATAGAATTTTCCTATTTCCTCCTTAATATTTGAGGCAATGGAATGGAAAATTTGAAGTAAAAATAAAACTAATAAAATCATTCAGAATTCCTTACAGTAGTATTTTCCCTTTTTCTGACATTATTGATGCCTAGTTAATGTTTTTTATAGGATCCCAAAATCTTTTTCCAGGAGTGAGCTTTGCTGGGGTATTAAACATTTGAACAAGAAAGATATGGATAAGACCTGAAAAATAACTCATATGCCAAATATTATTGTGAAACATAATAATCTTTTATCTTAATAGGAGGCATAAATTAAAATCCATATGAATCTGGCCAGATGCAGTGGCTTATGCCTGTAATCCCAGCACTTTGGGAGGCTGAAGCAGGTGGATCACTTGAGGTCAGGAGTTTGAGACTAGCCTGGCCAATATGGTGAAACCCTGTCTCTACTAAAAATAAAAAATTAGCCAGGCGTGGTGGCATGCACCTTATAGTCCCAGCTACTCAGGAGGCTGAGGCAAGAGAATTGCTTGAACCCACGAGGTGGAGGTTGCAGTGGGTTGAGATCGCACCGCTGCACTCTAGCCTGGGCAACAGAATGAGAGTCCATCTCAAAAAATAAAAATAAAAATATAAAAAATAAAATCCATAAGAATCTATTCAAGGAGGTGAAATTATTTGGGTCACACTAAACAGTTAACGATCCTGAACAATTCTCTTTATTTCAGGAAGAAATACAGAGAAACATGTGAAACTTGCTTTGTAAGTATGTCTTTTTTTTTTTTTTTTTTGAGACAGAGTCTTGCTCTGTTGCCCAGGCTAGAGTGCAGTGGCGCAACCTTGGCTCACTGCAACTTCTGCCTCCCTGGTTCAAGCAATTCTCCTGCCTCAGCCTCCCGAGTAGCTGAGATTACAGGTGCGTGCCACCACACCCGGCTAATTTTTGTATTTTTAGTAAAGATGGGGTTTTACCATATTGGCCAGGCTGGTCTTGAATTCCTAACCTCATGATCTGCCTGCCTTGGCCTCCCAAAGTGCTAGGATTACAGGCGTGAGCTACCGCACCCAGCCAGCATGTCCTTTTTAAACTGCAAAGTCAGATATTTGTTTTTGTTTTGTTTTTCCTGTTTTGAGACAGAGTCGTGCTCTGTGGCCCAGGCTGGAGCACAGTGGTGTGATCATAGCTCAATGCAGCTTCGAACTCCTGGGCTCAAGTGATCCTCTCACCTCAACCTCCTGAGTAGCTGGGACTATAGGTTCACGCAGGGCTGTTTTCATTTTTTTGTAGAGATTGGGTCTCATTTTGTTGCCCTGGCTTGTCTTGAACTCCTGGCCTGAAGTAATCCTCCCATTTTGGCCTCCCAAACTGCTGGGAATACAGGCAGTGAAACACCACGCCCAGTTGCAGAGTCAGTTTGAATGTAAATTCCACAATTTATTGCCCAAATGATCATTTAACTTTGACTCCTATAAAGAGAATGATACCTGCCTTGCAGGATTAAACAATAGAAACTGCAAAATGTTTTGAAAATAAATTATACAAACAAAATATGGAGGCAAAAGTGATGAAATGGCTGACAGCAAGTTTATAGGCACAGTGGTTACAGCCAAAATCCCAAATTCAAGTGGGCAGCTTTGTCTCAATATCAATACTAGATATTTTATATTTTGGGAGAGTACTGTGTGCATTTGGGGATTGGAAGAATTAGGGAGAAGATCTTAATGAAATAGCTTAAGCTATATTTTCCTACTATTAAAACAGGTCTTTGGTCTTCCAGTTTATTTCCTTTTATACCAATAGTAAATAGTTATTTGGGGTTAATATGCCTGGATATAATAAAAAACAAAAGTTAATTTTTTTAACAGCTTATGTTTAAAGAAAAAAACCTGACAAACAAGCCCTTCTGATACAGTTGCCCTATTCACAATCGCAGTAGCTACTGGGAGACTTATTGTTCATTTTGCGCGATTAGGAAACTAAAAGGAAAGACCAGGTAGTAACTTAAATTAGACTTTTAATTTTTTTTTTTAAGACAAGGTCTTGTTCTTTGCTCGGCCTGCTATTAATATTTTAATTATAATAAAATGCTTTAGGATTGAGTCACTTTTTAAGGCGGCCAATTTTCTTCATTCATAGCCAATAATCAACAAGTTGGACACTGACTGACTGTGACTGATTTTAAAAACCTTTTTGGGCTGGGCGTGGTGGCTCACATCTGTAATCCCAGCACTTTGGGAGGTCGAGGCAGGCGGATCACCTGAGGTCAGGAGTTCGACACCAGCCTGGCTAACGTGGTAAAACCCCGTTTCTACTAAAAATACAAAAAATTAGCCGGGCGTGGTGGTGCATGCCTGTAATCCCAGCTACTTGGGAGGCTGACACAGGAGAATTGAACGCGGGAGGCAGAGGTTGCGGTGAGCCAAGATCGTGCCACTACACTCTAGCTTAGGTAACAAGAGCGAAACTCTGTCTCAAAAAAAAAACAAAAAAAAACTTTTTGATTAGTGAATTTTTTTTACCAGCTTTAAAGAAGCTTTTACTTCTAATCTCCTATTGCTAATAAAGATGAACTATACTTGATGGAGGATCATCAGCAGCTTGAAAAAGCGTAGCATTAACATACTTTATAATTAAAAATACATATGAATTTCATACGTATAATTCCCATACGTATAGTGGATAACAGTAGATTGTTTGAAAAAAGATAACTGACAAGTACCAGGAGAATTTTAGCAGCACTGTTCATAATGAACTCTTGAATGTGCATTAACCCATAGAATGAATAGTGGTATATTCATGTAATGAAATATTAATCAGGATGAACTGGATTAAACTATATGCAACAACATGGACAAATCTCACAAACATTATATTGATCAAAAGAATACATTAAAATATTAACCCAATAAAATAGAGTTTAAAAACAGGCAAAACTAAAATATATTGTTTAGGGATATACATACATGTCAAAACTACAGGGAAGTGGGCAGCATGTGATTAGGGGCAGGCATAAGAGAAGCCTTCCAGGATGCTGATATTGTTCTATTGGTGATTACATGACTGTTGGCTTTCAAACTACTTGTTAAACTGTATATATGTGCTTTATACAATTTTCTGGATACACTGTATTTCACAATTTTAGAAAACTTAAACAATAAAGCATGTAACTGGATGTTCAGCTCTCATACTTCAGTTTTAAAACACTGGAGTTCATTAAAAGGAGATGGGATGCTTTCAGACATCTGTGGTTATTCCAGTTGCACATCACTGAAATTATTAGGAACATCCAGTTGATGTTCTTTTTTCCTAGAACCTGTCTCTTTACAGACTAACTCACTCTTATTCCAGTTAAGAGTTATTACCTCCTGGCGGGGCGCAGTGGCTCACACCTGTAATCCCAGCACTTTGGGAGGCCAAGGCAGTTGGATCACCTGAGGTCAGGAATTCAAGACCAGCCTGGCCAACATGGTGAAACCCCGTCTCTACAAAAATACAAAAATTAGCCGGGGATGGTGGCAGGTGCATGTAATACCAGCTACTTGGGAGGCTGAGGAAGCAGAATCGCTTGAATCCGGGAGGTGGAGGTTGCAGTGAGCCAAGATCACGCCACTGCTTTGCAGCCTGGGTGACAGAATGAGATTCTATCTCAAACAAACAAACAACAAAAAAAAGAGTTATCACCTCCTGTAAGTCTTTCCCAACATCTCTTCTTCCCTCTCCTACTGCTCCTTCCCACCACCCATCTGATTTACGTGCTTTTCCTCTGTGTTTCCTTCCTACTCAGAACACACTTATACACATATCACATTGTTCTGAAATGGTCTGCTGACTTTCTGGCTTCTACTCCCAGCATCTCCAACCATCCCTATGCCACTAAACCATAAATTGACCTCAAAAGCAGGGACAATTGTTTTTGTTCTCTCTTTCTATGACATATGAGTCATTCAATAAAATTTTTGGTGATTAAACAAATAAGTGAAAATGTATTGCCATATTTCCAATGGATAATACTTCTTGCCAATTTTTACCACAGTGACATGAGAAATATGATGAAAAGCTTTTCTTTCACAGTAAGTAGTAAGTATTCAATAAATGGCATTACTAGGAGAAAGCTTTCCAAGAAAGAGAGGATGGTTGAAAAACATTATCCACAAATTAAATAGATGAGAAATGAAAAGACCACTAGGAGTCAAAAGCAGTAATTGGCTTACTCCCCTTACAGGTAACTTAAGAAACGATTCTAATAAATGAAAAGTTTTATACATTAGCAAGTCAATTAAAACACTGTTCATGAGTTAATAATCTATATCAAAACTCTTACCAAAGGCAATAATAACAAATAAGCAGATTCCTGATTTCAACAGGAGATAAACCTATTTTATTTTGGTCAGGCTTGTGCTCAATGTTTACTTTCTCAGTTGAGGTCAGTGTTATTGAACTGAGATAGTATCTAATTTTAACTGTGCTTGAAAGGTTATACTCTTCAAATTATATTTAAATTTCTTGATTGTTTTCATAAGACAATGATACTTAATATTTAATTTAATTAGTTTATATTTTTTGAGGCAGTCTTACTCTGTCACCCAGGCTAGAGTGCAGTAGTGTGACCTTGGCTCATTGCAGCCTCTGCCTCTTGGGTTCAAGAGATTCTCCCATCAGCATAGCTAGGATTACAGGTGCATGCCACCACACCCAGCTAATTTTTTTTTTCCTTTAGTAGAGATGGGGTTTCACCATGTTGGCCAGGCTGGTCTCGAACTCCTGGCCTCAAGTGATTTGCCCGCCTCAAACCTCCCAAAGTGCTGGGATTATAGATGTGAGCCACTGCGTCTGGCCAGATGCTTAATATTTTAAAACCAGTCTGTGGTAGTTACCCCTCAGAAGAATTTTTTTTTTTCTTTTAAGACAGGGTCTCACTCTGTCACCCAGGTTGGAGTACAGTGGCACAAACACAGCTCACTCCAGCCTTGAACTCCTGGGCTCAAGCAATCCTCTCGCCTCAATCTCCCAAGTAGCTGAAACTGCAGGTATGTGACACCATGCCAGGCTAATTTTTATATTTTTTGTAGAGATGAGGTCTCACTATGTTGCCCAGGTTGGTCTAGAATTCCTGGCCTCAGGCAATCCTTCTGTCTCCCAAAGTGCTGGGATTACAGACAGGAGCCACCGTGCCTGCTTGAAAGACACATAGTTTCTAAAAAAATGATAATACTGGGTTCTAAACAGAGGATCTTAGGGAACTCTCCAGTAAAAGTTTGGGAGTTTGGGACACAAAATTTAACATTTAGGATTTTTTCCTTTTTTGACTTGTCACAAATCCCAAACCATGTAAAAACAAGCAATTATATACACATTAAAACATACTCACAAAGAACATAAAAATGTTATTAAGCCCTTAATTTGGACACAAAAATGAAATGGGCTTTGCTGTTTTCATTAGGCTGATTCTCTTTTCCCTAAAGGAAAGAGTCTAAAAGTCTCTGCCTGGTAACAAAATCTATAATCTGGTCCAAATCGAATTTACTGATTTTGAATCCCATTGTTCTCCACCTACTTCAGTCATACTGGCCTACTCACAGTTATCTCCCAAACTCATCAAGCTCATGATACCTTTGCTCACTCAGGTTCCCTCATCCAGAACGTGTTTCCTTTTCTCCATTCATGTTAATCCTCCCATTTTTAAAGGCATGGCTTGTTTTACTGCCTTTTTCTATTCTTCCCCGGATTACTCTATCTCATGATGGTTTCTCCTCTCTCTAACTCCCTTGGCTCATTCTAACATGCAAAAACTTGCTTTTTATTGTTGTTTACTTTAAAAAAAATATTTTGCATTGTGAAATATAATGTACACACAGAAGAATAAACAAAACAAAGTAAAAAGCTTAATTATTCCAAAGTGAAGATCTATGGCCCAGGTGCAGTGGCTCACGCTTGTAATCCCAGCACTTTGGGAGGCCAAGGCAGGTGGATCACTTGAGATCAGGAGTTCAAGACTAGCCTGGCTAACATGCTGAAAACCCTTCCCTACTAAGAATACAAAAATTAGCCAGGAGGGACAGAGCAAGACTCCGTATCAAAAATAAATAAATAAATAAAAAAGGCCGGGAGCAGTAGTTTACGCCTGTAATCCCAGCACTTTGGGAGGCCACACCTATAATCCCAGCACTTTGGGAGGCCAAGTTGGGTGGGTCGCCTGAGAGGTCAGGAGTTCAAGACCAGCCTGACCAATATGGTGAAACCCCATCTCTACTAAAAATACAAAAATTAGCCAGGCATGGTGGCGGGTGCCTGTAATCCCAGCTACTCAGGAGATTGAGACAGGAGAATTGCTTGAACTCGGGAGGCGCAGGTTGCAGTGAGCCAAGATGGTGCCACTATACTCCAACCTGGGTGACAGAGCAAGACTCTGTCTTAAAAACAAAAACAAAAACAAAAACAAAACTATGAAACTTCCTCTAGGTCCAGAAACAGAAAATTGTTACTATCTAGAAATCCTCTCCATTTTCCTTCCTAATTACTAACACCCTTTTCCTTCCCCTATCCCTTACAAAAAGATAATCACTATTCTAAAAACTATAGTAATTCCTGGCTTGATTTTGTTTATAATTGTACCACCTAAATATGCAACCTCAAATACAATAGTTTTTTGAGTTTCATATAAATGGAATCATACAGTATGTATATTTTTGTGTTTGGCTTTTTTTATTGAACATAATGTGAGAAATATACATGTTGTATAACAATGTTCATTTTCATTCTGTATAGAAAACATATTTATACTCATTTAAACAAATGGATGACTCTTTTTTTTTTTTGATGATTCATTTTTATCCATTCTGCTGTTGATGGACCTTCGGGTTACTTAACTTTTAAAAAGTATGTATCTTTTTGTCTCTCCAGCTAGAATGCAAGTTTCTTGAAGGCAGGGACCATATACTATACTATTTTATATTTACCTTAGTATTAATATTTAGCATAATCCTAAGCACATAATGGGTGTCCTCAATCACATTAAATATTGATTAAATGAATCTATTGATAGTTTGAGAGATAAGAAAAAAATAAGTACAGTTGGGAATCAATTTAATATTTTTAGAGATAGTTATGTAACTGGCCTTTTGTAACTACTACTATTTAAATAAATCACAAAGTTTGACCTCTTCTATTCATTTACACCTAAGGATTTATTGTCTTTTATTCTTCCTGAGCCAAATGAAAGCTAAATATTTGTTAACTATCCTCAAAAATAAAATTAGAGCAATTCAAAAGGTGGTTAATTGTTATGTGCTATTATTTATTATTTTTTGAGGCCTTGCTCTGTTGTTCAGGCTGGAGTGCAGTGACACAATCCTGGTTCACTGAAGCCTCGACCTCCGAGGCTTAAGCCATCCTCTTGACTCAGCCTCCTGAGTAGCTAGGACTACAGGCATGTGCCACCATGTCCAGCTAATTTTTTTGTTTTAAATTTTTTGTAGAGATGGTGTCTCACCATGTTGCCCAGGCTGGTCTTGAACTCCTGGGCCCAAGCAATCCTCTTACCTTGGCCTCCCAAGTGTTAGGATTACAGGAATTAGCCATTGCATCCAGCCATCTGCTTATTTTGTACAGTATCTCACCAATATGTTAAGTACTCACCATGGCCATAGCTCTTAATGAGCTGCTTTATTTTTTATTCTATTTCCTAAAATTTATATTAACCATTATAAACACATGAAGACAAGCCCAAAAGCAAAAATTCCAGTGCATAAGGTCAGCAGGAAATTAATCATTCCTATTCAAAGCTAAAACAAACCAAATAGCTTTTAGTTCTATATCCTCTTTTTATACAGTCAGTGACTGTTTCCTAGGTAATGTGTAAACGTCTCAAAAGAGTATTTATATCACCTAATCTTCAGTCCTATTCTGACATTCTCTTGGAGAGCTGGTTTTGCCTTTTCGTTTATTTGCCTTTTATAAAACTGAAGGCTCATCAACTTCTCAGCAAACAGGAAAATATATTTCCGGGCAAGAATTTCTGATATACCTACATCTTGGCCAGGTACACATAAGCATGTCTCTAATATTAGTTTTAACAATACACAGACTATAACTGGTCTGTAAATTTTGTTCAAGTTGGTAATTTAACAAGAAAAAAAGTAAAAAGGAAAATAGTAAATAAATGAAAGGCAAAATCTAAACAACAATGGTATTTCCAAGTCGAAGAATTATGTAGAAAAGAAGAGCTGTTACTACTTGTATGCAGCCAATTCACTTCTAGCTAAGGATAATTATCAAAGCCAAATTTAGTACTTTTAAAATCTAAAATAACATTCTAATTTTGTATGTTTTCAAAACTGAGGCCAGTAATAAATATACCTCTTTCTTTTCTTGCAGGCGGTGGGCGAGGGGGGGCGGTTATTTAAGGCTTTCCTGGAAAGAAAGCAGATTGTTTAAAATGTTACCTTCGTAACTTCTTCATGAGGGAATAGTGTGATGAGAAAACACAGCAAAAAGTTACAAATGAAGGATGATGATGTATACTAGTAGAGAAGCCAGGGAAATTTCTGGTTATATCACAAGACTCAGGACCTTAAGACTAACTGTACTATAAAATAAATGTTCCATTAAATAAGGAGACATTTAGGGAAAAAAGAGAAAAGCTAAAATTATTTTTAAAAATTTTCAAAAATTAAAATAATCCTCAATTGTTTATGTATGTGTGTGTGTGTGTGTGTGTGTATATATATATATATATATATATATATATTTTTTTTTTTTTTTTTTTTTTTTTTTTTTGAGGCAGGGTCTCACTCTGTCATCCAGGCTGGAGTGCAGTGGTGCAATCTTGGCTCATTGCAACCTCCGCCTCCCAGGTTCAAGTGATTCTCCTGCCTCAGCCTCCCGAGTACCTGGGATTACAGGCACCCGCCGCCACACATGGCTAATTTTTTATTTTTAGTAGAGACGGGGTTTCACCATGTTGGCCAGGCTAGTCTTGAACTCCTGGCCTCAAGTGATTCACTCACCTCGGCTCCCCAAAGTGCTGGGATTACAGGCGTGAGCCACCGCGTAATCCAACTGTTGATATTTGCCTTATAAAGATGCACAGAGGAAAATAAAAAATTATTTCTGCTATAAGAAACCTACCAATTGTTTATTTCTGTAAGGCAACTAATCACACATGTTCCTTGTCTTTTCATGTAAAAGACTATTTCTCCTCAAAGCTGAAGAAGACTTCAGTGTGTGGGCCCTTGTTCTTACTTTAATAAACGGTATTATTTCGCCTTTAATCTAACTTGGGAAACTACAAGTACAAAACTTTATACTATATCCTCCTCTCCTGTATCTTCTAAAATTTTGGAGTAATTTTGTAATTAAATACACTTCACGTAATTCTACTTCTGGATTTTTACCCTCCAAGTATCGGTCACTGTCCCAACTCCTCCATCTTCCAGATGGTTAGAGCACAATTCTAAGACCAATTTATTATTAAATATATTCCATTAGGTTACTTCCTAAAACATTCCAATATTTAATAGTCTTTGAGATAGCCTAGCAAACCTAACTGCATTACCTCTTTATCTTTTAGTCCCAGAAGCAATACTTCTTCCATAAGAGTAAGGCGGATATCCTTAGAGTCTCCAGAATCTTCATTGTCTGGACTTTTCTCCCAATTACTGTCTTCCTCACTTTCCATCTTCTTTTCAGAGTTCTTGCTTATTTCAGTGCGACGGGCCCGGTGAGTTAAAGTGGTCATTCTCACCTGTTTCTGGAGGGAGTGGTGAAAAAAAAAATCCATATGTATGCTTATGTAAATAAATCATATATTCATACATGCATACTAAACATCCATACAAATAGGAAATATTTACAGATTTAAATATAGAAAGAAAGGAAGGAGTAATGACCAGAAAAAAATGGGTGGGTAATACAGTATCTTTTCCAAAGTACAATAGCTTGGACTTCACAGATGGCACTGACAAAAGATCAAATGAGTAATTCTAAAGTCCAGTAGAAATGCTCATCTTTCAAGCCTGTTGACTTCTTTTTTTCTTTTTCTTCTTCTTTTCTTGAGAGGGAGTCTTGCTCTGTTGCCCAGGCTGGGAGTGCAGTGGTGCGATGTTGGCTCACTGCAACCTCCGCTTCCCAGGTTCAAGTGATTCTTGTGCCTCAGCCTCCTGAGTAGTTGGGATTACAGGTGTGCGCCACCATGTCTGGCTAATTTTTGTATTTTTAGTAGAGATGGGGTTTCACCATGTTGGCCAGGCTGGTCTTGAACTCCTGACCTCAAGTGATCTGCCTGCCTGGGCCTCCCAAAGTGCTAGGATTACAGGCATGAGCCACCAGGCCCGGCCAAACCTGCTGATTTTTTCTGCATAATCTATAAAGAAGGAGTGAATATCCACCATTGTCACTCCTCTTTCACAAAATGGATCCCAAGTTAAGTAAGATGGAACAACAAAAAATTGTGAGCATCCAGCCCCAAAATGCATATAATAATTTGTATCTAATTTCTATAAACGTTCCATGGTACTACATTATAAAAAAACACAAAAAATAGAAAGTAAAAAAGAATACGAAAAACTAAATAGAAATACATGTTCTATATTTCCTTCCCATACCCTAATGACTCATTTCATGTACTCACTTTGGAGATCACAAGTCTAGACGATAACATTCAGAAAATCATGTGTAGTAATTCCACAGTCAGTAAACTTAGCAGCTCTAGTCCTAGCTAGCCATATCTTGCAAATACACAAGGAGCTGCAAACAAAAATTACTGGCAAGAGAGTGTTGAAAGATTAACAAATTTTCTCAATTTAAAAAAAAAAGTCAAAGAACATGTCTTTTATTCTATGTACTACGGTCAAAAGAAACTGCACTAAATCATTTGTGATAAAGTTTATAGTTAGCATACTTTATTTTATATAAATCTAGATATCAGTTTTTAAGATAATATATAACAAATATTTTAAATCAGCAATTATATAAAGGAGTATCTTTTTCAAGATCAAAATAATGGTATTTAAGAGTTGCTATGACTGGACTCGTTTCTACTCCTCTAGCAATATTTCCCATTGCTCCTAATAAGTAGTGTTGCCAGACTTTTTCTCAAAAATGTCTCATGCTTTCTTTCTGCTTCTGCTCCTCTGTACTTGCTGGGGTCTTCACCCTTTTCTCTTCCTCTTTACATTCTACCCATTCTTTAAAGGCCTTGTGAAGGCCTTTAAGTGACCTCCTCTTTTCTATTACCTATGTGTCTCATGGCCACTCCCTCAGCTGTTTCACAGAGCTTTATTTATACTCACTTCCTTTAAAGTATTTATTATAGTCTTTCTCTTGGTATAGCTGTCTCTCAACTGTAAACTTCTTAAGAACAGGGATATTGTCTTCTTGGGTTTATATATTCTCCATAGCAACTAGCACTGTCTTTAACATTGTTATTGCTCGATAAATTTATATTGATTAAAATGAATACTCAGAAGTGCATGTGAACATTTAAAATAGAAATACAAATGAAGTGAGCTACAAAAGTTTTTTTGTACAAGGGTATATTTCAAATATAATTTGTTATGGGAGGTGGGAAGAAAAGTGAAGGAGGAAGAGAACCATGAAATAAATTCTTAAGCGCACTAAGCCTATCTGGCACTGTGAATAGGGACTATTTCCTAAACCAATCCAAGAAACTTTAAACCTTCGCGGGGCAGGGGGGGAGGGGGAGAGGGGGCGGTTTCTTTGAGAAATTAGTTTCATCTGCACATTTACTAGTTAAAAATCCTACTTGAAAGAAAACAAATGGCCCAAATGAATACAAACCTTTCCCTCCCATAAAATAATAATTTTAAAAAATAGAGGTTTTTTTTGGTGGGGGGAAGGGACGTTAGGAAATGTAATTTTCTCGTTGCTTACCTGATGTTACTCCTGGGTTATGGCTGGACGCAGGCTGTAGCTTGTGCTGTATTTTAGAAGGACACCTGTTCTCCCCACCCCACCCCCGTCCTAGTAGGTGAAAAACTTAGCCACGCAGAGAGCACAAACTTCCTGATCCTTCGATGCAGAGAAGGAATAACACATCAGCTTCCTCAGGATCACTAGGCAACCTACCTTGGTGTTTCTTCATTGCGCCAATCAGAAATCACCAAGGTTGAGTCCCGCCAATCGGAGCTCACAGGGGGAGGCTCTCCCCCAGCTATTCTGTTGCGATCCAGACAAACACCACCAAAAGGAGGCAGGTTTGCGTTCAACCTGACAGCTGGTCAATCCAATGAAGGAACCTTGGTGGAAGAGAGGAAAGAGGGCTGCGCTCCCCACCCCCATTAAACCAGCCAATCAAAGCGCTGAGTGAGCTAACATGGGCTGCCAATCTCGAAAGGTTTCTGTGGGTTAATTTCAGCGTAGCAGGTGTGTTGCTGTAGTAGCGTATACTGGGACAATTAAGTGAGATGTGTTGGGATCCAAGCAATACAGCTAAAAATAAATAAATATTTTTACATTGGTTGTTTCTGACAGTCAGTTTATCCTTGACTTGACTGTTCCAGAAAAACATGATCTGGGTCAGTTTGTGTACGTTTATATGGTTTACCTTAAACAGGATGAATACATTTCTACCATCGCATATGTACCAGCATTCCCTATAGCGCTTATTACTGACAAACCCATGGATGTGTATGTTTTTGGAATATGGCTGCTGAAACTACAAGCGGCAAACAGACCAAGTTTTAAGTCTTCCTTTTTCTAAAGCAAAGAAAGCAGGCAAGGCTGGAACTAGCTCCCAGGTTTCTCATTAAAAGCACAGCATTTTTCATACTACCACTCAAAAATTCTAGAAAGTGTGCTCAACTCTTCTTGCAAAGTAATAGCTACCGAAATCATCTAAAAATTAGTATTCCCTATCCCCCCATCCTCCTACCAGCCTTTCAAATGAATGAAGCCATATTTCCTGCTACTTAAATAAAAATTAGAAGCGATAAAAGGGCCTACGTACTGAACAATATTTTATTTATGCTGCAAAAAATGCCATACTTTAAAAATCAGTCTTTTTGTCCTGTAAAAAAAAGCATAGTAAAGGTAAAGCACCAATTCTTAAATTGTACATTATATATTAAAATGTTAATACATTATGTCAAAATATTGAAGAACATTGTTTTAATAACAGCACAATGACAAAAGAGCCAGTTAAATGGTATAATTTTAACATAAGTAAAAAGTGAATCCATACCAAATTTTAATACCAAAGTAAACATTACTGTTTAGAAAAATGGCATTAGAGGGCCTTAACAGTTAGTATATATTTAAAGGAAATATTAAGTAGGTAATGAACAAAATCAATTTTGAAATTTTACTTATTACCGAATCAATTATGACATTTGTACTTTTGCTTTTATTCAAAAGTTCTATTGGATTTATCTCAAGATTAAGGACCACAATATGACAGTCAGCCAAAAACTTAGTTTTAGTGTACAAACTGCTTTAAACTACATATACATCTTCAGAGTTAGGGAAATATAATATAGGGTCCTTCAGTTTAAATGGTGAGAAGAACTCTGCAAGCCTGCAGAACAAAAATAATTTTTATATATGTTCCTTTGGTTCACTAAACTTTCTCCTTTTTGGCACTGACTCTTGACTAGAAGAATCAAAGTGATGGAGGACCTGTCAAAAGAAAACAACTACTAAGAATAGATACTTTCCTGTTTAAATGTCTTTAATTGTAGATTTTTTCATGTATCTGAGATTTCTCTTCTTTTTAAAAAAATTTATGCCTAGCATACCTAGCATAACTATATCTGGGTTTCTTAAAAGTAGAGTAAAATTTATTATTAACATCTTCCAATGGCTGCTGAAAGTATGTACTTGCAAAATGTATAATCTTCAGTAGGGCTGCTCTAGAAGTGAGAAGATAGATTTAACATTATGTCCTCAAAATAGCCAAATATTTCAGAGCAATAAGAAGGGAAAAAAGATTTTAAAATGAACTACAAATAGAAAAACATTCTACCTTGGAATCATGTACGATTTAAATCATGTCTTGCTTTTGTACTCTTGAGACGTTAACATTTGAGTTTTAAAAATAGTCTTAGGTTTTCAGTTGTTTAATTCTAACCTACTAATAATACTAAAATATCTAGTTGGAAAAATATGAATAATTATCTCAGAAATGGCAAATACATTATCTGATTTGGTAAAATAAGGTTCTAAATATGAAACAACTATAGGGTTTAAGTCAGGAAAATATTTTTTTCTCCAGAGGTACTAGGAGGAGACCCTATATTTTTAGGGAACACATGTATTTAGTAAATTATCCTCCTTCTACTTCAGTTTTGATCTCTAGAAAGCTCAGATCAAATTTGTGGCCCAATTTCAGTTCTATATAAACAAAATGGCCTTAGTATTCTTGTACTGTCACTTTCTCATTCTATATTCTCTTATATTTTTCCTGGCACTGATTTTTTTTTTTTTTAAAGACGGAGTCTTGGTCTGTCGCCAGGCTGTAGTACAGTGGCGCGATCTTGGCTCACTGCAACCTCCACCTCCCAGGTTCAAGCGATTCTCCTGCCTCACCCTCCCGAGTAGCTGGGACTACAGGCGTGCGCCACCACGCCCAGCTATTTTTTTTTTTTTTTGTATTTTTGGTAGAGACAGGGTTTCACCATGTTGGCCAGGAGGGTCTCGATCTCTTGACCTCGTGATCCACCTGCCTCAGTCTCCCAAAGTGCTGGGATTACAGGCATGAGCCACTGCACCCAGCTGATTTTTAATTTATATATTATAAATTCCTCCAATTACTTTAAATCATTCATGGAATGAGACAGGAGATGTTTACATGGAAAAAACTAATAAACCAACATAGGGCATCTTATTTCAAAATCACCTCGATTTTTAGAACAAAATATATTTAAACAAAATTTGAATATCAGAACTCTCAGGTACATCGAAAGATATCAAATTCATCATTTTAAATTTAATCTGTAGTAATGATATTCTGATCCTTCCCATTGTATTCAAACTATACATTATCATAAGACTTACTATTCTCCCAGATTCATGTTGACTTCTCTTCCGATTTTCTTTGGAAGATTTTACTGGTTGATTTCCATTTGCCTCCACAAAGATAGAATAATTACTAATTGGTTATTTCTCAAAGAACAGCCAACACTTGATTTTTCAATCTTATGCAACGATATGCAATATTTATTTATTTATTTACTTTTTAGGGACAGGGTCTCCCTCTGTCACCCAGGCTGGAATGCAGTGGCACCATCATGGCTCACTGCAGCCTGAAACTTCTGGCCTCAAGGGATCCTCCTGCCTCAGCCTGCCAAAGTGCTGGGATTACAGGAATGAGCTACAGTGCCCAGCTGGATATACAATTTTTTTAAAAAACAGCTTTATTGAGATATAATTTAGATACTATATGATTCACCCATTTATAAGTGTACAATTCAATGATTTTCAGTACCTTCACAGAGTTGTACAACCATCACTACAATCAATTTTACATCACTTTCATCACCCCACAAACAAACCCCATATACCTTAGCTATCACTCTCTTATTCTGCCATCCTCCCACCAGCCTTAAGACTGTCTCAATAACTTTCCCAGTTCTGACTTTCAAATGAAAGGAATAATACAATATGTGGACTTTTGTGAGTAACTTCCTTTAATTAGCATGTTTTCAAGGTTCATCTAAGTTGTAGCATGTATTGGCACTTCATTTTTTTTATGGCTGATATTCAATTGTATGAATATACCACATTTTTTAATCCATTCATCTGTTGATGTATATTTAGGTTTTTCCCATCTTTCGGCTATTGTGAATAATGCTGTATATATAGTTATTAAAATGAATATTGGAAAATGACTAATGATTAGGTGTCATACAACTATTCTCTAAAAGGATATACTTCTTTTCTGATGCTTGAAATGAGCTTTCCAATGATAACTTCCTTAGTATATATAATAATGAATATTTTCATTTCTTGCCCTTTTCTAACCACAATTCAGTAATAATTCTCAAAATCAGGAGTACACTTGCTCAGAGTTCATATCCAAAAACATGTGCAATTTCAGAAATAAATTTATGTCCCTAAATCATCTTAATGTTACATTACAAGGAGATCTTGCTTAATAATTTTTAAAATGCTGGTCTCTATCCCTATATCCTAGTAAAGGTTATTCATCCTACATATAAACTGGCTAGGATGAACATTTTGCTTCTAGAAGTAGTAAATCTTGACATTCCTTTATCTCTTGCTTTCATGAGATACTCATTTGAATGCTGCCTTCTGCCAGTTCTAACTTCCCATTGAGAATAGGGGTGGGGGAAGACACTTAAAAATGGCACTATAATGAGTAGTGTTCCAATAAATGTTTAATAACCAGCTCTAGGAGAGAAACAAACCTTGAGGCATTTGCTGATTTCTGTGCTGTGAATACTACCAACATGTCCAATTTAAGCTACCAACATGATATCTCTGAGTGGGGAGTTGGGAATAAATGTTCTAGCACACCACTAACAGAGTGAGCTATTTATTTCCTAAACTTTAGATATTTTATATATTTTACAGAATGCTTTTTCTTCACCCCAATGAACCTTTGAGAGTAACTTAAAGGTCTAAAATCAAATATGAATTTTGATTTAGTATAATTCATACCAAAAGCTAAAATAAAGCAGTGATTTTTTTCCCTTAAGAATATGAGATTCATTTTATACAAGATATATACAAAAGATTATTTTGTAATGTCTTATTAACAAGATACTCAATTTATAAGACTGAGCATGGTGCTCACTTCAGCAGCACATATGCTAAAATTAGAACGATATAGAGAAGATTAGCATGTCCCTTGCACAAGGATGACATGCAAATTCATGAAGCATTCCATATTTTTCAGAGTGAACAGAGAACCTACAGAATGGGAGAAAATTTCTGCAATCTATCCATCTGACAAAGGTCTAATATCCAGAATCTATAAGAAACTTAAACAAATTTACAAGAAAAAATAAACAACCCCATTAAAAAGTGGGTAAAGGACATGAACAGACACTTCTCAAAAGAAGACATTCATGTGGCCAACAAACATATGAAAAACACTCAACATCACTGATCATTAGAGAAATGCAAATCAAAACCACAATGAGATACCATCTCATGCCAGTCAGAATGGTGATTATTAAAAGTTAAGAAACAACAGATGCTGACGAGGCTATGGAGAAATAGGAACACTTTTACACTGTTGGTTGGAATGTAAATTAGTTCAACCATTGTGGAAGACAGTGTGGTGATTCTTCAAAGATCTAGAACCAGAAATACCATTTGTCCCAGTAATCCCATTACTAGGTATATACCCAGAGGAATATAAATCATTCTATTACAAAGATACATGCACCTGTATGTTCACTGCACCACTATTCACAATAGCAAAGACAGAATCAACCCACATGCCCATCAGTGATAGACTGGATAAAGAAAATAAGCAGCCATAAAAAGAAATGAAATCATGTCCTTTGCAGGGACATGGATGGAGCTGGAAGCCATTATCCTCAGCAAACTAACACAGGAACAGAAAACCAAACACCACATGTTCTCACTTATAAGTGGTAGATAAACAATGAGAACACATGGACACAAAGAGGGGAACAATACACACTGGGGCCTGTCAGGGGGTTGGAGGGAGGGAGAGCATTAGGATAAATAGCTAATGCATGTGGGGCTTAATACCTAGGTAATAGATTGATAGGTGCAGCAAATCACTATGGCACACGTTTACCTATGTAACAAACCTGCACGTCCTGCACATGTATCTTGGAACTTAAATTAAATGAAATTTAAAAAGAAAAAAAGATCAAGCATGGGAACATTCTGGCATTCTAGGAAATTTCTCTGGGAGTCTGGATGATAGTATCACTTCTTCCCAAAACCTTTCCCGGATCCCTCTCTTTAATATACCTTCAGTAAAATTAACCATTCCTTTCTTTGTGCCTATGTAGCCTATTCAGACTTCTATAATGGCTCTGTATCATTGCTTGTTTATTTCCAGTTACTAAACTTCAGCTAAGACCATGAAGTATGTGTTATTCAGGTTATATCCTAAGCACCTAGTAAAGTACCTGACACATAATAGGTACTTAGTAAATACTGGTTTAATAAACGAAATATTAAAATAAACTCACATATGGGGGAGAATTACAAGGTTACAATGGAAAACAAACCTAAAGAGATATTTACCATTTTATTCTGAAAGACTTTTCCACTTCTTGTTTTGCTTTCAGACATATCAAGTTCAGATGTTTTATTGACTAACTGCTCAACCTAAAAAAGAAAATAATTACAAAAAATATAACTTAGTATAATAAAACCTTTTCATAACACAATAAATGGGGTCCAAAAATTTAACCACATAAAATTTAGGGTCTTGTCAAGTTAAAACCAATAATTTTGAGTTGGTTCATACTGTTCAAAAAGCACAAAAGTAAAGATAGTGAAACTGACACTTTACATAATTGGCCAACCACTGAACTGAGAAAGTACCAAATGATCACCAGGCACCACCCTTCCAGAAGACAAGAAATTTAGTCTACTTATTTGAGAAATGGGCTGGGCAGAGGAAGACAGACAATCAATCATCAATCATATTTTTTCCAAGTTCATATTACCTAAATCTCTTATTTCAGGATTTTACTGTATTTGAAAAGCAGAATAAAACATGTATGCTCCAAGGCAACACAAATGTATTATATATTCCACTTATAAATACAAAGCAGGGTGGAATAAATAACTGCATAAGATTCTATCTAGCTCTGAAATTCTCAGATTCTACCAATAGTATTTAGGTTTATTACTAAACAAATCCACCAGTAATATACTCAAAATTCATCAACATATAATTTCCAGATTTAGTTAATAACAAGCATTCTAAATATTGAATTTTATTCTAAAAGACCTGGAATAAGAAAATCTGAAAAATAAAAAATTAGCGCATAAGCAACTGTCCTGTGAACAAAACAAAAGTGAGATGAAACTATCAAGTTTATACCTGAGAATGAGAAATAGAAAGATCTGGACTTTCTTTAGACCTCATAATTTCATCTTCCTCACAAACTAAACTTGGTTCTGTAAAAAAAAAAAAAAAAAGTTACCCGGGTATAAAATTGAGTTGGAAGTGAGTTAATGTACATTTTCATTAACTTCTTACCTTCAAGTTCAGAAGATGCAGGGTTTTTTTCCTGTTCTTCCATTTTAGTTTCAATGTCCAAATCATCCTACATAATTATGTGAAGAAAAAAATTGACACATTTCAAAAAGGAACTAAAACAACTGAGCAGAAAGCATTTATGAACAAATTTGTTTCATGTGAAGGCTAAATACAATATAAAACTACTGGCCGGGCATGGTGGCTCATGCTTGTATTACTAGCACTTTGGAAGGCCATGGAGGGAGGATTGCTTGAGACTAGTAGTTCCAGATTAGCCTGGGCAATATGATGAGACCTCGTCTCTATGAAAAAATTTTAAAAATTAGCCAGGTGTGGTGGCATGTTTCTGTCACCTGAGGCTGAGGTGAGAGGATCGCTTGAGCCCAGAAGTTTGAGGCTGCAGTAGCCGTGATCATCCCACTGCGCTCCAGCCTGGGAGACAGGACGAGACCCTGACTCAAACACAAACAAACAAAAAAACCCAAGCCAGGCGCAATGGCTTACGCCTGTGTTCCCAGCACTTTGGGAGGCTGAGGTGGGCAGATCACTTGGGGTCAGGAGTTGGAGACCAGCCTGGCTAACATGGTGAAATCTCGTCTCTACTAAAAATACAAAAATTAGCCCGGCGTGGTGGCACATGCTTGTAATCCCAGCTACTCAGGAGGCTGAGGCAGGAGAATACCTTGAACCCAGGAGGCTAGAGGTTGCAGTGAACCAAGATCTGCCACTGCACTTCAGCCTCGGCAAAAGAGCAAGACTCTGTCTCAAAAAACAAAACAAAACAAAACAAAACAAACAAACCAGAAAACCCCAAAAACCTACAACTACCTCATGGTTGCTAGAAATAAAAGTGTTCCTAGAATTTCTATCAAAAGGCAATTTATTAATCCAAATAAAGTATAAAATACTATTTTTCTTTATTTTGCAGGGTTGCTTTAAGGACAAATGATAAAAATATACAACTTTCGGCCAGGCGTGGTGGCTCATGCCTGTAATCCCAGCACTTTGGGAGGCACAGGTGGGCAGATCACCTGAGGTCAAGAGTCCGAGACTAGCCTGACCAACATGGAGAAACCCTGTCTCTACTAAAAATACAAAATTAGCCAGGCATGGTGGCACATGCCTGTAATCCCAGCTACTTGGGAAGCTGAGGCAGGAGAATCACTTGAACCTGGGAGGAGGAGGTTGCTGTGAGCTGAGATCGTGCCATTGCACTCCAGCCTGGGCAACAAGAGTGAAACTCTGTCTCAAAAAAAAAAAAAAGTAATAAACAAAAACTCTTCAGAGAGTTATTGAAGGATAAGCTCAGTCATGTTATGGTAGAAATTGCAACAGGTTTAATGTCTACATTACAATTATTGTTCCCTTTGTGATACATGTGAAAGAGATTTAAATATTTTAAAGAATGCTACAAACACCTCAGCCATATTTGTTATAAAGCAAGACTGGGATTTAGGTCTTAGAAAAAAGTTTTTTTCTTTAACTGAATTGGTTGAAAATTGATTGAATTTTCTATGTGTAAAGATGTGGTTAGACAGCCTAATCAGAATAGTGAATCTCTGTACATAAGTACTGTAGTCATAATTTAGAATAAATTGAGACACAGAATACAAGAGAGGTGAGATTAAAGGACATAATGTTAATGCTTGAAAGATTAAAGCAATAATGACTTCCATATTTGCTGGAAGTGAGGCAACAAAAAAACTCTTTTATACTTCTATTCATCCATTCACTCGACTAATACTTAGGACGCACTAACTAGAAATCCAAGTGCTAGGCACAGGATGATTAAAAAGTTGAATGAGACACTTTTCCTGACTTCCAGGAACTTCCAGGCTGCTTCAGAACAGTGACTTTCCAGGCCCTAGAGAAATTCAAGCACAGGCTACCTGAACACTTAGTAGGGATGTTGTAGAAAAGATTCCATCATTAGCCGGGAGTTAGACTAGTGCAATGCTTTTCAAATTATGCCCTAGAGTCCTAGGGGTTTCCTCAGAGTCCACTAAGAAGGTAAGTGACATAGGGAGTGGCAGAGCCTCCAGGAACATTCCCTACTTCAACCAGAATAGTTGTGCTTTTAAGTTCTAGTACAATGTTGTTTGGGCTAAGTAAAAAGTTTTAAAACCATAGGCCTAGACTTTAAGGTCCCTTTCAACCTTGAGTTTATGATTATAATACAGAATTTACACAAATGTTAATGGGAGCTATGAAAAATCTTCAGAATTGAGTCAAACATTTGTTATTATTGTTCTTTATAACTCTTGAAATACACTTACACTTGTATAATGCTCCTGTTCATCTTCTACATCTTTGTCCCTCAGGATTTTTTGAAATGGTGTTTTTATTTGTTTTGGTGATAGTATAGTTGAGTCAATATTTTCCATTCGTTCTCTCTCAGTGGTCACTTTTACTTTGAAGATGTGAAAAGGTGTTGAGACTTCTCCCACATTTAAATACATAGGTTCCCCTTCAAATATAACTCCTTCACAATCACCATCCTTAAAACCGGGAGGCTGGTAATCTGGGGGTGTAACTGCAAAAAAGTAAGTGTAAACTGTGCTGTTCATGAAATTAAAGAAAATATAATTATTATTATAAAAACACACGCAGATTGCAGGTATTTCAAATAGTATATAAGGGCATAAGGTAAAACATACGAATTACTCTCCTGCTATGTCCAAGTCCCCATTTTATTCCCTAAAGGTAAGCTTTGTTTTCTTCACTTGACTGTCTGTGACCTTGAGTAAATTATTCATCATCCCTGATTTGATTTTCTCATCTGTCAAATGGTGAAAATAATAGTACCTACTTCATAGGGTCATTGTGGGAATAAAATAAAGTGTCGTAAAATGTTGAGAAGAGAACTGGCACATAGTAAATACTCAATAAATGTTAGTTGTTATTTTTGTTGCTTTATGTTCTTCTAGAAGACATGCATATAATAAAAGATATTTCATATTTACATAGGTTTTAGGAAATACATATAAAATTTCTTAAAAAACACAAATGAGCTCATACCATTCCATACCTAGCTGGTTTTAACTTAATAATATATCTTGGATAACGTAATTTATCAGCACCTTCTTTTTAACAGCTTGTGTAGTATTCTATTACGCAGATGGACCATAATTTATTTACTCAGTCCCCAATGAAGGACACTGAAGTTGTTTCCAGTTTGTTCCTATTTTAGCCAATGCTATAATCAAAATCCTTATATAACTTTGCGTATTTGCACAATTATATCTTCAATATATTTTTCTCACTATAGAATTTCTGGATTAAAGATAGTGTGCATTTAAAATTTTGATACTGCCAAATTGTCCTCTAAAAATGTTGCACCTGTTTACAGTCCCTCGCGTGTACAAAAGTGCCTGCTCAGCCGGGTGCTGTGGCTCACGCCTGTTATTCCAGTACTTTGGGAGGCCAAAGCGGGTGAATCACTTGAGATCAGGAGTTCAAGACTAGCCTGGCCAACACGGTGAAACCCCATCTGTACTAAAAATACAAAAATTAGCCAGGCATGGTGGCGAGTGCCTGTAGTCCCAGTTACTCAGGAGGCTGAGACAGGAGAATTGCTTGAACCCAGGAGGTGGAGGCTGCAGTGAGCTGAGATTATGCCACTGCACTCCAGCCTGGGAGACAGAGCAAGACTCTGTCTCAAACAAAAAAAAGTTCCTGTTTCCCCACATCCTTATCAATAATGGATTAACACGTTTTACCAATCTGATAAGTGAAAACTGTTAACTCATTGTTAAATTTGAGTGAGGTTATACTTCACATGGATATGTTCCTATCACTAGAGAAGCATCTATTTTAAAGCTTAATTTTGTAAATCTTTCTTTCTTGAATAGTGATATTAAGTGTAAATTTTATAATTTCAAAAAATTTAGGTGCTAAAAATATTTGGAATGGAAACCAATTGTTTCAATAATGATAAAACATATGTACCAACTGAAACAGGATGTATTGCAAATAGTACCTTCATCATAGTAAAAAAGTTTCATGGTCAAACAAACATCATTAGGTAAAGGCCCCAGATTTTGCATTAGGATATAAATCTTGCGAATGAGGAGAATGCTTGCTTTCTTGGTGTCAGTAGACAACATGCTAGATTCGTTGCTTTGGTTTTTACTAGAAGAGAATCACATATTAATTTATTTTATAAAACCTGTGGCTTCTAATATCATAACTTTACATTTTAACTATTTGAGATTCTTATTTCTATTATAGCATTAAGCTGTTAACTTGAAAGTTACCATGTGTTTTAATGTCACTATTATAAAATTTTAATATTAATATCTGCTAGAAATAATAACTTAATTTTACTTAAGTGCATTTTATATGAAGTGTTTAAAGAAAGCACATTATGTTTTAAAATTATATTTCTATATTTCTAATCACCTAAGTTCTCTTTCCACAATTAAAATTGCTTATTATTAGCCACAGAATCCTGGCTTGAAGCTACTGCAAGCCACCACTCCATTTTGCATAGCCACATCTTGATGGTTAATTGGGGATGTCCCCGCAGTTTCAGAATGAATCCTGAGGTTTAGCTATATAGCATTAATATGAATAAGTGGTAATCTGTAATACAAACAGAAAACTATAGAACAATACCTTATGAAGTCCATGAGTGGTCCATTATTGGTGTATTTGAATTTGAATTGGTAACATTCTGAAATTGTCTTAAATAGAAAATATCGCAGTTATGCTTCTGATATTCAGTACTAGCTGCTAAATAGCTATATTCTGTTTTGTATGACTCAACATTTAGTCAATACTTTTTTCTGCCATATTAATCCCTATTGATCCATTGAAACTTTTGATTCCTCATAGTCAGTTTTCATGGTTTGGGTTTGGGGCTTCAGTCTTGGAGAGACATTTATTTCCCAACTCATTGTAATGTATGTTATTGTAGGGAAAAGAGAGATCAGACTGTTACTGTGTCTATGTAGAAAGGGAAGACATAAGAGACTCCATTTTGAAAAAGACTTGTACTTTAAATAATTGCTTTGCTGAGATGTTGTTAATTTGTAGCTTTGCCCCAGCCACTTTGACCCAACCACTTTGATCCAATCTGGAGCTCACAGAAACATATGTTGTATGAAATCAAGGTTTAAGGGATCTAGGGCTGTGCAGGACGTGCCTTGTTAACAAAATGTTTACAAGCAGTATACTTAGTAAAAGTCATCGCCATTCTCTAGTCTCAATAAACCAGGGGCACAATGCATTGCGGAAAGCCGCAGGGACCTCTGCCCTTGAAAGCGGGGTATTGTCCAAGGTTTCTCCCCATGTGATAGTCTGAAATATGGCCTTGTGGGATGAGAAAGACCTGACCGTCCCCCAGCCCGACACCCATAAAAGGTCTGTGCTGAGGTGGATTAGTAAAAGAGGAAAGCCTCTTGCAGTTGAGATAGAGGAAGGCCACTGTCTCCTGCCTGCCCCTGGGAACTGAATGTCTCGGTATAAAACCCGATTGTACATTTGTTCAATTCTGAGATAGGACAAAAACCGCCCTATGGTGGGAGGCGAGACATGTTTGCAGCAATGCTGCCTTGTTATTCTTTACTCCACTGAGATGTTTGGGTGGTGAGAAACAAATCTGGCTTACGTGTACGTCCAGTCATAGTACCTTCCCTTGAACTTAATTATGACATAGATTCTATTGCTCACATGTTTGTTGCTGACCTTCTCCTTATTATCACCCTGCCCTCCTACTACATTCCTTTTTACTAAAATAATGAAGATAATAATCAATAAAAACTGAGGGAACTCAGAGACCGGCGCCGGTGCAGGTCCTTGGTATGCTGAGCGCCGGTCCCCTGGGCCTACTATTGTTTCTCTATACTTTGTCTCTGTGTCTTATTTCTTTTCTCAGTCTCTCGTCCCACCCGACTAGAAATACCCACAGGTGTGGAGGGGCAGGCCACCCCTTCAGTTATTTATACCACATGGAAGGAACTCCTTAGCAGGCAGATAAGGGAGGCAACATACCTCAGCAGAGTGGCTAACACAGGGCATAAATCTTTGCTATACTGTAACCACAGGCAAGCCACTTAAGCCTTAGTTTAAGTATTAGTTTCCCCAGCTAAAAAAGAGATTAAAGACAGTACATATCTCATTGATAGTTGTGAATAAATATTCACAAATGGGATAATTTATACAGGGTACTTTATAAAGTACCTGACATATAGTAAACATTCAATAAATATTATTATTGTATCAACAAGGTTGCTAATTTACTGATAGAAAAAATGCACAACTATATAACATATGAAAATAAATGAACATTTTCTGAACAATCAATTAGTTTTCTGAACACAATCTATTAATTCACAGCCTTTACCCAAATGATCTGCTTTGTCAGCATGGATACATATTAAGCATTAATCGCAGGTGTGAGTATCAAAGAAAAGACACATTCTCAGCCCTCCTGAAGCCTGAATACTTCTATTGCTTTCTTTATATTTCATTGCTTACATAGTGATGTTTTTAAACGTCTATTTTTAACACCAGTTTAAATCTACCTCTCCTTGACTGAATGAAACGTTATATTGTAACAGCTATAGCGTAATGGGTAAACACCCAAATTGTGAACTGGCCTTCCTAGGTTCAAAAACCTGGTTCTGCCACTTCAGCCACTATGACCTTAGGCAAGAAACCCCTTGTACTTAGATTTCCTCATCTGTAAAGCGGAGATGCTAATAGTGGTTACCTCATGAAGGTTGGGATGAATAAATGAGATAATGCACATAAAGCCCCAAAGAACAGAGCCTAATATAAAGTAAGCACTCAGTAGATCTTTCCCCCTTGTTTCTTATCTTCTGGTTTTCCCTTTCACGTTCTCCCTTCTCTCCTTTAATGGTAAGATAAATAGGTAGCTATGAATGGATTGGGATGAATATTCGAAGTTTAAGGATGACTTTCTTACTTTCCTAAAACTCAAGCCCTTTCATAATTCTAAAATGTAGTATAAAAAATACTATAAAGAATTAGACGTCAGGAGATTTAAGTTAAGTTTCTAACAGTTTGTAAGCTTTGTGGCCTAAGATCAGTCACATAATCTCTGTCATGCTAATCTGTTTAAAGGTAACAATCCAAGCCCTGCCTTACCTCAGAAGAGTTTTATGAAGCTCAAATGTGAAAATATATATGAAAGTATATTGATTAAAGCATAATTAAAAGCATAAGATATTCTTATATTATGTTTCGTGTTATTTTTAGATATTAGAGGCATTATGTTTCTTTAGTAACTCAAGCACACTTACCTGAGGATCTTCTGGGTTTGTGTATACCTATTTAAAAACAATTTACAATTGAGTTATCTAAGGCTAAGTATTCAAGAACTAAATTAGATGTTTAGACTAAACTTCATGTGAACTCAGCAAAACAAACAAATAAAAATGACCACCCAAAATATTACTTTTTCATTCCATTGAATAGATCAGTTATTTGAATAATGTGACATAATCAATTGATAGTTTTAGTGTCATTTAATTAAGCAAGGCCAAATTTGGCAGTATTAAAAAAAGAACACACAATTTAAAAATACTTACAGCTAGAACAACCATCCTTAGCTGAAATACAACAAAGAACAAAAATCTTACTTGTAGTCTATAAAATAATTTTTCATTACGAATCATAAGAATTCTTTGTCCTATTTCAACATGTATTCCTAATAACAAATAATCATTGCAGATCTTGACTGCATAAGATCAATGCCTATAATGCAGTACCTTAGATATGCTTCCCTATCCCCTGAAATATCTATTGCTACTAAAATTACTGATGATTGAAATTCATGTCAGCACTTTATTTCATTGACTTAAGCAAAAAGGACATTACTGCCAGTTACAAGGAAAAAATATATATATTGTGAAATAACACAATATATGTGTTATACTGAAAACAATGAGAACTGATTTTGAAAAAAGAAAAAGCAGAGTTCAGGGCCCTATGAATTCAACAGAGGGAGGAAGTTTTGGAGACCATAGGAAAAGAAAATCATAGAAAATAATTTAATCAAGTGATCTGCCAAAAATCTAAGAGTCATCCTTGATTCTGATCTTTTCCTTGTATTACACAACCAGTCCATCAACAAATCCAATCACTTCTACTGCCAAATCTATCCTGAATCTCCTCTCTCTGCTATCCTGGTCTAAGCAACCATTATTTCTCACCAGTACTACAGTAATGGCCTAGGTGCTATTCTCCTTACTCCCAATCTTAATCTCCTTCTACAGCATATTCTCTAAGTTGTAGGCAAAGTGATTTAAAACAATTATTTTTTAAGACAGAGTATCACTCTGTCACTCAGGCTGGAGTACAGTGGCATGATCTCAGCTTACTGCAATCTCCACCTCCCAGGTTCAAGCGATTCTCCTGCCTCAGCCTCCTGAGTAACTGGGATTACAGGCGCGCCAACACGCCTAGCTCATTTTTGTATTTTTAGTAGAGACAAGGTTTCACCATGTTGGCCAGGCTGGTCTCAAACTCCTAACCTTAGGTGATCCACGTGTCTTGGCCTCCCAAGGTGCTAGGATTACAGGCATGAGCCACCACGCCTGGCCTAAAACAATTTTTAAATGTAAATCAAATATTACATTTCTATGTATAAGCTTTGAATGGCTTTTCTTTGCACCTAAAATAAAAGCCACTGAGTGCTCTGGCCCTGCTTATCTGCCCAGGCTCATCTCATGTTATTCTCCCCCACTGGACAATTGCCCTCAGTCATATTGGCCTTCTTTTTGTTCCTGGAACTCTCTAAACTTCCAATTCTTTGCATTTGCTGCTCTGCCAGGAGTATTCTCTCCTAAAATCAATGCCTGGCTGGTTTCTTCTCATTCAGGTCTCTTCAATGTCACTTCCTCAGAGAAGCTCCTATGACCATCCCATCTAAAGTTACTTCACCTTTCCATTTACCACATACTTTTGCTAAAAATTTTAATGGCAATTTAACATTATTGAAAAGT
Organism: Homo sapiens; assembly: GCF_000001405.40. NCBI lineage: Eukaryota > Metazoa > Chordata > Mammalia > Primates > Hominidae > Homo > Homo sapiens. The sequence goes on from NC_000001.11 coordinate 150,713,249, forward strand.
ATATGATTTGTTTTATTAACTACTTGTTTTCCTACTTTACAAGGGACCTTTTTTGTTTTGTTGATCACTGTTAGCTTACCCAGTTCCTACCTAGAAGAGATGCCTAACACATAACGGGCGCTCAATATTTACTACGCCTTAATGGGGAAGATTAGGAACCATGAATAAAAATTAATCTTCTTGAGGCTGAGGCAGGAGAATGGCGTGAACCTGGGAGGCGGAGCTTGCAGTAAGCCGAGATGGTGCCACTGCATTCCAGCCTGAGCGACAGAGCAAGACTCCATCTCAAAAAAAAAAAAATTTCATCTTCTTCACAATTAGCCTAGTGCTGGACTTCATTATGCAAGTTGGTACTAAATTATACTAAGTATGCAAAAAGGATTACAATACATCTTAAAACCTTCTTAATTTTGCTAATTCAGAATTTGTGACAATTTAACCTAGATTATGTGGAAATTTATTTTTGAACCCTAATAAGGAAATAATTTATTAAATTATTAGTATAAACAAGCTTGTAGAAGGCATGTGAAACTAATGAATAAACTATTTGAAAAGACTCTTTAATTCATTAACTTTTTTGTAAGTTAACACGTGTTATTAATACAAATAAGTGTTAAAAAAACTAGCTTGGAAAAATTTGTTTAGTGTTAATTCCATTATCTTTAAATGAGTTGATGATTAGTCTTTAAAATATTCAAATGTTTAGGCTTTTCAGTAATTCAGACTGACCTACACTCAAGTTAGTTCAAATGAATGTTTTACTACATCATAACTCCAGTTATATTTGTAGATCATAAACTGTAGAAAAAAAAGGATAAAGAGATTGCAAGACTTACATATTTTTTCTGTAAAGCATCATAACATCCTAGCATCCTAAAAAAAAAATCAAGGATTCATTTTTAGACTGAATGCATTTCCAGAAAATAGTTATTTTCATAAATTTCCATATTATCTCATTACTAAATAATACAAAAATGTCTTATTAAAGCTCCCTTCTTATTAACTAGCTTAAAACAAGACAAAACATAAAAAACAATGTGGCAGAAATGTAAAATGATGATAGAGATGGAAGGGAAAATACAAAATATCTGACAGCTATTTGTGGGGAACAATAATAAAATAAATAAAGCCTGCTTGCATGGGGCACAAAATAAAGAAACATTTATTTTTAAAATTTATTTTTCCAAATACCCAGACTTCAAGGAGAGGAAAACTTCGGTGGAAAATTTAATGACCTACAAAAATGCTATCTAGCATTAAAGGGTGATTCACTAAAATTTGGTTAAACACCAAAGGTATCCAAGGTACAAAAAAAAGTAAAATGAGAAAAAAATAATTTTCTCTCTTTAGGTATTCTTTTACTTGCCATTTCACTAACTGTGTAGATCCTGGGCAATTTTTATCTTCTCTCAGTATTTTGACACAAAGATCTAAACACAAAAATGATGAAATATAGAGTTACTTAAGAAAAGTAAACAACTAGAAATTTTAAATGAAGTTTATTTTCTTCTGCTGTGTATTACAGGTAAATTATTATTATAATTATTATTATTTTGAGACAGGGTCTCACTCTATCACCCAGGATGGAGTGCGGTGACATGATCTCGGCTCACTGGAACTTCTGCCTTCCGAGTTCAAGCCATTCTCCCACCTCAGCCTCCCCAGTAGCTGGGACTTCAGGTGCGCCACCATGACCGGCTAATTTTTGTATTTTTTGGTAGAGACAGGGTTTCCTCATGTTGGGCAGACTAGTCTCGAACTCCTGACCTCAGGTGACCCGCCTGCCTCAACCTCCCAAAGTGCTGGGATTACAGGCGTGAGCCACCTTGCCCAGCACAGGTAAATTATTAATAGCAATAATTAATATTATTAATGTAATTAAAGGAAGAAAGGTTATATGAAAGTAGTATTTTAATATTTATTATAAGATGCCATCATAATAATTAGGATGCAAGCTGATGGGTACAAAAATATTTCATAAAAAACTTATAGAATCCATGAAATTAGATATGTTGCTTTCATGCCATTGTTATACAAGAATCTTAGAATCTTATCCCAGTAAAATACTTGTAAAGGCCAAGAACTTAACGGGCTATCAAAAACAAAGAGGCCTGCAAAGAAGCAACATGTAACACAGTGGAAAAGACTGAGAGTCTCTCATATCCTCAGGTACCTTAATTGAAAAACAGGTATTTGTAAGACTGCTACATGAATTAACAAGATATCGTATATAACATAGTGCTTAACATATTGCCCAGCACATAACTGGTGTACAATATTATGCATGTATAATGTACTGAGAAATAAGTTATTATTGTAGTATAAACTGGCTGTATTATTATTATTATTTTAATTTAAAAAATAGAGATGGAGTCTCCTTATGTTGACCAGGCTGGTCTTGAATTCCTGGCCTCAAGTGATCCTCCTGCCTCAGCCTCCCAAAGTGCTGGGATTACAGACGTGAGCTTCCACGCCTGGCCCTGGCTGTATTATTTTTACTTCCTTAAAATAGCACAAGAACATACACTACTACTGTATGTTTTCTATTGATTTCTTTCATCATTATAAGCATAATTTCAGGTAAAATTATACTTGAGAAACTGAGGAAAAATTTTATGATTAAGTGCTTCTAAAGGTATTGAATATATATATATATGTATATATTTTAAAACCATTTAGTTATCCAAACAAAAACAAAAACTTGTACATCAGTGCGGCATTATTCATAATAGCCAAAAAGAGAACCCAAATGTTCATCAACTAATAAAGGGATAAATAAAATGTGGTACAGCCATGCAATAGAACATTATTCAGCAACAAAAAGGGATGAAGCACTGATCCATGCTACAATACGGAGGAACCTTGAAAACATGCTAAGTGAAAGCCAGTCACAAAGGACCACTTTTTTTTTTTTTTTTTTTTTTTTTTTTTTTGAGACTGAGTCTTGCTCTGTTGCCAGGCTGGAGTGCAGTGGCACAATCTCGGCTCACTGCAACCTCCGCCTCCCGGGTTCAAGCGATTCTCCTGCTCAGCCTCCCAAGTAGCTGGGACTACAGGCATGCACCACCATGCCCGGCTAATTTTTGTATTTTTAGTAGAGACGGGGTTTCACCATGTTGGCCAGGATGGTCTCCATCTCTTGACTTTGTGATCCGCCCGCCTCGGCCTCCCAAAGTGCTGGGATTACAGGCGTGAGCCACTGCACCCGGCCAGGACCACATTTTATATTATTTCATTTATATGAAATGTCCAGAGTAAGTAAATCTGTACAGACAGAAAGTAGATTGGTGATTGCCTAGGACTGGGAAGGTTGAGGGGAAGTGCACAGTGCCTTAAGGGGTATGGAGTTTCTTCTTGGGATGAAGAAATGTTCTAAAATTGACTGTGGTGATGGTTGTACAAATCTGTTAATTTATTAAAAATCATTGAAATGGGCCGGGCGCGGTGGCTCACGCCTGTAATCACACCACTTTGGGAGGCCGAGGCGGGCAGATCACAAGGTGAGGAAATCGAGACCATCCTGGCTAACACGGTGAAACCCCGTCTCTACTAAAAATACAAAAAATTAGCCGGGCGTGGTGGCGGGCGCCTGTAGTCCCAGCTACTCGTGAGGCTGAAGCAGGAGAATGGCGTGAACCCAGGAGGTGGAGCTTGCAGTGAGCGGAGATGGCACCACTGCACTCCAGCCCGGGCGAGACCCCGTCTCAAAAAAAAAAAAAAAAAAAATCATTGAAATGTACACTTTAAACAAGTGAACTGTCAGGTACGTGAATTGTATTAATAAAGCTTCTATTAAAATAAAATTTCTAAGTCAAAAATTATAGTTTTGGAGCAAGCAAAAATAAAAATACCATTTTAAAAGAAAGCTTTAAAATAAATATTGTATTACCATCTAGATATCTTGTTCCATAAGCGCATTCTGGGAATATTCCCCTCAAATACGTGATACAGGATACTGAAACTGCTAGAAGCCTCTTCACTAACACCAAAGACTGGTGTTCAGTTGATATCTTATTGGGAAATACCAGTGCACTCTAAAATTCAAGGGAAAGTAGAACACTTTATTTAAATTTATTAAAAATAAAGTTTCTCTTGACTTAACATATATCCAATTTTGTATAATCATAGTACTCACCCCAAGAATTCCTCCCTATATTGGTTAGTAATCCCCCAAAAGTCAGAGCGGCATGTAAAATGTGAGGGTATTTCTAGGGTAATAGCCTAAAGGACATATGCAAAAAGTATCTAAAAATCTTTTAATTTTTTTTTTTTATTTTTAAAAAAATTGAGACAGGATCTCACTGTATTGCCCAGGCTGGAGTGCAGTGGCACAATCACAGCTGCCTACAACCTCCATTGGATGCAAGTTGATGGGCACAAAGTATTTCATTAAAAAAGTATAGGCCGGGTGCAGTGGCTCACGCCTGTAATCCCAGCACTTTGGGAGGCTGAGGCGGGTGGATCACAAGGTCAGGAGTTCAAGACCAGCCTGGCCAAATGGTGAAACCCTGTCTCTACTAAAAATACAAAAATTAGCTGGGCGTGGTGGCAGGCACCTGTAAACCCAGCTACTCTTGTAATCCCAGCACTTGGGAGGCTGAGGCAGGGAATTGCTTGAGCCCAGGAGGCAGAGGTTGCTGTGAGCCAAGATCGCACCACTGCACTCCAGCCTGAGTGACAAAGCGAGACTCCATCTCAAAAAAAAAGTATATAATCATTATATAATTCTTCAGATTATATTCAAATATATCAAATGCTTGTATTTTGAGGATGAATAAAACAAATGTTAATAGTGGCTGGTATTTTAAAAACACCTTTTTGGGACACCCATATAAAGTGTTTTTCAGTTTAATGGTTTTTAGTTTATTCACAGAGGTGTGTGTGCAACAATCACCACCAATTTCATAACATTTTCTTCATCCCAAAAAGGAAACCCATACCAATTAGCAATCACTCCCTGTCCCTTATCCCATCCCACGTCCTACCCATTAGCCTATCTGTCCCTATAAATTTGCCTATTCTAGACATTTCATATATCCTCGCACAACCTCTAAAGTAGCTGAGACTACAGGCGTTGCACCACCATGCCTGGCTAATTTTTTTTTTTTTTTTTTTTGTAGAGATGAGATCTCACTATGTTACCCAGGCTGACCTCAAACTCTTGCGCTCAAGCAATCCTCTCACCTCAGCCTCAGCTCAAAAAGTACCTAAAAATCTTAAGAATCCCCTTGCAGATTAACTGTCTGTAAATGCATAACACATGGATAGATTACATTGATTTTTCTCTTTGGTCACTGAGTAGGTATAACAGAGGTTAAGTGTAATGCAAAATCCTATACAAATATAGCAAATGCATATTTGTGTCTCGGTTACAAACATTCATTTTCTTTCTTTTTGAGACGGAGTCTCACTGTTACCCAGGCTGGAGTGCAGTGGTGTGATCTCGACTCACTGCAACCTCCCCCTTCTGAGTTCAAGCGATTCTCCTGCCTCAGCCACCTTCATAGCTGAGACTACAGGCGTGAGCCACCGTGCCCGGCCTCATTTTCTTATTTATTTAATTTTATTCTGCTTATATATTGAACATTCATGTTCTAGAGGTGGACTGCTATGAACAATAATTTCATCAAAGCAACAAAGCAGTATTCATTAATACCTAATGTAAATTAAATGTGAATGAGCAATTTAATGCAATGCAGCAAACATCCAATAGAATTCTCAATTAATGCCGGGCGCGGTGGCTCACGCCTGTAATCCCAGCACTTTGGGAGGCCGAGGCGGGCGGATCACGAGGTCAGGAGATCGAGACCATCCCGGCTAAAACGGTGAAACCCCGTCTCTACTAAAAATACAAAAAATTAGCCGGGCGTAGTGGCGGGCGCCTGTAGTCCCAGCTACTTGGGAGGCTGAGGCAGGAGAATGGCGTGAACCCGGGAGGCGGAGCTTGCAGTGAGCCGAGATCCCGCCACTGCACTCCAGCCTGGGCGACAGAGCGAGACTCTGTCTCAAAAAAAAAAAAAAAAAAAAAAAAAAAAAAAAAAAAAAAGAATTCTCAATTAATTCAAAATACTTCAGCAAATATCTTCATTTCTTAAAACATGCAGTTTCCTGGTATCATAAAACCCTCAAATAGTTGAGCCCTAACTTCCAACAGAGTATTTGAGACTTCAAGAAACAATAAAAGCAGCTATTATTAAGATATACCAAAATACAAGAAATCATACCATGGGAGTCCTCTGCAACTGGGCAGTGGCCATCTTCTTCTGATAAAGTATTTTCTTTAATTCAACCTTGTGACACAAATACAAGCTTTAACTTAGAGCTCATTTTTTTCCTCTAACATTTCAGTTTACCACATATAAAATTCAAAACAATTTTATGTGAATAAATTTGAATTTCTTTAATTAAAATAGAGTCTTCAAAAACGTAGAGGTCGATATTGCAGTAGAACCATTTTGAGTAGGGTCCTGATTTGAAGCCATTTGACTAGCAAGTCTCAAACAAATGGGTTATTAAGAAACTGTTTAAGAGAACTTTTTAAAAAGGCACAATCTTCCTATTTTTATTCCCTATACAAATTCAAACAATGACAACATTGTACAGGTAGGTATTCAGTAATGAAAAATTGCCTGGCAAACCCTCTAAACTTTTTCAGTTTTATTTGTTTTTATTTTTCATTTTTTTGAGACGGAGTTTCGCTCTGTCGCCAGGCTGGAGTGCAGTGGCGCGATCTCAGCTCACTGCAAGCTCCGCCTCCCGGGTTCAAGCGATTCTCCTGCCTCAGCCTCCCGAGTAGCTGGGACCACAGGTGCCCACCATATATATATATACAATTTTTTTTTTCGAGACGGTGTCTCTCTCTGTTGCCCAGGCTGGAGTGTAATGGCGCGATCTCGGCTCACCGCAACCTCCCCCTCTGGGTTCAAGTGATTCTCCTGCCTGAGCCTCCTGAGTAGCTGGGACTCCAGGCGTGCCACCACGCCCAGCTAATTTTTGTATTTCTAGTAGACACGGGGTTTCACCATGTTGGCCAGGAAACTCCTGACCTCGTGATCCGCCCGCCTCGGCCCCCAAGGTGTTGGGATTATAGGCGTGAAGCACCGTGCCCGGCCGCTAATTTTTTTTTCTATTTTTAGTGGAGACGGGGTTTCGCCATGTTGGTCAGGCTGGTCTCAAATGATCCTCCGGCCTCAGCCGCCCAACTTGCTGGGATTACAGGAAGTTGTGTGTCCGGAACCACTGTGTCCGGCCCCAGTTTCACTTTTCTTAATCAGACAATTCAGCTGGAAGAGTTTACTAAAGAGGCAAACTTCATAGAAGAACCTATTTACGTTAAACGTTTAAATTTATCCTGACAAATCCTGAATTCGCCGTCCGTACTCACCCCATCTCAAGAACCTCTGTTGACAAGTAAGTGGGTATACATTTTTACCGCAAATGTTTTACCACTAAGACCTTAAGAAACTTAAAAGTAGGGGGAAGCTGACAGACAAAGAGATTAAAAAGTAAAATATACGCACACACACACAGATATATACACACTAATATATATTACATTACGTCTGAGGGGCGGGCGCCGGAGACCAGAAGAGCTGCACGAGGCTGCACGCGCTGTGCCCGACGCGCATGCGCTTTCCTTCAACGGTCACCCGCTGGGGCGCGACAGTGGCTTTTTGACCCCTGGTCGAGGTCACCTTTCCCGCCAAGCGCAGCGCAAGGCGCACTGGGAGCCTCAGACACGGGAAGCCTCAGCGCCACGTCTCAGGCAGTGGAAAAGCCAGACAGAAGGGGGAAGGTTAAGTAACTGCATGTGCAGTTACTGAATTTCTGATTGTTTTTCTGACTTTTGATTTTCTTTCTTTTTTTTTTTTTTTTTTTTTTGAGACGGAGTTTTGCTCTTGTCGTCCAGGCTGAAGTGCAGTGGCATGATCTTGGCTCACTGCAACCTCTGCCTCCAGGGTTCAAGCAATTCTCCTGCCTCAGCCTCCCAAGTAGCTGGGATTACAGGCGTCCGCCACCATGCCCAGCTAATTTTTGTATTTTTAGTAGAGACGGGGTTTTGCCATGTTGGCCAAGCTGGTCTCAAACTCCCGACCTCAGGTGACCTGCCTCCCTCGGCCTCCCAAAGTGCTGGGATTACAGGCGTGAGCCACCACACCCGGCTGACTTTTGATTTTCTCATTGGAACTACCACAAATTGCATTCCCACCTTCCAATCTCCTGTATCTTCAGGAAACCATTTGCTTTAGCAGTCTTCTACTTAGCCACTTCCACTGTGTTATGTCATTGGGGACAATGGATAGCTTTGAATGTAATTTGTCTCATTTAGAAACAAAATAAAATCAGAGTGGGTAGGTATTAATAGTTGGAGATTATTCAGTAGTACAAGCTTCTTAGTTTACAGATTATTATATATCCAAATACATTTCTTACCAGTGTAAACATTCAATTACAGGCATACCTTGGAGATATTGCAAGTTCAGTTCCAGACCCTCCAATAAAGCAAACAACATAATAAAGCAAATTACACAATTTTTTAGTTTTCCATGTGTATAAAAGTTATGTTGGCTAGATGTGGTGGCTCATGCCAATAATCCCAGCACTTTGGGAGGCTGAGGCGGAACAATTGCTTGAGGCCAGAAATTGGGGATCAGCTTGGGCAACAAAGTGAGACCCTGTCTCTACAAAAAATAAAAAAAATTAGGCAGAGGTTGTGGCACACACCTGTAGTCTCAGCTACTCAGGAGGCTTAGGCAGGAGGATCCCTTGAGCCCAGGAGTTTGCAGTGGCAGTGAGCCCTGTTTGAGCCACTGCACTCCTGCCTAGGCGGCAGTGAGACTTGTTTCAAAAAAAAAAAATTATGGTTACACTATTAATATCTTAATATATATATATAAATTTTTTTTTTTGAGACGGAGTCTTGCTCTGTCTGTCGCCCAGGCTGGAGTGCAGTGGTGCGATCTCGGCTCACTGCAAGCTCCACCTCCTGGGTTCACACCATTCTCCTGCCTCAGCCTCCCAAGTAGCTGGGACTACAGGCGCCCGCCACCACACCCGGCTAATTTTTTTGTATTTTTAGTAGAGACAGGGTTTCACCGTGTTAGCCAGGATGGTCTTGATCTCCTGACCTCGTGATCTGCCCGCCTTGGCCTCCCAAAGTGCTGGGATTACAGGCATGAGCCACTGCGCCCAGCCCTTAATATATTTATTGTACATATCTTATGCTTTCTGTAGTCTGTTAAGTGTGCAGGAGCATAATGTCTAGAAACACAATGCACATACTTTAATTTTAAAATACTTTATTCCTAAAAAATGCTAATGATCATCTGAACAATCATCTTTTTGCCGGTGGAGGGCCTTGCCTTGATGTTAATGGCTGCTGACTGATCAGGGAGGTGTTTGCTGCATGTTGGGGTGTCTGTGGCAATTTCTTAAATTAGGACAACAATGACATTCACCACATCGATTGACTCTTCCTTTTATAAAAGATTTCTCTGTAGCATGTGATGCTGTTTTACAGCATTTTACCCACAGTAGAAATTCCTTCAGAATTGGAGTCAGTCCTTTCAAACCCTGCTGCTACTTTGTCAACTAAGTTTATGTAACATTCTAAATCCTTTGTTACCATTTCAATCTTGTTCTCAGCATCTTCACCAGGAGTAGATTCCATCGATTCCATCTCAATAAATCACTTTCCTCAATCATCCATAAGAAGCAATTCCAGCACTTTGGGAGGCTGAGGCGGGTGGATCACGAAGTCAGGAGTTTGAGACTAGCCTGGCCAATATGGTGAAACCCTGTCTCTACTAAAAATACAAAAATTAGCCAGGCATGATAGCACGCCTGTAATCCCAGCTACTAGGGAGGCTGAGGTGGGAGAATCGCTTGAACCCAGGAGGCTGAGGTTACAGTGAGCTGAAATCACGCCACTGTACTCCAGCCTGGACAACAGAGCAAGACACTAACTTAAAAAAAAAAAAAAAGAAGCAATTCCTCAGCAGTTCAAATTTTGTCATGAGATTGTAGCAATTCAGTCCCATCTTCTCATCTTCAGGTTCTACTTCCAATTCTGGTACTCTTGCTATTTCCACATCTGCAGTTGCTTCCTCCATGGCAGTCTCGAACTTCTCAAAGTCATCCATGAGGATTGGAATAACTTCTTCTAAACTGCTGCTAATGTTGATATTTTGACCTCCTCCTATGAATCACAAATATTCTTAATGGCATCGAGAATAGTGACGCCTTTCCAGAAGGTTTTCAATTTTCTTTGCCTACATCCATCAGAGGAATCACTATGGCAGCTACAGCCCTTACAAAATGTGTTTCTTAACTTATAAGGCTTGAAAGTCAAAATTACTTCTTGATCCATGGGCTGCAGAATGGTCTTTTTGTTAGCAGACACGAAAACAACATTAATCTCCATGTTCACCTCCATTAGAGCTCTTGAGTGACCAAGTGCATTGACAATGAGCAGTAATATGTTGAAAGGAATCTTTTTTTCTAAGCAGCAGTAGGTCTCAACCATGTGCTTAAAATATCCAGTGAACTATGTTGTAAGCAGATGTGGTGTCATCCAGGCTTTGTTGTTCCATTTATAGATCACAGGCAGAGTAGATTTAGTATAATTCTTAACGGCCCTAGAATTTGCAGAATGTTAAGGGAGCACTGGCTTCAAATGTAAGTCACCAGCTGCATTATCCTCGTATGAGAAATTCATCCTGTCCTTTAAAGCTTTGAAGGCATTAATTTCTCTTCTCTAGCTATGAAAGTTTTCAGTGGAATCTTCTTCCACAAAGCTGTTTCACCTACGTGGAAAATGTGCTGTTTAGTATAGCCACCTGCATCAGTTATCTTAGCTAGATCTTCTGGATAACTTGCTGCAGCTTCCACATCAGCCCTTGATGCTCCACCTTGCACTTTTTTTTTTTTTTTTTTTTTTTTTTGAGACGGAGTCTCACTCTGTCGCCCAGGCTGGAGTGCAGTGGCACGATCTCAGCACTTTTGTGTTATGGAGAATGGCTTCATCCTTGAAACCTCATGAACCAACATCTGCTAGCTTCAGACTTTTCTTCTGCAGCTTCTGCAGCTTCTGCATCTCTGTCAGCCTTTCTAGAATTGAGGAGTTAGGGCCTTGCTCTGGATTAGACTTCGGTTTAAGAGCATGTTGTGGCTGGCTCAATCTTCTATCCAGACCACTCAAACTTTCTGCATATCACCAATAAAGCTGCTTCACTTTCTTATCATTCATGTGTTCACTGGAGTAGCACTTGTAATTTCCTCCAAGAACTTTCCCTTTACATTCACAACTTGGTGAACTATTTGGCACAAGAGGCCTTTCAGCCTATCTTGGCTTTTGGCATGCCTTCCTCACTAAGCTTAATCATTTTCAGCGTTTAAGTGAGAGGCATGCAACTCTTTCTTTCACTTGAACACATAGACAACATTGTAGGGTTATGAATTGACCTAATTTAAATATTGCTGTGTCTTAGAAAATAGGGAGGCCCAAGGAGAGGGAGAGAGATGGGGACACAGCCAGTAAATGGAGCAGTTAGAACACACACATTTATTGATTATATTTGCCATTTTACATGGGTGCGGCTTTTGACATCCTATGACAATTATCATAGTAACATCAAAGATCACTGATCACAGATCACCATAGTAGATAATAATAATAATGAAAAAGTTTAAAATATTGCAAGAATTACCAAAATGTGACACAAAGACATGAAGTAAGCATATGCTGTTGGGAAACGGCACTGACAGACTTACTTGATTCTGGGTTGCTACAAACCTGCAATTTGTAAAAAAAATGCAATATCTGCAAAGCACAATAAAGCAAAGCACAATAAAACAAGATAAGCCTGTACTCATAAACTTTGACATATCTTCATTACAAAGGAGAAAACAGCCACTAGATATGAAAAGATTTGCCCAAAGTCATTCAACTAGGAGAGAAATGAAGACTAGAACCTTGTTATTAGGGTTAAAAATAGTGAAAATCTTGGTCTAATAATTATTTTGAATTATAATTAAGTCACTGTTTTGTGTGTTTTTTTTTGTTGTTGTTGTTGTTGTTGTTTTTTGAGACGGAGTCTCACTCTTTTGCCCAAGCTGGAGTGCAGTGGCATAATCTTGGCTCACTGCAACCTCCACCTCCTGGGTTCAAGGGATTCTCCTGCCTCAGCCTCCCCAGTAGCTGGGATCACAGGCACGCACCACCACATCCAACTAATTTTTGTATTTTTAGTAGAGATGGGGTTTCACCATGTTGGCCAGACTGGTCTTGAACTCCTGACCTCAGGTGATTTGCCCACCTTGGACTCCCAAAATGCTGGGATTACAGGCATGAGCCACTGTGCCCAGCCACTTTTTTTTCTTTAGAGGCAAGGTCTCTTTCAGTCTCCCAGGCTGGAGTGCAGTGATGCAATCATACCTCACTGCAGCCTCAAACTCCTGGCTCAAGCAATCCTCCCTCCTCAGCCTCTGTAACAACTAGGACCGCAGGTGTGTGCCACAACTCTCGGCTACTTTTTAATTTTTTTGTAGAGTCAGGGTCTTGCTATGTTGTGTAGACTGATCTTGAACTACTGGCCTCAAGTAATACTCCTGCCTTAGCCTCCCAAAGTGTTTCAGGCATGAACTACTATGCCAGGCCTATTTTCATTTTTTTTCATTTTTTTTGAGACAGAGTCTTGCTCTGTCACCCAGACTGGAATGCAGTGGCGTGATCTCGACTCACTGCAACCTCCCCTTCCTGGGTTCAAGCAATTCTCCTGCCTCAGCCTCTGAAGTAACTGGGGTTACAGGCGTCCACCACCACGCCAGGCTAATTTTTGTATTTTTAGTAAAGGTGGCATTTTGCCATGTTGGCCAGGCTAGCCTCGAACTCCTGACCTCAGGTGATCGGCTTGCCTTGGCCTCCCAAAGTGCTGGGATTACAGGCATGAGCCACCACGCCCGGCCCCCTTTATTACATGTTCTGATTTATAGTCTTTCTGGTAACTTAGAGTATGCATACTTGAAGCATCATCAAGATTCTCATCTAGAAGAGAAGAGTCAAAAAATAATAATTTGATTCAAAGAAATAGTAAGTCTTATGCCTGTAATCCCAGTACTTTGGGAGACCAAAGTGGGAGGATCACTTGAGGCCAAGAGTTGGAGACCAGCCTGGGCAACATAATGAGACTCCCATCTCTACACACACACACACACACACACACACACACACACACACACACACACACAAATAAGCCAGAAATGGTGGCTTGCACCTCTAGTCCCAGCTACTGGAGGGGTGGGGAAGGTGTGTGAGGTGAGAAAATAGCTTAAGTTCAGGAGTTCAAGGCTGCAGTGAGCAGTGATGGCATCACTGCACTCCAGCCTGAGTGACAGAGTGAGACCCTGTCTCAAAAAAAAAAAAAAAAAGATAAGAAAGGAAAAAAGAAAAGAGAAAGGAAATACTAAGTATCTGTCACATTTATGTTATATGTTTTAATGGCATTGTCTCATGGATGCCTAGTTCTGGAATATTTAAATCTTCTTGTTTCTTTTTTTAATATAATTTTTCAAATTTTTTGGCTAATCTTCTCTGTATCATTCAAATTTGAGTATATGTGCTGCCAAAGCAAGCACCGTTTCTTTACTTTTATTATACAGTTTAAAATTCTGTCAACTTTTACTCTGTGATGGCTCCCAGATTTGCTTTATTTTTTATTTTTTTGCTGTTTTCAGAAATGATGTATTTAGTTTAGGGCTTTATCACCACACATATAGACTACTAGAATATCTTTTAGATTGTCTCTTTTTTTTTCTTGAGACAGAGTTTCGTTCTTGTTGCCCAGGCTGGAGTGCAATGGCATGATCTCGGCTCACTGCAACCTCCACCTCCTGAGTTCAAGCAATTCTCCTGTCTCAGCCTCTCAAGTAGCTGGGATTACAGGCACCCACCACCATGCCCAGCTAATTTTTGTATTTTTAGTAGAGGCGGGGTTTCACTGTGTTGGCCAGGCTGGTCTCCAACTCCTGACCTCAAGTGATCTGCCTGCCTCGGCCTCCCAAAGTGCTGGGATTACAGGCGTAAGCCACCACGCCCGGCCTAGGTTGTCTCATTTTAAAATTTTATTTATTTTATTATTTGCCAATTTATTTATTTTGAAACAAGGTCACCCAGGCTGGAGTGCAATGGCGCTATCATGGCTCACTGCAGCCTCAATCTCCTGGGCTCAAGTGATCCTCCCACCTCAGCCTTTCCCCTGGTAGCTGGGACTATAGGCACATACCACCACACCTGGCTAACTTTTTTATTTTTTGTAGAGATGGAGATCTTTTTATGTGCTCATAACAAGAGGCAGGAGGATCACTTGCGCCCAGGAGTTTGAGACCAGCCTCTTGAACTTCTGGCTCAAGCGATCCTCCCACCTCAGCCTCCCACAGTGCTGGGATTACAGGTGTGAGCCACTGCACCTGGCTTTTAAAAAAATTTTCTTCAAGTCATCTTGCATACTACTGTCTAGAAATTGTTCCAGAATAAATTCTAAATGTTTTTGTTTTAAATTTATATTTTTAGATAATTTTTTATCTCTATAAGTTTGAAATTACTTATTGTTAATAATTTCCCTTTATATTGGGCATACAGTGAAGTTTTTAAAAAGTATTTCATTATTCTACTTGCTTAGTTCAGGCATTCTTTTTTTTTTTTTTTTTAATTTATTTTTTTATTGATAATTCTTGGGTGTTTCTCACAGAGGGGGATTTGGCAGGGTCATGGGACAATAGTGGAGGGAAGGTCAGCAGATAAACAAGTGAACAAAGGACTCTGGTTTTCCTAGGCAGAGGACCCTGCGGCCTTCCGCAGTGTTTGTGTCCCTGATTACTTGAGATTAGGGATTGGTGATGACTCTTAACGAGCATGCTGCCTTCAAGCATCTGTTTAACAAAGCACATCTTGCACCGCCCTTAATCCATTTAACCCTGAGTGGACACAGCACATGTTTCAGAGAGCACAGGGTTGGGGGTAAGGTCACAGATCAACAGGATCCCAAGGCAGAGGAATTTTTCTTAGTGCAGAACAAAATGAAAAGTCTCCCATGTCTACTTCTTTCTACACAGACACGGCAACTATCCGATTTCTCAATCTTTTCCCCACCTTTCCCGCCTTTCTATTCCACAAAGCCGCCATTGTCATCCTGGCCCGTTCTCAATGAGCTGTTGGGAACACCTCCCAGACGGGGTGGTGGCCGGGCAGAGGGGCTCCTCACTTCCCAGTAGGGGCGGCCGGGCAGAGGCGCCCCTCACCTCCCGGACGGGGTGGCTGGCTGGGCAGGGGGGCTGACCCCCCCCACCTCCCTCCCGGACGGGGCGGCTGGCCGGGCGGGGGGCCGACCCCCCCACCTCCCTCCCGGACGGGGCGGCTGGCCGGGCAGAGGGGCTCCTCACTTCCCAGTAGGGGCGGCCGGGCAGAGGCGCCCCTCACCTCCCAGACGGGGCGGCTGGCCGGGCGGAGGGCTCACCCCCCCACCTCCCTCCCGGACGGGGCGGCTGGCCAGGCGGGGGGCTGACCCCCCCACCTCCCTCCCGGATGGGGCGGCTGGCCGGGTGGGGGGGCTGACCCCCACATCTCCCTCCCGGACGGGGTGGCTGGCCGGGCTGAGGGGCTCCTCACTTCCCAGTAGGGGCGGCCGGGCAGAGGCGCCCCTCACCTCCCGGACGGGGCGGCTGGCCGGGCGGGGGGCTGACCCCCCCACCTGCCTCCCGGACAGGGCGGCTGGCCGGGCGGGGGGCTGACCCCCCCCACCTCCCTCCCGGATGGGGCGGCTGGCCGGGCGGGGGGCTGACACCCCCCCCCACCTCCCTCCCGGACGGGGTGGCTGCCGGGCGGAGACGCTCCTCACTTCCCAGATCGGGTGGCTGCCGGGCGGAGAGGCTCCTCACTTCTCAGACGGGGCAGCTGCCGGGCGGAGGGGCTCCTCACTTCTCAGACGGGGTGGTTGCCAGGCAGAGGGTCTCCTCACTTCTCAGACGGGGCGGCCGGGCAGAGACGCTCCTCACCTCCCAGACAGGGTCTCGGCCGGGCAGAGGCGCTCCTCACATCCCAGATGGGGCGGCGGGGCAGAGGCGCTCCCCACATCTCAGACGATGGGCGGCCGGGCAGAGACGCTCCTCACTTCCTAGATGTGATGGCGGCTGGGAAGAGGCCTCCTCACTTCCTAGATGGGATGGCGGCCGGGCGGAGACGCTCCTCACTTTCCAGACTGGGCAGCCAGGCAGAGGGGCTCCTCACATCCCAGACGATGGGCGGCCAGGCAGAGACACTCCTCACTTCCCAGACAGGGTGGCAGCCGGGCAGAGGCTGCAATCTCAGCACTTTGGGAGGCCAAGGCAGGCGGCTGGGAGGTGTAGGTTGTAGTGAGCCGAGATCACGCCACTGCACTCCAGCCTGGGCACCATTGAGCACTGAGTGAACGAGACTCCGTCTGCAATCCCCGCACCTTGGGAGGCCGAGGTTGGCGGATCACTCGTGGTTAGGGGCTGGAGACCCGCCCGGCCAACACAGCGAAACCCCGTCTCCACCAAAACCAGTCAGGCGTGGTGGCGCGAGGCTGCAATCGCAGGCACTGGTCAGGCTGAGGCAGGAGAATCAGGCAGGGAGGTTGCAGTGAGCCGAGATGGCAGCAGTACAGTCCAGCTTCGGCTCCGCATGAGAGGGAGACCGTGGGGAGAGGGGGAGGGGGAGGGGGAGGGGGAGGGAGAGCAGTTCAGGCATTCTTTACTTGAGAGCCACAACTCTCAAAGTCTCCTTGGATAGAATTCAGGGAATTTATGAATTTGTATGGGTAAAAAATTCCATTTTTATTTTTACTAATGTAGGGGAGAACATATGTTTCCTTCTATCCATCCTAGGTTTAGGGCTGAGATCTCTATAACAAAAGAGAGATTAGCAAGAGAAAAGCATGCACATTTATTTAATATAAGTTTTACACGACACGAGGGGCTCCATAAGGAAATAAAGGCCCAAAGAAACAGTTGAACTTGAATGTTTTTTATAGTAGGTTTGATGAAGAGCAGCCAGTGATGTAGAAATGTCATAGGGCAAAGTGTGAACAAGCTAAATGTAATAAACTGGGGGAAACTGAGAGGCCTGTTTGTTTAGATTCCTCTTTGTGTCCCTGTGCTTTTGGAGGTAAGGATGCTCCTTTTCTCTGGGTGCCAGGAGAGCACCTCTTACATGACAGTCTTATGATCTACTTCAGGGGAAGGTCAGAAAATCCTTCCCAGGTTTTATGGCTGCTTCTGGGGAGAACAGCAGGCAGAAGGTCAGAGTCACCTTCCTGCTTCTGCAATTTCCTCAAATGCCTTCAGCTTAAAATATTCAATATGTCAAAGTGCTGTATTTTGTGTAGGGTGTCCTGAACCCCGTCACTAACCTCTAACTGAAAGTTAGGATTTTCTTCAATTCTGAACATAGTTCATAAACCACGGTAATATTAGCAATACTTCATCATCAAAAGAAAAACCCAGATATTTTCATATCACATTAGTTTTTTGCATCTATTTTCATTATGCTTATCACTATTTCAAATTTAGGATAGCTATTAACTCTTATTTAATGCATTTATAAAGAAGCATGCATATTAATATATAACAAACTTATCTTTTAACATTTTAATAACTGTATTTCGATATAATTAGATTCCTTTGTAATCCTATATATTTTATGCATTTAAAAACATGATTTTAAGAAGGCATTCATAGGCTTTAACAGATAGCTAAAGACTAAGAACCCATGTTTTTATTCTACTTTCAATACTTGAAAAGTTGTGGATAAAACAAAAATTATGTTAAAAACTGAAAAGTAGGCTGGGCTCAGTGGCTCACGCCTGTAATCTTAGCACTTTGGGAGGCTGGGGTGGGTGGATCACCTGAGGTCAGGAGTTTGAGACCAGCCTGGCTAATGTGGCAAAACCCTGTCTTTACTAAAAATACAAAAATTAGCTGGGCGTGGTGGTGCACGCCTATAATTCCAGCTACTCGGGAGGCTGAGGCAGGAGAATCGCTTGAACTCGGGAGGCAGAAGTTGCAGTGAACTGAGATGGTGCCACTGCACTCCAGCCTGGGCAACAGAGTGAGACTCCGTCTCAAAAAACAAAACAAAACTGAAAAGTAATCAACTAAATACTTTTAAACTATAATATTCTATACACTTTTGATGATAGCCATGTATTATGGTATTATTTATGTTTTTATATTTAGCAATTCTTGTTCCTTAAAATGTGCTTTATGGAGAAGGAGCCAGAGTTAGTGAAATACGTTTAGGTTAATTTAGGATATATTAATGACATTATCCCACACATTGTTCATGTCATAGACATGAACTTAAAAAATTTAAAGTTCCTGCTGCCTGCTTAGATGCATCTACTAATCTAGAGCAGTTGTAAGGAAGATCCATCTGAATTAGATAAAAATATGAGCAGTGGAGTATTGGTTATTTTATTCTGGTTGGCTCAGTTATTTGCCAAATAAAGGCCCTGGTCAAATTGTTGATGACTACGTAAAAATAATTTGGACTAATACATTAAATTGTTGATCATTAAAATAATTCTTCCAAAGTGCTTGTCTTTTATGCATTTCTTTACTTTAACATAATATAAAAATATGTGTTGAATCCTCTTTTTTTAAGACAGGGTCTTGCTCTGTCACCCAGGCTGGAGTGCAGTGGTGCAATTACAAGCTCACTGCATTCTCAACCTCCTGGGCTCTTGTGATCCTCCTGTCTTAGACATCTGCATAGCAGGGACCACAGGCACACACCACCACTCCTGGATAGTTTCTTTTTTATTTTTGTGGAGACAAGGTCTCACTATGTTGTCCAGGCTGGTCTTGAACTCCTGGGCTCAAGACGATCCTCCTACTTCAGCCTCCCAAAGTGTTGGGATTACAGGCATGAGCCACTACACGTGGCGTTTTGAATCCTCTTCTGTACAAAGATACAATCTGAGTCCTTAGGACATTTATAGCCTAATATTTTCTTCCATCAAAGTTGCTAAACCCCATCACCAGAATACCACAATTAATATTCTCAGGATAGATTATTAATAGTTGCCTAGGAATAAGAATGGTATGTGGCAATGATAGAAATTTGAAATGGCAGATTTATTAAGTATTTTTAAGCCATCAAGTTACAAAAGGCTATTAGGGGTCTTAAAAAGACAAAGAGTATACAATAAAACAATAAGCAATTACAGATTGTTTTAGGTTGAACAATTTTTGTACAGTTATATCTATAGTACATTACTAATTTACTTAGCAAACTTTATCCTGAGATTTGCAAATTTAAAAAAATGAAGAATCAAACTATATTTTCTTTTCTGTTTTTTTGAAACAGAGTCTCCACTCTGTCATCCAGGCTGGAGTACAGTGGTGTGATCTCAGCTCAACATAGCCTCAACCTCTTGGGTTCAAGGAATCTCGTGCCTCAGCCTCCCAAGTAGCTGGGATTACAGGCATGCACCACCGTGCTCGGCTAATTTTTTGTATTTTTAGTAGAGATGGGGTTTCACCATGTTAGCCAGGCTGCTCTTTAACTCCTGGCCTCAAGTTGATATGCCTGCCTTGGCCTCCCAAGTACTGGGATTACAGGCGTGAGCCACCGTGCCCGGCCTCAAACTATATTTTCTAATTAGTACAGTAAATACACATTAATCATGACACAATTATTTCTTCTGGATACAGCAGGAAAAATTAAGTTAAGAGAAAGTGCTTCATATTTCTTGATTTGTTATAAAAAGGAGAGATCCTCTAGATTTCTGGGTAAGAGGGAAAGCTAGCAATCCCACAATGATTTCCTTTATTTCTTGCCATCCGAATATATCCTTCTTCACCAAAGTTGTGGCCCCAGCTTTAGAAAAAGAAATAATACAAAATTACAAATGCGTACAATCAAACCATGTTATCAACTTTTTATCTCATTGTTTTTCTCCTATAAGTGATTACATATGAAAGGCCGTAAAACAAAATTAGAATGAAATAAGGTAATAATTTCTCCAGGGATTTCAGGTAACTCAAAATAATGGTTTGGAAAGCTTTAGTGCTATATTGATGAATAGACTTAATACCTAAGGAAAACTATAGTAAGATCCATCCCAGTCCTTTAATCCTCCTACTTTGCAAATATGCCTTCTCTAAAGAAAGAGTATTAGTATCCTTTATAAGCCTTTATCTCTAAATTTTTTGATAACAGTATCATGTGTAATGATTTTCTATCAAACTTAAATTCCTCTAGAGAATGTCAATTAAGAAATATTTTTGAGTGACTACTATGAAAAAGGTATAGGGCAGGGAATTCTAAAGCAAACAACAAAAATGCAGCTCTGAAAGAGCTTTTTGATCTAGAAGTGGAGCTGACTTTCTCATAATTAAAGCTATTGAAAAATGAGCCAGGCATGGTGGCTCACACTTGTAATCCAAGTGCTTTGAGAGGCTGAAGTGGGAGGATTGTTTGAGGCCAGAGTTTGAGAGCAGCCTGGGCAAAATAGCAAGTCCCTGATTCTACAAAAAAAATTTTTTTTTAATTAGCCAGGCATGGTGGCATGCACCTGTATTCCTTACCTACTCTGCAGCAGAGGCTACTTGTTAGAGATGTTGCAGAGAAAAATCATGGGTCGGATTAGGGTTCGAGTAGATCAGTGTTTCACTTTTTGATTTAATGGACTTAGAGGAGTTCAAAAAGTTTTTACAGATAGATATACAGTTATCAATTTTAAAATTAGCATGTATGGACATCTTTTTTTTTTTTTTGGAGGTGAAGTTTCGCTCTTGTTGCCCAGACTGGAGTGCAATGGTGCAATCTCAGCTCACCGCAGCCTCCATCTCCTGGGTTCAAGTGATTCTCCTGCCTCAGCCTCCCAAGTAGCTAGGACTGCAGGCATGTGCCACCACGACGGCTAATTTTGTATTTTTAGTAGAGATGGGGTTTCTCCATGTTGGTCAGGCTGGTCTCCAACTCCTGACCTCAAGTGATCTACCCGCCTCAGGCTCCCAAAGAGTTGGGATTACAGGTGTGAGCCACCACGCCCGGCTGTATGGTCATCTTTTTTAAAAAGCATACTATTGGTCGGGCACGGTGGCTCAAGCCTGTAATCCCAGCACTTTGGGAGGCAGAGACGGGCAGATCATTTGAGGTCAGGAGTTCGAGACCAGCCTGATCAACATGGTGAAACCCCGTCTCTACTAAAAATACAAAAACTAGCTGGGCATGGTAGCATGAGCCTGTAGTCCCAGCTACTCGAGAGGCTGAGGTAGGAGAATCGCTTGAACCTGGGAGGCAAGGCAGAGGTTGCAGTAAGCCGAGATTGCGCCTGTGCACTCCAGCCTGGGCAACAGAGTGAGACTGTCTCAAAAAAAGAAAATAAATAAAAACCATACTACTTACTGTCACCATTATGTTGTAAAAGAAAATACATTTTAACACCAAAAGCAAAAAATCCAAAGACATAATCTCTATTTTAAGGATAGTCTTTTGAGTAAATAAATTTATATTAATGAAAAAGTCACCAAAATATTCTTATTTTTCTTACTTTACCAAGACTGATGAAAAAACTTAGAAAATCCTTGTAAGAGGAATGATTTCTGAAGCTCTTTATCATTCTGAGATTTTATAGTGGTAGGTATATAAATATCATACAAGGCAAAATTCATTAAGTGCTCTAGGATACAAATAAAAGTGTGAAATTGAGAAAATGCCTAGTGTGTCTGGAGAGCAGTAAGAAATTTAGTTGAAAGGAAAACTGGATATCTTTAGTAGAATAGTGGAAAAAGAGGATAGAAAGCTGGTTTGGGGCCATGTTGTGAACAGCTTAGAACAGCAGGTGGAGGAACATGTACTTCAATTACAAAGGCAAAGGGAAGCTGTTAGAAATTTTGGCTCAGGGACTCAAAGTTTGTGTTTTTGCATGCAGTGGAGAACCTAAGAAATGCTGGTTTATTGTTGGAAGACAAATGACACCATTTAAAAGGACTGTGCTTTAAGAGGCCTTAAATATTCTATGTATCAGCCCTCATTGGACATTTTGCAGGTCCTATTTTTTTCTCTCTGTACCATTTAACACACTTGTCTACTCCCACCTTACTGGTCTCTTGGCTTCAAGACACTACTATGTTCTGATTTTCTTATCTCTCTCTGGTCAGTCCTTCTCAAACATTTTCATGAGCTCCTTTCTTTACTTCCTTTCACTTAATTGCCACTCCACTGCTTAGAAATTGTCAATGGCTCTCCATGCCTTTACAATAAAATTCAAACTCCATCGTCACCTCTAATAAACCACTGGCTGTAGTGGGTTTTTTTGTTTGTTTGTTTGTTTTTGACAGAGTCTCACCGTGTTGCCCTGGTTGGAGTGTGGTGGTGCAATCACAGCTCACTGCAGCTTCGACCTCCTGTGCTCAAGCAATCCTCCTGCCTCAGCCTTACAAGTAGCTAGGACCACATGTGCATACCACCATGCTTGGCCAATTTTTTTTTTTTTTTTTTTGTGATGGAGTCTTGCTCTGTGGCCCAGGCTGGAGTGTAGTGGCACAATCTCGGCTCACTGCAAGCTCCGCCTCCCGGGTTCACGCCATTCTCCTGCCTCAGCCTCCTCAGTAGCTGGAATTACAGGCGCCCACCACCACGCCTGGCTAATTTTTTTGTATTTTTTAGTAGAGATGGGGTTTTACCGTGTTAGCCAGGATGGTCTCGATCTCCTGACCTTGTGATCTGCCCGCCTCAGCCTCCCAAAGTGCTGGGATTACAGGCGTGAGCCACTGCGCCTGGCCCAATTTTTTATTTTAGTAAAGAAGAGGTCTCACTATGTTGCCCAGGCTGTAGCAATGCTCTTTTAATATCCAGTTTGATAAGCAAAAGCAATAACAAGAATCCGGCCAGGCTATTATTAATATTAATAGACACCACTTATTTAGCACTTACTCTGCCAAACAGATTAACATAAATTATCTAATTTAATCATCATCCTGTGAGGTGAATATTATCTTCTTTTACTAAAGAAAAAAACAGAAGGGCAGAGTGGTAAAGTAGCTTGCCAAAAGTCACATAGATAGTAAATTGTGAAGCCAGAGGTCAAATCTAGGATTATTTTATTCCAAAGCCCACTCTAACTTTTATCTATGCCTATCCCTACAGTTATCTCTGTGAGTGAAGTCATATGGGGAATGAAATTCAGACCAGTACATCTAGGATCTCATGTAATTTATATCCTACTATGGTCACTGCATTAAATAATAGGTAAAATAAATCATTTTAGGTGAACTGAATTTGGACCTGAGTTCTAGTATGAAAATTGAATTGAGGGTCTAGTTACTAGCAGTATGAATTCAGTCAGTGAGACCAAGGAATCCCAGACCCCATTCAACATCTAAACAATTTACTTTTCTCAGTTTTACCGACCAAGATCAATTGCCCCCAGTTTTGCAAAAGATCCCAGACCTCTTTTTGACTGAGTCCTGCTAACTTCCCTTAAACAATGAAACTGATAAAAAAAAAAAATCTTAAGCTAAATAAAGTATCTGAGGACAAAGTCTTGCCTTCAGAATTATACAAGATCTGCTCCAAATGTTCATTTCGGTACTTACCAAGTTGTATATTTTTATTAATTCTATAGCTCTTTCACTCAAACTGTTCAACTTTAGGTGAGTTTGTTAACTAAATGCCTATCTCATAAGAGTACTTTAAAAATTAAATGAGAGAATGTATTTAAAGTACTCACACAATATTTGGTATATAGCCAATGCTTACTAAGTGAAGGTAGCTATTTTTATTATTATCCAGGTATGAGTACATCAGATTGGACTCAAGTAGAGTCCATCTACTTTTTTTTTTTTGAGACGGAGTTTCACTCTTGTTGCCCAGGCTGGAGTGCAATGGCACAACCTCGCCTCACTGCAACCTCCACCTCCCAGGTTCAAGTGATTCTCCTGCCTCAGCCTCCTGAGTAGCTGGGATTACAGGCGTGCGCCATCATGCCCGGATAATTTTGTATTTTTAGTAGAGATGGAGTGTCTCCATGTTGGCCAGGCTGGTCTCGAACTCCCAACCTCAGGTGATCCTCCCACCTCGGCCTCCCAAAGTGCTGGGATTACAGGCGTGAGCCACTGAGCCGGGCTGAGTCCGTCTACTTTTAAAAAAATGTATAGCGTTCTTCTAGGGTGATCACCAGTCCCAGTTTGCCTGGGACTGTCCTGTTTTTAAAAAGAAAGTCCTATGTCCCAGAAAGCCTCGTAGCCCTTAGCAAAGTGGGAAAGTTGATCACCCTACCTTCTCCTTGCATATTATAAGGCTACTAACTTATTATTCCTTCTAAAATCAATGCCAGTTTCCTTTGTAATAGACTGAAGTCCTGGGCTTCTTAGGCTGTGCCAGACACTCTTCTAGGCATTAGGATTACAGAGACAAAGTCTTTCTAAAGCCTAGGTTCTAGAGGAGAAACATATGATAAACGAAGAAATACTTGATGATATATATGATTAGTACAATAAAGAAAAATAAAGCAGGATAAGGGATACAGAGTGTTAAGAGACAGGGCTCAATTTTAGGTGGAATGGTCGGGAAAAGCTTCGCTGAGTGGATGTTTGCGCAAAGATGCAAGTGAGGCAAAGACCTGGATAAAGGGCTAGAAATAAGCATGATGTGTCAAGAAATAGCCAAAAGGCTAATGTGCTGGGAGCTGAGTGAGAGAGGGGAGAGTAGTTGGAGAGGTAGTTGGAGAGGCAGGCTAAGGCCAGATAATGTCATGCTTTACAGGTCATGGGTTTTATTCTGAGTGGGAAGGAAAGCCATTAGAGGGTTTGGGGTAGAAGGGTAACATAATCTACTTTATGCTTTAAAAAGATAATTCTGGTTACTGTGTAGAGGATTGATTCCAAGCAAACAAGAGGGAAGCAGCTACCAGTTATGAGATTATTGCAATAGACCAGGAGATGGATGGTGGCTTGAACTCTAATGGTAACAGCAGAGGTATTGAGAAGTGCAAGCAAATCTTGTTTTATTGTGCTTTGCTTTATTGTGCATTGCAAATTTTGCATATTTTACAAATTGAAGGTTTGTGGCAACCCTGCATGGAGCAAGTCTATCGGCACAATGTTTCCAACAGCCTGTGCTCACTTTGTGTCCCTGTGTCACATTTTGGCATTTCTCATAATATTTCAACTGTTTTCATTATTAGCAAATCTGTTATGGTGATCTGTGATCAGTGATTTTTTTTTTTTTTTTGAGATAGGATCTCACTCTGTCATCCAGGTTGTTGTGCAGTGGCACAATCGCAGCTCACTGCAGCCTCAGCCTCCAGGTCTCACGCTCCTGCCTCAGCCTCCCAAGTAGCTGGGACCACAAATATGCACCAGCATGCCAGGGTAATTAAAAAAAAAAACTATCTGTAGAGACAGAGTCTTGCTATGTTGCCCAAGCTGGGATCAGTGATCTTTAATATTACTATTGTAATTGTCTTGGGGTGCCATGAGCCACGTGCATATAAGATGGTGAACTTAACTGATAAGTGGTGTGTGTTCTGACTGCTCCACTAACTGACACTTCCCCCATCTCTCTCTCTCTCCTCTGGCCTCCCTTTTCCCTGAGACACAATGATATTGAAATTAGGCCAATTAATAACCTTACAATGGGCCAGGTGCGGTGGCTCACGCTTGTAATCCTAGCACTTTGGGAGGCCAAGGCAGGTGGATCACCTGAGGACAAGAGTTCGAGACCAGCCTGGCCAACATGGCGAAACCCCGTCTGTACTAAAAATACAAAATTAGCAGGGTGTGGTGGTGCGTGCCTGTAATCCCAGTTACTCCGGAGGCTGAGGCAGGAGAATTGCTTAGAACCTGGGAGGCAGAGGTTTCAGTGAGCCAAGATTGCACCACTGTACTCCAGCCTGGGCAACAGAGGGAGACTGTCTCAAAAAACAAAAACAAAAAACAACCTTACAGTGGCTTCTAAGTGTTCAAGTGAAAGGAAGAGTTATACATCTCTCATTTTACATCAAAGCTAGAAATGATTATGCTTTGTGAAAGCCAAGGTAGGCTGAAAGCTAGACTTCTTGAACCAGTTAGCCATGTTGTGAATGCAAAGGGAAAGCTCTTGGAGGAAATTAAAATGCTACTCCAGTGAACACATGAATGAAAGCAAAACAACAGGCCAGGTGCAGTGGCTCATGCCTGTAATTCCAGCACTTTGGGAAGCTCAGGCGGGTAGATGACTTGAGCTCAGGAGTTCAAGACCAGCCTGGGCAACAAGCTAAAAATACAGAAATTACCCGTGCCTGGTGGCACATGCCTGTAGTCTCAGCTACTTGGAGGGAGGCGGAGGTTGCAGTGAGCTGAGATTGTGCCACTGCACTCCAGCCTGGGTGACAAAGTGAGACCTGTCTCAACAACAACAACAACAACAACAACAACAACAAAAAGAAAGAAAGAAGAAAAAAGTAAAGAAAAAAAGTGAAACAGCCTTATTGCTGATATGATTTGAGTGGCCTAGATAAAAGAGCAAACTAGCCACAACATGCCCTTAAGCGAAAACCTAATCCAGAGCAAGGCCCTAACTCTCTTCCATTGTAAGAAGGCTGATGAAACTAAAATTAAAGAAGTTAAATAACCTGCCGAAGTTCTTCTATGCCTCCAGTGCAACCTATGCCACCTCGATTTTAGCATTTATCACATTGAGTTGCAATGGACTACACATGCACCTGCCTGTTTCCTTCACTCCATTAGACTATGAGTACCTTGAGGGACGGTAGAAGAGCTGCATTTTTCATTTCCAATCGCTAGTTCCTAGCTTGGCACATGGTAGGTACTCAATACATGTTTGTTGAATCAGTGTCCAAATGAAGATGCAAAAATGAACAAGAGACTATCCTACCTTGAAGAAGTTTACATTTTAGTGAATGGGGCATGGTTTGCACAAATAGCTATAACACAAGGGATATGTGTAAAATACTATAATAGAATTCATAAAGCATTGCCAAAGCTTAGGAATTAGAGAAACAATTCTAAGTGAATGGGGTATGAAGGAGATAGTATTTGAGGCAGGATTTAAAAAATGAATAGGATTTGTAATGACTTTTTTTTCATTTTAAAATTAATACCTTTCTTTTTTTTCCTTCCTTTTTTGAGACAGAGTCTCGCTCTGTCACCCCGGCTGGAGTGTGGAGCGCAGTGGTGTGATCTTGGCTCACTGCAAGCTCCGCCTCCCAGGTTCATGCCATCCTCCTGCCTCAGCCTCCCGAGTAGCTGGGACTACAGGCATGCGCCACCACGCCTGGCTAATTTTTTTTGTATTTTTAGTAGAGACAGGGTTTCACCGTGTTAGCCAGGATGGTCTTGATCTCCTGACCTAGTGATCCACCTGCCTTGGCCTCCCAAAGTGCTGGGATTACAGGCATGAGCCACTGTGCCCGGCCTCCTTCCTTTTTTTTTCGAGATAGGGTCTCATTCTGTCACTGAAGCTAGAGTTGAGTGATGTGATCATGGCTCACTCACAGCGGCCTCAACTTCCTGGGCTCAAGTGATATTCCCACCTCAGTCTCCCAAGTAGCTGGGACCACAAGTGTGTGTCACCATGCCTGGCTTATTTTTGTATAGAGATGGGGTCTCACTATGTTCCCCATGCTGGTCTTGAACCCCTGGGCTCAAGCGATCCTCCCAGTTCAGCCTCCCAAAGTGCTGGGATTACAAGCATGAGCCACTAAGCCTGGTTGGACATACTATGTTTAACTTAAATTTTTTTTTGACATAGGGTCCTGCTCTGTCACCTAGGCCAGAGGGCAGTGGTGTGATCATGGCTCACTGTAGCCTCAAACTCCTCAGCTCAAAAAATCCTCCTACCTCAGCCTCTTGAGTAGTTGATATTACAGGCACATGCCACCATGCCCAGCTAATTTTTTAAATTTGTTTATAGAGACTGGGTCTCCCTATGTTTCTGGTCTTAAACTCCTGGCCTCAAGTGATCCTCCTGCCTTGGCCTCCCAAAGCTCTAGAGTTATAAGCATGAGCTTACCACATTCAGCTAATATTTATACTACATATAAATTTTGTATTTATGTGTATCTTTTTTCATTTAAATATATATCCCAAGTATTTTATTAGGTTATTAATAATAGTCTGAATAAATCTAATGCATGGAGTTGATTATGTCATAGTTTATTTAATCATATACCTATTGTTAGGCATTTTTGGCTACTTACTAGTTTTTACTATTAAATAATAATGCTACAATTCACATAAGTTGTGTATGAAAGTTTTCCCATATTTAGGATTATTTTCTTCATATAGATTCCAAGAAATAAAAGTAATGGGACACTGGCTGTGCGCAGTGGCTTGCGCCTGTAATCCTGGCACTTTGGGAGGCCAAGACAGGCAGATCACCCAAGATCAGGAGTTGGTAGACCAGCCTGGCCAACATGGTGAAACCCCATCTCTACTAAAAATACAAAAATTAGCCAGGTGTTTTGGTGGGCACCTGTAATCTCAGCTACTTGGGAGACTGAGGCAGGAGAATCACTTGAACCTGGGAGACGGAGGTTGCAGTGAGCCGAGATTGTGCCACTGCACTCCAGCTTGGGAGACAGAGCGAGACTCTGTCTCAAAAAAAAAAGGGGGGGGGAAGAATATGAACATTTAAAAAGTTCTTTATCATATTGTCAAATTGCTTCCAAGAAAGAGAATAGGCAGGGTAGGGTGGCTCATGCCTGTAATCCCAGCACTTGGGGAGACCGAGGTGGGCAGATCACGAGGTCAAGAGATCGAGATCATCCTGGCCAACATGGTGAAACTCCATCCAACATGGTGAAACTCCATCTCTACTAAAAATACAAAAATTGGCTGGGCATGGTGGCACATGCCTGTAGTCCCATCTACTCGGGAGGCTGAGGCAGAAGAATTGCTTGAACCTTAAAGGCAGAGGTTGCGGTGAGCTGAGATCATGCCACTGCACTCTAGCCTGGTGACAGAGTGAGACTCCATCTCAAAAAAAAAAAGAATAAATACAGCTTACTTTCCCATCAAACTGTATAAGAATGCCCATTTCACCAAGACAGGTGGGATTTCTATAGACAGCATTGGACTTCACAGGCATTTCAGAAAGATACAGCATATATAAAGAAACAGAGGTAGGGATGTATCTGTAAACTTAGGGAATGATGAATAAGTAGTTCACTGTGGCCAGAGTATGACTGTGGGTATATGAAAATATAGTGGAAGAAATGTCTAAGGTTATGTTAAAAGCTAGATAATGGAGTACCTGGAATGCCTGGCCAGGAGTTTGGACTTCATTTTTAGACAATGGTGAACTATTCAGAATTTTTGAGCAGGAGTTGACATGATCTATATTTTAAAAAGATACCGCTATAGCTGGGTAGAATGGAATCTGAATTACAGCAGGGCCATTGGGAATGGCAAAGAGAAAATACATATAAAATATGATTCACAGGCCAAATGGATAGGGCTGGGTGGGTTGAGGGGGGAAAAGGAAAAGGCCAAGATGATGCTTAGGCTTTAATAATCTGAAGATGGTAATATATTACCCAAAATAAGGAATAGTTTTCCCTTGAGCTTGTTTGAAAATCCTTTTCAGGGATGAGGGAAGAAAGGAAGAGAAGAACATTGTAAACTTATTGAGTATGAGAGTGTGTATATGTTGGTAGTAGGGTGATGTAGGTGGGGAGTTTGGATTTTTCAAGGAGAGCTGCCAAATTGGAAGTTGGACAAGGAAGTGTGTCACTTAGGAGGTCATTTTCAGAGATTATGAACTGGGGATCATCTACATAATGGCAATAGTTGAAACTGAAGGAGCAGGTGAGTTTGCTTTGATATAGATGAGTTTGCTTTGATATAGCAAACTCATGTAACAGGCAGGTGGATAAAATAACGTAAGATATGAGGCTAAAGTTGATGTAGCAAAATGAATCAAGATAGTGAGAAATGTGCCATTGCATATGTTTTTTGGGTCATTGAGAGCAACTTTCCAACCTCTAACACACTTTCCTCCTCCAATACATGAACAATTCCATACATCTGGAAACTTGATTCAAATAGTGTCTTCTCTGTGGAGGTTTAGGCTGTTAGGCATTTCCTCTTCAACAGTCCCATAGCCATTTAGACATGTATCATTATACCACGATGTGTTTGTTGTATCGTTTAAAAATACATCTAGGCTGGGTGCGGTGGTGGCTCACGCCTGTAATCCCAACACTTTGGGAGGCTGGGAGATATATATATATATATATATATATTTATAAATATATTTATATTTATATATAGAGAGATTTATATGTATGTATACATAATATATTATATATGTATATTATGTATACATAATATATTATATATGTATATTATGTATACATAATATATTATATATGTATATTATGTATACATAATATATTATATATTATATGTATATTATGTATACATAATATATTATATATTATATGTATATTATGTATACATAATATATTATATATTATATGTATATTATGTATACATAATATATTATATATTATATGTATATTATGTATACATAATATATTATATATTATATGTATATTATGTATACATAATATATTATATATTATATGTATATTATGTATACATAATATATTATATATTATATGTATATTATGTATACATAATATATTATATATTATATGTATATTATGTATACATAATATATTATATATTATATGTATATTATGTATACATAATATATTATATATTATATGTATATTATGTATACATAATATATTATATATTATATGTATATTATGTATACATAATATTTATATATTATATGTATATTATGTATACATAATATATTATATATTATATGTATATTATGTATACATAATATGTACACATAATATTTATATATTATATGTATATTATGTATACATAATATTTATATATTATATGTATATTATGTATACATAATATTTATATATTATATGTATATTATGTATACATAATATTTATATATTATATGTATATTATGTATACATAATATTTATATATTATATGTATATTATGTATACATAATATATTATATATTATATGTATATTATGTATACATAATATATTATATATTATATGTATATTATGTATACATAATATATTATATATTATATGTATATTATGTATACATAATATTTATATATTATATGTATATTATGTATACATAATATATTATATATTATATGTATATTATGTATACATAATATATTATATATTATATGTATATTATGTATACATAATATATTATATATTATATATGTATATTATGTATACATAATATATTATATATTATATATGTATATTATGTATTATATTATATATTATGTATATTATAGATTATGTATGCATACATAATATGTATTGTATATTATGTATGCATACATAATATGTATTGTATATTATGTATGTATATATAATATATATTATATATATTTTTTCATGTTAGATTGTGAGTGCCTTTAGGACAGGATGGTTTCTTACTATTTTTTGTATCTCCAGGGCCTAGATAATGCCAGTCACATTGTAGATGCCTAGTAAGTGCTTGTTGAATGAATGAGTGAAGAGAAGCAGATTTGAATTTCAACACTAAAAGATATAGATGATCTTCAAGAGCAACTTCAGTAGAGAAGGGAATTTAGAACACCTGCCGTAGGGAGTTCCTTAGAGAGTCAATAAGATATGAGGGAAATAGTTTCATTTTAAAAAGCTATCACTGGTCTACACCCAAGCTGATCAGTGCTGTGAATAGGTTATCAGTGAACCAAGATATTGATCCCCTCAGCTACTTTCCCCATGGGCCATACGAATATCATCATCTTCTATGTGTGCCACAGTGGGAAAAGGGTAGGAAAGCACCTTTTGTTTGATTTGTAGACTATGTACTTCAAGTAAAGATTTAAGGGGTGTTATGGGTTGCATTGTGTCCCCACAAAATTCATGTTGGAATCCTAACCTCCAGTACCTCAGAATGTGAACTTATTTAGAGATAGGGTTGATGTAGACATAATTAATTAAATTAAGATGAGGTCATTAGGGTGGGTCCTAATCCAACATGAATGATGCTCATGAAAAGGGAAAATTGGCCAGGCGCAGTGGCTCACACCTGTAATCCCAGTGCTCTGGGAGACCAAAGCAGGAGGATCACTTGATCCCAGGAGTTTGAGACCAGCCTGGGAAACATAGAGAGATCCTGTCTCTACAAATAGAAATTAAAATTGGTCTGGTGTGGTGGTGCATGCCAGTAGTGCCAGCTACTTTGGTGGCTGATGTGGGAGGATTGCTTGAGCCCAGGAGTTTGAGGTTGCGGTGAACATTGATCACCCCACTGCACTCCAGCCTGGGTGACAGAGTGAGACCCTGTCTCAAAAAGGGGAAGAAAGTAAAATTATGAATAGAGACAGAAATGCATACAGGGAGAATGTCATGTGAAAATGAAGGCAGAGGTCAGGGTGATTGTCCTAAAGGCTGAGGAAAGTCAAAGATCACCAGCAAACTTTCAGAAGCTAGGGGAGAGGCATCAAACTTTTTTTTTTAATTAAAAGAACATATTTAATTGACAGATTGTATAAACTCAAGGTATACAGTGTGATGACTTGATGTATGTGCACATTGTGCAATGATTGACATAATCAAATGAAATAACACATCCATCTCCACCCGTGCTGTACCTTTGATTCCCAGAATCTGTTCATCTTATACCTGAAAGTTTACACTCTTTGATCAGCATCTCCTCATTACCCAGCCTCCAGTCCCTGGCAGCTATCATTCTACTGTCTGTTTCTGTAAGTTTGACTTTTTTAGATCCCACATATAAGTAAGATCATACAGTTTTTTTTTCCTGTGTCCACGAATATTTTCTTCCTCACAGCGTGAGAAGGAAGTAACACCTTGATCTTAGACTTCCAGCCTCCAGAACTGGGAGACATAAATTTCTGTCATTTAAGCTGCTCAGTTCGTGGCACTTTGTCATGGTAGCCATAGCAAACTAACACAAAGAGAAACTCCAGGTATGCCCCAAAGTCTCAACTCTTCATATTTCCTCCATTTTTTCCCTCTAGAAGTTATGTTCCTTTTGTTTATGAGTGATATAGATGTCAGTTCAATACATATATTGAGGGGCCTTTAGGTGCCACCCACTTAGTCTGTGCTGCGGATATGAAGACCAGACATAATCTCTCCCCAAAGGCACGTACAGAACACTGGAGTGACAGACAGGTAAATATACAATTTAAATATAATGCCTAAAATCCTGTGATCCAGTATGCATAGGACATTTTGGCAGCATAGAAAAAAGACATGTTCCTCAGCCCAAGGATTCAGGAAAGACTTTTCTGGAATAGATTGTGCCTGAGCTACTTCTGAAGAAAAGGAGAAGTAAACCAAAAGAGAAGACAGGATGTTCTAGGCAGAGGGAACACAAACCAAGATATGAAGGAAGGTATTACAGATAAAGTGGAATGTATGGGAACTACAACTGTGGATAGTGCAGTATAACCAGAGTGAAAATAGGAGGCAACAAATGCCAGGAGGTGAGGCTGGCAAGGCAGGGAGCACAGCCTATAGGATTTGTCTTCTGTCAGGGAACATTAATTTTACACCGAATGAAACTCAGTAGAAGAGTTATAAGCCCAGACTCGTTCATATTTTAGACAAATAAGTTTGGCAGCAGTATGAAAGATGGATTTGAGGGTAAAGGGGAAGAAAATAGAGAGTAAAGGAGACCAGTTAGAAGGGTACAGCAATAGTCCACACTAGAGATGCCTGAACTAGAGCCGTAATAGAAGAAACAGAGAAGGAACAGAATCAAGGACATAGATAAGGTAAAATTGGTTTGACTAATTGGTTGCTTGGTTGGACTTGGGGAGGTCTCAGATGAATCCATCATATCTTATTGGGTGATTGTGTTGTGTGGCCCTTTACTGATATGGGAAATTCTGAAGGAGGAACAGTATGGGGGAGAGAGTACTGAATTATTTGGATGTATTGAGTTTGGAAAGACTAAGATATATGTAAGTGAGTGTGTCCAGATAAGTCTGAAGTTCTGGGAAGATGTCAGAACTAGAGCTAGAGATTCAAAAGCTATTGGCATATAAAGGTTATAGCTAGAGTCCTAAGAGTGGAATTATAGCACCCAAGAAAAAATAAAATAAGAAGAGGAATGGGCAGATGATAGAGCCCTGGGGAAAACTAACATTTTTGGGCTAAATAGAGGAGAGGAATAGGTTCATGAGAGAGGCTGAGAAGGAATAATCACAGAAGTAGTACAGAAGATAAACCAGGAAAACAAAGTGATGAAGGCAGAATGGTAAGTGAAAAGATGGGGGCACTGAGTAATTTAGAATGTCACTTTGTAAGAAGCTATAAAGTTCATCATTGTCAATATCGTGATCATAATGATCATCATCAAAATCATGAGAGTATTTGCTGAAACTCCCTCAAATTCCTGATTCCAATTAAATATAAAGTGTAAATATATTACCTGTTTTTCACAAGCCAGTATTCTTTCCCATTAAGATCACCATAGCCAACCACAAGTACACCATGATTCACATTCTGAGTACAGGATGGTTCATAGTAGACACCTGAGAATCAAATATGGGTGGGAAAAAAGAGTGAATACTATAGGATAATAAAGGGCATTTTAAAACGGTATTACTTTTTATTAGCCTGCTTTGGATACATAGCAAGGTTAATTTAAAAAGTTAAGGACATGTCCAGGCATGGTGGCTCATGCCTGTAATCCCAGAAGTTTGGGAGGCCAAGGCGGGCGGGTCACAAGGTCAAGAGATCGAGACCATCCTGGCCAACATGGTGACACCCCATCTCTACTAAAAATACAAAAATTAGCTGGGCATGGTGGCACGCACCTGTAGTCCCAGCTACTCAGGAGGCTGAGGCAGGAGAATTGCTTGAACCCAGGAGGCAGAGGTTGCAGTGAGCTGAGATCGTGCCACCTCACTCCAGCCTGGCAACAGAGCAAGACTCCATCTTAAAAAAAAAAAAAAAAGTCAAGGACATATACTGTCATGCATAAACTAGGGCTCATAATTATTTGCCACCAATGCTGTATTTGTCAGTGTTCTTGCCAAGCTTAGCATCACTCCAGTCATAGTTCCCCCAGAAACCTTCTTTGATAAGCACACCACCTTTTTCTAAGTTTTTTTCTTTTTTGTTTTTTTCTAAGTATTTTTAAACTTGCATACAATCAGTTATTTTAATTCTCTGTGTATACAGGCATATCTCATTTTATTGTGCTTTGCTTTATTGTGCTTTGCAGATATTAGCTTTTTTTTTTTTTTAAGGAACAGTGTTTTGCTCTGTTGTCTAGGCTGTAATACAGGTGGTATGATCATAGCTAATTGTAACCTCAATCTCCTAGGCTCCAGTCATCCTCCTGATTTGGCCTCCCAAAGCGCTGGAATTATAGGCATGAGCCACTGCACCCAGCTAGATATTGCATTTTTTACAAATTGAAGGTTTGTGGCAACTCTACATTCAGCAAGTCTATTGGTACCATTTTCCCAAAAGCATGTGCTCACATTGTGTCCTTGTACCACATTTTGGTAATTCTCACAATATTTCAAACTTTCTCATCATTATTATATCTGTTATGGTCATCTGTGATCAATGATCTTTGATGTTACTTCATAATTTTGAGGGTGAGCTACAAACCACACCTATATAAGATAGCAGACTTAACCCACAAATGTTGTGTGTGTTCTGACTGATCCACGGACTGGCCACACCCCCATCTCTCTCCTCAGGCCTCCCTGTTCCCTGAGACACAATGATATTGAAATTATGCCACATGATAACCCTATGATAGCTTCTAAGTGTTCAAGTAAAAAGAAAAGTTGCATATCTCTCACTTTAAGTCAAAAGCTAGATGTGATTAAGCTTAGCGGGAAAGGCATGTTGAAAGCCAAGACAGGCCAGAACCTAGCCTAGGCCACTTGTACCGAACAGTCAGGCATGCTGTGAATGTAAAGGAAAAGTGCTTGAAGGAAATTAAAAATGCTGCTCTGCTGAACACACAAATGACAAGAAAGTGAAACAGCCTTATTGCTGATACAGAGAAAATGTGAGTGGTCTAGATACAAGAGTAAGCCAGCCCAGCATGCCTTTACGCCAAAACCTAATCCAGAACAAGACCCTAACTCTCTTCTATTGTAAGAAGGCTGAGAGAGGCGAGGAAGCTACAGAAGAAAAGTTTGAAGCCAGCAGATGTTGGTTCATGAGGTTTAAAATTGCCTCGCCTCACCCCGCCCCGCCTCACCCCGCCCCGCCCCGCCCCGCCCCACCTTGCCCTGCCCTGCCCTGCCCTGCCCCTCTTTCTTCCTTCTTTCTCTTTCTTTCTTCCTTGTTTTTTAGAGACAGGTTTTCACTCTGTTGCCCAGGTTGGAGTGCAGTGGTATGATCATAGCTCACTGTAACCTCAAATTCCTGGGTTCAAGGAGTCCTCCTGCCTCACCCTCCCAAGTAGCTGAGACTACAAGTGAGTGTCACCATATCCGGCTAATTTTTATTTTTATTTTTCGTAGAGATAAGGGTCTCGCGATGTTGCTCAGGCTGGTGTCAAACTCCCAGGCTCAAGCAATCCTCCCACCTCAGCCTCCAAAGCTAGAATTACAGGCATGAACCACCGTGCTCAGCCAATATCCTTTCTTTCTTTCTTTAAATTCTAATTATTGTTTATTTTATTTTTTACCACTTCTGTAGAGGAAGAAAGAAGGATGACGCGCATCTACACCAACAGACACTGGGCCTTTATTGGCCACAGCTTCTTTCAGGACATCTTCTCTGCCATAAGGAAGTTCAGTGTACTTTGAACATGTGGCAGCACGATATTTTGAGTCATATTGACATTTCTGATCCTGCAAAAAGAAGTATAAATATGATGAAGTATACTTCAACTCCTGTATAAATCACCTGTATCCTAAGCCTGGATTTTAAATGTCTCCCTTCCTTTCTTTAACTTTTTCATGTGTCTAAGGCTCCTTCCTTTGCAAATCTTCCAAATCCTAACAGTCCCGGGTTTCAGCAATAATGGAGGAAATACAGAACTATTCTATTCTTTCAAATTGTGAACATCCTCATACATGCAAAACTTGCCAGGACAATGGCCCCTCAGACTTTCAGGTGGACTGTAGGGAAATATTACATAGAGATAATAAACTCTAGATGAGAGCTTTAAAATCTTTTTGATGCCTGCAAGATGATCTGCAGCTAAAATGATGGTATATAAAGACCATATAATATGGGAAACACAAGTATTTCAAGTGGGAAAAGGAAAGTTACAAATTCATGTTTGTTGTATATACAACTATTTTGTATTTATTTATATTATTTATTTTTTTGAGATAGGCTCTCACTCCATTGTCCAGGCTGGAGTGCAGTAGCATAATCATGGCTCACTGCAGCCTCCAACTCCTGGGCCAAGTGATTCTCCCACCTCAGCTTCCTGAGTAGCTGGAACTGCTACTCAGGTGTGCACCACCATGCCTGGCTAATTTTTTTGATTTTTAGTAGAGGTGAGGTCTCACTATGTTGCACAGGCTGGTCTCAAACTCTTGAGCTCAAGCAATCCTCCCACCTCGACCTCCCAAAGTGCTGACATTACAGGTGTGAGCCACCACACTTGGCCAACTATGTTTTTTAAGTGCTTAACAAGAAAATAACTTGAAAGAAATAAACCAAAACAATAGTGGTTAAGGTAGAAGGTTTTTGAGTGATATTTTTATATTTTTAAAATCTTCTGTAACATGGACACAATCCTTAGGTTATCGTTATATCAAAATGTATAATGAATTTCTGAGGAAGAGGAGAGTGTTATTTAGCTTCTCAGTGGGTGGAAGAATGATGTGGTTAATGATCTGAGAATAAGGTTGAGCATGGGAGGCTGCAGAAGAAAAAGTTTAAATACAGAGAAATAATTTTAAGGATAGTTTGCTTAAAATCTGTTTAATTTTGGGATGGAGTCTTGCTCCGTTGCCGAGGCTGGAGTACAGTGGCGTGATCTCGGCTCACTGCACCTCCACCTCCTGAGTTCAAGCGATTCTCCTGCTTCAGCCTCCCGAGTAGCTGGGACCACAGGCATGCACCACCATGCCTGGCTAATTTTTGTATTTTTGGTAGAGACAGGGTTTCACCACGTTGGCCAGGCTGGTCTCAAACTCCTGACCTCAGGTGATCCACCCACCTCGGCCTTCCAAAGTGCTGAGATTATAGGTATGAGCCACTACGCCCAGTCATTAAAATCTGTTTTTAAGCATGAATGCTACTTCCTTATTTGTACTACTGATATATTAAGAAGAGTACTTCATCAGAAACAGAACTCTTGAGAATTTAAGAATTCCTCTTCAGGGTTCTCTCTCACACACAATACTGCTTCTCAAGCAATTGGCATGGTGGCAAGCCCAGCACAGTCAGTCAGTGGATAACATGAGATCATGGGGCAGCACAAAAAGTTTGCTTAAGACGCACCATGGCTTTGTAGGGATAGGAAGCGTCTGAGTCGATGCCCTTGTTATCAATGATGTACTGGAAAGCCGTTGTCATGAAGCCACCATTGCAGCCTTTGTTTCCATATTTTTCAGTTGAGCAATCCACCAGGTTCTGGGCACTGAGAGACACCAGCTTTCCTGTTTTCAGCTTCAGCTGTGCTTCCAGGGCCCCCACAGCACTGAAAGCCCAGCAAGCACCACAAGAACCCTAAAACAGATACAAGGTCACAAACGCAAATCACAGAAAATCATTCGGAATGACTTCCATAACCCAAACTGGACAACGCTCAGCTACATCAGTTCTGTCCCTAGTTCCCAGAAAGAGCTCCCCCACTACAGTTTCCTTCTGTCTTTAACAATGGGAATGAAGACTAAATTTAACTCAATTGTTATCTAGGCAAGGTCCAACCTTGATAGAGATTTGCAATCAGCCAAGCTCAGAACATAATGGCCATATTCAAATATACTTAGAAACAATACTCACTGAGCATGTACCAAATTGCACCTATTTTCACCCATAAGTAAGGGAGATAGTTGCCTACAGTAATGAGATTTTGAGAGAGCTAGGATGATTTCCTTGACCTAAAATACCCTTTCTCCTGTCATATGATGCCTGAAACATAAGAAGTTTAATCCTAGGTTGGCATTTTTCAAACCTTTGTTATCTTCAGAATTTTTTTGATTAAAAAATATTTTACAAGGAGGCATAAACAAACAAAAAAAGGCAAAGCTGCTTTAGTTTTAAAAGGGGCAGAGTGTCCAGAGCCCCATCATAATTGTTCTCTTTCTCTCTCCTTCCCTCCTCCCACCTTGCTCTCCACCAAAAGGAAGCAAACTGACATTGCTTTTGATTGAAGCAAAATTGTTCATTAAAATGCAAGCACCCAGAGAAAGGAGCTCATTAACTTACTCAGAGTTAACATCTAAATATGTGGTTTATTGGGTCTTCTAAAAGCTGTTATTTTAGAGAACCTCGGGTAAGAAATCCAAAACTAATTGAAAGAAAAATATGTAGGTGGAAAAGAATAAGAGATTAGCAGTACCATTTACTTCTTTTTGTTTGTTTGTTTTGAGACAGGGTTTCCTTCTGTCACTCAGACTGAAGTGCAGTGGTGTGATCATGGCTCACTGTAGCCTCAACCTCCCAGGCTCAAGCGATCCTCCCATCTCAGCCCCTCAAGTAGCTGGGACTACAGGAGCGCACCATGCCTGGCTAATTTTTATTTTTATTTTTTGTAGAGTCAGGGCCTCACTATATTGCCTAGGTTGGTTTCTAACTCCTGGGCTCAAGCGATCCTTCTGCCTCTGCCTCCCAAAGTGCTGGAATCACAGATGTGAGCCACTGTGCCTGGCCACCATTTACTTCCTAATAAATTTTTACTTTCTTCATTGATCACAACCTGGGGTAGCTGCTCAGAATGCTTTGATTCCTCTCACTTACCCTGACCTCTATGGTGATACATGTGTTTTACCTCTAACTAATTTAGGATTTTTGCAATTTTTTTAAAACAAGCAAACTAAAGGAAAATACAACAGCATAGGAACAATAATTTTACAAGGCACATATTTCATATTCTAACGATGCAAGACTAGCCATGAATTAACTTGAGTGGCTCAATTTATAGAACACTCTATCTCTAGTTCTTTCTTCTCCTTCAACTTTGAAACTCACAAGTGAAATGGAGAAACTTCCTGATCACCAGGGCTCTCTCACACAACACTGCTTCTCAAGCAATTGGCTTATTGGAGAGTCCAGTGCAGTCAATGCATAGCGTGAGCAATAAAAGTCTGTGTTAAACACCTATTTGCTTAGTTCAGTGTTTGTCTAAGTAGGTGGCTCTATGATCACTTAGAAAAGCACTGTGGGGGCTGAACACGAGGGCTCATGCCTATAATCCCAGGACTTTGGGAGGTGGAGGTAGGAGGATCACTTGAGCTCAGGAGCTTGAGATCAGCTTGGGCAACATGGCAAAACCCATCTCTGCTAAAAATACAAAGAAAAAAAAAGTGGTGGTGTGTGCCTGTAGTCACCGTGTAGGCTGAGATGGGAGGATCACTTGAGCCCAAGAGGCAGAGGTTGCAGTGAGCCCAGATCGCACCACTGCAGTCCAGCCTGGGCAACAGAGGGAGACCCTGTCTCAAACAAAACAAAACAAAACAAAACAAAAACCACTGTGGAGAATCCAGTTGTCCCTCAGTATCCACAAGGGATTGGTTCCAGGACCTCTGAGCATACCAAAGTCAAGAATTTTCAAGTTCCTTATATAAATTACTGAGTATTCGCATATAACCTACACATCCTCCTATACACTTTTTTTTTTTTTTTTTTTTAAGACAGGGTCTCACTCTATCGCCCAGGCTGGAGTGCAGTGGCAAGATCTCAGCTCACTGCAACCTCTGCCTCCCAGGTTCAAGTGATTCTCCTGCCTCACCCTCCCGAGTAGCTGGGATTACAGGCGCCCACCACCACGCCAGGCTAATTTTTGTATTTTCAGTAGAGACGGGACTTCACCATGTTGGCCAAGCTGGTCTCGAACTCCTGACCTCAAGTGATCTGCCTCCCTTGACCTGGAAAAGTGCTGGGATTACAGGCATGAGCCACTACGCCCGGCCCTCCCTTATACTTTACCTTTTTTTTTTTTTTTGAGATGGAGTCTCGCTCTTTAGCTCAGGCTGGAGTGCCATGGTGTGATCTCAGCTCACTGCAACCTCTGCCTCCCAGGTTCAAGTGATTCTCCTGCCTCACTCTCCTGAGTAACTGGGATTATAGGCATGTGCCACCAGGCCCAGTTAATTTTTGTATTTTTAGTAGAGACGGGGTTTCATCATGTTGGCCAGGCTGATCTGGAACTCCTGGCCTCAGGTGATGCGCCTGCCTCAGCCTCCCAAAGTAATGGTATTATAGGCGTGAGTGCCTGGCCTATTTTTTATTTTCATTTTTTTCTGGATATTTTTGATCCACGGTTGGTGGAATCTGCAGATGTGGAAGCTGTGGATATGGAGGGCCAACTGTATAAATAAAATATAATATGTGATCCTTGCCCTTAAGGAACTTATAATTTAGTTGGGAAGACAAGAATAACAAAAATAACTAGAAAGTAACACGTGGGACTGTAAGATTCACTGTCAAATTCTGTAGCTAGACTAAGCATTTAAAGAGCTCTACCTAGGGTTCAGAGGCTTGGGATGGTAATACTCACTTGATATTTCACTTCAGTAACACACCCTTTCTCTCTCCAGTCCACAGAATCAGGCAATATCCGATTAGGGTTTGACTTATATGTGATATTTCTCTGCCACTGGCTGGGAACTCTCAGGGAACTCATCAAAGACATCACTTCTTCACTGGTCTACAAAGCAAATATACAGTCAGGCATTGTTTAATGACTGGAATATGTTCTGAGAAATGCATCGTTAGGTGATTTTGTCATTGTGAAAACACCATAGTGTGTACTTACACAAACCTAGAGCGTATTGGCTCCTACATACCTAGGCTGTATGGTAGGGCCCATTGCTCCTAAACTACAAACCTGCACGGCATGGTACTGTACTGAAGGTTGTAGGCAATTGTAGAACAATATGAAGTACTTGTGTATCTAAATATATCTAAACATAGAAAAGGTAGAGTGAAAATACAGTATAAAAAGTAAAAATGGGAGCTGGGCATGGTGGCTCACGCCTGCAATCCCAGCACTTTGGGAGGCCGAGCCGGGCAAATCACCTGAGGTCAGGAGTTCAAGACCAGCCTGGCCAACATGGTGAAACCCCATCTCTACTAAAAATACAAAAATTAGCTGGGCATGGTGGTGCATGCCTGTAATCCCAGCTATTTGGGAGGCTGAGGCAGGAGAATCACTTGAGCCTGGGAGGCGGAGGTTGCAGTGAGCTGAGATCGCGCCAGTGCACTCCAGCCTGGGCGACAGAGTGAGACTCCATCTCAAAGAAAAAAAAAAAAAGTAAAAATGGTACTTCTATATAGGTCATTTACTATGAAAGGCCTGGAGTTGCTCTGGGTGAGTCAGTGAGTGAGTGGAGAGTGAATGTGAAGGCCCAGGACATTACTGTAGACTTTATAAACACGGTGCACTTTGGCTACACTAAATTTGTTAAAACATTTTTCTTTCTTCAATAATAAATTAACCTTAGTTTAATGCAACTTTTTTACTTAATAAACTTTTAATTTTTTAAATGTTTTGTCTTCTATGGTAACCCCTTAAAATACAAACACATTGTACAGCTGTACGAAAATATTTTCTTCTTTATCACCTTCTTCTATAAGCTTTTTCTATTTTTAATTTTTTAAAAGTTTTTACACTTTTTTGTTAAAAACTAAAATACAAACACACACAC
This sequence comes from Homo sapiens, assembly GCF_000001405.40. Classification (NCBI taxonomy): domain Eukaryota; kingdom Metazoa; phylum Chordata; class Mammalia; order Primates; family Hominidae; genus Homo; species Homo sapiens. Next base: position 150,756,151 of record NC_000001.11, read on the forward strand.
ACATTAGCCTAGGCCTATACAAGGTCAGGATCATCAGTATCACTGCATTTCGTCTCCACCTCTTGTCCCACTGGAAGGTCTTCAGGGGCAACAACACGTATGGAGCTGTCATCTCCTCTGATAACAATGTTTTCTACTGGATGCCTCCTGAAGGACCTGCCTGAGGCTGTTTTACAGTTAACTTTTTAAAAGTATAAGTAGGAGTACACTCTAAAATAACAATTAAAAGTATAGTATAGTAAATACATAAACCAGTAACATAGTCATTTATTATTATTAAGCATTTTGTACTGTGCAAAATTTTATGTGCTATACTTTCATACCACTGGCAGAGCAGTAGGTTTGTTTACAGCAGCATCACCACAGACAAGTGAGTAGTGTGTTGTGCTACATTGTTATGGTGGCTACAACATCACTAGCTAGGCAAGAGGAACTTTTCAGCTCCATCATAATCTTAAAGGACCACCATGGTATATGTGGTCCATCAGTGGCCAAAATGCATATGACACATGACTATATATCTCTTTCACTTACATCCTTCTTTCTTTTCTTTCTTTCTTTTTTTTTTTTTTTTTTCTCTTTTGAGACGGAGTTTCACTCTTTTTGCCCAGGCTGGAGTGCAATGGCATGACCTCGGCTCACTGCAATCTCTGCCTCCCGGGTTCAAGCAATTCTCTTGCCTCAGCCTCCCAAATAGCTGAGATTACAGGCATGTGCCACCACGCCCAGCTAATTTTGTATTTTTAGTAGAGACAGGATTTCTCTATGTTGGTCAGGCTAGTCTCAAACTCCCGACCTCAGGTGATCTGCCCACCTTGGCCTCCCAAAGTGCTGGGATTACAGGTGTGAGCCACTGTGCCCAGCCTATCCTACTTTCTAATATCCTAATAACTGTAACTGTGAATATATTTAAAAACTGCCATGGAATAAAAAAACTGAGAAAAAACAGTAATAGTTGTGACCAACACAGGTTCCATTAGGATCTGGTGGGGCGAATTATCTGGGTTTGTTTAGTTTCACACTTGGCACTAGCATCCCAGCTAGGCACCCTCATGGGGAAGGAGAAAAAGAGAATGGTAAAAACTAGAAGTTACAGGGAGGCAGATTTTTGTTTCAAAGCAAGGCAGAATTTTATAAAAGGGCTGTCTAAAAAGTGGACTAAACTGGTTTCCCATGTGAGAAATAATTACAAAGGAGATTCCTGCATTTAAGAAGGAATTCAGTCTACCTAGGGCGTTCCCTTCTTCACTTTGGCAACAGTGGTAAAGTTTTGCAGGACAGAACAGAATCTGAAAACCAATAGGGGATTATTTGTGATATTAAATACCCACATTCTCCCATTAAGAAAGCAGATGGGTCATACTAAATTGTCAATCTAGACTTAAATAAGTATGGCAACTTGCTATAAAAACCTGTCAATAGTCTTTAGGTAATACTTTCTAGAATTTATTAAAAAAAAAACAATGGTAGTCTCTGAGTTTAAAATTTCCTCTAAAGAAGTGATTTGTTAAAGAAAGAAAGCAGTCAAAATAGAACTAAGTAAGAAATTTCTGTACACGTTCTTACGTCCTTCAATTCTACTGTTTTCCAACTTTGTACTATACATTCCTTTGTTATTGTTGTTTACCTTCAAATTGCTTTTGGGGAGACAGAAAGGAAATGATATTTACCCAGACGTGAAAGTGGGATTTCTTGTAATGTACCTACCATGTCTCCCAGGTGGTTCATGCCCAGATCGTATGAGTGCATTCCCATTGAATGCTCCAGGTTGTGAAGCATCACAAACTTTAGATTCTTTTCCCAGATGAGACGTCGTACTGCTTCTTCATTCTAAAACATAATGAAGAAGAACATAGTCATACTGCATCCTGGACAAATAAGTGTTTGATGATGAAAATGGCAATTTTTTTTTTTTTTGAGATGGAGTCTCACTCTGTCACCCAAGCTGGAGTCCAATGGCACGATCTCAGCTTACTTCAACCTCCGATTCTCAGGTTCAAGTGATTCTCCTGCTTCAACCTTCCGAGTATCTGGGATTACAGGCATGTGCCACCACGCCTAGCTAATTTTTGTATTTTTAGTAGAGACGGGGTTTCGTCATGTTGGCCAGGCTGGTCTCAAACTGTTGACCTCAGGGGATCTGCCTGCCTCAGCCTCCCAAAGTACTGGGATTACAGGTGTGAGCCACTGCACCCGCCCAAAAATAGCATTTTTGAAGCATTCTACCAAATGTGGATCTGCCCGAGAGCATGCAAATACATAAATATATCCAATATAACTGCTAACTTCACATATTAATCTTAATTCTTGCTCTTAACTGCTTTGATGGTTTAATATTATTTTATGATAAACATGAATTTCCTTCTCTTTTTAACATTTATTATTATTATTATTATTATTTTGACAGAGTCTTGCTCTGTCACTCGGCTGGATGGAGTGCAGTGAAGTGGCCTGATTACTGCTCACCATAGCCTTGACCTCCTGGGACCCAGCAATCTTCACACCTCAGCCTCCTGCATAGCTGGGATGACTGGTGTGTGCCACTGCAGCCAGTTTTTCTGTTTGTTTGTTTGTTTGTTTTGGTAGAGACTGGGTCTCCCTATGTTGCAGGCTCATATTGAATTCCTGGGCTCAAGCAATCCTCCCCTATCAGCCTCCCAAAGTCCTGCGATTATTGGTGTAAGCCACCGCGCCCAGCATTTTTTTTTTTTTTTTTTAGACAGGGTCTTGCTCTTTTGCCCAGGCTGGAGTGCAGTGGTATGATCATAGCTCACTACAGCCTCAAACTCTTGGGCTCAAACTATCCTCCCATCTCAGCTGCCCGAGTAGCTAGGACTGCAAGCCTGCACCACCACAACCAGCTTATTTTTATTTTTATTTTATTATTATTTTTTTTTTTTGTAGAGACAGGGTCTCCCTATGTTGCCTAGGCTGGTCTCAAATTCCTGGCCTTAAAGGATCCTTCCCCCTTGGCCTCCCAAAGTGCTGGGATTACAGGCATGAACCATACACCCAGCCATGATTTGCTCTTTCTTTTTGATGTTTTACAACTTCGTTACATGTATCTGGGTGTAGGTTTCTTTATTTACCTTCGGCTGTGTGCTTTTGATTGGAGGACTCAGGACCTTTTCTCATATCTGGAAAATTCTCAATCAGTGTCTCCACATATATTGCTTCTCCACCATTCCACCTAATTCTCTTCTTCAGAAACTCCTATCCGAAGTATTTTGGAGCCTCAAACTCTCTTTCATCTCTCTTACTTGCGTTTTCATATATTTTTCTTTTTATTTCTAGGTGCTGCATTCTGGGTGAATTCCTCAGTACTATCTTTCAGATTACTGATTCTATCCAGCTCTTTCCAGTCTGGAAATCCTTTTGATTTTTATCGCAATGACAATATTTTTTATTTTCAAGATTTCTAATTTATTTCTTGTCCATTAGTGTGCATATTATTCCTTTATATATAGTCTTTTGAAAATTCATTTTTGATTCTATTATTTTAATTTTATTCAGAGTGAATTTACATGCTGACCGACGATTTTCTTGTCCTTCAGGAGATTCATTTACATAGAATACAATGATGTAGAAGGCAAGGTGGATGGTGCCTCCTACAGTAGCTGAAGCCAGAGTTTCCAATAAGCTGGAACCCCAGGGAGCAGTCAGCAACAACTGTGTTCTGCCTCATTTCATTGAGCGGGTGAGCCCAGTCCCAGAGGCACTGGGTAGCAAGTCTGGATGCAGGTTTCTTTCCCTTGGAGCAAGGTTTTACTGTTACCCCAGTAATGGACATAATGGGCATGCATGATGGGCTTACTTCCAAACCACAAGATGAGAAGCAATGGTATAAAGGCAAACAAATCTAACTAAGTGCAAGAAAGGAAAAAAAAAAAAAGAAGTGCACTTTGAGATCAATTATAAAGGTAGGATACGAATCAAAAGTCAGGTTCATTCATCCTGAGGGACTGGAATTATTAAACAGAGGGATAGCATTCATTTAACCAGATAGTGGTGCTAATTGCACATCTAAGTCCAGTCAATCTTGAAATGAGGAACCTGTTCATAAAGGGTGTGGGTGAGGGTGAAATTCATCACCACCAACGAAACCGTATGATCATTTAAATAGATGCAGGAAAAGCATTTGACAGAATTCAACATCCTTTCATAACAAACATTCTCAACAAATTACATATAGAAGGAATGTTCCTCAACACAAATAGGCCATATATGGCAAGACTACAGCTAACACCATACTCAATTGGGTGAAAATTTAAAGGCCATTCTGCTAAGATCAGAAAAAGACAAGGGTACCCACTCTCACCATTTCTAGTCAATATAGTGCTGAAAATCCTAGCCAGAGCAATTAGGCAAGAAAAATAAATACAAGATCTCCAAATAAGAGAAGGAAGAAGTGAAATTGCGTTTGTTTGTTGATAACATGATCATATAGAAAGTCTTGGCCAGGTGTGGTGGCTCATGCCTGTACTTTGGGAGGTTGAGGTGGGAGGATTGTGTGAATCTAGGAGTTCAACACCAGCCTGGACAACATGGCAAGACCCCTTCTCTACAAAAAACAAAAATAGAAATTAGCCAGGTGTGGTGGCATGTGCCTACAGTCCCAGTTACTTGGAAGGCTGAGGCAAGAGAATCACTTGAGCTGGAGTTTGAGGCTGCAGTAAGCTATGATCACACCACTTCACTCCAACCTGGGTGACAGAGCAAGATCTCATCTCAAAAAAAAAAAAAAAGAAGGTTGGGCAAGGCGGCTTATGCTTGTAATCCCAGCACTCTGGGAGGCCAAGATGGGTTGATCATGAGGTCAGAAGTTCGAGACCAGCCTGACCAACATGGTGAAACCCCATCTCTACTAAAAACACAAAAATTAGCTAGGTGTGGTGGCGTGTGCCGGTAATCCCAGCTACTCAGGAGGCTGAGGCAGGAGAATTGCTTGAACCTGGGAGGCGGAGGTTGCAGTGAGCCGAGATTGCGCCACTGCACTCCAGCCTGGGCGACAGAGCATGAATCCGCCTCAAAAAAAAAAAAAAAAAAAGAGAGAAGAAAGACTCCATCAAAAAACTATTAGAACTGATACATGAATTCAGTAAAGTTGTAAGACACAAAGTCAACATACAAAAGTCAGTAGTATTTTTATACACTAACAACTATTTGAAAAAGAAATTAGGAAAACAATTCTATTTACAACAGCATTTAAAACATATTTAGGAGTTAATTTAACCAAGGAGTTGAAAAGTTATATGCTGAAAACTGTAAAACATTGATAAAAGAAACTGAAGACAAAATAGGCCGGGCGTGGTGGCTCACACCTGTAATCCCAGCACTATGGGAGGCCGAAGCAGGCAGATCACCTGAGGTCGGGAGTTTGAGACCAGCCTGACCAACATGGAAAAACCCCGACTCTACTAAAAATACAAAATTACCCGGGCGTGGTGGCACATGCCTGTAATCCCAGCTACTCAGGAGGCTGAGGCAGGAGAATTGCTTGAACCCCAGAAGCAGAGGTTGTGGTGAGCAGAGGTCACGCCACTGCACCCCAGCCTGGGCAACAAGAGCAAAATTCCATCTCAAAAAAACAAGAAAAAAAGAAAAAAGAAAGAAAGAAATTTAAGATAAAATAAATAAATGGGAAGATATTCCATGCTTATGGATTGGAAGAATTAATATTGCTAAAATGTTCATACTATCCAAAGCAAACTAGAAATTCAGTGCAATTTCTATCAAAATTCTAATGTTATTCTTCACAGAAATAGAAAAAACAATCCTCAAATTCATGCGGAACTACAAAAGTCCTTAAATAGTCAAAGTAATCTTTAGCAAGAGGAACAAAGCTGGAGGCATTACAAAATGCCTGGTTTCAAAATATATTACAAAACTATAGTAATTTAAACAGCATAGTACTGGCATAGAAACAGACACATTTACCAATGGAATAGGATATAGAGCCCAGAAATAACCTGCAACTTTATGGTCAATCAATTTTCAGCAAAGGTGCCAAGAACACACAATGGGGAAAGGATAGTCTGTTTAATAAATAGTATTGGGAAAACTGGCTATCCAAATGCAGAAAAATGAAATTGAACCCTTATGTCACCCCATATACAATAATCAACTCAAAATGAATTAAAGCACAAACATAAGGCCTGAAACTATATACAACCACTATAAGAAAATATAGGGGAAAACTCCACAACATTGGTCCGGGCAACGGTTTTTTGAATATGACCCCTAAAGAACAGGCAACAATAGCAAAAATAGACGAACGGGACTCCATCAAACTAAAAAGCTTTCGTACAATAAAGGAAACAATTAACAGAGTGAAAAGATAACTCATAGATTGGGAGAAAATATTTGCAAATCATACATTTGATAAGGGGCTAATATCCCAAATATAGAAGGAACTCAAAGTAACTATCAAGAAAACAACCCTGTTTAAAAATGGGCAGAAGACCTGAATAGACATTTCTCAAAACAAGACACATACAAATGGCCAACAGATATATGAAAAAATGCTTAACATCACCAGTCATCAGGGAAATGTAAAGTAAAACCACAATGAGATATCACCTCACATCTGTTAGAATGGCTATTATCAAAACGATGAAAGATAAGTGTTGGTGAGGATGTGGAGAAAAGGGAACCCTCATACACTTTTAGTAGGAATGTAAATTAGTACAGCCATTTGGGAAAACAGTATGGAGGTTCCTCAAAAAACTAAAAATATAATTACCATATCATCCAGCAATCTCACTTCTGGGTATATGTCCCAAGGAAGCGCAATCAGTATGTCAATGAGATAGCTGCACTTCCATGTTCATTGTAGCATTATTCACAATAGCCAAGATACGGAATCAACCTTATAAAGTGTCCATTAAAAGACGAATGGATAAAAAAGTGTGGTACATATTGTATTCCATACATAATGGAATACTATTTAGCCTTAAAAAAAAAAAAAGGAAATTCTGTCATTTTCAACAACATGGATGGGTCTAGAGAACGTTATGCTAAGTGAAATAAGCCAGGCACAGAAAGACAAGTACTGCATAATCTCATTTACATGTGGAATCTAAAACAGTTGAACTCATAAAAGTAGAGAGTAGAATGGTGGTTAGCAGAGGCTGGGCGGAGGGTAGACAGGGAAAGGGGAGATGTTAGGCAAAGAGTACAGAGTTTCATTTGACAAGAAGACTACATTCTAGCAATCTATTGCATAGCATGGTGACTACAGATAATAATAATAATGTATTTTATATGTCAAAATTACTGAAAGGGTAGATTTTAAATGTTCTTATCACAATGAAAGGATAAGTATGTGAGGTGCTGAATAGGTTAATTAGCCTAATTTAATCATTCTGCAATGTATATTTGTATCATAACATCACATTGTACTCCATAAATAGACACAATTATTATTTAATTATAAATAAATAAAAATAAAACTTAGAGTGTATGACCTAAGAGTGTCATTTTTATACAAAATAATATGTCAAATAAATAAATATATGATGCTAGCTTACAAACAGAAATATTACATAGTTACAGGACTTAGTTATTTAAAGCAGTAGGGTTAAGGTCTTAACATCAGCAAGTGTGCTTTGAAATAAAAACAAAAGTACAAAATGGGAAGTGATAGTCAAGAAACAATATCTGGCCACACTATGTGGGTATTAACGCCTTTTCGCTCCTCAGCCATCCCAAATGTGGCCCTTCCTCAGGAGCTTGTGCTGATTTGCCCTTGGCCTGAGACCTTCACTCTATTATGTATTTTGCTTGCTCCCTGGCTTCCATCAATTCTCTGCTCAAATGGCACCCTTATCCGTGAGGCCTTCCCTAACCCTCCTGTCATATAGATAGACTTCTTACCACCACCACCACCCAGGGCCCTTCCTACTCTCCATGCCTTCTGTTATTTTTATCTACAACACTTATCACCATCTAGCATACTACATATCTGCTTGTTTATTTTCTTATTTCCTGTCTCTCTCACTATAATATAAGCTCCATAACAGGAATTTTGTTTTGATTCCTGCTGTATGGTACCAAGAACAGTATCTGGCAAGAAACAAGTACATAATATTTATTTATTTATTTTTGAGATGGAGTCTCACTCTGTCACCCAGGCTGGAATGCAATGGCACAATCTTGGCTCACTGCAACCTCCGCCTTCCCGGCTCAAGTGATTCTCTTGCCTCAGCCTCCCGAGTAGCTGGGATTACAGGCGCCCACCACCACATCCAGCTAATTTTTGTATTTTTAGTAGAGATGGGGTTTCGCCATGTTGGCTAGGCTGGTCTCGAACTCCTGACCTCAGGTGATCCGCTCACCTTGGCCTTCCAAAGGGCTAGGATTACAGGCGCGAGCCACCACACCCAGCTTAAATATTTACTGAAAACACTGCCTGTAAGAACACAATTTTAAGAGGTAGAAAACAGTACTCCTTTAAAAGCATATCGCTCGAGTGGCAATCCAATCTACCTTTTCCTTGTATTGTTTGCCATAGGTTTTCTTCCAGAGATGCCAGTGGTGATCCAGGGTAGGATCTTTATGCAACTGTGCCACTGCAGAGGAGCACACCAAGAGCACACAAACCAGCCGTTTCATTCTGTGTAAGGAAAGGTAACATAGGAAGTGTTGCTATTAGCTGCATATGTTGTGACCACATGTTTTCATAAGAGAAAATAACAATGCAAAGTCTATCAAAGGGACAGACTATTATAAACAGAATTATACAGGAAAATTCCTGGGATATATAGTCACAGGGAACAGCTGCAGATTTATGTCAGAAATACTACTTCCAATGCTTAGTAGCACTTTAAAAAGTGATTTCCAGGAATTTCCCAATATCTGGTAAACCAAACACATCTAGAGGGTTAGAAAACAGGGACTTTCCAGGATTTGCCAACAAATCTAATCAAAGGAAATCTCTTTCTCTCTCTCTCAAAAAAAAAAAAAAATCATCCTTAAGAGAGACAAACCTCTGAAAAATCAGTTTATCTCCTGAATTTTTGAATACATGGGCTCTTCTTAACTGACCTGTTTAAATATCCACAGTCTTTACAGATAGTTAAAAGACAATTCTCATCTATTGCTTTCACATCTTTAGGTAGGTAATTTTCCTTTTTACGTTTTTTTTTTTTTAATGATCAGACATCTGTTTCAAATGAGGCAATTAACTACTCTTTAAAATGCCACTTCTGTATTTAATTCAAGAGACATCAACAGAAATTCAGCGACTAGCTCCCTCAAACTGGATTCTACTTTCTTTTCCATTTCTTTTTAATTGAAAACATCTGGAATTTTAAACATGTAAGCCTTTAAATTATATTCCAAAGAAAGCCATGTTTCAGTCTCAACTTAGATGCTTAGATGCTCAAGCAGACATTAACTTTTTAAAAATAGAGAAGAGGCAAATTGAACGACACGATTTTTTAGTTTACTTCCTGAAACCAAAGATTTAAAACCTAGCAGGCAGAACAAGTTACAAACACAGAGTGTTTGAAGACCAAATGGGAGAAAAAGAACAAAGAGTACATACGTGATAGAACCAGCAGTTGCTCCCACAGTAAGAGTCCTTGAATTAGTGGGCTCTCTTCTAAGATTTCAAAGCAACAAGGAGATTTCAGTTCAATTGACTTGAAAAGAAATTGGAACTTGTCACATGAGGTACTCAAAATGAGGAAGTGAACTTTCATTTCAGTTTCATTTAAAATCTAGCTAGTACAGTCACCTCTAGTCATTTCCCTATGGTCTTGGGGACAAAGTGGATACAGTAAGCCATCAAGAAGAGCCCTTGTCTGAGCCCAGTGGCTCATGCCTATAATCCCAGCACTTTGGGAGGCTGAGGCGGGAGGATCACTTGAGGCCAGGAGTTCAAGACCAGCCTAGGCAATATAGTGAGACCCTGTCTCTGCAAAAAAATTTTTTTTAATTAGCTGGGCATGGTGGTGCATGCTTGTAGTCCCAGCTGAGGGGGAGGGTGAGGTGGGAGAATTGCTTGAGTCTAGGAGGACAAGGCTGCAGTGAGCCATGATTATGCCACTGTGTTTCAGCCTGGATGACATATCAAGACCCTATCTCAAAAAAAAAATTAAATTGAATTTTAAAAACACCAACTTTTACATGGAAAACATTTAGTTATAAAGAGATTTAGATAAAGCTCCCCAAATCCCAGCTCCTTGTATGATTTCCTAGGAAAACCTGTCTTACTGCTTTTAACACAACTCATTCATGATCTGATATTGTCTGGTTCTCACTCAGCCATTCCTTCGTTCATCAAACTCAAAATGTCTTTATTAATATATACTATATGTATAGTTTAGTAATATGCGTGTGTGTGTGTGTGTGTGTGTGTATGTGTTAGTATATTCATGGAAAAAAGGATACACTCAAATATATCCAATTGAGAATGATTACCTGGGTGGGGTGGGAGCAAGACGAACTATCATCTTTTAAATTTGCATTTTCCTAATTACTAATGAGGTTGAGGATCTTTTCACACATTTATTGACCGTTTGAATTTTCTGTGAATTTCCTGTTCATCTTTTTTGCTCATTTTTCTATTGTATTGTTGCATTTTCTTAGTGATTTGTGGGAGGTGTGTGTGTGTGTGTGTGTTGTGTGTTTTCCGAGACGGAGTCGTGCTTTGTCTCCCATGCTGGAGTGCATTGGTGCGATCTTGGCTCACTGCAACATCCACCTCCCAGGTTCAAGCGATTCTCTGCCTCAGACTCCCAAGTAGCTGGGATTACAGGCACCTGCCAGCATGTCCAGCTAATTTTTGTATTTTTAGTAGAGACAGGGTTTCACCATCTTGGCCAGGCTGGTCTTGAACTCTTCACCTCGTGATCCACCCGCCTCAGCCTCCCAAAGTGCTGGGATTACAGGTGTGAGCCACCGTGCCCGGCCAAGGTGTATGTGTTTTAAAAATATATTCTGGCTTCTAATCTTTGACAGTTATATACCCTTAAAAACATCCTCCCTTAGTCTTCCACTTGTCTTTTATTTTATTTTTTCTTCCTTTGCATAAGCCTATGAAATTCCACTTGTCCTTTAGTCTTGTTTATAGTGAGTTTTTCTATATGAAATTTTTTTATGTTGAGGTAGAACATTTTATTCAGCTTTTCCGTATAATCAATCTATACTGTTTTTGTATAAGAAAATTTTCCTCATCCAAATGTAATAAAGATACACTCATCTTATTTTTATACTTTCAGAGAGTGTTTTATTTATCTTTTCTATGGCTACTGCTTTTAGGTGTTTAATTCACCTGGAATTTAGTTTTGTGTATGGTATGACGTAGGGAGCTTATTTTCTTTGTTTTCCAATTTTGATTCTACCTCTATTGTACACCAAATTCTCATACATAGATAGGTCAGTTTCTGAGCTCATGAAGCTGTTCTTTTTATCTTTTGCTACTTCAGTATCACACAGTTTTAATTAAAACAGCTTTGTAATATGTCTCCACGTATGGTAAGGCAAGTCATCTAGGCCACCCTATCTTTGTTCTTCTTTTTAAACATTGTCTTTGTATTTTGTACTTGTTAACTCTTCTTTATATGAATTTTTTGAATCAGTTTATCAAGTTCCCTGAAAAACTCTGTTGGAGTTTTTTGCTTTTTTCTTTTGGAGACAGGGTTTCATTCTGTCACCCAGGCTGGAGTGCAGTGATGCAATCATGGCTCACTGCAGCCTTGACCTCCTGGGCTCAAGTGATCCTCCCGCCTCAGCCTCTGGAGTGGCTGGGACTACAGGTGCACACCACCATGCCTGGCTGATTTTGTTTTTTGTTTTTTGTAGATAAGGGGTTTCACCATGTTGCCCAGGCTGGCCTCAAACTCCTGGGCTCAAGCAATCTGCCCACCTTGGCCTCCTGAAGTGCTGGGATTACAGGCATGAGCCCCCACATCTGGCTATTAGAGTTTTTATTTGAATATATGCATAAATTTAGGGAGAAGTAACATCATTATAATGTTGATTCATCTCAGCTGTAGTAGACATGTTTGTGTTTGTAGCCATACAGTTTTTTTTAAAAAGATACTGCTTATGGAAAATTTAAAACACATGTAAAAGTAAAAATAGTAGTAAAATGAGCTGCCGTGAAACCATTGTCTTGTTTCAACAATGATCAGTACATGGCCAATCTTATTTTATTTATATTCCCACTCTCACTACCTGAATTATATTAAATAAATTCTAGACATTCTGTCATTTCATACGTAAATGTCCCTGTGTGTGTCTTTAAAAGACAGAGACTATTAAACAAATATAATACCACAATACCATCATCACATCTAAAATAAATGAACAATAATTTTCTTTTTTTTTTTTTTCTGAGACAGAGTCTCACTCACTTGCCCAGGCTGGAGTGCAGTGGTGTGATCCCAGCTCACTGCAATCTCTGCCTGCCGAGTTCAAGCGATTCTCCTGCCTCAGCCTCCCAAGTGGCTGGGATTACAGGCATGTGCCATCACACCCAGCTAATTTTTGTATTTTTAGTAGAGATGGGGTTTCACCACATTGGCCAGGCTTGTCTCGAACTCCTGACCATAGGTAATCTGCCCACCTCAGCCTCCCTAAGTACTGGGTTTACAGGTGTGAGCCACTTTATTGTCATAAGAAATTAAGACAATAATTTCTTAATGTCATCAGACATCCTATCAATGTTCACATTTTCTGGACTGTCTTATACATTTTTTAATAGTTTGTTTGAATTGAGATTTAAATAAGCTCCATATATTGTGAAACCATTGAGTTATGTTTATATCATTATGAATTCATGGATTTAAACATATTTGATGTGTTTCAATCCATTCCAGTTTTATCCTTATTGATACTCATATTGTCTCATTTTTGGTCTGTAGGAATTTATTCAAACTGGCTCTTTGGTGCAGACAGAGTTTGTATATTTGGCATAATATTAGTACTCTTTAAAAGCTTCCTTTCTTTCTAATATGACAGGCTATTGCAGGTTTGTCTTGAACAATTCCTGCCCCAGACCTGGAATCAGCCATTTCTCCAAGGAGCTCTGGTTCCTTTTAGTGGAAACAATGTTTAAATACCATAATCTAGGAACTAGCAGTGTTTGGGATAGCAGATTGACCATTGTTGCTAAGCCTTTTCAGTAGCTAGAGCTAAGAAATATCTTTTTTAAAAAAATTAAATAAATCACAAGCTGACACTGATACTTCAAATTCAAATTCAAGACTATAGGGTTTACTCACCCCATCAATCTTATATCTGCACTTCTTTTCAAACATGCTTAAAAAATCTGGGTTCTCTAAAATATCAACTCAAGTACTTGTTTAATTTATCCTGTAAAATTGCAGAATAACAACAACAAGCCTACGCCAATAAGATTGTTAATGAAAACAAATTAGAGGTTTTAAAGTGGAGGGGGACAGGTTTTTCTCCATTAAGCCAAATGTCGCTAACGATGTAAGTCAATTACTGTGTTTTGAAGTCACCTGGAATAGTTCCCTGTATGGTTATGCTCCACCTCCATACACAGGTTTATTTGTTTCATTTCACTTCTTCCTTTTAGGGCTTGCTTTTTACACTTATGTAATTTCATTTTATAATTATGTAAAACATTTATGTGGATCCAAAGTGAAATCATCACAATGAGGTATATTCAAAGAACTCTAGCCTCTACTTTTGTCTGTTTTACACGATTTCCTTTTTTCCTTAATTGGTAATCATTTAAAAAATTTATGGTTTATCTTCCTATTTTTAGAAATATGCAAATATGCCTATATATTAATATTCTTTCATCTTAAGTGAACACTAACATATTACACATATTTTTCTCTATCTTGTTTTTTTCACTTAGCATTTTTTTTGTTTTAGTCAATCACTTAACATTTTATTAAGAAAAATTATTCAGGCGAAAGACATTAGCAGGTGTCCTTTCAGTGATGTGCTGGGTATTATTTAGTGGACCTTTACAGGAATTGTTTGATTCTTTTTAGAGTTAAGTTGTAAAAAACTGATAACTATGCAAATGATCCCTATACATGGCAATGCAAATAAATTTTGTATTGTAGATTTCACTGAATAGAGAAATAGAGAATGTAGATCTCTGTCAGTCGAATTCTTTTTTTTTTTTTTTTGAGACACGGCCTTACTTCATCGCCCACGCTGGAGTGCAGTGGTGCGATCTCAGCTCACTCTAACCTCCGCCTCCCGGATTTAAGCGATTCTCCTGCCTCAGCCTCCCCAGTAGCTGAGATTACAAATGCACACCACCACACCCAGCTAATTTTTGCATTTTTAGTAGATACAGGGTTTCACCGTGTTGGCCAGGCCGGTCTCGAACTCCTGACCTCAGGTGATCCACCCACCTCGGCTTCCCAGAGTGCTGGGATTACAGGCATGAGCCACCATGCCCGGCCTCAAATTCTTATTTGAACTGACTTTAATCTTACTGATCCCTTATTAATTAATGAGTTAAACTTCGATGCGTTCGTTGTATATTTGCTCTCAGCTTTTTAGAAACTATACTTTAGCAATTAAATTCTGATAACTCCACAGTAGTATATACAGTGTTCATTTATTTTTATGGCCACCTAGCATCTTTTGAACAATATTCCCATGTTTGGAGAATTTCCCACGTTATAAATTTTGCTTCTCCAAGTTGAAGCCAAAGCTCCATTTTCAAGGATCCAGTGCAGTTAAGGCACAGACATGAGACCTAGCCTTTGCCAGTCAGGCACACCTGTATAGAACATCATTTTGCAAGTGGGTAAGTGAGGAACCAGAAGTATGTAAAATCCTCCTTTTGGTGAGAATGGCAGTAGAGATGTCTCCCAGCAGCAGCAGCACCAGCAGGAGCAGGAGCAGCAGCAGATATTCTAATATCTGGTCCCCAGTGTCACCTGTTCAAACTGTAGTGTTTATGTCAAATATTGTGTCTGCTCAGTGGCATCATAGGTTGAGCAGTCCTCTCTGTGGTTTTGGTGATGTTTGTGGTTACACAATAAACAAACCTCACCGACTTTCTGGCCTTTCATAGGTTCTTTGAGTTTCCGGCACTTTTTTTTTTTTTTTTTGAGATGGAGTTTCACTCTTGTTGTCCAGGATGGAGTGCAATGGCATGATCTCGGCTCACTGCAACCTCCGCCTCCCGGGTTCAAGCGATTCTCCTGCCTCAGCCTCCCAAGTAGCTGGGATTACAGGCATGCGCCACCACGCCAGGCTAATTTTGTATTTTTAGTAGAGACAGGGTTTCGCCACGTTGGCCAGGCTGGTTTCAAACCCCTGACCTCAGATGATCCGCCCGCCTTGGCCTCCCAAAGTGCTGAGATTACAGGCGCAAGCCACTGCGCCTGGCTGCTTCCTGCACATTTTAAATAAACTGTAGTACCCGGATAGATGAACCTAGTATTGACATCCACAGCCGTGTTGAGTTTGGAAAAACAAGGGTGGAGTGTCAGAAGCTAGAATGGGGAAGGTGCTTTTCTCAGGCTGCGAATACAGGAAACTCAAGAAGAAAGCTATTGTGGAGCTCTCAATAATTTCAGGTTGCCTTCTCTATCCTTCTTTACACATCTGATCTCATACCTGATGTTTTTTGCTTTTAGCCTTGATACCTCTATATGTATTTCTATCCATAGAAATAGACAGTTCAATTTCCTTAATGAGAAATTAGCATAGGAACAAATTTCTTTCCATCAAGATTAAATGGTAGACAACTGCTTTTACAAGGGACCATGTATTTTTCCAGTCATTGTTTCTCTGTCTGACGAGGTCTATAAATCTACACTCAGTACAGAGCATAAACGTGGTGATTAGGCAACAGCACACCTTCTGTCTCCATTCCTGGGTATTGCCTACATGGAATTGTGTATGAAATTATGTCTCTACCTGTTTCCGGTAATCCTCTACCAAGTGGGAAAAAATTTTGGGGTTAATTGTGTTTTCTAGTGGTACTCTAAACCGGATTCAGGACGGCAGCGGCCATCTAAATGTCTTCCTTTGTTTATTTCTAAATCCATAAATTAATTCCAGATTTACCAAGAAACTAAATTGAGTTGATCCCAAAATGAAACAGGGCTCTCAGGGACATACTCACTTCTTCCCAGCCTGCCTTTGGACTCAGTAAGTAAGCAGAGACTGTGTTTATTTGTCTGATATACATGACCCCTGGTTAATATGTAGGTCGTAGAAGAAACCAAAATTTTACTTATGGAAGGCAGGGAGAATAGAGATGAATTACCTTTTGTGAGAAAAAGAACAAGTGACATATTAACTGCTATTGTATTTTCTGTTGTCAGGACGTGGGCTGAGTAAAAAGCTTAAAAGCTTTTGCATATGTCTTGGTTCTGCCATCTATTGGTTATAAGGCCTGGAACAAGTGATTTAACATGCCCATGGCTCACTTTCCCTATGCATAAGTACGGAAATGCTGACTTAGTGGCAACTAAACAGTGGAAGACACCAGCAATAGAATGTAATTATAATATCGCTCCATGAGATGGTAAGATTTTACAGTTCCAACTAATTATTCCTGAGTCCGTTCCTTTTGCAGAACAAGTTTCTAATAAAGTACTCAGGATTAAGATAGATGGTTATGAGCAAGTGCTACCATTTAGGATATTCATTTGAAATACTAATGCTCCTGGCATTTTTTTTTTTTTTTTTTTTTTTTGAGACAGAGTCTCGCTCTGTCACCCAGGCTGGAGTGCAGTGGCGTGATCTCAGATCACTGCAAGCTCTGCCTCCTGGGTTCATGCCATTCTCCTGCCTCAGCCTCCCAAGTAGCTGGGACTACAGGCGCCTGCCACACGCCTGGCTAATTTTTTGTATTTTTAGTAGAGACAGGGTTTCACCATGTTAGCCAGGATGGTCTCGATCTCCTGACCTCGTGATCCGCCCGCCTCGGCCTCCCAAAGTGCTGGGATTACAGGCGTGAGCCACCGCGCCCAGCCGCGCTCCTGGCATTTTTTATTTTTATTTATTTATTTTTTTTTTTTGAGACAGAGCCTTGCTCTGTCGCCTAGGCTGGAGTGCAGTGGCATGATCTTGGCTCACAGCAAACTCTTCCTCCTGGGTTCAAGTGATTCTCAGCTTCCTGAGTAGCTGGGATTACAGGCATGCCACCATGCCTGGCTAGTTTTTGTATTTTTAGTAGAGACGGGGTTTCGCCATGTTGGCCAGGCTGGTCTCAAACTCCTGACCTCGGGTGATCCACCCACCTCAGCCTCCTAAAGTGCTGGGATTACAGGCATGAGCCACCATGCCTGGCCAAGAAAAACATCTTTAATACAAAAACACAGAAAGGTTGACAATAATAGGAAGCTAAAAGCTAGATCACACAAACGCAAGCAACAGCAAAATGTGGGTATAATTATTCAAATATCAGTCAGAGTAGACTTTAAAGCAAGAAGCATTATGAGGCTAAAGAGGGAACTTTCATAATGATAAAGAAATAAATGATAAAGGGACCCGCCAGGAAGAGATTATAATCTTAAATCTGTATGCTCCTCAAAACATGGCCTCAGAGTCCCATAAAGCAAAGATTGCCAGAGCTAAAAGGAAAAATAGATAAAATCTGCAATCATAATGGGAGGCTTTGAGATACCTCTTTCAATAGCTTGTAGAATAAGCAAATGGAATAAATTAATAGCGATATAGAAGATTCGAATAATGCGATTAATGAACTTGTCCTAATTAAGATATCTAGAGCCTGTCCTCAACAACAGAATCCTTTTTTTTTTTTTTTCTTTTTTTTTCACCCAGGCTGGAGAGCAGAGGCAGGATCACGGCTCACGGCAGCTTTGAACTGCTGGGCCCAAGTGATCCTCCCAGCTCAGCCTCCCATGTAGCTGGGACCCCAGCCCCAAGCCACTGCACTGGCCTCAGAATATTTATTTTGAAGGGCACATAGAATATTTAACAAAATTGACTCTGTATGTGCTGGGCCATAAAATATTCAAGTCATTTAGAGTATGTTCTCTGACCACAGTGAGATTAAGCTAGGCCCAATAACAAAAATGTAATTAGAAAACCTCCCATTTAAGTGATATACTTCTTAATAACCATGGTTATTAAGAAGAAGAAATCATAATGGCAATTAGAAAATATTTTGAACTGAGCAATAATTTTTAAAAATGACATATAAAAATGTGTGAGATCCAGCTAAACCAGTGCTTAGAAAGAAATTTATAACTTTTTAATGCATATATTAGAAAAGAAGAGGCCGGCGCGGTGGCTCACGCCTGTAATCCTAGCACTTTGGGAGGCTGAGGTGAGCGGATCACGAGGTCAGGAGATTAAGACCATCCTGGCTAACATGGTGAAACCCCGTCTCTACTAAAAATACAAAAAAATTAGCCGGGCATGGTAGCGGGTGCCTGTAGTCCCAGCTACTCGGGAGGCTGAGGCAGGAGAATGGCGTGAGCCTGGGAGGCGGAGCTTGCAGTGAGCCGGGATCGCACCACTGCACTCCAGCCTGGGCGCGAGCGAGACTCCGTCTCAAAAAAAAAAAAGAAAAAGAAAAGAAGAATGGCTAAGAATCAGTGGTCTAAGCTGCCACCTCAAGAAGCAAAGGGAAGAACATCAGAGATGTTTTGATGTTCTCTATTTCCCGCCCTTTTTTTTTGTTTGAGATGGAGTCTGGCTCTGTCGCCCAGGCTGGAGTGCAGTGGTGCAATCTTGGCTCACTGCAACCTACATCTCCTGGGTTCAAGTGATTCTTCTGCCTTAGCCTCCCAAGTAGCTGAGACTACAGGCGTTCATCACCACACCCAGTTAATTTTGTATTTTAAGTAGAGATGGGGGGGGGAGTTCTCCATGTTCATCAGGCTGGTCTCGAACTCCTGACCTCAGTTAATCCACTCGCCTTGGCCTCCCAAAGTGCTGGGATTACAGGCGTGAGCCACCGCGCTTGGCCATCTTTTGGACTAAATAAAGACTGTTGAGCTACTCTGGCAGTACTCTTTTTAGAAAAGCACTTGCAGCAAAATTGTGCTTTCAATAAATGATATTAAATTGTGCATTTTATCTTTGAACTCTCAAACTCTGTTATTCTTTTTCAAAATAGGAAGTTTCTAGCAAATATGGAAAAGAGGAAATACCCAAATCGATATGTTTTAATGAATTAAATACAGATATTATGCATCTTCTGTGCCAGGCATTGTACAGGGCACTGAAGATCTTTCCTGCCCATTATTTTATTTGATCCTCCCAACAACATATGAGGTGGTAGTGGTAGCAATAGTATCCCTATTCTATAGTTTAGGAAACTGGGACTTAGAAAGCCTTGTCTAAAACCATTGTGGAAATAAGTGGTGGAACTGAAACTTGAAGTCCACACCAACATCCTTGATGCCTGGGCTAGATATTGTATTTCATACCAGGCTGGAGCAGCGGTGTCTCAGAGCTGGCTTGTATTGACACTCGTTCACGAAAGCTGCTTATACCCACTTCATCCTCACTCCATCTTTAGTAGCATTGCATTGGTAGCTTAAAATAAGCAAACTCTACAAATCAGGTCTCCCTTATTTTATTTTATTTTATTTTATTTTATTTATTTTTTTGAGACAGAGTCTTAGTCTATCACCCAGGCTGAAGTGCAGTGGCGTGATCTTAGCTCACTGCAGCCTCCACCTTCCAAGTTCAAGTGATTCTCCTGCTTCAGCCGCCCACCACCATGCCTGGCTAATTTTTTTTTTTTTTTTTTTTTTTTTTTTTTTGAGACAGAGTCTTACTCTGTCACCCAGGCTGGAGTGCAGTGGCGCGATCTCAGCTCACTGCAACCTCCATCCCCAGGGTTCAATCAATTCTCCTGCCTCAGCCTCCTGAGTAGCTGGGATTACAGGCATGCGACACCACACCTGGCTAATTTTTTGTATTTTTAGTAGAGACAGGGTTTCACCATAATGGCCAGGCTGGTCTCAAACTCCTGACCTCAGGTAATCCGCCACCTCAGCCTACCAAAGTGCTGGGATTACAAGCGTGAGCCACTGCGCCCGGCCCGCGCCCGGCTAATTTTTGTATTTTTTTGTAGAGATGGGCTTTCACCACATTTGCCCGGCTGGTCTCCACCTTCCTGAGTTCAAGTGATCTGCCTGCCTCGGCCTCCCAAAGTGCTAGGTTTACAGATCTGAGCCACTGCGCCCAGCCTATTTATTGTTTTAATCTGGAGAGCCAGTTGTTAAACACTTACTAGCATGCAACTGGGCTGGACTCAGAAGGCACGGCATCTGCTTAAGTTCCTTTTCTTTGAACTTTCTTATTTTGTTCAAGACTTGGCATTGTAAGAAGTCGCAATACTGGCTTGAATTACTATAGTTTCTCAGTTTCAGATTTTACAGAATGGTAAAACTTGAAGAAAATATTAGAGGGCCAACTTAAGGGTTTTTTTTTAGTTTATCAAATAAGGGTATTTAAAATGTATTATCTTCACTCATCATTTCAAAATTGAAGGAGCATTTTAACACCAAAAAAGGATAAAAAGGAAATAATCTCAGAATTTAGAAGTTGATTATATTTAGTTTTGTTAAAAACTCACTCCAGCTGGGTGTGGTGGCTCATACCTGTAATCCCAGCACTTTGGGAGGTCGAGGCAGGCAGATCACTTCAGGCCAGGAGTTCAAGACCAGCCTTGGCAAGATGGCGAAACCTCGTCTCTAATAAAAATACAAAAAATTAGCTGGGCATGGTAGTGTGTGCCTGTAATCCCAGCTACTCGGGAGGCTGAGGTGGGAGGATCACCTGAGCACTGGAGGTCAAGGCTGCAGTGAACCATGATGGCACCACTGCACTCCACTCTGGGTGACAGTGAGAGAGAGACCCTGTCTCAAACCAACAAAACAGAACAAAAAAGTCTCACTCCATTGTCTATATTTTAATCATTTAACTGAAGACTAATGAAAATATTGTCAAGGACAAATATCCCACAAAACAGGGATTTTTGTTTGTTCAGATGTATCTCAAGCACCTAGAACAGTATCTAGCACTCAGTAAATATTCGATGAAAGAATGAAGGATTTGCAGGAATCTGGTGACCAAAGTTTGGCAACCAGAGGTGTAAGCTACCCAACTTGGCATCTTGGCTAGTCAGTCAGCTAACATATTTGAAGTATTTAAGAAGATATGAAAGAAAAAAATGCACAAATCCTATCTTAGGTTGAGAAAATCTAGTTGGGAGTTATAGAAGATGGATGCCTAAACATGGCTTAATCTCAAGGACAACTAATATCAAATTAGTTGCTCTACTTTTAAGAGAACTATGTAGCGCCTTTATTCAAGATATTAGAAATGCCTTTGCTAGAAACGGGAGAGTCTTTTCACGGTTCACTAATTTTCCCTAGGAATCTGCAGAACCAATGAGAATGAAAGCTTTTGAACGTACGATGATGAGGCAGGATTCTGAAGCTTCTATTTAACTGTATTGTCGGGGACATTGAAAACATCAATTGTAACTGTACCAATGAGATGGTGTTGGTAGCAGCGGTGTCCCTCTTCTATAGATGAGGAAACTGGAACTTAGGGAGGCTTAAGCAAGATCATTGTGGAAGGAAGTGGTGGAAGTGTGGGCATAGTGCCACAAACATTAAAAACAGGAAAGGTGAGCACAGAACAACTTTCCTTTAAGTCATTTCTCCTTCTTACATCTACCTGGTAAGTCAGCCCAGCCCTTTGGTAGAGGCACCTGTTACCAATGGCAGCAATAACAGAAGAGGCAGAGGAAGTGAAGATACCTAAGGTGGTGCTAAGGCTAAAGATGAATGACAGTTGCTTCATTTTATTTGTAAAGTGCAAGTGCAGGCCAGTAATAGCCTTCTTTAACCAGTGTATTTTAAGTCCTATACATACAAGCAGTTTCCAACTTGCAAAAGTGTTGTGTTTTAAAAGACATGTAAAGAGGCTGTTTAAAACCAAAAATAGAGGCCGGGAGCAGTGCCTCATGCCTGTAATGCCAGCACTTTGGGAGGCTGAGGTGGGTGGATCACCTGAGGTCAGGAGTTCAAGACCAGTCTGGCCAACATGGTGAAACTAAAAATACAAAAATCAGCCGGGTGTGGTGGTGCATGCCTGTAATCCCAGCTACTCGGGAGGCTGAGGCAAGAGAATCACTTGAACCTGGGAGGCAGAGGTTGCAGTGAGCCGAGATGGCGCCACTGCACTCCGGCCTGGGCGACAGAGATTCTGTCTCAAAAACAAACAAAAAAAAAAACAAAAATATACTCTCCTTAAGAAGTATTATAAAGTGGTTATTTGTTTCTTAAACATGTCAATAAAAATTCATATGATTTAGTCCATAATGTAGCTGAAAAATTATGTGTACACAATGGAAAACAGTACTAGAAATACTGCTGTAAACATAATAGACTTGACCTCAATTAGACTTGTTCCAGCAGCTCCTGAGACTGGGCTTCTATTGAATGAGCCTGAATTTCATTCCCACTGATTCAACAGTGGTAGCCAACTCTCATGTAGCAGACATTCTGACTCTGGCCAGGCACTGCTCTAAGCACTTTACATATATTGACTCATTTCATCACCACAAAAATCCTGCGAGGTAGGTATTATTCTTTTCTCTATTTTACAAAAGCCCTAACCCTAGCCCAAGATCACCTTGCTAGTAAATGGAAGAGGCAGAATCAGGATCCAGGCTGCCTGGCACCAGAGTTCATGCTCTTAACCACTATGTTATGTTGCCTTTCACTAAAATATAATTGGCTTCTTTCATATCAACCTTTAATTCAATAGAGAGGAAAGGGAAAGTAATTCCTGAGGGTGTTGGTATGGCAGGCAATCATGCAATTCTATAGAGTAGATACTCAGAATTTTTTTTTATTGAATGCAAGTGATAAATTATTATTGCTTTGAGTGATGGGGGTCTTACAAATTAATTTTTGTACATTTATGATAGCTAGAGTAAGAAGGTATTCAATAGAAAGACACATGGTATCCAGAAGCAGGTATGAAAACAATAAAATAAAATAAAGATGCAGATGGAATTTTCTACTGAGGCTAGGAAGATGCTAGCCTTTCTCTGGTTACTTAAATATTCCATCATTACACTTCAAACCGCAATGCCATGTAAGGTTTCAATCTGTCCCAGTAAGTCCTTGCTACTTTGTTAAGTCTCTGAGGGCTTCAAGTAGATACTTTTGATGTATTTTCCAGCTTTTCTATTTGCCCTCAGTGGGAAGGCTGGACTGAATTATGTAGTTCACTATGCTGGAAGGGCAAGTCCCTGAGTCCCTGATTCATGATTTTACCATCCTCCACAACCTCTGAAACAGCGCCGTCCAACAGAAATGCAGTGTAAGGCACACAGTAAATCTAAGTTCTCTGGTGGCCATATTTAAAAAGTAAAACACGGGCCAGGCACGGTGGCTCACGCCTGTAATACCAGCACTTTGAGAGGCTGAGGCGGGCGGATCACCTGAGGTCAGGAGTTTGAGACCGGCCTGGACAAAATGGTGAAACCCTGCCTTTACTAAAAATACAAAAATTAGCCGGGCATGGTGGTGGGCACCTGTAATCCCAGCTACTCAGGAGGTGAGGCATGAGAATCATTTGAACCCAGGAGGCAGAGGTTGCAGTGAGCCGAGATCACGCCACTGCACTCCAGCCTGGGCAACAGAGCAAGACTCCATCTGAAAAAAAAAAAAGGAAAACAAAACAAAAAAGCGAGATAACATTAATTTTAAGCCACATTTTAGGCCAGGCGCAGTGGCTCACGCCTGTAATCCCAGCACTTTGGGAGGCCAAGGCAGGCAGATCACGGATCACGAGGTCAGGAGTTCGAGACCAGCCTGGCCAATATGGTGAAACCCCGTCTCTATTAAATATATATATAAATTAGCTGGGCACGGTGGTGCGCACCTGTTGTCCCAGCTACTTGGGAGGCTGAGGCAGAAGAATCGCTTGAATCCAGGAGGCGGAGGTTGCAGTAAGCCAAGATCGCACCACTGCACTCCAGCCTGGGGGATAGAGCAAGACTCTGTCTCAAAAGGAAAAAAAAAAGAAGAAAAAAGAAAAACACATTTTATTTAACTCAATGATAATATCCATAACATTATCCTTTCTATTTATAATCAATAAATTATTAATGAGATATTTTTGGTATCATCTTCAAAATTCAGTTTTGGAGAGCACCGTTGTCAGTTGGTCCAAGTGTCCAGGTCTGAGGCATCCGCCCAAACCCTCCCACTTCTGGCCCCTCAAACTGGAAGAACATTCATCATGCATTTTGTGTCCAAGGCTCAAAAGTTTGTTACCCAAGATGATGAGTGCTGACATGGATGCAGTTGATGCTGAAAATCAGGTGGAACTAGAGGAAAACAACACGACTTATTAATCAAGTGTGGAAATTCCAACTCATACTTGAAGATCTCTCTGCAAGAGCAAACACAGGTAAGGAAGAAAATCTGAAGCTAAAATCAGAAAACCAAGTTGTTGGACAACATATAGAAAATCTCATGTCAGCTTCTGGTGTTTTTCAAACAACTGACACCGAAAGCAAAAGAAAGTAAGGAATTGACACACTTCTGTTTTACAGAATTGCTGCTGATAATTTTTTCTTTTAAACTTGGACAGATTCCAAAAAGTTACAGCATCTTTGTGGCTTCATTGAATATTTATGAAGAAAATGTCAGGTGAGGCAAAATTAACAGCATTAACAGGAGACTTCCCTAAGTTTGTATATTATATTAGTCTATGAAAACATGCAGTCTCTCCCTCTCCCTCCCCCTCCCCCTCCCTCTCCCCACGGTCTCCCTCTCTTTCCACGGTCTCCCTCTCATGCGGAGCCGAAGCTGGACTGTACTGCTGCCATCTCGGCTCACTGCAACCTCCCTGCCTGATTCTCCTGCCTCAGCCTGCCGAGTGCCTGCGATTGCAGGCACGCGCCGCCACGCCTGACTGGTTTTGGTGGAGACGGGGTTTCGCTGTGTTGGCCGGGCCAGTCTCCAGCCCCTAACCGCAAGTGATCCGCCAGCCTCGGCCTCCCGAGGTGCCGGGATTGCAGACGGAGTCTCGTTCACTCAGTGCTCAATGGTGCCCAGGCTGAAGTGCAGTGGTGTGATCTCGGCTCGCTACAACCTCCACCTCCCAGCCGCCTGCCTTGGCCTCCCAAAGTGCCGAGATTGCAGCCTCTGCCCGGCCGCCACCCTGTCTGGGAAGTGAGGAGTGTCTCTGCCTGGCCGCCCATCGTCTGGGATGTGAGGAGCCCCTCTGCCTGGCTGCCCAGTCTGGAAAGTGAGGAGCGTCTCCGCCCGGCCGCCATCCCATCTAGGAAGTGAGGAGCGCCTCTTCCCGGCCGCCATCCCATCTAGGAAGTGAGGAGCGCCTCTTCCCGGCCGCCATCCCATCTAGGAAGTGAGGAGCGCCTCTTCCCGGCCGCCATCCCATCTAGGAAGTGAGGAGCGCCTCTTCCCGGCCGCCATCACATCTAGGAAGTGAGGAGCGTCTCTGCCCGGCCGCCCATCGTCTGAGATGTGGGGAGCGCCTCTGCCCCGCCGCCCCATCTGGGATGTGAGGAGCGCCTCTGCCCGGCCGAGACCCCCTCTGGGAGGTGAGGAGCGTCTCTGCCCGGCCGCCACGTCTGAGAAGTGAGGAGCCCCTCCGCCCGGCAGCCGCCCCGTCTGAGAAGTGAGGAGCCTCTCCGCCCGGCAGCCACCCCATCTGGGAAGTGAGGAGCGTCTCCGCCCGGCAGCCACCCCGTCCGGGAGGGAGGTGGGAGGTCAGCCCCCTGCCCGGCCAGCCGCCCCGTCCGGGAGGGAGGTGGGGGGGTCAGCCCCCCGCCCGGCCAGCCGCCCCGTCCGGGAGGTGAGGGGCGCCTCTGCCCGGCCGCCCCTACTGGGAAGTGAGGAGCCCCTCTGCCCGGCCACCACCCTGTCTGGGAGGTGTGCCCAACCGCTCATTGAGAACAGGCCAGGATGACAATGGCGGCTTTGTGGAATAGAAAGGTGGGAAAGGTGGGGAAAAGATTGAGAAATCGGATGGTTGCCGTGTCTGTGTAGAAAGAAGTAGACATGGGAGACTTTTCATTTTGTTCTGTACTAAGAAAAATTCTTCTGCCTTGGGATCCTGTTGATCTGTGACCTTACCCCCAACCCTGTGCTCTCTGAAACATGTGCTGTGTCCACTCAGGGTTAAATGGATTAAGGGCGGTGCAAGATGTGCTTTGTTAAACAGATGCTTGAAGGCAGCATGCTCGTTAAGAGTCATCACCACTCCCTAATCTCAAGTACCCAGGGACACAAACACTGCGGAAGGCCGCAGGGTCCTCTGCCTAGGAAAACCAGAGACCTTTGTTCACTTGTTTATCTGCTGACCTTCCCTCCACTATTGTCCCATGACCCTGCCAAATCCCCCTCTGTGAGAAACACCCAAGAATTATCAATAAAAAAATAAATTAAAAAAAAAAAAAAGGAAAACATGCAAATGAATTGTAGAAACTTTATCATTACAGTTGCACATATTGGCCAGGTGCAGTGGCACATGCCTGTAATCCCAGAACTTTGGGAGGCGGAGGCATGTGGATTGCCTGAGGTCAGGAGTTCGAGACCAGCCTGGCAACATGGTGAAACCCCATTCCTACTAAAAATACAAAATAATTAGCCAGGCGTGGTGGCTTATGCCTGTAATCCCAGCTATTCGGCAGGCCGAGGCAGGGGAATTGCTTGAACCTGGGAGGTGGAGGCTGCAGTGAGCTGAGGTTGCTCCGTTGCACTCCAGCCTTGGTGACAGAGCGAGACTGCATTTAAAAAAAAAGAATTGCATATATTTATGAAACTTAAAGATGAATGTTTTATCAAATTTTCCTTGATTTGTAGATTTAGCACTGTCTTTTATTAGAGGCTTACTAAGATATACAAGAAAAATAACCACACGTTGTGAAAAAGTGACCGGAATCATACACTGAATGCGTAGCCTCATGTACCCTGTCCGTCATCTTATGCCTCTTCTCCACTTGCCTCTTCCTCTTTACCTTCCTCGAAGGAAAGAATTGGTTTCACATTTGTAAAAGTCATTTTAATAGTTAATCATCTCAGAGAGTAACCTGCACTTTAATTGTTGAAACTTAACCAAAATAAGATACAGAAAGTATCTGTATCTGAGAAACAGCTAGGGCTTGTCATTTTTTATATTTAGTATTAAGACAAGAATGCTGGTTTCTCTTTAATCCATTTAAAACAGAGGGAAGCTATAAAAATAAAGATTTTTCTTTGAGGCTGAATTGTCAACTTAGGAAGATTTGTTGTTAAAAATTTGTTTTTGCACAAAGTAACTCACTTCATCTTATCTGGAAAGATAAGTTGGTCAAGTGTATGTTTAAAATACAAAATTTAGAGGAAAAATAGAAATAGGGTGAAAAAGTACTTGGTAAACAGTAGTGACGAACTGTGAATATTTTCACTCCAGATTTTGTTATCCCTGGCACAGAGTAGATCTTTTGGGAAATATATACGGAAGTGGATTAAGTTTGACTAACTTTATGTAAGCCACATCTAGAAGAGAACAGTTACAAAGAGTTTGGTCTCTAGATTTATTTGTACCCAGCAGATCAACTTTTGCAAAATTCCTTCGCAGTGCAGTAGTATTAGAATTGTGAATGAAATAGGAGTGTTTCGCATATATGCTTATTGACAATCTTCTCAGTATTTTATCTTACTTGTTCTCTCAGAATTTTCTGTCAACTCAACTACTTGATTTGCAGTCATCCTTTGTTATTATCCTTTAACAAGTTTTATCTTATTTTATTTATTTTTTGAGACAGGGTCTTCCTCTGTCATCCAGGCTGGAGTGTAGTGGCACAATCTCGGCTCACTGCAACCTCTGCCTCCCAAGATCAAGCAATTCTCCCACCTCAGCTTCCCAAGTAGCTGGGACTAAAGGCACGTGCCATCACACCTGGTTAATTTTTTTATTTTCTGTAGCGACGGGGTTTCATCATGTGGCCGAGGCTGGTCTCAAACTCCTAGACTCAAGCGATCTGCCCACCATGGCCTCCCAAAGTGCTGGGATTACAGGCATGAGCCACCACGCCCAGCCTGGCCTCAAATTTTAAAAATTTATAGGTTCCATTTGGTAAAGAAATCAGTATCAGAAGTAATGCTAAAATCTTATAATAGGAAAAGAGATCCACTAATATAGCCTATGGTTATTAGATTTGGGCTACTTTTAATCATGGAATAATCTTATGTATTGGTGTAAGAGTTGATGAATGACTTTACCTGTATGAATTAGAATATTCAAACTGCAAACATTTTGCATCCCTTTTGTGACCTAATTTACAGACATTTAAATTGTGCTGCAATTCTGCTTTGCCATTTAATAAAAAGCTGTTTCAGAAAAAAAAATCCAGTTTTGTATTTTATACTTACAGCACATCTCAATTTGAACTTTTCAGTGTCACATCTCAAGTGCTCAATAGCTTCTTGCAGTTAATGGCTACTGCATTCGACCACACAGGTCTAAGCCCTCATCGCTTTTCCAAAAGCAGAGTTCTGATCAAAAGATTTCCTGTTTTGACCAGGTGCAGTGGCTCGCGCCTGTAATCCCAGCACTTTGGGAGGCTGAGGCGGGAGGATTGCTTGAGCCCAGGAGTTCATGACCAGCCTGGGTAACATGGCAAGGTCCCATCTCTACAAAAAATACAAAATTTAGCTGGGTGTGGTGGCATGCGCCTGTGGTCCCAGCTACTCTGGAGGCTGAGGTAGGAGGATTGTTTGAGCCCAGGAAGTCAAAGCTGCAGTGAGTCGTGATCATGTCACTGCACTCCAGCCTGGGTGATAGAATGAGACTCCATCTCAAAAGATATAGATAGAGATAGATAGATAGAGATATAGATAAATATAGATATAGATATGGAATAATATTTTTAAAATATATTATTATATAATTATAGATCTATTTCCTGTTTCAGCACTGTGGCTCACACCTTTAATCCCAGCATTTTGGGAAGCCAAGGGAGGGAGGATCCCTTGAAGCCAGGAGTTCTCAAGACCAGCCTGGGCAACATAGTGAGACCCTGTCTCTGCAAAAAATAAAAGCCAGACACAGTGTACACCCCTGTAGTCCCAGCTACTTGAGAAGCTGAGGCAGGAGGATCCCTTGAGCGCAGGAGGTTGCCACTGCACTCCAGCCTGGGTGACAGACTAAGACCTTCCTTCTAAAAAAATAAAAACAAACAAAAATATTTTCTGTGTCAAAACTCTTCAATACTTCCATATTGCCTACTAATTTGAACCAAAGTCCTTATTCCAGTATTTCAGATGCTGTACAAAACAAAAGCATTGCTCTATCTTTGCAGTTTCATCTTTGCTATCCTCACACAAGAACCTTATACTCTAAGCAACTAGTTTTCCTCATATTTCCAGATCATCTATGCTTGTCACCCTCTGCACTGTTGACTTGCTTAATGATCCTAATAGTCCTAGCTAACATTAATTGGATGCCAATTATATGCCAATGAGTGTGCTAGACTCTTTGTGCATTATTATTTAATCTTCACAACTCTATGAGGTAGATATTATTATCCTCATTTTACAGAGGAGAAGTTAAACTTCTGAGAGGCTAACTTGTTCAAGAGGACAAAACTGTCCATTGACCTAGAAGTGAACCAACCTTGTTTTTAAAGTAGTGCTTTCCCAAAATTATCGTGTTGCCTCTCTCTTTCTGGAATTTCCTTTTCTCATTTCTGCTGCTTGAAATTCTGCTCCTCCTTAATGGCCCATCTCTGAAAATAGCTCTTACAAAAAGCCTTTCTCGGCCAGGTGCAGTGGCTCACGCCTGTAATCCGAGCACTTTGGGAGGCCGAGGCGGGTGGATCACCTGAGGTCAGGAGTTCAAGACCAGCCTGACCAACACGGCGAAACCCTGTCTCTACTAAAAATACAAAATTAGCCGGGTGTGGTGGCGCATGCCTGTAGTCCCACCTACTCAGGAGGCTGAGGTGGGAGAATTGCTTGAACCCGGGAGTCGGAGGTTGCAGTGAGCCGAGATCGCACATTGCACTCCAGCCTGGGCAACAAGAGTGAAACTCCGTCTCAAAAAAAAAAAAAAGCCTTTCTTTATCCCCAACTGGATGTCACTTTTTGAGCTTCTACCAAGCTTTGAGGCTTTGAGGCTCCTTGTGGCAGACACATAGACTGAGCGCAGAAAAACCATCCTCTTAATTTTCTGTTTAATATGATAATTATTTGTATTTTTGCCTTATGTAACTACCTGTTAGCCCATAAAGTACAGGGGCCCTGTAGCTCCTACTCTTCTTCGTGTCCTCCACAGTATATGATGCGATGGTCAGCAGACACTAAATAAATATTTTCTGATGATTTAAATTATTTCAGCACCTTCATTCCAGTCTGTTGTGGAATCTCATCCTGCACATCACTGCCAAACTGTGCTCCTAAAACACATTTTTATCATGCTGTTTTCTAGAAATGTTTTCTGTTGCCTGCTGCATGAAGTCCTGCGCCCCTGCCTTCCAAGGCTCTTTCCCCATGCTCTGGATCCCTTTCCTGAGCATTTTACTCAATTTGTTTTTGTTTTTGTTTTAAAGAGGGGGTCTCGCTCTGTTGCCCAGGCTGGAGTGCAGTGGCGCGATCTCGGCTCACTGCAAACTCTGCCTCCCTGGTTCAAGCAATTCTCTGCCTCAGCCTCCCGAGTAGCTGGGATTACAGGCACACGCCTCCATGCCAATTTTTTGTAGTTTAGTGGAGATGGGGTTTCACCGTGTTGCCCAGGCTGGTGTTGAACTCCTGAGCTCAGGCAATCTGATGGCTCATGCCTGTAATCCCAGCACTTTGGGAGGCCGAGGCTGGTGGATCACTTGAGGCCAGGAGTTTGAGACCAGTCTGGCCAACATGGTGAAACCACGTTTCTACTAAAAATATAAAAATTAGTGCCTCATCTGTAGTCCCAGCTACTTGGGAGGCTGAGGCACGAGAATCACTTGAATCCAGCAGGCGGAGATTGCAGTGAGCTGAGATCGCACCATTGCACTACAGCCTGGGTGACAGAACAAGACTAGTCTCAAACAACAACAACAACAACAAAAACAAACAAACAAAACCCCAGATTTTGAAAACTCAGCCTCTGATGTAGCCATGCTGGTCCCATGGACCTCCCCAGTTGCCCAATCATTCTTGCCTCCTTTCTAGAATGGCTCTCTCCATTCCTTGGCCTCTTTGTTCTGCAAGATCCACTTCAAGTACTGCCTCCTCAGAGCCTTCTCTAACTACCCCAACTCTTCTTCCCTCTAGCTACACTTGCACGATACAAATTGTACCACGAAATTCTGATTCTGTATTTGTAGCACGTAAGATAGTTTTATCTCACTAGCTAACTTGAAAATACAGGATCTTGTCCTACTCATCTTTGTATTGCACTGTGGCTTAACACATATTTAGATAATAATCAATAAACATTCATTGAATTAACTTTTCCTAATTATAATATTCTACATGGTTTGTCTTCATTTCTGGTTCATCATGACTTGGCAGTGGCTTCTGAGGCTTTAAGCCTTAGGTTTCTCTTTGAATCTCCTCCTGGTATGCAAAAGTCTGTAAACACATACAGTGTTTGAATACATTAGGGGAACATGTCATTAGATAATCTATCCTTGTATCACTTAAGGTATTTTATAAACTTACACATCATCCTGTGACATTCCAAAGCTGTAAACTGGATTTTTGCAAAGCTGTAAATTGCCCTGAAATGGGGCACACTTTTTGCAAATTTATTTCAATAGCGATTGAAAACAAAAAAACAAGGCAAATGTTTTGCACAACAGTTGCACAACAACTAAGTCTTATCCAGAATGCTGCACAACACTAAGTCTTATCGGGAATGCAGACTCCCTTTCATCACAAACGAGGCAACATCTCCTGAATAACGTGGAAAAGGAGAAATGAAAGCAAAATAAGGAAGCTTTGTCCCTGCTTGTTACAGTTGTACCTTTTCAAGCTTTTGAAGTAACCATCTCTTAGCTTCATGCCCCCTGAAAATCAGCTGCTTTAAGTTTCTCTGTCTTATTTAGTCTGTGTGTGTGTGTGTGTGTGAGAGAGAGAGAGAGAGAGACAGTCTTGCTCTGTCGCCCAGGCTGGAGTGCAGTGGTGCAATCTCGGCTCACTGCAACCTCCACCTCCACGTTCAAGCAATTCTCCTGCCTCAGCCTCCTGAGTAGCTGGGATTACAGGCGCGCCATCACGCCTGGCTAATTTTTGTTTTTTGTTTTTTTTTGTAATAGAGACAGGGTTTTGCTATATTGGCCAGGCTGGTCTTGAACTCCTGACCTCAGGCGATCTACCTGCCTCAGCCTCCCAAAGTGCTGGGATTACAGGCGTGAGCCACTGCGCCCTACCCTTATTTAGTCTTAAAGAAAAGGATTTTGAATTTTAGGATGATTCATTCCAATGCTAGTTCTAGTCTCTGTTAATTTACCCAAGTGTGCTAGGAATTTAATAACATACATTATTTTCATAATAAAATAGTTTACTTCTTACTGACCTCACTGTCCAAGAAATGCACAAAGGTGAGGTGAGGAATACCCTTCATGGACTATAGGAGAATATGGGACTAGAAAAGACGATTTTACCATAATGTTGAGTTTCCCCTCAATTAACTTTATGTTAATATTATGCAATAACTTTCTGAAGAAAGAAAACAGAATTCTTGAGTCATTAGGGAAAATAGGAATGTTCTGAATTGAAAATATATATTCTTTCTGATATTCTGTGTAGCTTATCTGCTTGGTGCATTATTTGATCCTAGTAGACATCCCCCATTATCCTACAAGTACTCCTTGTCACCTAGCAATGTGTACTCAAAGAAGGAGCTTAATTTTACCAAGAGAACAAAATAAGACATAATTAGGGAGTACTCTAGAAGCCAGTGATAAGACCCCTCCCCTAACAAATGAATAACAATTGGTGTGACACATTTGATGTGTTACAATTAATTACAAAGTAAGTCACAAGAAATGTATTACTAATAAAAAAGTACCAACAGTTTGAAAGTGACATGTTTAACAATTAGAGCCAATTCAGCAGATTATCCCTATAATAATATTATGTTGATAGATGTGCATTCCAGTATGCTTTCTGGGAGAGAGAAGGGGAGAATTATGGGTAGCTACCAACGACTGATATTATTTTGTGAGCGTGTCCGTGGAAATGTGTCGAAAATG
Source organism: Homo sapiens (assembly GCF_000001405.40). Lineage (NCBI taxonomy): Eukaryota > Metazoa > Chordata > Mammalia > Primates > Hominidae > Homo > Homo sapiens. The sequence goes on from NC_000001.11 coordinate 150,789,311, forward strand.
TGAACAACATCTGTCTTCTCTATAGTAATATGGGAAAGTTGAGAATAGCTAAGCTAAAAGGTGTTGGAAGTATACTTTTTTTCACCAGCTTCCCTTCCTCCTTCTCGTGGTAACAGCACCCTGATTTTAAAATGGGGAAACCCTGACACTCCTGGGCTTAAGATAGAACCAATCTTGCCCCTAGCTTCAAGAGTGGGCATAGGTCCCAAGGCCAGCCTGTCAAAGTTTTGTATCCCTCCAGCTACAATGACTGGTTGGGGAATGAGCATGTGACACAATCACAGCCTGCAAGACCTGTATCACGAGGTTCTTTGTTGCAAAGAAGAGTAGTCGATTTTGGCTGACTCAGAATTTGGTAGAAGTTACAAACTGTAAAATGTGGAACTGGCTGAATGGAGGGCGTGGGGATAGGGCAATGAGGACTCTAGTCCAAACTGGAAATTATGAATTCATGAAATATCTGTTGCCTATTGTTTTGGGGTAAGACCACAGGCCCACTGGAGTGTGGTATGAGAAGAAATGGTAGTGCTGGGCGCAGTGGCTCTCCCCTGTAGTCCCAGCACTTTGGGAGATAGACAGGTGGATTGCTTGAGCCTAGGATTTAGAGACCAGCCTGAGCAACATGGCAAAACCCTTCTCTACAAAATACATGCTGGGTGTGGTGACACACACCTGTAGTCCCAGCTACCCGGGAGGCTGAGATGGGAGGATCACTTGAGTGCAGGAGGTCGAGGCTGCAGTGAGCCATGATTGTGCCACTGCACTCAAGCCTGGGCAACAGAGTGAGGCCCTGTCTCAAAAAAAAAAGAAGAGAAAGAAATGATAGGAAAAATTCAGCATGTTGGCATATGTTGGCTCCTTTTGTAGGCTTCAGAAAGTGGCTCACGTCTGTAATCCCAGCACTTTGGGAGGTCGAGGTGTGTGGATCACGTGAGGTCAGGTGTTCGAGACCAGCCTGGACAAGACGGTGAAACCCCGTCTCTACTAAAAATACAAAAATTAGCTGGGTGTGGTGGCGGGCGCCTATAATCCCAGCTACTCAGGAGGCTGAGGCAGGAGAATTGCTTGAACCCGGGAGGCAGAGGTTGCAGTGTGCCAAGATCACACCACTGTACTCCAGTCTGGGCGACAGAGCAAGACTTGTCTCAAAAAAAAGCAAAAAGCAAAACAAAACAAAAAACAAGAAAGAATACAAGAAAGTTACTCAGTAACTTAATCTGAAAGTGTTCTATCTAAAAGCGTAGAGAGAATAATATATCGCTTTGCTAAGTGAAGTTCTTTCTGCCTATAGCCTGCAATATAAAATCCCATAGTTTAGAGCCCTATAGGGTAGAAAAAGTACCAAACTGGTCGGGCGAGGTGGCTTACACCTGTAATCTCAGCACTTTGGGAGGCTGAGGTGGGCGGATCACTTGAGATCAGGAATTTGAGACCAGCCTCGCCAATATGGCAAAACCCCATCTCTACTAAAAATACAAAAGTTAGCCGGGTGTGGTGGTGGGAGTCTGTAATTCCAGCTACTCTGAGGCAGGAGAATCGCTTGAACCCAGGAGGCAGAGGCTGCAGTGAGCCAAGATTGTACCACTGCACTCCAGCCTGGGCAACAGAGCAAGACTCCATCTCAAAAAAAATAAATAAAAAGCACCAAACTAAACTTAATGCAGAGGCAAGGAGGCAAAAGATTTAGCAAGAAATAAGACCAGAGTTCCAGGCTTCTGTCATGCACCTCCAGCTAAGCATTTTCCCAGAAAAGAGGGCAAAGCTCAGATTATGGGTATACATCTGCTCTTATGGCTTTTATTTTGAGCTACTTGGACAAGTACCATTAAATGGAGGTCAGGGGATGGCACAGCACTGAGGTTGATTCCTAGGAGTTTGAAATTCTCAGGTTTAAACATTTTATCTAGAAAAACATTTTTTGGGTGTGACAACTCAGACCAAAAGCTACTGAGCTTTTATGGGAACGTATTGCCAAAGAAACCCCAGGCCCAGCAATCTATTGTATTTTCTAGGTTTCCAATTTGTACCACAGCTAAAGTTGAGTAGGGCATGCCCAGAAAGGGCATTTCCATGTGCCCATCTCTGGCATAGCCATGGAGAATAAGAGACAAGTAAGATCCTCTAGCAGGAAGAAGCAGGAGCCATGCTAGACCATAAAGAAGATCCCCATAGAGAGCGAGCCTCGAGTTTCCCAGTTACCTCGCCAAGGAACTCATTCTACTGCCAGGCAAGGAGTCTTCCATATTCCTGCCTAGCAGGACATAAATTATGCTACAGATCAACAATAACTGTGTGCTATTTTTCATCCATTCTCCTCTTTGCAGAATTAGAGTTTTCATTGTAATTACTCTGTTCCTATTTTTTTTAAAGATATATTGGCTAAGATAGTTTAAGTTTTACCCAGTATAAGCGAATCTGGCCACTTCTCTCTCCCTCTACCATGACCACAGTTTAAGTTCCCACCATTTCCCCACTAGACTTACGTAACAGCCCTCTAACTTCCCTACTTCCACGCTACACTCCGCCCTACAGTCTATTCTTCCCTGTACCCCAGTTCACATCACTCCCCTGTACAAAACTTTCCCATTTAACAAATATTAAGCATCTGCTTGCCAGGCCTCAAGGAGCCATATCCAAATTTGAGAAGGAAATCAGAAAGAAATCATCAGCCAGAAATCCTGGTCTTAAGAGTTGAACACTGTAACCAAATAAGGCCCTGGGTTGTCTCTCACCGGGGAAGAGGAGTTGATAAGCACTCTGTTATACAGGCATGAGCATTTCTTGAATAACTCCTTATTTCTAACAGCATTCTAATTTTGTTTAGATAACCATTGTCCGTAACACCACAGACTGAAATGAAGTCAGACAGGTGGCCTGGGCCGGGCGCAGTGGCTTACACTGGTTAATCCTAGCACTTTGGGAGGCTGAAGCAGGTGGATTACTGGAGTCTAGGAGTTCGAGACCAGCCTGGGCAACATGGCAAAACCTCATCTTTACAAAAAATACAAAAATTAGTGGGGCATGGTGACATGTGCCTGTAGTCCCAGTTACTCGGGAGGCTGAGGTGGGAGGATCGCTTGAGCTCGGGAGGTCGATGCTGCAGTGAGATGTCATTGTGCCACTGCACTCCAATCCGGGTGACAGAGTGAGACCCTGTCTCAAAAAAAAATAAATTAATTAATAAATTAAGGCCGGGCGCGGTGGCTCACGCCTGTAATCCCAGCACTTTGGGAGGCCGAGGCGGGTGGATCATGAGGTCAGGAGATCGAGACCATCCTGGCTAACAAGGTGAAACCCCGTCTCTACTAAAAATACAAAAAATTAGCCGGGCACGGTGGCGGGCGCCTGTAGTCCCAGCTACTCGGGAGGCTGAGGCAGGAGAATGGCGTGAACCCGGGAAGCGGAGCTTGCAGTGAGCCAAGATTGCGCCACTGCAGTCCGCAGTCCGGCCTGGGCGACAGAGCGAGACTCCGTCTCAAAAAAAAAAAAAAATTAATAAATAAATAAATTAATTAATTAATTAAAAAAAAAAAAAAGGCCGGGCCTGGTGGCTCACGCCTGTAATCCCAGCACTTTGGGAGGCCAAGACGGGTGATCACTTGAGGTCAGGAGTTGGAGACCAGCCTGGCCAACATGGTGAAACCCTGTCTCTACTAAAAATACCAAAAATTAGCCGGGCAAGGTGGCAGGCACCTGTAATCCCAGCTACTCAGGAGGCTGAGACAGGAGAATCGCTTGAACATGGGAGGCACACGTTGCAGTGAGCTGAGATCATGCCATTGCATTCCAGCCTGGACAACAAGAGCAAAACTCCATCTCAAAAAACAAACAAACAAAAAAAACAGCCTGGGACCAGATCATGCTGCTTGTAGGCCACTTAATACTTCTGTATTATATTCTAAGTTCACTAAAATATAAACCCAATGAGGTCTTGAATTTTTGTCACTGTTGAATTACCAGAACAGTGCCTGACTCACAGTAAAGGCTTAATATTTGTTAAATAAATGAAAGAGTAATGGGAAAGTTTTGTACAGGGAAAAACAGACTGTAGGGTGGAGTGTAGTGCAGAAGTAGGGAAGTTAGAGGACTATCACATAAGACTAGGGGGAAACAAAGGGAACTTAAACTGTGTGGTCATGCTAGAGGGAGAGAGAAACGGCCAGATTCATATTATATTTTGAAGAGGCAGGGACAGAATTTGCTAATATGGACCAAAAGAGAAGTAGAGAAGAATAACAACAAAATGATTGAGCAATATTTAATTTGGAATCACATGGCTAAATAATATATATATATATATTTTTTTTTTGAGATGGAGTCTCACTCTGTCTCCCAGGCTGGAGTGCAGTGGCGCGATCGCAGCTCACTGCAACCTCTGCCTCCAGGGTTCAAGCGATTCTTGTGCCTCAGCCTCCCAAGTAGCCGGGATTACAGGCATGAGCCACTGCGCCCAGCTAATTTTTGTATTTTTAGTAGAGACAGGGTTTCACCTTGCTGGCCAGGCTGGTCTCGAACTCCTGGCCTCAAGTGATCCACCCACCTCAGCCTCCCAAAATGCTGGGATTACAGGCTTGAGGCACTGTGCCCGGCCTCTTTCTTTCTTCTCTCTTTCTCTTTTACCTGAGATGGGGTCTCACTATGTTGCCCAGGCTGGATTCAAACTTCTGGGCTCAAGCAATCCTCCTACCTCAGCCTCCCTAGTAGCTGGGACTATGCAGGCATGCCACCGTCCCAACCAGAATTTTATTTCTTTTTATGGCTGAATAATATTCCATTGTGTAGAATATTACCACATTAGGCTATCCATTCATCTGTTAATGGACACTGGGTTGTTTCTACCTTTGGGCTTTTGTGAATAATGCTGCTAAGAACATTGGTGTATGAGTATCTGAATCCCTGCATTCAATTATTTTGGATCTAAATCCAGGAGTGGAATTGCTGGATTATATGGTAATTCTATGTTTAAGTTTTTGTGGAACCAACACACTGTTTTCCACTGCAGCTGCACCCTTTTACATTCCCACTAACAACGTACGAGATTTCAGTTTCTTCACATCCTCATCAACACTTGTTATATTCCAGGTTTGTTGTTGTTGTTGTTGTTGTAATAGCCATTCTAATGGGTATGAAGTGTATCTCACTGTGGTTTTGGTTTACATTTCCTTATAGGCTAGTGATGTTGAGCATATTTTCATGTGCTTATTCACCATTTGTATATCTGTTTTGGTGAAATATGTATTCAAGTCCTTTGCCCATTTTTAATTTTTCTTATTGTAGAGTTGTGGGAGTTCTTTGAATATTTTGGATATTAATTCTTTCATCAGATATATAACTTGTGGATATCTTCTCCCATTCTGTGTTGTCTTTACCCTCTCTTAATAGTGTCCTTTGGTGGACAAAAAAATTCTAATTTTGACAGAAGTCCAATTTATCTAACTTTTTTCTTTTTTTTTTCTTGAGACAGAGTCTCACTCTGTCATCCAGGCTGGAGTGCAGTGGCATGATCTCAGCTCCCTGCAACCTCCGCCTCACAGGGTCAAGTGATTCTCCTGCCTCAGCCTCCCAAGTAGCTGGGATTACAGGGGCCCGCCACCACGCCCGGCTAATTTTTGTATTTTAGTAAAGACAGGGTTTCACCATGTTGGCCAGGCTGGTCTCAAACTCCTGACCTCAGGCAATCCGCCTGCCTCAGCCTCTCAGAGTGTTGGGATTACAGGCGTGAGCTAAGGCGCCCGGCCCTAATTTTTTGTTGTTCTTTCTTGTGCTGTGGTGTCATAACCACTGCCTAATTCAAGGTCAGGAAGATTTACCCCTGTGTTTTCTAAGAGTTTTAGCTCTTACCTTTAGGTTTTTAGCCATTTTGAATTAATTTTTTATATGAGGTGGAGTAGTGTTCCAACTTCATTCTTCTCCATGTTGTTATTCAGTTGTCCAGCATGACTTTTTGAAAAGACTATTCTTTCCCACCTTGAATTGTCTTGGCACCCCATGTCAATTGAATGTGGTTTATTTCTACACCCTTAATTCTATTCCATTGATCTGTATGCCTTGACTACTATTGGTTTGAAGTTAAGTTTTGAAATTGAGAAGTGCAAGTCCTCCAACTTTGTTCTTTTTCAAGGTTGTTTTGGCTATTCTGAAGCCCTTGAATGTCCATATGAATCTTAGAGCCAGCTTGCCAATTTCTGCAAGAAAGCCAGCTGAGATTTTAATACAAATTGTGTTAATTCTGTAGATCAATTTGGAGATTATTGCCATATTAACAACAGTGTCATGCTGGGTGCAGTGGCCCACACCTATAATTCCAGCACTTTGGGAGGCCGAGGCGGCCAACATAGGGAGACAAGCTGGTCTCAAACTGCTGGGCTCAGGCGATCCTCTCACCTCGGCCTCCCACAAAATAATTTTTAAAAAATCAGCTAAGCATGGTGGTGTTCACCGTAGTCCAAGCTACTTAGGAGACTGAGGTGGGAAGAACTCTTGAGCCCAGGAGATCAAGGCTGCAGTGAGCTATGAGTGCCACTGACTCCAGCCTGGGCAACAGAGGGAGACCCTGACGAAAGAGAGAGAAAGACAGAGCGAGAGAGAGAGAAAAGAAAAAATAACCTTAAAATGTTTTTCAAGACCCAAGTTTCCATGTCACTTAATTTAGTCTCCCCTCAGGCAGATTAAACACTGAGATCTCCTTATATCCACTTAATCCCAGAAATGTAGTACAGTTCTTGGCACAGAGTAAGAACTCAATATATATTGGCTGAAGGAATGAACAAATAAATGAATTGGGATGAAATGTTTATGTGACAGTCTCTACAACCAGACTGTGAGCGCATCAAGTACATAGAAGATGTTCTATTCATCTTTTTTCCTCCAGCACCTAACACAGTATCCAACACAAAATGAATGTGTACTAGATGCTATTTATTAAACTGTAGACAGGAGATAAATACTTTATTTCAAAAGTGCAAAGAAGGGAAGACAAATCACATTTCTTTTTATCATGTAAACTTGTACCAAAGACTTATGAATAGATTTATGAATTGGAGTAGAAAACATAGACATTTCTACCTTGAGGATATAGAAGGGAACTTAGGAAGTGAGAAGTCAGATTACCCTAGTCCTCTAGGGTGCTTAAAGCTAACTAGTCCCGTGAATGAGAATCTAACCTATGTGAAAATCTCCAGCCTGTACCTGTACAGCATCAGCCCTGGGACAACACAGTCAGGGGCAGGCTGTAGTCACATCTCTTAGCCTAAGAGTACACAGCTGTCAGGGAAAGTCCTGATGGCCACAGTGAAAAAGGTCATGGGTGGAGAGAAGCAAAGTAGGAAGGATCATTTGAAGCACAAACAAATGGGGAAACTGAACAGACAATCTCAGTATCACCACATCTGCTTCAAAAATAGCACACCAACTCCCTTCCAAAGTGCATCGTTACACTGCACCATCGTGGAAGAAATGGAAGAGCAGGATGGATTTGGCTGGCTGGAGTCACATCTTGGGGAAGCTGGCCAGGTTGGCAATGCCACAGGCGTTGTTCTTATTTCGAGCCATGAGGATATATCCTTTGTTTCCCCAGTTTTCTCCCCAGCTGTAAGACCAATCAAGAAAAATACTTAGTACTCTCAGTTTATTTATTCATTAAAATATTTACTGAGTATTGTGCGAGGTACTGATGGTACACAAAAATGAATATGATGTTTTTTAACTTTAAAGAGTTTAAAGTCAAGAAATAGGGAGAAGGCATAATACTGTAGGTATCAAAGGAGGGAAAGATTCCTTCTGATCAAGAGAATCTTAGAGGCTTGATGTAAGAGGTGGCATTTGAGCTGAGCCAAAAGGCTAAGTAGAATTTCGACCTGTGGGAAGGGGATGCCAGTGGAAGGGTGTGAAATGAACAACAGAGGCAGGAAAGTGTGGGGCACTGTTAGGATCATGTAGCTGAAAAGCAGTGTGCCTAACAGGGTGTAGTGGGAGAGATGTCTGGAAAGGCAGATTGAGATCAGGTTGAATTACCTTTACTGCAAGGTTAAAAAGCTTCACCTTTACTCTGTGACCCATCATCGTGAGGAGCCAGTGAGGGATTTTGAGTGGGAGAGTGATATGATCAGAGCTGTATTTGGGGAATATTAATCTTGAAAATGTGAGTTTAGAGCATAAGAAAGAGGCTGAAGCTGGTGATCTTGATTTGGGAGTAAACCCCATAGGAGAGATGGATGAAACTATGAGAGTGGATGAGATTACTAAGGAAATGAGTAGCGAGACTAGAAGACAAGAGAGACGACGTGAGAAAGAGGAGAGAGGAGAGATTGTCTGTTTATCTTCCTGAATTGTTTTCAGTCCTCTTTCCCCAACCAGCAACTTCTCTAATTACCCAACACATTTTATTTAAAACCTGTACCCTCCCCCACTCTCCCCTTCTCCAGGGGCCCCCAGTGTTCCTGATCCTGCCCGGGTGTGTCCTTTCTTCCTCCCAGCTCTCTTGGAAGCTATCTCCACACATGGTACCTGATCATGAAAGAACAGGGTAAGTGCTTGGACCTGGGAGTCAAGAGAAGGGACAACACAGGACAGAAGCTGTGGGAGACTTGGGAAGATGCTCAGGTTCACCTTGAGTTGGAACTGTGATATAAAAAGTTGCTTCAGGTTTGAACAACACCACTGCGTGAGTCTGTCAGCGACCCAGAGTCTAGGGCTCCTGCTCCTTGGAGGGCACTAAGGACAGGAGATTTAGCCAGTGCTGCTGCCAGGTTAATGGTGATCAGCCAGGAAAGGAAAACTATAATTGTTATCAATCTGCCCCTCCCCAAAAGTCACAAGGTGCTAAAGAGAAATGGGAAGCAAGGTACCCTGGAGTTTTCTTTGTTCCCCAACATAGGAAAGTAAACACTAACTTTTTTTGTTTATATCTTATTTCTAAAAAATGTTTCTCTTCACAATCTTTGGCAAGTTCTTATATACGTGTATCTTAAGTGTATTTTGAAGGAAAAAAACTGTTCAAAGGAATATTAAACCTTTACGCTGTTCCCCTACTGTTAAAGACAGATTGCTAATGGAAACCATCTAAGAAACTGATCACATTAGAGACAAAAGAAAGTAAAAATACGTAATTCCAAAGCTCCTGCTGGTTCTTTGTACTGCTTTATCTCATGGTTAGTTAGGTCTGTCTTATTGGGCTCTGAGCTCACTGAAGGTGTCATCTGCTCGTTGGTTTATGTATGTCACTAAGCACCTTGCACACAGGGAGCATCTGCCCAGCACATAATTGAGCACTATTGTCTGGCGGATATGGTTTGGATGTGTGTCCCCTCCCAGTCTCATGCTGAAATGTGATCCCCAATGTGGGAGGTGGGGCATAGTGGGAGGTGTTTGGGTTATGAGAGTGGATTCCTCATGAATGGCTTGGTGCCATCGCCTTGGTGATGAGTGAGTTCTCACTCTATTAGTTCATGCAAGAGCTGGTTCTTTAAAGAGTCGGCACCTCCCTCTCTCTCTTGCTCCCTCTCTCACTATGTGACATGCCTGCTCCCTCTTTTGCCTTCTGCCATGAGTAAAAGCTCTGAGGCCTCATCAGAGGCTGAGCAGATACTAGTGCCACGCTTTGTATAGCCAAACAAACCTCGTTTCTTTATAAATTACCCAGTCTCGGGTATTCTTTTGTGGCAATGCAAAATGGACTAACACACTGGCCATTAAGTGTCAGACTGAGAATTAAGAGCCTCTGACTGAGAAGATAGAAGTGAGAACTCTGAGATAATTTTTTCTTGATTTGGGACAGAGAAAGGAATATCGGGAAGCTGGAGGTGAGGTTGAGTGTTAAAAGGGTGACTGAATAACAAAAGTAGTGTTCCCATCATTACCTGTTTTTAATTATCCAGTGCTTGTTTCCCTTCTGGATTCCATATCCCACTGCCAAAACTGCATGGTTCAGATTATCGCTATTGCAGCTTTCATCATAATACACACCTAGAATACAAACTACCAGCGTGAGGCTCTATGCAATCCAAGGGTCACCCTGTGGGATCTCCCAGTCTAGGAGACTGTTTGAAGAATTCCATCCGTGTCAGGAGGGTTTACCACAGAGATGCTGCTCCATACTGCAGCAGTTGTTAATTTCTCTCTGGCCACCTCCATGTGAATACAAAAACTAAGTACTGAAAATACCCAAGGTCCTTCGAGAAACCATCAAGTTTGTATCATAAAAGACAGTGCTGTATAGGATCAGCAGCTTCTTACCTTTGCTGTAAAACTGGAAGGAGGTCAGGCTTGCATCAATGGCCACAGAGACAGGTCCCACTCGGGCCACTGCCCTCTTCAGGGCTTTCTCATTCCCCTCGGGGATCTCTCTGTACCCTCTGCATTTAGCTGCCTTGCCTGTTGGGTTGTACATACAACTCTCTTCCTGGAAGAAACAAGATTGTAATAGGACTAGGACAAAGCAATAGGCAATGAGTCAGTGAGTAAGAAACTCAACCAATATTTTGAGTGATGCCAGTGAACTAACAGAGGCAGCAGTCTAGGGTTTCTAGAGAGGGTCTGTTCTTCCTCAGAAAAACGAATATGAAAAGAGGATTCCCGCCTTCCACCACACATAAAAACCAACTACAGGCCAGGTGCGGTGGCTCATGCCTGTAATCCCAGCACTTTGGGAGGCTGAGGAGGGTGGATCACGAGGTCAGGAGATCGAGACCATCCTGGCTAACACAGTGAAACCCTGTCTCTACTAAAAATGCAAAAAAATTAGCCAGGCGTGGTAGCGGGCGCCTGTAGTCCCAGCTACTGGGGAGGCTGAGGCAGGAGAATGGCGTGAACCTGGGAGGCAGACCTTGTAGTGAGCCAAGATCGCGCCATTGCACTCCAGCCTGGGCGAGAGCGAGACTCCATCTCAAAAAAAAAAAAAATCAACTACAGGTGTTTTAAGACATAAATGTGGGAGGAAAACAGTAGGGAAAGATTTCTGAAATAAGATTTTTTTAAAAAGCATAAACCATCTTCTGGCCACATAGTATGTATTAGCCTCAGGGGGCAGGAAGGCACCAGCTGCTGTGTGGGTAGGAGGCCAAGGCCAAGGCTTAGCTAGAGGGAAGACCTGGGCCCTCTGCACCTATATCAGGGGAACTGGTGTGATCCTTGTGCTCTCATCAAAGACAAAATATAAAAGTACATAACAAGACACTAAAATAGATTAAAGAACTTAGCAATTTAGCCTATGACTTCCAACACTATATTTTACAGGTAGTTAGCAATGTTTCATTGGCAAGCCACAATTATGGAATCGAATAATAGCCCATGTTAAGGTGGTGTATTCTTTTCAGCAATTCATTTTCCTACAGACTACCCCTTCAGAACCCTAAGGTTGCATCCACAAGAACTTATTATCTACTACTCAGCAGGCTGAGGCAGGAGGATTGTTTGTGCCCAGGAGTTTGAGCCTTTAGTGTACTGTGATCATGCTGTGAATAGCCACTCTACTCCAGCCTGTGCAAGATAGTGAGATACCCTCTAAAAAAATACATTATCTAACATTATCTAAATATTAACAGCAATAGCAGCATTTGATATGCCATTTTAAGATTACAGTGGTCTACTGCCTTGATATTTTTCAAGATGCCTTTGTTTCTGCCATGTGCTCCAAATCCCTGATGCCTCCTGGTGCCAAAAATTACACAGAATTACAAGTGAAACAGAATATCTTGGAAATTGACTCAAAAAGATATTATGTGATGATACTTTAAAGTCAGAATAACCTGCATTATGCTGGAACAAACTTATAATACCATCCCTTTAAAATGTTATCTGGCCGCCCTATCAGATCTCTTCTTTTTTATCTTTTTATTTTTTGAGACAGAGTCTCTGTTACCCAGGCTGGAGTGCAATGGCATGATCTTGGCTCACTGCAACCTCTGCCTCCTGAGTTCGAGCAATTCTCCTGCCTCAGCCTGCTGGGATTACAAGCGTGCGCAATCACACCTGGCTAATTTTTGTATTTTTAGTAGAGATGGGGTTTCACCATGTTATCCCAGCTGGTCTCAAACTCCTGACCTCAAGTGATCTGCCTGCCTCAGCCTCCCAAACTACTGGGATTATAGGTGTGAGCCACCGTACCTGGCCACATCTCTTCTTTTTTAAATTTTATTTTTTCTTACCTTTCTCCATTCATAAACGAATAAAACACATTACAAAAATTGCAAAGGAAAATTAATCATTTTACTAATTTTACTATATTAAAATTAACTTTTTTTTTTTTTTGAAACGCAGTCTTGCTCAGTTGCCCAGGCTGGAGTGCAGTGGTGCAATCTCGGCTCACTGCAAGCTCCACCTCCCGGGTTCACGCCATTCTCCTGCCTCAGCCTCCCGAGTAGCTGGAACTACAGGCACCTGCCACCACGCCCAGCTAATTTTTTTGTATTTTTAGTAGAGACAGGGTTTCACCATGTTAGCCAGGATGGTCTTGATCTCCTGACCTTGTGATCCACCCATCTCAGCCTCCCAAAGTGCTGGGATTACAAGCGTGAGCCACCGCGCCAGGCCTATTAAAATTAACTTTTCTAGATTGAAAGACATCATAAAAAGAATGAAAAGACAAACCTCAACTTTTAAATACATAGTATTGTATCCAAATATTCTCTTTAAACTTTTAAGAATCGCTAAGAAAGAGAAAAAACAATCCAATTAAAAATGAGTAAGGGGTGGGGCATGGTGGCTCACACCTGTAATCCCAGCACTTTGGGAGGCCGAGGCGGGCGGACCACCTGAGGTCAGGGGTTCAAGACCAGCCTGGCCAACATGGTGAAACCCTGTCTGTACTAAAAATACAAAAACTAGCCGGGCGTGGTTGCGGGTGCCTATAATCCCAGCTACTCAGGAGGCTGAGGCAGGAGAATTGCTTGAATCCAGGAGGTGGAGGTTGCAGTGAGCCAAGATCGCGCCACTGCACTCAAGCCTAGGTGACAAAAGCAAAACTCCATTTCAAAAAAAAAAAAAAAAGGGTAGGCCAGGCATGGTGGCTTACATCTATAATCCCAGCACTTTGGGAGGTGGGAGGATTGCTTGAGCCTAGGAGTTTGAGACTAGCCTTGGCAACATAGCGAGACAATGTCTCTACCAAAAAAAACGGTTGTTGTTTTTGGGGACAGGGTCTCACTCTGTCACCCAGGCTAGAGAGCAGTGACATGATCACAGCTCACAGCAGCCTTGAACTCCCAGGCTCAAGTTGTCCTCCCAACCAGCCTCCTGAGTAGCTAGAACTATGCACGCCATCATACCTGGCTACTTTTAAAAATTTTTTCTGTAGAGATGAGGTCTTGCTATGTTGTACCAGGCTGATCTGGAACTCCTGGGCTTAAGTGATCCTCCCACCTCAGCCTCCCAAAGTGCTGGGATTACAGGCATGAGCCACCATGCCTAGCCTCTACAAAAAAAAATTTCAAAGGTTTTTTGAAATTGGTGGGCATGATGGCATGCACCTATATCCTAGCTATTTGGGAGGCTGAGGCGAGAGGATTGCTTGAGCCCAGGAAGTGGAGGCTGCAGTGAGCTATGACTATATCACCACACTCCAGCCTGGGCAACAGAGTAAGACCCTATTTCAAAAAAATAAAAAGAAAAACAAATGAGCAAGAGATAAAAACAGTTAATTCACTGAAGAAGAAATGCAAATGGCCAGATAAACATACTGATAAAAAGGTGATTGAAGGGGATTTCTTACACATTGCAGGTATAAATTTTTCCAAATATTTTGGCAAACAATTTGACATTGTGTAGTAAAGTTGAAGACAGACATACCCTAAGACCCAGACAATTCAGTTCCAAGGCATTATATCCTAGTAAGAAATTCTTGCACATGTGCATGGGAGATATACCTAGGAATGTTTGCAGAAGATAAACATCCCTGGTAGATACATCTTACATTGTTACATACTAGTGGTATGAATTATACTGTCTTATCTCCTTAAGTGTCCATTTCCTCACCTATACATTCAAGATAAGTCTACCTAACAGAGTTGTTATGAGATTAAATGAAAAAAAGAAAAAGAAAAAATGCACTAAGGACACGGCTTAGAACACAGTAGCCATCATTTTTATTCTCAAACTTGCTGTCCCTGTTTCAGAGGTTTCTGTTGTGAAGGCCCTACATTATATTGTCTATCAGACCCAGCCCTATGTGTATAAAAAACCCCTCAGGTTGCCTCCCTTTCAGATATGATTTCCTTCCTATGACTAGAGGATCATGCAGGAGGAACTGAGTTAATCCCTTATCTCTTATATGAAGCAACTTGTTTTTTCTCTCATTTTATAGATGTTAGCATGTAAACTTACATAATTTGCTGAAATGTTCTGAAAACTCACACTGAGATCATATAAAATAAAGCCACACAATTTGTGAAAATAGCATGGTGGGTTTGTGGGTTTGTTGTGGGAGTGAGGAATTGAGCAGAGGGTTATAGAACCCAGCTCGGAAGTCTATGGGGTAGGTAGCCTAGCCTCTGTTTTCTCTCCATGGCAGAGATGCAAATAGGAGCTATAGTAGCTTAAGCTCCCTAAATTCCCCCAGATTGTGGAAATCTTCTTGGCCTTCTGTGGGAAATTATTCCATCAAGAAAGCAGGATAGGATAACAGAAAACAGTATTTCTGGAATTGTTTCCAGTACAAAACATCATGCTGGGGAAGGAGGAGCCAACAGAGCTGTATAATTGTGTGGAGCAATCTCACCTGTCCCACATATGGGTAGGCATCTTCAGAGTCAATACCCCGGTTCTTCTGCACATATTGGAAGGCATTGGTCATGTAGCCCCCTCCACAGCCATCATTCTCAGACACACAATCCACTAGGTTCTGGGGACTCAGATTTAAGAGTTTGCCAGTTTTCTTCTTGAGTTGGCCCTCCAGGGCACCCACAGAGCTAAAAGCCCAACAGGAACCACACTGACCCTGAAAGGCATACAGAGAAACTATCAATCTTTGCTGTTTACATTTTCTATATCTTCTCTCTACCTGCCTGAAGAAATTCCATGTGTTCTAAAAATTTCAGCACAAATGTTGTCATTGTTGTGAGTCTTCCTCTTCCGCTTAATATCTGTTGCACTGTTCTACTGCTATTGATTTTTGCTACCATTTTTACTATTAGCTACAGTAAAGCAGAGCACAGTACCAGCTGTGGAGGCATTTGTCCTGGGTGCTAACCCTGACTTTGCCACCCAGTAGCTATGTGACCCCGGGTAAGTTACTAAATTTGCCTGTGTCTCAGTTTCTCTATGCATAAAATATTGTTATAAGGATTAAATATTTAACTCATGTAAAGAGTTAAGAAGTTCCTGACAAACAATAAAATCTCAAAAAGTATTAGCTATTATTGTTTGTGCAGCTAGATTGTAGATTTTTCTTTCTTTCCTGTTCTATTTTTTTAGATTGAGATTTCCTGAGGACACAGGTTGTGTCTTAGTCATCTTGAGTCTCTGCTGCCTAACACTGCATCTGGTAGGTTCTGGGGGTCAAAAAGTGTTTGTTAAATGAACGTTAAATCAATTGTTTATCTTGCTGATACAATCCTGTGTTGTTTGGGTTGTGAAAAAACTGACATTCTCATGCTAGTAAGAATGTAAGATTGCAAAAACTTTTTTGGGCTGGGCATGGTGGCTCATGTCTGTAATCCTAGCACTTTGGGAGGCCGAAGCGGGCAGATTGCTTGAGCCCAGGAATTTGAGACCAGCCTGGGTAGCATGGCAAAACTCTGTCTCTACAAAAAATTTTTTAAAATTAGCTGGGTGTGGTGGCATGTGCTTCTAATCCCAGCTACTAGGGAGGCTGAGGTTGGAGAATCACTTGAGCCTGAGACGTTGAGGCTGCAGTGAGCCATGATTGCGCCACTGGACTCCAGCCTGGGTGACAGAGACGCTGTCTCAAAAAAAAAAAAAAAATTTGGGGGGGGGGAAAGGATTATTTGTGACCTAACAATTCCAATTTTAGGACTTATTTTGCATAAATATTTGTACATGTGCACAAAAACATATGCACAAGGGTGCTTATTGCAACACTATTTGTAATAAAGAAAAACCAGGCCGCGATGGCTCATGACTCTAATCCCAGCACTTTGGGAGGCTGAGGCAGGTGGATCACCTGAGGTCAGTTCAAGACCAGCCTGGCCAACATGGTGAAAACGCATCTCTATAAAAATAGAAAAATTAGCCAGGCGTAGTGGCGCGTGCCTGTAATCTCAGCTACTCAGGAGGCTGAGGCAGGAGAATCGCTTGAACCCGGGAGGTGTAGGTTGCAGTGAGCCAAGATTGCACCACTGCACTCCATCCTGGGCGACAGAGTGAGACTCTATCTCAAAAAAAAAAAAAAAAAAAAAAAAAGGAAAAGAAAAAGAAAAACCAGAAACAACCCAAATGTACAGAAACAAATGAGGTTAAATAACAGAATGGGAATGGGGAGATGTACCTTAATTCCTTGCCCTCTTTTCCTGGTGCCCTTTCACCTCAAGAACAAAGCAGCAGAAAAAGGAAAAGGTCATGCCAGATTACATATGCACACCCAGAAGAAAGGAGAGTACCTGATTTTTGACAGGAGTAACATATCCTTTCTTTCGATAGTCGACAGAGTCTGGGGCTCTACCTTCCCATTCTGGGATATAAAGGGTGTCATTACTGCGGGAATGAGACAGGGGTACTTTGAGTCCAGTCATCTTCTGAACCACCTCTTCACTGGTCTAAGACAAAGAAGAAAGAGGCCAGGCATCAGCAGGGAACTAAAGCAAATGGTGCAGGTGGGACAGGAGCTGAAGCTATACTTGCCATGTCCCCCAGGTGGTTCATAGCCAGTTCATATGTATGGACACCAAGAGAAGCCTCAAGGTTATGGATGGAAATATACTTCAGGTTTTTTTCCCAAATTAAACGCCGAGAGATTTCATCCACCTAAACAAAGCATAGTCAGTACTTGTATAGACTGTCTACAGTTACATATGTAATATTGTGAAGGGTTTTAGGAGAATAAAGGAAACTCACAATCATAAAAGTTTACAGTTTAGTTGGGGAACTAACCATGGAATTAAGAGCCTGCAAGAAGAGATAATATGTAAACAAATACAACACAAAGCTCTGGAGAGACAGAAAAATTGCTTATAGATTAACAGCATTAATCTTAGAACTCTTCCCAAAAGAGAAATGTAACACACTTATAAAGCAAAGGAAGGATACAGTTTGACAGAGGATGATTTGAAGCATAGGAATGAAAACCGTATGTTAACATGAGTTAGGGAAGAGGGACTGATTTGCTTGGAATAAAGCATTTGGATTGAAGAAGGGAGTCTGGAAGCTAAGATGAGAGAGCTCAGGTCTCAGCCTTCCTGCCATGCCCCCTCCAGGACCCCAGGCACCTTGTTGTTATATTGCTTCCTGTGGGTCTTCTTCCATAGCTCCCAGTGGGTGTCCAGTATCTCCTCAGGGTACAGAGCAAAGCTCACCACAGGTAGCAGCAGAACCTTGAGCCCCCACATCCTGCAGAAGAATGTAGTTAGGGAAAACTCTTCCATTTGGCAGGGAAACAGAGGAAAACTAGGCTTTATGAGGAAGAGAAAGGTAGACGGAAAAAGGGTGATAAAACAATGATAGTCAGGAGGGGCCTGTGTTTAGATAGGATGCTGGTACATCTGGTTCCAAGGACTTTGATCTAGGGGGATTTAGCCATTTCTCTCTTTCTCTCTCTCTCTCTCTCTCGGGAGATTTAGGCAACACACACTCTCTCTGTTTCTCTCTCTGTCTCTCTCTCTCTCACACACACACACACACACACACACACACACACACACACACACACGTACACAACCAGAAATGGGGGATAGAAACTGGACAATCAGAATGGGCTCAGTGCGTTTCCTCCAGGGTCCCTAGCAGGCTTGGAGACAGACAAATAGCAAGGTGGTAGTGGGGTTCAGAATACACAAAGGAGAGATTTCCGTCTAAGTTTTGCCTCCTGATCATTTCTTCGAGGCGTTCTTCTCTTTCGTGCCTAAATTCTGGTACTTTCCCAGATCTTGTCAGAAGAGGACAAGGGAAAATAGGACAATGTTTCCTGTTTTCTGAGACATTGTATATCTCCTCATTCTCCTTATGCATTTCTTCTTCCTTTTTCTCTCCCTTCCCTCCTTAGGCAGGAAACTGCCCTAATCTTAACCAGATGCTGCGGGCAAGGTTTTTTATTTTTCCCCTAACAACAAAAACCCACTGTGGCTGCCGCAAAGGACAAGAAGCCTCAGATCCAAGGTTTGTTAGAAGAATGTTCAGACTGAAAAGCAATGTTCTATGATGATGAAATTCACAGCTTTTCATAAGTTTACTCTAGTTAGCTTCACTCATTTCTTGCATTGGCTTTCTTAATTACAAATCCTCCATTTTAAGAACAATTTGCAGCCTGCAGCATGACATATGGCTTACACAATTGCTTATAGTCCATTTACATGTAATTTTGCAAACTGGCAAAATGTCCAGTAGGACATTTAAAAACTAGAGTGTTAAGGGCTTTGAGATGTCTCAGTGAACAGGAAGCACTGAGCTACTACCTCCCCATACCACTCTCCTCCTCCTCACTAAGGAGTTAACCGTTTTGATCCTTGTTGGCCAAAGTAGAAAACACTGCAGAAAGGCCACTCTTGAAGGATGGGGAAATGATTCCCTATATACTTTGCTTTTACTAACAATCATGTATGTATATATATAAATCATACAAGGAATTCTACAGATTTCCAGGCAGATTTTATTTAGCCAGGGAATGACCTAAGAAGTGCATCTCTGTTTTCATCTGCAGAGGCTAAAAGTTTATTGTGATCCTCAAGTCACTACATCCCTAATACTCAGAGAATTGACAGGAATGAAAAGCTAAAAGATCTAGGAAGTTGCAAACGTTACCTGCTGATGGAAATCTGTTGTCTGGCTTCGTTTCGGCAGCAAAGTGTGGGCACACCATCAGGGGTGCTAGATTTATTCCATCGGGATTGCGGAAGTCAGCTCCAGTGATCGGCTGGAAAATTTGGGTAAGAGGAGGAGGCGGGGATAGAAATGCTGAGAGAAGGAAGGGTAGGGAGGAGGGAAGGAGGCAGTGGATTTGCAGTGTTTCTGTGTGTATGCAGCATGTGTGCCAGGGTAGGGAATTACTAGCTATTTAGTCTCACAAGACTGTCTTTGGTGGCAAATAACAAGACCTCAATATCTATTGACTCAAATAGGAGCTTACTTTCTCTTTTGGTGAGTAAAAGGAAGGACACAGCCCTAGTCTCTCCCATCCTTCTTCTTCAATATCTTTATTTTAATATTGGGGGATTATATCTTTTCCTACCCCTTTCCTGTTAGGATTTACCTCTCCAACATTGAAACCTATTTTCATATTTGTGTCTGACTCTCACCTCTGGGATGCGGTAATGAACATAAAAGGCTATAAAAGAATAATGTAATGGAAGCCATAGGCTCCAGAATTCTTTGTATTTTTATAAGCTTGTTGGTTGCAAGTTGTCATTACTTCCAGGCAGAATAGTTTTCCCAGCCTAATGTGGTTTTGCTGAAGGAGGATATGCCCAGAAAGTCCAGATGAAACTGTCTTTAAAAGTAACCAAAAACAGCAGTCCTGGTTATTTATGACAGCACTTGAATCAATGCCGTAAGTTCTGATGGACTCACATGTGACTCTGTTGCTAAAACTCTCAGGTGGTGGGATGCCCGATAAACATCATCTGTCTCAATTAAAATCCCCAATCTAGGACAAGTCACATGAGCTTCTCCAAATGCTTCCCCAACATCCAAGCATGTGACAGATCATAAGAATCTAGCTGATTCCTCAAACCACACCCCAAACTTCATTTTCTTCCATAAACAGATGTGGGGAAGGAGAAAAAAAGGCTTCTTGGAATAGAAAGGATAATAAATGGGATCTGTAATAGACTCAGTTTCTAGCTGGATTCCATGCATAAACCCTCAAAAATACAGGCTTATGCCTCTGGATTTTAAGAGCTGCTAACAGGCTAGGCGCAGTGGTTCACGCCTGTAATCCCAGGCCTTTGGGAGGCCAAAGCATGTGGATCACCTAAGGTCAGGAGTTCGAGACTAGCCTGGCCAACATATAGTGAAACCCCATCTCTACTAAAAAAAAAAAACACAAAAATTAGCTGGGCATGGTGGCACACACCTGTAGTGCCAGCTACTTGGGAAGCTGAGGCAGGAGAATTGCTTGAACCCAAGGGGCAGAGGTTGCAGTGAGCCAAGATCGTGCCACTGCACTCCAGCCTGGGTAACAGAGCGAGACTCCATCTCTCACACACACACACACACACACACACAAAAAAAAAAAAAAAAAAAAAAGTTGCTAATGAACCAACATAGTCTCCTAGAGGGAAACCAGGTCCAGACTTGAACAGTTTAAATTTCACTCATTTTAATCCAGAAAAGGACATACTGGGGGAAGGCATCCAGATGTGCCCTAGTGGTTTTCAAGTCCCGACTCTTCCCCTCTCTCCCAAGAACCCAGGCAACGCCCACCCCAAAACCCCCACCTCATGGTCAGAGCATTCCTGCTGATGTTACTCAGAATGTGTCAGGATCAGGAGGACAAGTGAGGGGGGAGGCGTGCAATGTGATCAGAACCCTATGATTTCTGATTCCTGAAATTAAAGACACAATGTGCCTTATGTTTGTATGTCTGGAGCTTAAACTATAGATTCCTCTGGTTGTGGGTGCCTGTTGTTTATGAACTGGAAAGGAATGATAAAGCCGCAATCAAGATCACACAACACAAGAAATTTTACAAAAGGAAAAAATATTTTGTTTGAAAATCTTTGCTACATGTCATTATTTTTGCCACTGTAAAGCTTAGCACAGATGCCAGCAATACAGAAATGGCCAACAAGAAAACAAAACAGTCAAAAATAAAACCCTGAAGGAAAAGCAAAAACAAAACCCCCAGAGCATCTTCTCGCTATCCTCCCCTTCCCCAAAAGCCCTATAATAACTGTACAATATTATAGTCCTGATCACATTTAAAAAGTCGATTATTAAAAAACAAGGGTTCCATTGGAAACTCAACTTTTTGGTTTCGTAAATTGTGATATAAATATATATGTATACTGTAAGTGTGCACATAGAATAAAAAAATAAACTGTCTCCTTTTTTACTCCACTACCTGGCACCAGACTGGAGACATAAGGAAGGGAAACTCAGCAAATGGACATTCCTTTGGCCTCTTCAAGGCCACCCTTGCTCCTCAGTCCCCTATGACTACATTTAATATATCTTCTCATTAATTCAGTCTTGCACTTTAGCTACTGGCCAAAGCCAATTTAAAAAAAAAAAAAAAAAAGCTGGTATCTACGACTGTTACCTGAGGAAGGTAAAGGGTGAGGGTAGTAACCTGTATCCGCATTTATATGGCTATTGTTAATTACCAAGTGACCCTGTTGAGATGGGTGTCCAGGCCCCATCTATCATACGGAATTATGATACTTGCACTCTAAAGCAAAACCCAATCTCAAGATTGGAGGGAGCAAAGAGGAAAAACCTCTTAGGGCCAGAGAGACTTAAATCTCAGTTGCTTGCTAAACTGGGTATTTTGAGTATGGGATGAAAGAGGCTACTTTGCAAGAGGGCTTCGTATTTGGTTTACACTCCAACAATGAGGATTTTCACTGGGACGGCTAATCCAAGAAGTTGAGTTTCCATGCAGAAATAACCTCTACAGAACACACATCATATGTGATTCTGACAGAAAAATGCAGCATTATCTTTATGGCCAAGTCTCGGGTTCCAGAAAGTGTTTATCTTGCCAGCCTATTTAGGTAATGTTTGCAGATCTTCCAGATAAGGTGAGAGCACCAAAAGCAGCAGTAACCCAGCTTTATCACTGAATGTGTTCGATAACAGACAATCGTATCAACAGCCGACTTTCTATATTTGCTTTACAGTTGTATATTGGCTGGGCATGGATGCAAGCGCAGCAAAGACGTTTATTTAAATATTCTTTGGCTGCAATACTAAGTGGAAAATACCTGGAAGATTTAACTCCTTAGGACTCTTTGAAAAGTACACAGAAAGACAAAGGTAAAATCGGGGACAAATTTTGCATAACTCCCTAATAGGGAGAAAGAGTGAAATACAGAAGCATGTGTGCGCACACACACACACACACACATACACACACACTCTCTCTCACTTACTCACATGTTTCTTTCCAGAGGGACTGCTCACAGGCAGCAAAAAGAGCCTATGCTCAAACTTGCTAAAGCCCCATATATACCTACAATGTTTCATGGTCCTCAAATATGAGGACATTTCTCCTCTCCTCCACTCTCTTCAGAATTTCTTTCCAAAAACAAGCCATACTATCCAAGGCAAACAGTGGATGTCAGGTTCTTCTAACCTGCCTCTTGATCTCAGCACAAATCAACACTATACAATTTCAGGTCAGGAGACATAAGGAAAGGTGTTTTAACTTCACCCAGCCTCAAATTTTCAGACAGTCCTAAAAGCCTTGGAGATTCATTCCATTTCTTCTATAAATGTTACCTTAGAGAGGCAACAGAGCAGGGGAACAGCCAGAAGGGAAAGGGGGTACATGTCAGGGGTGAGGGAAGGGAAGGGAGAGGAACTTTTATTCTGTTTACAGAAAGATTTGCTTTTTAAAAACAAACAGTGATTTTTTCTCCCCCACCCCTTATCCTCACCCCAATAGTTCTATTCTGAAAAGGGGGGAAACATAGTTAGATCAGGGAATTCTTCATTGTTGTAGCTGTTGCTCTGATCTCCCAGCATGGACAGCATCTCCTGATAAAAGAAAAAGATTAAGTTTGGGTCACACACCTTGATCTCTTACACTTACCAAGTTCTACTCCACCATTCCCCTGCACTACCATCCCTGACCCCGAGTCTTTGCTGTGCTGAGCTCTTAGCCTTCCTTACTTCCAACAACTTTGACTCCTTTAGATCGCAGCCTTTTTTCCTAATCCCTTCTGTCTTCCTCCTACAGTTCCACCTTTTTCCTTTTCCTAGTTCTCAATATTTTCAAAGGGAGAAAAATCTGCTTGCTGTATTTCATATAACCCCCTATAGACATATATGGAGTCTCTTATCCTATTTGTTTTCCACCAAGACCTGTTTTGCTTTCTTTCAATCTTTGCTTTAAACCAGCTCTTCCTTTGTCCTGCCTAAGATTACTCCATTCACTCTTGCAGTCCCTCAGGACTTGTGTAAATAGACCATTATGGCTATAATCATTATGTTCTATTTCATTTACTTTTTATAATTTTTTAAATGGAACACTTCATGAATTTGTGTGTCATCCTTACGCAGGGGCCATGCTAATCTTCTCTATATTCATTCCAATTTTAGTATATATGCTGCTGAAGCGAGCACTACTTTTTATTTTTAATCATTCTGTCTCTTTTAAACCCAAAGCTACTGTGACTTGGGTATATGGAGCTATTTGAATGAGCTAAAGTAACTTTCTTTGGCATCTTCCTATGGTGCTAAATTTGTCTGTTCTGGTTAAATGGTATGTATCACACTCAATTCATACTCCTTTTTTGTTTGTTTGACAGGGACAGGATCAGGCTAGTTGCTCAGCCTGGCTTTGAACTCATGGCCTCAAGTGATCCCCTGCTTCAGCCTTCTAAGGGGCTGACATCATATACACAAGCACCACTGCATCTAGCTTCTGCAATCTTTTCAATAACTGACAGTGATCCCTACATTTATCCCTCTCTGTCTTCTCACATATACCCCCAACCAAACACCTCAATCCAGGCATGCTTCCTTCACTGTCTCTCCTCCTCCTGGACCCTTTCTCTCCCAGCTTCTAATTTTTGAAAGTCTTTTCACTCTCTTACCTGGAAGACCTCAGGCTGGCCAGGTTGCTGTGCTGGCGGTTGTTGAACATGTTGCTCACTAGAACTTGAACGATGATGAGGCTGCTGGCCCTGCCACTGTGGCCAGACACCCACACCCTCTGCTGTCCGTGTCTGGAATTGTCCTGCAGTCTGTCCAGTCTCAGGAGCTAGAAATACAGCAAGGAAGAATAAACAACTCCAATCTACACAATTCCATTGTGTACTAATGCCACAAGTAAACAACTATAGGTAAGCCATTAATTTTACCTAGGATAACTCTGTCCTTCTCTCTGCCAATCAATGCCTTTTCTATCTCAAAACTCAGCCCTAAATTAATTCTTCTTCTCCAGGCAGCCTTTCCATAGAGTTCTTTACTCATTTAGGTTAAATGTGCATACTATTAAATGTATAAAAATTCACATGATTTTTGTTATATGTGCTAAAGTATTTTTCATGTGGGTAGTTTTTTTTTTTTATTTTTTATTTTTTTGAGACGGAGTTTCACTCTTGTTGCCCAGGCTGGAGTGCAAAGGCGCGATCTCAGCTCACCGCAACCTCTGCCTCCTGGGTTCAAGCGATTCTCCTGCCTCAGCCGCCCGAGTAGCTGGAATTACAGGCATGCGGTACCACACCCGGTAGAGACAGGGTTTCTCCATGTTGGTCAGGCTGGGGTTGAACTCCCAACCTCAAGTGATCCGCCTGCCTCAGCCTCCCAAAGTGCTGGTATTACAGGCGTGAGCCACCGCACCCAGCTGGTAGGTTTTAAATTCTAAATAGATTGTCACCTTGCATTTCCCTACAATCAGGTCAGTGTACCCACAACACAGGCAAACAACTTTAACTACCAAATCCTTTCTCTTTAGTGGTGCGATTTTCCTGTTACTCTCCTTATGGTCTGGACTCACCAAAGTTAGATCCACGATTGGTGAGACTAGGGTAGGCAGCAGCACCAGGCGATGCAGTTGGGGCACCAGGGAGGGACATGGAGCTGAAGGAGGATGGAGTCTGAAAGCTGCCCACACCAAACTGGGAAGTACGAGTCTTAGCAGTAGCCTGGGTAGCCACCTGCTAAAGAGAGATGGAGAGGGGATATAGAACAAATACAGCATTAACATCATTGCACATACCATGCCTATGAGAGTCAACACTGTCAATCACTGCATCCTTCTGAACCAAGCTCATCACTTATTTCCTATTGTATATTTCTTCCAATTAACTCTCAATCTCTCTTGACACTATTTTTTAGGCAGCTGAGATAAAATTACAAAAAAGCAATGAACTATGGGATTAATAAAAATTGTAAGAATTAAATGAAAGCATCTTATAAACTGTGAAGTTATATAAAACTAGAGGCATTCATAACAGTAAAGTATTATATGCAGGCCAGGCGGGGTGGCTCATGGCTCATGCCTATAATCCCAGCACTTTGGGAGGCCAAGGCAGGCAGACCACCTGAGGTGAGGAGTTCCAGACCAGCCGGGCCAACATGGTGAAATCCCCGTCTCTACTAAAAATACAAAAATTAGCTGGGCATGGTGGCACGTGCCTGTAATCCCAGCAACCCAGGAGGCTGAGGCAGGAGAATCACTTGAACCCGGGAGACAGAGGTTGCAGTGAGCCAAGATCGCGCCACTGCACTCTAGCCTGGGCAACAGCGAGACTCTGTCTCAAAAAAACAAACAACAAAAAAAGTACCATATGCAGAGAAAAACTACTCTGCACCATTATTCTGTCTGTTCTGCATTCATTTGTTCCTAATGATGTATTTTTTATAAAAACTATTTTCTCATGAGAGTTCTGTATATGCATTATAGAATATTCAGAAAGTGAAGGAAAATATAAAGAAAATAAGAATCATTCATAATTCCATGGTTAACATGTTTGGATAATTTCTTCCAGTTTCTATTTTCTCATGCATTTTGTACACAATTGAGATCGTATTGCATATAACATTCTGGAACCTGCTTTTGGTTTTGACTTTTTAAAACTATTACTTGTATAACATAAATATATAGTAATATTAAAGAATCTTTCTTTAGACAGTGTATTTATTGTGCGTTATATTATATATATGAATATTATAAAAGAATTTTTCGGCTGGATGCGGTGGCTCATGCCTGTAATCCCAGCACTTTGGGAGGCCGAGGAGGGCGGATCACGAGGTCAAGAGATCAAGACCATCTTGGCTAACACGGTGAAATGCCGTCTCTACTAAAAATACAAAAAATTAGCCAGGCGTGGTGGCGAGCACCCTGTAGTCCCAGCTACTCGGGAGGCTGAGGCAGGAGAATGGCATGAACCCAGGAAGCGGAGCTTGCAGTGAGCCGAGATCGCGCCACTGCACTCCAGAGCCTGGGCAACAAAGTGACAGTCTGTCTCAAGAAAAAAAAAAAAAAAGAATTTTTCAGCCAGGCGCGGTGGCTCACGCCTGTAATCCCAGCACTTTGGGAGGCTGAGGTGGGCGGATCACAAGGTCAGGAGGTTGAGACCATCCTGGCTAACATGGTGAAACCCCATCTCTACTAAAAATACAAAAAAAAAAAATTAGGCGCAGTGGCGGGCGCCTGTACAAGTCCCAGCTACTTGGAAGGCTGAGGCAGGAGAATGGCGTGAACCCGGGAGGCAGAGCTTGCAGTGAGCCAAGATCGCACCACTGCACTCTAGCCTGGGCGACAGAGCAAGACTCTGTCTCAAAAAAAAAAAAAAAAAGAATTTTTCAACTTTTTTGTAAACAGACATCACTGTAAGTTAGTCATTAATTTTCTCCTTTGCTCCTGCCTTATGGAGTCCTAAACAAAGAGGAAACATCTTAGAATTTACTCCAAAACAAATCTGAAAATCAGACGTGCTCAAAACGTTCCAAGTGAGCAATTCTGATTTAAGGTGAAAACCACAGACTCTACTGAGATTTTTTTTTATTATCTGTGATTTTTAATTAGCTACTCTCAACAAAGATGGAAATTGGAAACCGGAGAACAGGGGTTGGGGAGAAGGTATTTAAAATAGAAAACACTGATTTTACATACGGAAAAAAGCCCAAACAAACAAAAAATAATACACAGGGAACACACAGATGATAAGTTTTACCTGGGCAGAAAAGCCTGAGCGGGTAGTAGGGGTCCAAGTTGGGGTTGCTCCTTGGGTGGGGTTGGAGTGGCGGGAAATCTGGGCCAACATCTGTCCTGCAGAAGCTGATGGCTGGACAATGGTTACAGGAGGGGCTAGGCCACTATTCCTAGGAGTGAATAAATGAGGTAAAAGATTAAAAGGATAGATTTATCACAGAAGCTAGGAATCAAAGGACAATCTAGTGCTATCCCTAGATCCCCTTGACTTCCTGCAGGTTAAGGAAAATTTGATAACAATTTGGAAAAGACAAGAAAGACTGACAGTCACACACTGACCAGGACACACAGAGATGGAGCCTAGAACATGGCAATAGGACAGGTGCAAAGAAATAGGAGGAAGAAAAGCAGCTTGTTTGCCTCACGCTAGGCCCTACAAGCTTCACTGCTTTTTCTGAAGTAACCAGAGAAAGCAAGGGAAGAATAAAATTTGGATTCAGCAGCTGAATCCCTCAGGGCCCTGTAAAGCAGCACATATATACGGGGCTCACCTGAAATTCTCTGCCGGCCGGGGGGTAGGAGGGAATGTGTTGCCCTGGGAGAATAGCTGTTGGGTGGCAGGGACAGTGCTGGAGGAGATGCCTTTACTCTGATCTGTGGACCAAAAGGAGTTGGGGAAGGGCCAGTCAAGGGGCTGTAGTATATTAGTTCAGCAAGTTCCTATTTACTCAGGTGGTATTATGATTAAGTGGAAAAACACTGGAAGATTACTGACTGGGCAGTGGCATGCCCATCAGTAAGTGATCTAAATGAGAATTTAAAAGGATAATGAGAAAGAAACATACCCGCATTGATGTTGTGATAGATTTCTGAAAATCTTGGATCTCTATCCTGGGCAAATAAACCATCTGACTTCTCAAGGGGCTTGCTGTGTTCTGGTCCTGTGGTTGTCACAGGCTGAACCACCTGTGGAATACAATGATAAAAATAACCATTAAAGATTTAACATGACAATTCAATAACCCTAAAATTCATATACAACATATGTACATTCTAACTAGTACCGGAGAACACTTCCTAAGTAAATACTCCCTACCCTCTTCAACGAAGAGGACACAACTCACCTGGGAATGATTGTAGCTGGCCAGTCCATCTCTTCCTGGTACCATGTCCAATTCTGTTTGCTGTTGCTGCTGCCTATATGTCAAAGGCCAGTTGACAAGACAAATAGAAAAAAAAATTTTTTTTAAAAAAGAATCTGGAGAAAGAACCTTAAAACAAATTAAACAGGCCGGGCATGGTGGCTCATGCCTGTAATCCCAACACTTTGGGAGGCCGAAGCAGGTGGATCACCTGAGGTCAGGAGTTCGACACCAGCCTGGCCAACATGGCAAAACCCCGTCTCTACTAAAAATACAAAAAATTAGCCGGGGGTGGTGGCAGGCACCTGTAATCCCAGCTATTTGGGAGGCTGAGGCAGGTGAATCACTTGAACCCAGGAGACAGAGGTCACAGTGAGCCTAGATCGTGCCATTGTATTCCATCCAGCCTGAGCAATGAGAGCAAAACTCCTTCTCAAAAAAAAAAAAAAAAAATTAACCAACCGAACAAAAAATATATGGGATTGCAAATGACCACCCCCTGGGTGACTGCTCAACAGATGATTATTTCACCCTTTTTTACCTGGGTGCCAGCTGTCCTGAGCCCATCTCCAGGGGTAAATTAGCTGTGGGACCTAGTTGTGGCCTCTGGATTGTGTTGGAGAGTGTAGGCCGTGGTTCTTGGCTAGAGTTCCTAGGAAACCAGAGTAGACAGTAAAGAGGGGGTGGAGAGGGAGGAAGGGGGGAGAGAGAGAGAAAGAGAAGAATAAGATTCTGTATGTAAAGCTCTATAGATTCATCTGTAGGTGGAACAATCAATAAATCCTTCATTAAAGTCCTATCCTATAGTTAATCTAGGGTGTCAGTTTCAGCAAACAGAAACCATGTTCTATGACACAGGGGTCATCTTGTTGGGTTCTAACTCCTTCTAGGTATTCAAAACCTGGTTATTGTGAATGTGTGTATATATTCATATAAGGTATTTTTTAAAAGCATAGGTAAAAAAATGAAAGTACATACACTGTACATCAACAAAGACTATCTGGAGTGTGAGAATTTTATTCCTTCTCTTTGTATTTTTCAATACTTTCCACATTTTCTATAAAGAATATTTATTTAAAAATAAAATACTGGCCAGGCACGGTGGCTTACACCTGTAATCCTGGCACTTTGGGAGGCTGAGGCAGGGTGGATTGCTTGAGCTCAGGAGTTTGAGACCAGCCTGGGCAACATGGTGAAGCTCCGTCTCTACAAAAAATACAAAAATTAGCAGGCGTGGTGGCGGGCTCCTGTAGTCCCAGATACTCAGGAGACAGATGGGAGGATTGCTTGAGCCTGGGAGGCGGAGGTTGCAGTGAGCTGAGATAGCGCCACCGCACTCCAGCCTGGGTGACAGAGTGAGACACTGTCTCAATGAAACAAACAAACAAACAAATCCCTAAAAGCTAATTAAAATTAATCATGGTAGGGAAAATGATACATAAACATGGAGAAAGCAATTATTTCCAGAAACTCGAGTCCTTCAAACAACTTAAATTTTTAAAAATTTAAACAAAATGGAAACACAAAAATGAAGGCTGTTGTGTAATATAAAGATGCAAAGAGACAAAAATAAAGAACTACAATGACCATGACCATCCACTTGAGTCCTAAGTTAATAAAAATTTCTAACTCAATCCACTCTGTTATACTAAGTTAGTTAGCAAAGAATTAAACTTTACAAGTTCTAAAGACTGAATTGGACAAAACTTGTCACTAGGTATTATTCATATTTGCTAAGTAGTCATAATCTGATCTTCAAGAGGTGGATTCAAGGCCAATTCTACAGAAAGAAAAGATTAAATGGCAAGGTGGTAACCTGACAATTGATACCTACTAGATGGCTACAATAAAAAAAAAAAGGCAATAACAAGTGTTAACAAGGATGTGGAGGAATCAGAGCTCCTGGGAATGCAAAATGATGGGGCAGCTTTGGAAAACAGTTTGGCAGTTCCTCAAAAGGTAAAACAGAGTTACTATGTGGCCAGCAATTCCACTCCTGGGTGGAATTCAAGAGAATAAAAACATATATCCACATAAAAACTAGTAAACAAATATTCATGAAAGCATTTTTTCAGTTCCTTATCCCTATTTTACATATGGAAGCATTTTTGATAACCAAGAAGTAGAAACAACCAAATGTCCATTAACGAACATACAGACAGTATGTGGTATATCCATACAATGAAATCTTATTTGGCAATAAAAAGAAATGAAGTACTGATACATGCTACAACATGTATCAGTACAGATAACCTCTGTAAACATTATACTAAGTAAAATAGGCCAGTTACAAAGGAATTACAAAGTCTATGATTCCATTTATACGAAAAGTCTAGAATAGACAAATTTATAAAGACAACAGATTCATAGTTATACAGAATTTCAGAGCCGGGGGAAAGAACAGGGAATGACTGTTAACTGATCTAGAATTTCTTTTGGGGGAATGAAAATATTCTGAAATTAGACTGCAGTAAGAGTTACATAACTATGTGATATACTAAAAAACACTGTATACTTTAAATGAGTGAGGTATATGGTATGTGAAATATATCTCATAAAACTTTTTAAAAAAGAAACTGAGAAAGAAAACTCAAATAGAAAAGTGCAAAAGAGAGGAACAGTAACTAATGAAAGAGGAGGATGTAGCTATGCTCTAAAGAAAACTGACCAAATCAGGCCCACTGCCTGTTTTTCTAAATAAAGATTTACTGGAACACAGCCCCATTCTTTCATTTGTCTATGACTGTTTTCATGCTACAGCAGAGTTGAGTAGGTGGAATAAAGACCACATGGCCCACAAAGCCTAAAATATTTACTATCTAGCCCCACTTATAGAAAGAGCTTGCCTACCCCTGCTCCAGAGGAAAATCCTGCCAGACTAGAGCAATAAACTGGTGTACAAAACATAGTCCTTTCCAGAAAGAGTTGATACATAGAATTGAAACTAAACCCTTCCATCTCAGGACCTAGTCTCTGAATTATTGTTTGTAAAATCTTACTCTGGCCAGGTGCAGTGGCTTACGCCTGTGATCCTAGCACTTTGGGAGGACGATGGACTGCTTGTGCCCAGGAGTTTAAGACCAGACTCTGCAACATGGAAAAATCCCATCTCTACAAAAAATACAAAAATTAGCCAGGCGTCTTGGTAGATGTCTGTAGTCCCAGCTACTCAGGGGACTGAGGTGGGAGGATCACTTGAGCCTGGGAGGTTCAAGCTGCAGTGAGCCATGATCACACCACTGCATTCCAGCCTGGGTGCCAGAGCGAGACCCTGTCTGAAAAAACAAAACAAAACAAAACAAAACAAAAAAACCTTACTCTACTCTGATCAACTATCCCAAATCCTATAAGCTGGAAAATGAAGAACTTCAAACTAATGGTGTTTAATACTAGAAAAGTAGAGGAGAAAGGGATAGCTTGATAAGACTAAGAAGAGTTGGTACATTAGAAATCCCAACATTGGAAAATGCCTATGTGATATTATGAAATACAACTGATTGCTCAACATGGAGGCTAGGGGCACTGACCCCTGTGCCATCGAAAATTCGACTGTAAACTTCTGACTCTCCCAAAACGTTACTACTAATAGCCTACTGTTGGCCAGAAGCCTTACCAATAACATAAGCAGTTGAACACGTTTTGTATGTTGTACGTATTATGTACTGTATTCTTACAATAAAGCTAAAGAGAAAATGTTATTAAGAAAATCATAAGGAAGAGAAAATGCATTTACAGCACTGTACTGTATTTATCGTTATCATAAGCTTATATCATCTTACAAGATGACTTACAAGATGAGTCATCTATATGAAGTGGCAAGCAACCACAGCTGCAGACTTCATTCTATAGTACATATCAAGCAATTCACCTTTTTCTTATAATGTCATGACTTTTCCCTGCTTCTTGGGAAGACTTCCAGCATCACTAGTGGCACTTCATACTGTTCCCAAATGTTATTCAAGGTTTCAGTATTGCACTCAACACGATGAAAAATATGCAAGAACCATGAGATTTCACTGTTTACTGCAATATGCAATTTACTGGAGTGAATTGCTCATGAAGAGATGATTAGCATCACACAGCATTTTAAGCAAACTGGCAACAATTGAGCAATAGGTGGCTACCAAATTATTACAACAGTACAGTATATACTATAGTTAACTTTACGCGGTTATGATTTAAAACTGCATCTTTACATTTGTTTACATTTCTCTCAACTACAAATGGTGCCATTGTACAAACGGTGTGTATGTATACGTTGTGATACATTTTTATTTTTATTTTTTTTGAGATGGAGTCTCCCTCTGTCACCCAGGCTGGAGTGCAGTGGTGCGATCTCAGCTCACTGCAACCTCCACCTCCCAGGTTCAAGTGATTCTCATACCTTAACCTCCCAAGTAGCTGGGACTATAGGCGTGTGCCACCATGCCCAGCTAATTTTTGTATTTTCTTTTTTTTTTTTTTTTTTTTTTCAGTAGAGACAGGGTTTCACCATGTTGGCCAGGCTGGTCTCGAACTCCTGACCTCAAGTGATCTGCTCAACTTGGTATCCCAACTTGGTATCCCAAAGTGATAAAGTGATGGGATTACAGGTGTGAGCCACTGCACCTGTCCAGCATTTTTACTTTTTATAATAGATTTGTATATGTTGTATGGTAGTAAATGATAAAATAGACTAGAATTTATATATATTTAATACATTCATGTATGACATGGCTAACTTTTTCTAATTTTTTCAATATATCCAGGCTATGTAGCTTATTTTTGGGTTTTTCAAATTGTCACAAATATCAAAAGAATTTTCTAATATATTTACTGAAAAAAATCCATGTATAAGTGGACCTGGATTTTTACCAATTAAAATCTTTGGAATCTTCAGTGTGATAAGTGTCTTTTTGTCTGCTAATGAGTTGACTGAGGGCTGGCAACCCCTAGGTAGCTTCAAGATGGGGGCTCATCTCTGGAAAGATCAAGGTAAAATTAGAGGGCTGGGACTTTTAGCCCTAACCCTCAACCTCATGGAGGGGAGCCGGTACCTAAGGTTAAGTTGATTACCAATGGCCAATGATTTAATCACTCATGGCTACATAATGAAATTTCCATTAAAACCCAAAAGGACTGGGTTTGAGGAGCTTCTTGATAGGTAAACACATGGAGATCCCCGGAGGGTAGCCCACCCAGAAAGGGTCTGAAAGCTCTGCACTCCTTCCTCCTTACCTTGCCCTATCTATCTCTTCATCTGATGTACAAAGTATCCTTTGTAATATCCTTTATAATAAACTGGTAAACATAGGTAAATGTTCCCTGAGCCATTCAAGCAAATTGACTGAACCCAAGTAGGGGGTCATGGGAGACAGCTGGTCAGTCAGATGCACAGGTAAAACAACCTGGGGCTTGCAACTGGCATCAGAAGTGGGAGCAGTCTTGTGGTACTGCATACACAAATTGGGGGATCTGATGCTATCTCCAAGTAGATAGTGAACTGAATTGAATGGAAGGACACCCAGCTGGTGTCCACTACTGATTGCTTGATTTCTTTTTTCTTTTTCTTTTTTTGAAATGGAGTCTCGCTCTGTAGCCCAGGCTGGAGTGCAGTGGCATGATCCCAGCTCACTGCAACCTCCACCTCTCAGGTTCAAGTGATTCTCCTGTCTCAGCCTCCAGAGTAGCTGGGACTACAGGCACATGCCACCACGCCCGGCTAAATTTTTGTGTTGTTGCTTGATTGTTTACCCCCCACATAGGGCATCAGAAGTGTTTTCTGTTGTGAGAACAGAGGAAAAACAGTTTTTTCACACTCCTGTATAATACATACTTCACATTGGTGTTGGTACAGATGATGTACTCAATTTCATCTGAGTAAGGGTTCTGGAAAGTAAAGGAGCTGGTTCTCATCCAGAGCCATTCTTGGTTCTTAGACCGGAACCGGAACATGACAGACAGCACTTGGCCTTTTAATTTCACTACCTGAAAAAGTTTTCATGCCATCAGTGGAACTCATAGAAAATTTTCATTACAAAAATAAATAAAAATTTTCCAATTTCTATAACCCTAAAACTCTTGTCATTGTCCTTGAGGCACCAATATTTTTCAATATTAAAACAAAATGAGAGTAAAAACTAAGTGATTAAACATGGAAGCATATTTCTCATGCTTCCTTTCAGAGACTTAAGCTTTTTTTTTTTTTTTTGAGACGGAGTCTCCCTCTGTCGCCCAGGCTGGAGTGCAGTGGCACGATCTCTGCTCACTGCAACCACCACCCCTCGGGTTCAAGCGATTTTCTTGCCTCAGCCTCCCGAGTGGCTGGGACTACAGGCGCGTGCCACCACGCCCAGCTAATTTTTTGTATTTTTAGTAGAGACGGGGTTTCACCATGTTAGCCAGGATGGTCTTGATCTCCTGACCTTGTGATCCGCCCGCCTCGGCCTCCCAAAGTGCTGGGATTACAAGTGTGAGCCACCGTGCCCAGACTTTTTTTTTTTTGAGACGGAGTCTCGCTCTGTCACCAGGCTAGAGTGCAGTGGCGCAATCTCGGCTCACTACAACCTCCGACTCCCTGGTTCAAGCGATTCTCCTGCCTCAGCCTCCCAAGTAGCTGAGATTATAGGCACGTGCCACCACGCCCAGCTAATTTTTGTATTTTTAGTATAGACGGGGTTTCACCATGTTGGCCAGGATGGTCTCGATTTCCCGACCTCGGGATCCGCCTGCCTCGGCCTCCCAAAGTGCTAGGATTACAGGCGTGAGCCACTGAGCCCGGCCAGAGACTCAAGCTTTCTTATTAGGTTGGTGCAAAAGTAATTGCATTTTTTGCCATTTAAAAAAATGGCAAAAAATCACAATTTCTTTTGCACCAACCTAATACTATTCTAGTCAAATAGGAATAATAACTTATTTCCAGGAAGGAAAAGACTGTTTCCCTACTTCCCTTGGGAAATCCATTAAAGATACTCTGACCTAGCTTTACAAGTCTATACCAGAAATTTGGTAAGTTTAAGGACACAGAATATAGCTTATATATTGCTCTTCAATCCTATTTTTTCCCCGAAACCTGAGAACATCTGTTTTCTTTTCTTTTTCTTTTTTTTTTTTTTTGAGATGGAGTCTCGCTCTGTCGCCAGGCTGGAGTGCAGTGGTGCAATCTTGGCTCACTGCAACCTCGCCTCCAGGGTTCAAGTGATTCTCCTGCCTCAGCCTCCTGAGTAGCTGGGGACTAGAGGCGTGCACCATCACGCCCAGCTAATTTTTGTATTTTTAGTAGAGACGGGTTTTCACCATGTTGGCTAGGCTGGTCTCAAACTCCTGACCTCAAATGATCCGCCTGCCTTGGCCTCCCAAAGTGCTGGGATTATAGGTGTGAGCCACTGCACCCAGATGAGAGCATCTGTTTTCACAGCATCTACAGAGGTTTCCATAAATAAAATTAAGTTGGCTTTAGTCTTGTTTTGCTTTTATTTTTTAAAAGTAATTTTAGTTATTTTATTTTTTATTTTATTTTATTTTTAGACAGTCTTGCTCTATCGCCCAGGCTGGAGTGCAGTGGGGCAATCTTGGGTCACTGCAACCTCTGCCTCCTGGGTTCAAGCAATTCTCATGCCTCAGCCTCCCAAGTAGCTGGGACTACAGGCATGAGCCACCATACCCGGCTAATTTTTGTATTTTTAGTAGAGACAGGGTTTCAAGATGTTGGCCAGGCTGGTTCAAACTCCTGGCTTCAAGTGATCACCTGCCTCAGCCTCCCAAAGTGCTGGGATTACAGGCATGAGCGACCATGCCCAGCCAATTTTAGGTTATTTTAGATACTAGTCTCATGGAATAGAAAATAATCTTTTAACTCTATATTCCTAAAAATTAAAAAAATAAAAATAAACAGTATTAGAAGCTAACCACTTATTTTGTAATACTACGTATCAAATACTGGGTGATGTGTTTTATATTCATTACCTTATTTAATCTTCCCAACAACCGTCTGAATTTAGGTACTATTAATATATTCATTGTATCAATAACGACACTACTGAGACTTAAAGAGGTTAATTAACTTGTCTAATACAAAGTAAAAACCGTTATCAAAAGCCATGTCTATAAAATTCACCAGATATTTTCAGGAGCTGGAGCCTGAGAATGACAATTAACAGTCAGCTTATATAATTCATTACGACTCTCACTCATCCATAAAAGAACAGTCTAGGCTGGGCGCAATGGCTCATGCCTGTAATCCTAGCACCTTGGGAGGCTGAGGTGGGTGGATCACGAGGTCAGGAGATCGAGACCATCCTGGCCAACGTGGTGAAACCCCGCCTCTACTAAAAATACAAAAATTAGCTGGGCGTGGCAGCATGTGCCTATAATCCCAGCTACTCGGGGGGCTGAAACAGGAGAATCGCTTGAACCTAAGAGGCAGAGGTTACAATGAGCTGAGATTGCACACTACACTCCACCCTGGCGACAGAGCTAGACTCCTTCTAAAAAAAAAAAAAAACTATATAAAATGAATTTTTCTACTACAAGCTTAGTGAAGTATACAATTTTCTTTTTTATCTTTTTTTTTTTGAGACAGAGTCTAGCTCTGTCATCCAGGCTAGAGTACAGTGGCATGATCTCAGTTCACAGCAACCTCTGCCTCCCAGGTTCAAGTGATTCTCGTGCCTCAGCCTCCCGAGTACCTGGGATTACAGGCATGCACCACCATACCAGGCTAATTTTTTGTATTTTTAGTAGACATGGGGTTTCACTGTGTTGGCCAGGCTGGGCTTGAACTCCTGGCCTCAAGTGATCCACCTGCCTCAGCCTCCCAGAGTGCTGGGATTATAGGCGTGAGCCACCATGCCCAGACGAGGAAAACATCTATTTTCACAGCATCTACAGAGGTTGGGCGCATGAGCCACCATGCCTGGCGCAATAGTTTAAATACCTTAAAGACAGCTCCTTGGATACAGTTAATTGAATACAAGACAGTAAATAGCCAAAGCCAAACAGAAATACCTTGGGCATTATCCATAATTTCAAAGTATTAGTCCTTTTCTATTCCTTAAAAATGCAGATTAACTACTAAAGAACATAAAACTGTAGTGCCTGCCACAGTGTTCAGTTAATCAGTAGTCAATATTTATGGAGTGAATATGACAAATATTTATTCAGAACCAAACCAGGAAAAAAGTTACCTGTTGGAAGCTGTCTCTTAGAAGCTGCTGGTCTTCAGGATGACAGAATTCTACAATATTCTTTCCTAAGAGTTCCTAGAATACAGAAAGAAGAGTAAGATATATACTTTTTTTTTTTTAAGATGGAGTTTCGCTCTTGTTGCCCAGGCTGGAGTACGATGGCGCGATCTTGGCTCACTGCAACCTCCACCTCCTGAGTTCAAGCAATTTTCCTGTCTCAACCTCCCAAGTAGCTGGGATTACAGGGGTGTGCTACCACACCTGGCTAATTTTGTATTTTTTTAAATAGAGACAGGGTTTCACCATGTTGGTCAGGCTGGTCTCGAACTCCTGACCTCAAGTGATCCACCCGCCTCGGCCTCCCAAAGCGCTGGGATTACAGGTGTGAGCCACCGTGCCCAGCCAACATATATAATTTTATGGTCATCTAACTGGCCTGGTCCATCAGCTGGGGACCTGGATTTTATTTCTTCTGTTTTAATCCTAAGATTATAGTTAAGTGAGGAGGAGAAAAAAAAAAGACAATAAACAAAAGATGAAATCTACTAAAAAAAGGCAGAATCTGTTAAGGAGCTGGCTTCTAAAACATTTTTCTTTCTCAGAATATTATACATTTATTTTAATGAGATTATAAATTTTAGATAAAATTTACATTCATAATTCAGCCATTCTAAGTGTATGATTTGATGATGTCTACTAAATTTATAGTTGTGCAATGATTACCACAATCCAGTTTCAGAACACATTCACTGCCCCAAGATGTTCCCTTGTGCCATCTGCAGTCAATCTCTGCTCCCACTCCAACTCCCCAGCCAACCACAAATCTGCTTTCTGCCTCTCTAGTTCTGCTATTTCTACAAATTTCATATAAATAAAACAACATAATATGTGGTCTTTTGGGTCTGGCTTCTTTCATTGAGCATGGTATTTTTGAAGTTCATCTACATGGCTGCATTATCAGTAGTTTATTCCTTTTTATGCTCAGTAGTATTCTCACATGGATACAACACAGTTGTGTATTCATTTACAAAATGTTAATGGACGTTTAAATAGTTTTCATTTTTTTGG
Source organism: Homo sapiens (assembly GCF_000001405.40). Lineage (NCBI taxonomy): Eukaryota > Metazoa > Chordata > Mammalia > Primates > Hominidae > Homo > Homo sapiens. Next base: position 150,827,611 of record NC_000001.11, read on the forward strand.
CTATTATGAATAATACAGATATGAACTGTGTACAAATCTATGGGTGAACATGTTTTCATTTCTCTTAGGTAGATACTCAGGAATAAAATTGCTAGGTTATAGGCTAAGAGTATGTTTAACTTTGTAGGAAACTGCCAAAATGCTTTTGCAAAGCTAGTAGCTATACCATTTTACATGTCTATCAGCAATGTATGAGGGTTCCTTCCAGCTTCTACACATTTTCACCAATACTTTTTGATTACAGCCATTCTAGTGGGTATATAGTGGTATCTCATTGTGATTTTAATTTGCACTTTCCTAATGGTAAAAAGATGTTGAGCATCTTTTCATGTGCATAAATGCATATTTATTCTTCAGTCAAATGTCAAGTCTTATGCTCTTTTTTACCAGCTGTTTGTCTTAATGAGTTGTTTATATATTCCTGGTACAAATCCTCTTTCAGGTATATGACTTGTAACTATTTTCTCTCCATTTATGTCTGGTCTTTTCATTTTCTTAATAATATCCTTTAAAGAGGGCAAATTTTAATTACAATTAAATCCAATTTATAATTTTTTTTCTTCTGTGAATCATGCTTTTAGTGTAAGAAATCTTTTGCCTAACTCAAAATCACAAAGATTTTCTCCTAGGAGTTTATTTGTAACTTTAGCTCTTACACATTTAGGCCTCTAAGCTGATTTTTGTAAATTGTATGAGGTAAGATCTATGTGTTTTCATTTTTGGGTGTGGTTTTTTTTTTGTTTTTTTTTTTTTTTGCATACAGATATCCAATTGTTCCATTTGTTAGAAATATTTATTTTATCCATTGAATTGTCTTGTCACCTTTGCTGAAAATTAGTTGACAAGTATAAGAATAGACCTTATTCTGGTCTATTGATCTATATATCTATCCTTACACCAACACCACAGTGTCTTGGTAATAGCTTTATAGTTAGTGTTGAATCAGGTAGTGTAAATTCTCTTTGTTCTTTGTTTTCAAGACCTCTTTTTCACCAACCTCTTTCACATAGCCACAGCCAGAAGTCCTTCCGACCCACAACAGTTTTAAAAGTTTATATGATGCGTCAATTCAGAGATGGCTAACTGGTCTGTTGCATGAGTAAATTATAATAACTGGTGCTAAATCTGCATGTTTTATGGGCCATTATTCATTTAGGTAATTACATGAATTATCTAAATGTAGCTATACTGGTATAACTAATTAATATGAGTACCTTTGAATCATCTGTATTAATATCAACAACAAAAAATAAATACATATTTGTACCTGCTGCTCCCACCTGGTTTGACAAGCCATATTTCTCTACATGAGATGACAGTCCTAATAGGAAGCTGAAAATAATGTTAGGTACTAACAGAATATGATGATCTCTTTTTCTTAACTGAGGTTGATATGTTTTGGCTGTCTTAGGAACTACATGATTACATAATGTCAACATAGCCAAAGGAAAATGGAGGCCTAATGGAGCTCCAGCTCCTCACCTGTGGCTGGTAGCCAACAGTAGCCACACAGCGGTGATCCACAAAAGTGAAGATACCCTCAATGTTGTGTCGGGAGATGAACTCTGTTGGTTGACAAACATTACTCATGTCTGTACAGTTGGGAGAACTAGTTACCTGAGAGTGAAGAGATAAAAATGAGGTAAAATGATACCATTATTTACAGATGTATTTCCTATCTCCTCATGGTCTTTTGCATAGACATAAGATTCCCAGTTTTAGGACTTTCTAAACTTTCACATTTTATCCAAAAAGGAAAAAAAAATGACAATCACAATCAGACAAGGCATAAGGTCTAGCTCTGCTCCCATACATTTACACTTTACCAAGTTAGTAAAGTAAGAATAAAGTTTATTCAATCTAAAATCCACATACTGGCTATGCTGAACTCATTACTCAGGTTGATATGGTACAAGTAACCAAGAAACTTATCTATACTTATGAAAAAATCAAAATAATTCCACTTTTCTATTGTTAGTCAGGTAATGATACAATGAAAAGGATCTTTCTTCTTTTGTATAGGGGCAAAGGAAATTAACTGGAAATAGAAAATTAAGCATAGTAAAGCTAAAATTAAGACAAGGGGAAAAAGATCTCCCTCCTCTCATACTTTTCAACTTTACTTAAATCCAAGAATAGCAATGGTCACTATAAATGCCATATTCCTTCAAATTTTGAGAGTTTTATGGAATTCTTCATTTGTATTCAGAAAGTAAAAGAAAATTAACAGGAATGAGTCCTGAAGATCTGCTCTAATTGAACGGGAATATAGATGTGGAAAATTCATACTTGCCTGCAATCTGCCAATGGCCACTAGGCAAAACTTGCTTCCCTGGCCAGCCTCTGGGTCATCATCTGGGAGGGAAACACCTTCAGAAACGTGACGTTAAAAGGTTTAACGGGGACCTCCAACTCAAATGCCTTCAAAACTCAGACAAGTAAAGATTCAAAATAGACCTATTTATGGGCCAGGCACCGTGGCTGACGCCTGTAATCCCAACACTTTGGGAAGCCAAGGTGGGCGGATCACTTGAGGACCAGCCTGGCCGACACAGTGAAACCCCATCTCTACTAAAAATACAAAAATTAGCCAGGCATGGTGGCATGCACCTGTAATCCCAGCTACTTGGGAGGCTGAGGTGAGAGAATCACTTGAACCCAGGAGGCGGAGGATGCAGTGAGCCGAGATCGCACTACTGCACTCCAGCCTGGGCGACAGACAGAGTGAGACTCCCTCTCAAAAAAAAAACCAAAAAGCAAAACAAAACAAAATACATCTAGTTATGAAGAGGCTAAGCATAAAGCAATAGAGAATGATAAATAAGAATAAACAAGTATATAAAACTTACCATATATGCCAGTCATTGTTTTAAGTATTTACATATATATTAATTCCTACATTTTACCCATGTTAATTATAGTAAACTGGAAAATACAAGTCCTACCCAGAGTACTCTAAAAAACTATGCTGGCCAAATATGGCACATATGAAGACATCCATTCTATGACCATGTTATAGGCAGAAAATTTATGCTTTGCCTAATCTGTAACTTTTAAAGTTAGCAAGCAACCCAAAATGAAGTTATACCAACCATCAATAGTTATTCATGTCCCTTGGAAAAGAGAAAAACCAATGTTTTACACAGAAAGGGAAGAAGACTGCATTTCTCCCCTGTTTTTTGCATAGTTATACTCTTTTTATCCAGAAAAATAGTATTCCTTGATGCTACATAGAGGTATGAAAGATCACATACTTTAACTGTGTGGCTTATATAGTATATAGACTAAGTAGTTCAAATGTCATTACTACTTCAGTTAAATTTTTTTAAATTACATTAATTACTTTTATTGGGTTACCTGCCATATGCCAGGCACTGGGCTGGATGCTTTCCTTACATTAAATCTAATCCTCACAAAAACCCTATACAGGATGTACTAACTCTGAATTACAGATGAGAAAACTGAGCTTTATAAAGGTCAAGCAACTTACCCTAGGTGATGCCACTAATAAGTAACAATGACAGGAATCACATCCAGGTTTCTCCACATCCAAAGTTTAACCTTTTTCCAAAACACATCACCTTGCTTCTCTTTTCTCTTAGTTTCTGTCTCCCCAAAACCCCTACTTTCCAATAATACCCAGGCAGCAGGGAAGTAATAAAGTTGCTAAGATTTGGAAACTCTGACAAGCCAACTTAAAACTTTGATCCTGCAACCCAATCACCTTTCTCACATTCCTTGTTTGACCTCAAGTTCTGGTAAAGCTAATCTGCTCAAAGCTTGATTTAAAGTCTTTGCAGAGAATATCCTCTTGATAAGTTATTACAATAAAGGCATTTTCCCCTTTTCTCTCAAAGTCTTGTTCCTACTTTAGAAATCTTTCTCAAATTAACTGCATTCAATGTCTAAGTTTCTTTGCAACAAATGCTTAGAATACATATGTTCAGTATAAATTTGTTCACATAAAAACCACATTCTGTGACACAGCCAATACTGAATCATTTTCCAGCCTGAGTTATCTATCTCCTCAACTGGAATAAAAGCTCAATAATGGAAGGGAAGGATTGTACATTTTCTTTTCCTATTTTCTTTCATCTTACACAAAAGTACATTTCATATACCAGGTATATAATAAATATTAGCTTTCATGGACTCTGTGAGGAACCAACTGTACCAAGGGGAAATATTTACTATTTCACTTTCTTACCTGCTGGGGGCCAGGCCTTGATGTAGCCTGTGCAGTGGACCACCACGAAGTGAGGTTCCCCATCCTTTACAGAGCCAAGTCCATTCCTAGAAGAGTTACAGGAGTTTGAAAAAAAAAAAAAAAATCTACCCGTAAAACTCAAAGGGCAATGCTGCCTTAGTACTTTTAAGTTTATGCTCTTAGGAGTTTAGAAAACAGGATAATCATCTTTCCCACCCAAAAATGACCGCCACATTTTTACCCTTGCCAAAGTAAAGTAACCAAAAGGTATGCAGTAGGAGGAAAGTAGGTAAAATAGCATAGCGACTTCCTTAAACAGGATTTTCAAGAGAAGTTTTAGAAGTTTAGGAAAATATTGCCAGAAAAAAAGTAAGTGGGAGGTAAGGGATGTTAAGTGGGAGGTAAGGGATGCAAGTGAGAGCTGCTGAAGGAACGACTACAGTAAGACAGGTAAAAATGTGATGATCTCTGCAGGTATTTGGCCATCCCTTTGGTTTTCACCACTTAGGATCTCACCTGCATCTGTTCCTCACAAAGCTCAGCCTATTCACAGAAACTGGGTCCACAGAGCTACTGCCACACCTGTTTCAAGGAATAAAGAGATTAAAAGCAATCAGACTGCCCTATCAAAGAACTTTCCACAGTAATAGCAGAATAACATGCTCTGGATACAACCAGACATAGAAAATTGGTAATGCTACTAATAATGAAGGATAAAGATAGGTCAAGTTTAGTATTTCTAAAACTTTTAGAATTTGAAGTCAAAATGTTCCATATGTTCTTCATATGCAAACATTCTCAACATCAAGAGTTGGCAAGCTTTTTCTGTAAAGGACCAGATAGTACATATTTTCAGCTTTGCGGGCCAGAAAGTCTGTTGCAACTAGTCAACTCTAGCATTATAGCATGAAAATAGCCATAGATAATATGTAAAAATATGGGCATGGCTATGTTCCAATAAAACTTTATTTACAAATAAAGGGCTGTGGTTTGCTTACTCCTGCTCTACATTAACCACAACTTAATGTAATTGCTACAGTTCATTATTATCTTGCTCTTGCCTATGTCTTTGCATTAGCCATGTCCACATATTGGGATACTCCTGCCAATGCTACTTTCCCTCTCCCTATCCTTTAAAACAAAAATAAAACTTACATAGGGTTAATATGTGTCATGCTCTGTTCTAAATATCTTTACATATATTAATTCATCTAATCTTCATAACAACTTTATAAAGTCAGTATTAACATTATCGCCAATGTGAGATGATGAAATCAAAGCACAATGTAGTCATGTAATCATCCAAGGTTTCAGAAGATAGCATCAAAGCTAGAATTCAAATCCATAGAATATGGATTAAAACAAAATCCAGCAGTCTGGGTCTAGAAGCTACTCTAAATTACACGCTGGGTGCAGTGGTTCAGGCCTGTAATCTCAGCACTTTGGGAGGCTGACGCAGGCGAATCACTTGAGGTCAAGAGTTTGAGGCCAGCCTGGCCAACATGGTGAAACACTGTTTTACTAAAAATACAAAAATTAGCCAGCTGTGGTGGCAATCCAGCTACTCAGGAAACTGAGGCATGAGAATCGCTTGAACCCAGGAGGTAGAGGTTGTAATGACCCAAGATCATGCCACTGCACTCCAGCCTGGGCAACAGAGCAAGACTCTGTCTCAAAAAAATAAATAAATAAAAATAAAAATAAATCACTAAACCACATAATGTTCAATTTTGTGCCTCTCCAAGCAAACCTTTAATATCCTACCCATAATTTCTAGCAACTATCCTCTCAGTACAATGTAGTCAATTTCCATTATATAGCCTGAACTTTGTGACCCTGAGATGCCTTTTGTACCTGTATAGAAAGGACCACCATATTTTCTACAGAATCCTAAAACGTACAGTATATAATTTATAAACACTAAACACCTACTGAAAGACATAGGAAGTCTCAAATTTCTAACCAAAAAAAAAAAGAAGAAATGGTCTGAGTAAATGGATATTGCCTTGTGTTGTAACAGGGAAAAAGTAGAGGTTTTGTAGTCAGACTACTATGAATTAAAACAAAATCCTGTATCAAACAGTATGTAACAGTGGGAAATTCATTTCTTTTTCTTTTTCTTTTTTTTTTTTTTGAGACAGAGTTTCACTCTTTTTGCCTAGGCTGGAGTGTAATGGCACAATCTCGGCTCACTGCAACCTCCACCTCCTGGGTTCAAGCAATTGTCCTGCCTCAGCCTCCAAGTGGCTGGGATTATGGGCGCACGCCACCACGCCCGTCTAATTTTGTTGTTGTTTTTTTTTAGTAGAGATGGGGTTTCACCATGTTGGCCAGGCTGGTCTCAAACTCCTGACCTCAGGTGATCCACTCGCCTCAGCCTCCTAAAGTGCTGGGATTACAGCCTTGAGCCACTGCACCTGGCCAAGTTCATTTCTTTATATCTGTTTTTCCATCTGCAAAATGGTAACCATCAATCTTACACTACAAGGCAATTGTGAGGATAAAATAAGATGACAGATATAAAGCACCTATCATAGTGTCTGGCAAGTTCAGAAACGTTAGTTCCCTTTCCAAATACTTTATTCTGTGTTACAATCCATCTGGGTATGGAGAGTTAAATTTAATCCACTGGAGCTAATCCAACTTAACTCTGACAGAAATAAAACTCTCAGCTCTTGATCCTTCCTATACCAAATCACAATCCTCAGCTTGACACTCACCTCATTCGGCAAATAAACGATCTCCTTGAGCCCATACACATTCTCATGGAAGACTGCTGACCTTCCTTTTTCACTGTTCCAGTCTTTAGATCCAGGATACGCCCTGAAGGAAGATGTGAAGAGCAGTCTGGAGTGCATTTTTGTGTGTGGGGAAGAGGGGGAGAGATACTGAAGGCAAAGATAAGTAAGCATCCTATTCATGCCCTTAATCTCCTTGCTTATAACAGAACTGACCAAGCAGGAGATGAATTTTTTTTCAAGCCTAAAATACTTCAATTATCATCAATGAATCTCACTCTTAAGTTCAAAGGCAGCATTGAAAATAACATTGTGCAAGGAAAAGTAGGAGTGGAAAGTAGTAGTAGAAAACAAGAGGCAAGGCTATATTCTCATAGCTGATTATCTGTATACACATACAGACATACATACAGAGTAAATGTCATTGGTTGAAAAACAAGTACTTTTCTGTAGTCCCAGCTAATCAGGAGGCTGAGGCAGGAGGACTGCTTGAGGGCAGGAGTTTGAGGCTGTAGTGTGCTATGACTGTGCCTGTGAAGAGTCACTGTACTCTAGCCTCAGCAATAAAGCAAGACCTTGTCTCAAAAAAAAAAAAAAGAATAAAAAGAAAAAATTTTAAAAAGAAAAAAACCAAGTAATTTTATATGTTATAGAAACATATAGATCTGTTTGTCTTCTTTATTATACAGAAACGAAGAACAACTTTTGGGGAAAAGGAAGAACTAGAAAAATGAAATCATAAAAACATAAAGGAGGGGAAAACTGGTCAAGTGTGGTGGCTCATGCCGATAATCCCAGCCCTTTGAGAAGCCAAGATGGGAGGAGGAATGCTGAAGGCCAGGAGTTTGAGACCAGTCTGGGCAACAGACAGAACCTGTCTCTACAAAAAATTTAAAAATTGGTCAAGTGTGGTGACATGAACTACTCCTAGCTACTCAAGAAGCTGTAAGCAGGCAGATTACTGAGCCCAGAAGAGTTCAAGATTACAGTAAGCTATGATGTGCCACCGTACTCCAGCCTAGGCAAGAGAGAGACCCTGTCTCTTTTTTGGGTGGGAAAAAAGGAGGAAAACTAAAGATCAACAACACTAATATGAGTATATTGAAATTTCTTGCATTTTAACTACCAGTTTTTTTATCTGCTTCCACTTTAAATTTTTTTCTAGAGTTGCTCAAGAATAGATATGACTTGTTTCCTCTAGCCAAACTCTGGCCAAAAGACTGAACATAATAAAATAGGGGAGAAAAAAAGAACAACAGTACAGATACAAACAACAACAACAACAACAACAGAAAACACCTTATACATTGACCAATAACCATATCTATAGAATAAAAAGCTGTTATCATTGAACCTAGCACAAAGCCAAGCACCAGGAGGTAGAAAAAATACCAGATAATTATCCATACAAATGAGATAAAAACATGGATAATTCTTTTAGAACGGAAAAAAAAAAGTATTGTAGGTTTGGCTTTTACTGTTCTATTTATACCAATATTAAGATAAATGTAAAATATTATCACCAATGAAATATTTTCTAAGGCTGAGCCACAAAGTAGATAATCTCATATGGATAAAAAGAACTGACTATATTCATTAAAGTAGAAAATTCTTGAAGCCTTGCCAGAGTCAACAAACCAATTTAACAGCTAAAACATCTCTTAAGTCTCAGGAAAAAAACAAGAAAGGACTTCTCATTCATTTCCCATACACATAACTCTCACCTGTCAGGGCATTTTCTGAAGTGGAAAGCTGCTCACGAAGTTTATCCACATCATCTGGGTGCACCTGATCATAGAGTGTGCTGCCAAACCATTCAGACTGTGGCTGGTTCAAAACAGGAGTCACGGAGTCAGACACATACACCACCCTGCCTGTCTCACATGAGACAATAAACAGAAAGCCATCTGCTGCCTCCAAGATCAAATGTTTCAGTTCCTGCGCAAGAAAAAGAAATAGAAGTTAATATTTTACTCTGAAAAAACAAGTATTTCTATTCACAGGAAGAAGTAAGACACTTCAGGCCACATGCATCTCTCCGTAAGCAACTGCTGGTTCACACCTGATCCACAGCCACAGGTTTCCACCCTAAATGTAGTTCATCGATAAGAAAGTTTTTTCTAATACATGTTTCCTCACTTTCTCTATGTCACTATCCACCTCTTCCTCTCTATCTCAGGATTCAAGAAGAATAAAAAGGCTTGGGCTAGGCACAGCGGCTCCCGCCGGTAATCCCAGCACTTTGGGAGGTCAAAGTGGGAGGGTCACTGAGTCCAGGAGTTCAAGACCAGCCTAGGCAATGGGGCGAAACTCCATCTTTACAAACAAACAAAACAAAACAAAACAAAAACAAAAACAAAACTAGCCAGGTGTGGTGGCACACGCCTGTAGTCCCAGCTACTCCGGAGGCTGAGGTGGGAGGATCACCTGAGCCTGGGAAGCAGAGGTTGCAGTGAGCCGAGATCATACCACCACACTCCAGCCTGAGCGACAGAGCAAGAGACCCTGTCTCAAAAAAAAAAAGGCTTACCATGAACAATAATTGACTTCTTAATTCCATCCTCTCTGGTCTCTTTTTAGGATCTTGCTTGACAAATATTCCCACTTTCTCTCTTTCCCTTCAGGCCTATAAAAATGATCAAGTTTTCTCAATTCTAGATAAATCTTCCCTCAGTTTGACCCACCTCATCTCTCTTTTTCAGCAGCAAGCTTATACTAAGAATAATGTTATATTCACTGGCTTTATCCTCTTACCTTTCAATTATTTCTCAATCCCACTTCACTCTCACTCTAAACTACTGTTTTCCTGTTTGGTTTGGTTTTTGTTCTGCCAGGAACAGCATACATATATTTTTAATGAGGTTACTAATGTCCTCCTAATTACCAATTCAAGTCCCTTTTCCTGGGTCTTCATCACTTTATTCAACCTCTCTGCAGAATGTGACAATGTCGTCCATCTTATCCTTTAAATTTTATTTTTCCCTACCTTCTTCTATGAGACTGTACTCCAATTTTTGCTTCCTCTTCTGTTTCAGACTTCCTTTCCTTTGTTCAAGTCTTAAATGTAGACATTTCCAAAGTTCATCTTAAGCCCTCTTTATTAATACCATACTTTCTTCCTGGGAAACCATATTCACTCTTCCCCACTACGAAATAATAACCAAGTCTATAGCCCTAGACATGACTAACGTTTTTTCCTGAGCTTTCAGCAGACTTGAATTTCAAGTATCTGTAAAATATTTATAAATATTCTACCAGCAACTCAACATCAACATCCCAAAACCTGAATCATTATTTCCCTCTTAAAAAAAAAAACCTGCCGTGCTCTTCCAATATTCTTAACAGCATCCTCCTAAGCTAGAAGCCTCAAAATCTAACTATTCTCTCACATTCCAGTGATAATTCAGTTTTATCGATTCTACTTTCCAATGCTTTGTCACTGTCCTAGTCATCTTTTACCAAAACTAATTAAGTAGTCGCCCTGCTTTCAATCAATCCTTAAAATGCTACCAGATCTAATACATTTTTTATGTCTCCCCACTGCATAAAAATTAAAATCTAAATTCTTTAACACCTAAACATTCCATCATTAGATCCCAGCCTACCTTCCTATTATCTACCAAAAACATGCTAAACCACTTGACTTTCTTTGCATAACCCAATTATTCCACACTTCTAGGTTTTTGCTCAAGTGCTTCCCAAAATCCACAACACTACTCCCCAACTCATTTTCCATATCTGCATTTTACAGGATTCATTACAGCACTTCTATTATAGAACTAGTTCTATGTTTAATTTATTTATTTACATGTCTGTTTCCACCAGAAAACCATTTGTCTCACCATTCTTTCTATTTCTCACAGCACAACACACCTGGTTTGCCCACAAAAGGTGCATAACTGGAGTCTGTTGAATACTTGCACATGTACTGTTAGAACATATTAACTATTTCAATGTATATAGCTACAAAGTATGTAGTTTTAAGTAGACCATCCTATTTGGAAAATTCTTATTCCATTTTCTCAAACTATATTCTCTCCTTCTTTCTAATCATTTGATTAAATTGGTGGCATTAAGGGAATACTTGATTGATACTGAAGTAAATTTTTTTCTTCCTTATACCTCCTACATTTTCCAAATTTTTCTGCAATGATCATGTTATTTTAATAACCAAAACAGAACATGGCTTCCTTACCCTCAGAAGTCTTCCCTAACCATCCTCACTCAAGTCTAGCCATTCTATTCACTTTAGCCATCCCTTCAGTATGTCTATCTAGTCCCACATAAAATTACTAATTAAAAAATACAATTCCTCTCTTTATGCATTTTCCTGTTATTTTCTGTGATATCCTGCCACTCACATACTTATATTCAGATGAAGTTCCTGAAAGGCAGAAAATGTTTACGCCTTCTTTTTTTCATAGTGATCACATGTAACAGAGCACATCCCTAAGCAACAATTAGACTCTCAGTTCTTCTATCACCAAAGGTGGGACAGATTCATTCTATTACTAAAACTAGAAGCTGCTTCAGGGATAAGAAATAGATTTCTTCCATCTTCTATAACCCTAAAGGCAAGAAAGAAAATTGGTTCCATGGACATAGTCATTTCCTCTGTGATTCCACTGTTCTTCTTCCATCCTATATGCTATATTCATGAGTCAAGTTCTCAAATATTAATACTTATTAGCTTATTAAATAGTTTTCACAACTCTTCTCTACTTCTCATTGTCCCAATGCTAATTAATGTTATAGCCAAGGATTGAAATTCGTTTTCCCATTGTCTGACTTCTTCCTGAAAAGCTGAATTCTTGTCCAAAAAACGAAAACTTTCAAGAGATTCACCCAGATTCCAGACTCTCTCAGAACTATAAGTCCCAGAGACCTGATCAGTGAGGAAAGACGGCTTATAGGAGCCATCAGTGGATGTGTTGCCAGTTCCCCGCAAGGACTTCATGTGAGAAACTGCCATGCGTAAGATGGTTAGCTTGTCTGGTTTTCGAGCCAGGGCACTACAGGTGGGTACCATATCTGACAGTTCTGTGATGTAGGCTGTCATCTTGTTCCGTCGCCGCCGTTCAATTTCACTGTGATTTTCCCTGCATGGAAAGAAAGAGAAGCCCCATCCAGGTGGTCACATCTGGTCATTTGGTAGCAGGGAGAGTGATATGGATACCAAGTGTGCTGCTGAAGAATGTGGTATTCAGATTTAGTGATGCTTAAGTCTCAGCAGTTAAAATAAGGTTTGCCAACCTTCTCATGCAAAGCAAGCATGAAACAGAACTAATAAGGCAGACAGAGAACAAGAAGATAATGTAATTCCCTTCCCCCTATTTCCTGGAAACTTCACATCCTTTGTAAATTACCACTCCCTCAGAACAAAAGCTGTTTTAAGAAACGACAGGTCAGGCATGGTGGCTCATGCCTGTAATCCCAGCACTTTGGGAGATGGAGGCAGGTGGATTACTTGAGGCCAGGAGTTTGAGACCGGCCTGGCCAACATGGTGAAATCCTGTCTCTACTAAAAATACAAAAATTAGCAGGGCACAGTGGCATGCATCTGTAATCCCAGCTACTTGGGAGGCTGAGACAGGAGAATCACTTGAATCTGGGAGGTGGAGGTTGCAGTGAGCTGAGATCACACCACTGCACTTCAGCCTGGGTGGCAGAGCAAGACTCCATTTCAAAAAAAAACAAAAAACAAAAAACAAGAGAAAAAAAAAGATAGTATTTTTAAATGCTGATTTTACTCACTTAAGTTCCTATGGAACATATAACCTCAGCTTGGTTAACTCCCATGCTTACTAATTCAACTATTTAAAGGCCAGAAAATAAAAGGACCAATTTTTGCCAACTCAAGTATGTGGCTCCATAGCTGATACAAGAATTGATAGTACAGATTTCCTTGGTCTATAAAATATGGTAAGCCTCTCTCTTATTTGCAACATTAAAAGGCAGAATTTGAAGATTTTGAAGTTTTATTTGGCCCATTAATGCACAAAGTCCTACCTTCTTTATCTGGGTGTGCTGCCAGTGCACTAAACTTCTTACAAGACTTAAGATACACCATCTACTAAAAGTCCCATATGGGTCCCCAGTCTGGGACGAAGTTAACTGGAGGAGTGGAATGGAGAGGAGGATGATTAAAGGTCTGACAAGACAATTTGAATCTCACCCAGGTAAATAGACCACAGCTCCAACACTGACTTCCTCAAAATTAAGACAGAAAGATATCACTGTTAACAGGAATAATCCAGCAGTTTTCCAACAGGAATTTTTAAAAGCCCATTAAGTTTCTCAGTGTCCTCCATGGGGATGCCTCAAGGAGATAATCATGCAACATGCTGCATTTCTGCTTCTACTCAAATATTTGCCTTATCTCTCTTCTTCTTTTTTTTTTTTTTTTTTTTTGAGATGGAGTCTTGCTCTGTCACCCAGGCTGGAGTACAGTGGCGGGATCTCGGCTCACTGCAACCTCCGCCTTCTGGGTTCAAGCAATTCTGCTATCTCAGCCTCCCAGGTAGCTGGGACTACAGGCGCACACCACCACGCCCAGTTTTTTTTTTTTTTATTTTTAGTAGAGACGCGGTTTCACCAAGTTGGCCAGGATATTCTCCATCTCTTGACCTCGTGATCTGCCTGCCTCGGCCTCCCAAAGTGCTAGGGTTACAAGCATGAGCCACTGCGCCCGGCCTGCTTTATCTCTTTTATTTATTTCTGTTACCACTTAAGAATTCTACTTGAACAAAAGTTCTTTGTCCAAAAAAAAAAGAAAGTAAGAAAATTAAAAATCTAACATAAATCTCTTTTTTCTGAGAAGAGCAAAGGGAGGTCAAGTAGGTAAGTGACTTTCCCCAGGCTGCTCTCTTCCCAATACAATGTTTTCTCCACCACATCATGCCAAATCCATTTTCTGAACAGTGAAAGGGTTAGTAAGAAGCTCGAGTTAAACTGGCAGCAAAATGAGTTTGTGACCCAGATTAAAGAGGAAATAGTAGAAAAAAGGGGGAATATAGTAAAAATGGGTATTGGCATCAATGATCTATTTCCTAAGTCACCCCCAAATCACAGATACTAGAAAACAGAAAAGTCTATGCATATTTCTTCTGCAGCATTTCTACATTACAAACAACAGTCTCCCAAGAGAATTCTAGAGTCTCCTTTCTAAATGGCAAAAAGGGTCTCACCACATAGGCCCATATTTAGTTACACTTTGCCTAAGACATAAAATTCTATTCTCAAACATAAAGCACTCATCTTCCTAGTATCTGACAGATTTCTGACACGTAAGTACAGAAACCTGGTCTTTTAAATAGCCACATCAAGGAAACTAAAACTTTTCTAGAAAACTACCGCAAGAAAGGATTCGGTCACCAAAGCAACACTAGTTCTGTTGTGAGAATAATCTAGGCTGTGAGTCTTCATAGGAAAATAGGTGTGAGTTTCCTAGAGGTGTGGAGTAAATGCTGAGGCCTAAATACTGGGAACTAATCACAAATACAGATATATTTATTGGTTTTCTGATAAAAAGAGTATTTCCCTGTTAAAGCACCAACTGGCACGGTTGCATTCCTTCTAAGAGCTTTTTGTTCTGTGAAACTTAGTACTGACATAAAGAGAAAAAGAAAAAAAAACTTAAAACTAATAGCAATTTCTTAAATCCCTAAGCAAAGTTCCCTCAACTCACCCACTTTCTGATGGGGGAAGCCAAAGTTCCTGTTACACTCAAACTTCTAAAAAATCTTGTCCTCTCTTGCCACAGATAAGGAAAAATACAAAGAGAAAGGGGAAGAAAAGAAAGAGTAAGAAAAAGGATAGAAAAAGCAGCATCATCTGCTTCATCATGCTAAAAGACACTGTTCTCCTACCTGGCAAGTCTCTCTTTATCCGCAGAGCTCTGCTCATCATCCGACCTAAAAATAGAATTAATGAACTAAGCTAAAATTAAAATAAAAAAGAAGGAAGGAAGGGGGGAGGGAGGAAGGGAAAAAAGGAAGGAGGGAGGGAGAGGAAATGGAGGGAGAAAAAAAAAGAAAAGGAGAAAGAAGAGAGAAAAGGATATAGAACTAAACAGATGCAGAGAAGAGAGGAGGGAAATGGAATTATAGGCAGGAACCTTGCCTGTAACTCTACAAAGCCATCTGTTAGGATAAAGAAAAAGTAACTTACAAGATAAAGGTCAACATAAAAGCAAAGCCAATATATAGTAAATTAACATGATCTAAACACAGAAAGCATTTTGCCAATCGATCTCTGTAGGGACCAAAGATATACAGAGTCTGAACAAGAACCAACCAAGGGAATTCAGGAATACCATTTTCATGCACTGCTCCCAATCTGGAAAGAAAATGATATCCACATGTGCTATTCTATAATGAAGAAATTAAAGACAGAGTACATTAAAGATGATACTATCAAACAAGTGATGACAAATATAATCTCTCTCCCTCTCACACAAACAACACATGCACGTGCCACACAATGACAAAATAACCAACCAGATTTCACTGGAGAAATTATATAAATAACTCTAAGAGGTAGGTTTCTGGCATATCTTCTATTATTGATTTGTTCCTAAAATAATTATTAACTTTGATTCGGTCCTTTTGCCATTTCTCTGCAGTATAGCCACACAGGAATGGATCAAAAGTAACAATTCCCTCTCCACTGGAGAAGGATACAAAGAACCATCACTAAATTTTTCTAGAAAACTGAGATACTGTAATGATGGGTGGCAACTGAGGAAATAGCAAGGTGTTGGCAGGCCATTGTGTCAGGAATGTGTCAATTCCATTTTAAATATATTTATATAGATAAAGAGGCCCTGAATAAAATGTCTAAGTATGACAGGTTAACAAGCTAAAAGATTATTTAGCTATTAAAAATGACAAATACAATAACCTTATCAATATATGGGAATGTTTTTATAAAATGGTCAATAGGCAGAAAATAACACAGTAACAATGAAGAAGAATGTAAAAATTTACGCATATATTCTGATGACAAGAGAAGGAGAACTGAGTGATATTCAGCAGTTTAGAGTTTTACATTCCTTGGGTTATTTCTTCTAGATAGTTCCTTAACAAACTACAAACTTCTTTTTTTTCAAAAAGTTGAGCAACTTTTGCCTCTGCCTCCCAAAGTGCTGGAATTACAGGCATAAGCCACCACTCCCGGCCTCTTACTGTCATTTTTAAAAGAACAGGACTAACCAGGCATGGTGGCTATGCATATAATCCCAAAAGTTTTTCAAGAAGTTTTCAGCTTTTAAGACCCTCTATATCCCAAGGAGGATATGTGAGGGGCACTACCTTAACACATCATATGAATGAATTCTGTTATTTAAAAAAAAGTTAAGCATCTAAAATTCCTATTTCTACTACTACTACTACTACAGATCCACAATCCCTAATCCACCTCAGTATTTCTGAATGAAATATATGCACATTAAGCAGGACAAATGAAAACCAAAATCATTCATGCGATGTTTTCATGGCTTTTTGAAATTTCATCAAGATACTGCCAATAATAACTGATGGCCTGACTTTTCAATGAAGCTTGAAAAACTATCCTCCAAATATCTATGATTAACTTCTCATTTTAGAGATGGTTCACATCCTAAAGACTTTACAAATATTTATTTCAATTAGTTTCGATAAACAAATTATTCTTCAAAAACCTCTTAACTTCACTCCTTTCCTGTTACCACTGCCACTGTAACCCAGGCCCTCATGATTTTATAGCTGTCTTATTATTTCAACAGCTTCCTATCTACCTCCCTACAGTCTAACAGTCCATCCCTTTAATCAATTCTATAACTGCTACCAGAGAAATATCCCTACAATGCATTTTATGTAATACCCTCTAATTCAAAGCCTGAGATTGCATCTCACCACTCCAGAATAGTTTTTAACTACTTCCCCTGATATTTCTAATCTCTCTACATCAACGGTTCTTAAAGTATGTTCCCGAGACCAGGAGCATCAGCAACGAACAAATACTAAGTGCTAAGTGCTCAGTTAATCACTGGATTTTGAAATAACGAATTATTCATCTTTCTGAGGTAGCTACAAACTTAATTTTCAAAAAAGAAATAATTTATTGCCTAATATTTAATAAAAACTTTCTAAAAAGAAAACTGACATTTAAGAATTTAATAAAAAAAAGTATATTTCATCATCTTGATAGGTAATTTAAACAAATTTAAGTTTTTTTCAATCAAAACTCTACTTGTCACAAAAACTGTTTCCTTACTGTCTTTTTTTTTTTTTTCTGACACAAAATCTTGCTGTCACCCAGGCTGGAGTGCAATGGTGCCATCTCTGCTCACTGCAACCTCCACCT
The DNA here is from genome assembly GCF_000001405.40 of Homo sapiens. Taxonomy (NCBI): domain Eukaryota; kingdom Metazoa; phylum Chordata; class Mammalia; order Primates; family Hominidae; genus Homo; species Homo sapiens. The sequence goes on from NC_000001.11 coordinate 150,844,900, forward strand.
CCCGGGCTCATGCAATTCTCATGCCTCAGCCTCTAGAGTAGCTGGGATTATGAGTGCCCACCATGATGCCCGGCTAATTTTTATATTTTTAGTAGAGATGGGGTTTCACCATGTTGGCCAGGCTGGTTTTGAACTCCTGACCTCAAGTGATCCACCTGCATCTGCCTCCCAAAGTGCTGGAATTACAGGCATATGCCACCACTCCCCGCCTCTTACTGTCATTTTTAAAAAAACAGGACCAACCAGGCATGGTGGCTATGCATATAATCCCAATATTTGGGAAGCTGAGGTAGGAGGATCACTGAAACCCCAGAGTTTGAGGCTGCAGTGAGCTATGATCATGCCACTGTACTCCAGCCTGGGAAACACAATGAAAACAATGTCTCTAAAAAATATACATATCTTAAAATAAAATAATAGGCCAGGCACAATGGCTCACACCTGTAATCCCAGCACTTTGGGAGGCTGAGGTGGGTGAATCGCTTGAGGTGAGGAGTTCGAGACAAGCCTGGCCAACATGGTGAAACCCCATCTCTGCTAAAAAAAATTATTACAAAAATTAGCTAGGCATGGTGGCAAATGCCCATATTCCCAGCTACTAGGGAGGCTGAGGTGGAAGAACAGCTTGAACCCAGGAGGCAGAGGTTACAGTGAGCCGAGATTACACCACTGTACTACAGCATGGGTGATGGAGTGAGACTCTGTCTCAAAAAAATAAAATAGGCCGGGTGCGGTGGCTCACACCTATAATCCCAGCACTTTGGGAGGCCGAGGCGGGCGGATCACAAGGTCAGGAGTTCAAGATCACCCTGACCAACATGGTGAAACCCCATCTCTACTAAAAATACAAAAATTAGCTGGGCGTGGTGGCAGGGGCCTATAATCCCAGCTACTCAGGAGGCTGAGGCAGGAGAATCGCTTGAACCCAGGAGGTGAAGGTTGCAGTGAGCCGAGATGGCGCCATTGCACTCCAGCCTGGGCAACAGAGCAAGACTCTGTCTCAAAATAAATAAATTAATTACAGAACCATTATCTGTATTCCTATTTTTGTAGATCCATTTAATAATAAATGCAAGCACAAAATCCATAATTTGTGCTCCTATGGAAACCTTGCAAGCACATTGCTTTAGTTATCACATACACAGAAAAACACTGTATAAAATATACCGCCAGTTTGAAGCCATGTCACCTGAACATAAATGATAGTTATAATACTAAGTTTCACATACTTCCAAATAGGAAAGATATTAAACAGAGAAATTCCGTCTCATCCAGAAAAAATTAAGTCAATATGCTAGGACTGTCTGGTTCTACAACATGGATCATATTATATATTACAATATATTACCTACTACAATATTACCTGGCAAACCGCTCCTTATCGTTAGACATCTGATCATCATCACACCTGAAGGAGAGAAAAAGGATTGTTTCAAAGCATTACACTTGTTATATCTATTTCACTCTGAAAAGTAAACTAGAAAGGGGTGAAAATATTCAATAGAAAAAAAGCCAATGGAAAAGCATCACAAAGTGATAGAAATAACAGCAGCACCCCATAGAACTTAAAAGACCCACAACTATTATTTGTCAGGTTTCTGGTATTTCCATTACCCTTACCAGACACACCAAAAAAAGATGATGATCTAATGACAACACAGCTGACTGGCCTGTCAGCACAATTCTAAAGTAAGGGGTTAGTTTTGGGTTTTTTTTTAATTCTGGTAAAAAACACATAAAATTTACTGTATACCATTTTTAAGTGTACAGTTGAGTAGTGCTAACCATATTCACATTGTTGTGCAACAGATATCTAGAACTTTTTCATCTTGCAAAACTGAAACTCTATACTCATCAAACACCATTTTCTCATTTCTCCTTCACCCCAACCCCTAGCAACCACCATTTTACTTTCTGTGTCTATGAATTTGACTACTTGTAGATACCTCATGTAAGTGGAATCATACAGTAATTGTCTTTTTGTTATTGGCTTATTCTTTCAGTATAATGTCCTTAAGATTCATCCATCTTGCAGCATATGACAGGTTCTTTCTTTTTAAGGCTGAATAATATTCCCTTGTATGTACATACTACATTTTCTGTAACCATTCATCTGTCAGTGGACATTTCGGTTACTTCGACCTCTTATCTATTGCGCAAAATGGGCCAATAAACATGAGTGTGCAAATATCTCTTCAAGATTCTGCCTTCGATTATTTTGTATATATATACCCAGAAAAAGAAGGGGGAGGCTGGGCGCAGTGGCTCACGCCTGTAATCCCAGCACTTTGGGAGGCCAACACTGGGCGGATCACGAAGTCAAGAGATCCAGACCACTCTGGCCAACATGGTGAAACCCCGTCTCTACTAAAAATACAAAAATTAGCTGGGTGTGGTGGCACGTGCTTATAGTCCCAGCTACTTCGGAGGCTGAGGCAGCAGAACCACTTGAACCTGGGAGGCGGAGGTTGCAGTGAGCTGAGATCACACCACTGCATTTGTGGCAACAGAGCGAGACTCCGTCTCAAAAAAAAAAAAAAAAAAAAAGAAGGGGGAAAGGGAATTCGGCAGTGCTTTTCTCAGGCACAACAACCCGACTTGGTAAGATAAACTACGATAGTCTTTTTTTATGGTTAGGAAAAGGACAAACGAACCTCTCTTTGGATCTGCATGTAGTTGTGACTACTGGATTTTATGGAAGCAATGACTCAGGGTTAGAGCTAATTCACGGGTATAAAAAAAGACTAGTGGTTACCCTCATATCTTTCATACACACAGTGAAGTTCCACTAATAGCATGTATCATTATAATTCAGGATTCTCAATAGGAGGAATTCTCAATAAAGCTGTTTGAAAAAGTCTATCTTCTCCAGAAATTGAAATCTCTTCCCTTCTTCACATTTACTGAGACTCATTAAGTCTCAAGAGACCTCTTAGAGAATTATACTTCCACTTGCAACTATTTCTTTATGATGGCCAAGTCACGGTTGTTGTTTTCAAGAGTATTTGGCAAAGTTCATCTAGTGAGTAGCCAGAAATATGAGCCTTAACTTTAAATGTTACTATAAAAAAAGAAGATAGATGCTATTAACTGTATGAAGCAATATAAAACTAAAAAATGGCAAGCAATTTACAATATGGACATCCTTTGTGTAAAAAAAACTGAGGAGATAAGTGTGTGTATGCTCACACATACACATTTATATACAATTCTATATATACTATTTTTGGAAGGATACTCAACAAACTGGAAACTGTAGTTGTCTAAAGAGTTTTGAAGGTCCAGGCTGGGGGCAGTGGCCCACACTTGTAATCCCAGCACTTTGGGAGGCCGAGCCGAGTGGATCAGGAGTTTGAGACCAGCCTGGCCAACATGGCGAAACCTTGTCGCTACTAAAAGTACAAAAATTAGCCGGGCATGGTGGCAGGCGCCTGTAATCCCAGCTACTCAGGAGGCTGAGGCAGGAGAATAGCTTGAACTCAGGAGGCGGAGGACGCAATGAGCAGAGATCGAACCACTGCACTCCAACGTGGGCAACAAGAGCGAGACTCCTCTCAAAAAAAAAAAAAGGAGTTCTGAAGGTCCAAAGTAAAACGAAGATGTGCTTTCACTATATATAACTCTGCACTGTTTGAAATTTTGTTGTTTTTCTTTTTTGAGGCAAGGTCGCCCAGGTTGGAGAGCAGTGGCGCAACCTCGGCTCACTGCAATCTCTGCTTCCAGGACTCAAACCACCCTCCCACCTCAGCTTCCCGAGTAGCTGAGACTACAGGCACACACCAGCACTTCCAGCTAATTTTTGTAACATTTTTTGTACAGATGGAGTTTTGCCATGTTGCCCAGACTGGTCCTGAATTCCAGAGCTTAAGCGATCCACCCACCTCAGCCTCCTAAAGTGCTGGGATTACAGGTGTAAGCCACCAGGCCCAGCCTGAAATTTCTGTAATAAAATACACTTATATTACTTTCCCAATTAAAGAAAAAACTTAGTTAACAAAACAAACAAATAAGAAAAAGAAATGGGCCGGGTGTGGTGGCTCATGCCTATAATCCCAGCACTTTGGGAGGCCGAGGTGGGCGGATCACCTGAGGTCGGCAGTTCAAGACCAGCCTGACCAACATGGAGAAACCCCATCTCTACTAAAAATACAAAATTAGCCGGGCATGGTAGTGCATGCCTGTAATCCCAGCTACTCGGGAGGCTGAGGCAGGAGAATCGCTTGAACCTGGGAGGCAGAGGTTGCGGTGAGCCGAGATCATACCATTGCACTCCAGCCTGGGCAACAAGAGTGAAAATCAGTCTCAAAAAAAAAGAAAGAAAGAAAATAAATAAATGATATTAAATCTGGGCACCCACACAATCAAATCATTTTTTTTTCATTGGGCTCCTTTATCAAATTGTCTGTTACTCAGCAACGTACAGACTACCTGGGTAATATTTTCAACTCTGGAAAGAAAAAAAGCAGATTGCGGTCAAAGTTCTCTTCCTTTTGAGTCTTACTGTTTTTCTTACTTGAAAAGAAGACAAGCAATTGGTCTTCAGCAAGAATATCCCCCTTTTCTGAAAGAACTCCTTCATCAATATATTAAAAGGTCCATTTTCAGGCCGGGTACAGTGGCTCATGCCTGTAATCCCAACACTTTGGAAGGCCAAGGTGGGAGGATTGCTTGAGCACAGGAGTTTAAGACCAGCCTGGGCAACATCATTTTAAAATTAGCCAGGTATTATGGCTCACACCTGTAGACCCAGCTACTTGGGAGACTGAGGTGGGAGGATCGCTTGAGCCCTGGAGTTCGAGGCTGTAGTGAGCCGAGACTGTGCCACTGCACTCCAGTCTGGGTGACAGAGTAAGACCCTGTCTCAAAAAAATAAGAAGAAAATAGGCTGGACATGGTGGCTTATGCCTATAACCCCAGCCCTTTGGGAAGCTGAGGCAGGTGGACCACTTAAGGCCAAGAGTTCAAGACCAGTCTGGCTAACATGGTGAAACCCCGTCTCTACTAAAAATACAAAAATTAGCCAGGTGTGGTAGTCCCAGCTACTCAGGAGGCTGAGGCACTAGAATCGCTTGAACCTGGAAGGCAGAAGTTGTAGTGAGCCAAGACTGCAGCACTGCACTCCAGCCTGGGCAACAGAGGAAGACTCTGTCTCAAAAAAACAAACAAATAAATAGTCCATTTTAAAAGCTCCAGAATATTAACAACTCAAAAATACAAATTCCTCACACCTGTAATCCCAGCACTTTGGGAGGCCGAGGAGGGCGGATCACGAGGTCAAGAGATCGAGACCATCCTGCCCAACATGGTGAAACCCTGTTTCTACTAAAAATACAAAAATTAGCCCTCTCCCTCTCCATCTCCCTCTCCCCACGGTCTCCCTCTCCCCACGGTCTCCCTCTCCCTCTCTTTCCACGGTCTCCCTCTGATGCCGAGCCGAAGCTGGACTGTACTGCTGCCATCTCCGCTCACTGCAACCTCCCTGCCTGATTCTCCTGCCTCAGCCTGCCGAGTGCCTGCGATTGCAGTCGCGCGCCGCCACGCCTGACTGGTTTTCGTATTTTTTTGGTGGAGACGGGGTTTCGCTGGGTTGGCCGGGCTGGTCTCCAGCTCCTAACCGTGAGTGATCCGCCAGCCTCGGCCTCCCGAGGTGCCGGGATTGCAGACTGAGTCTCGTTCACTCAGTGCTCAATGTTGCCCAGGCTGGAGTGCAGTGGCGTGATCTCGGCTCGCTACAACCTCCACCTCCCAGCCGCCTGCCTTGGCTTCCCAAAGTGCCAGGATTGCAGCCTCTGCCTGGCCGCCACCCCGTCTGGGAAGTGAGGAGCATCTCTGCCTGGCCGCCCATCGTCTGGGATGTGAGGAGCCCCTCTGCCCGGCTGCCCAGTCTGGGAACTGAGGAGCGCCTCTTCCCGGCCGCCATCCCGTCTAGGAAGTGAGGAGGGTCTCTGCCCCGCAGCCCATCCTCTGAGATGTGGGGAGCGCCTCTGCCCCGCCACCCCGTCTGGGAGGTGAGGAGCGCCTCTGCCCGGCCACGACCCCGTCTGGGAGGTGAGGAGCCCCTCCGCCCGGCAGCCGCCCCGTCTGAGAATTGAGGAGCCCCTCTGCCCGGCAGCCACCCCGTCTGAGAAGTGAGGAGCCCCTCCGCCCGGCAGCCGCCCCGTCTGAGAAGTGAGGAGCCCCTCCGCCCCGCAGCCGCCCCGTCCGGGAAGTGAGGAGCATCTCCGCCCGGCAGCCGCCCCGTCCGGGAGGTGGGGGGCAGCCCCCGCCTGGCCAGCCACCCCGTCCAGGAGAGAGGCGGGGGCCAGCCCCCGCCCGGCCAGCCGCCCCATCCGGGAGGGTGGTGGGGGCGCCTCCGCCCAGCCGCCGCCCCGTCCGGGAGGTGGGGGGCGCCTCTGCCCGGCCACCCCTTCTGGGAAGTGAGGAGCCCCTCTGCCCGGCCGCCACCCCGTCTGGGAGGTGTACCCAACAGCTCATTGAGAACGGGCCATGATGACGATGGCGGTTTTGTCGAATAGAAAAGGGGGAAATGTGGGGAAAAGATAGAGAAATCAGATTGTTGCTGTGTCTGTGTAGAAAGAAGTAGACATAGGAGACTCTATTTTGTTCTGTACTAAGAAAAATTCTTCTGCCTTGGGATGCTGTTGATCTATGACCTTACCCCCAACCCAGTGCTCTCTGAAACATGTGCTGTGTCCACTCAGGGTTAAATGGATTAAGGGCGGTGCAAGATGTGCTTTGTTAAACAGATGCTTGAAGGCAGCATGCGCATTAAGAGTCATCACCACTCCCTAATCTCAAGTACCCAGGGACACAAACACTGTGGAAGGCCGCAGGGTCCTCTGCCTAGGAAAACCAGAGACCTTTGTTCACTTGTTTATCTGCTGACCTTCCCTCCACTATTGTCCTATGACCCTGCCAAATCCCCCTCTGCGAGAAACACCCAAGAATGATCAATAAAAAAGAAAATTAATAAAAAATAAAAAAATAAAAATACAAAAATTAGCTGGGCATGGTGGCACGCACCTGTAGTCCCGGCTACTTGGGAGGCTGAGGCAGGAGAATCGCTAGAACCCAGGAGGCGGAGGTTGCAGTGAGCCGAGATTGCACCACTGCACTCCTGGCGACAGAGCAAGACTCCGTCTCAAAAAAAAAAAAAACAAAAACAAAAAATACAAATTCCAATTCCTGCTACCTATAAGAGGTGTCAACAGGTGTCAGAGGGTATGACAGAGTCACAGATTAATGACACCTCAACCAATGAATTACACCTCTCAGTATGTACTTCCTTGTGTAACCCCCTCACACACTCACACCTGGAACATATGACTTGCTTTGGCCAATGGGACATAAGCAAATGTCATATAAGCAGAGGCTTGATAAGCACTTGCACACTGGGATTTGTGCTGTAGATTGTAGCCATCACCACATGAAAAAATTCAGTCTGGCCTCCTTGAGGATAAAAAAACACATAGACAGAAATACCCAGCCATCCCAGCTGAGTCCAGTTCTCAGCTGACCAGCTGAGAATGCAGTCTTATGAGTGAGTCTAGGTGAGATAAGCAGAATAAACATGCAGTCAATCCACAGAATTGAGAAATAACGAACTGTTGTTCTTTTTAGGCTATGAAGTAGCAGAGAACTGATACAGAGGGTTTGTAAATGCCGTCCTCTCCTCACTGAGGTCCTTTCTCTAGAGATATTAACGGAATGCTTAAAAATTTTCTGAGATATATGAATATTTATAGTTTTAGGATGAAGTACTCTCCTTAGACCTAAGGACAAAAATTTACAAGTCAGAAGTATAAAGATCATAAACTAATTTTTAATATCAGACATCTAAGGAAAGTTTTTCAGTCTCTTACCTCAAAAATTTACTGTTCCCTTCTCCATCATCATCAAAATCCAGCCTGAGGAAAGCCAACAATAAATACTTTAAGCCTGCTGATAATACAAAACATTAAGAAGTTAAAATTTCTCAACACAAGCTACCGGAACACCCACCCAAATGGAAGAATGGAAAGAGGAAGTGGCAGAAGTCAAACAAAGCTACATTTCCTCTTGTTCATAGTCCCAAACTAGGCAAAGAAGTACAAAACTGGGGCCAGGAGTGGTGGCTCACGCCTGTAATCCCAGCACTTTGGAAGGCTGAGGTGGGTGGATCACCTGAGGTCAGGAGTTCGAGATCAGCCTGGCCAACATGCTGAAACCCCATCTCTACTAAAAATACAAAAATTAGCTGGGCATGGTGGCGGGTGCCTGTAATCTCAGCTACTCAGGAGGCTGAGGCAGGAGAATTGCTGGAACCCGGGAGGTGGAGGTTTCAGTGAGCCAAGATCGCACCATTGCACTCAAGCCTGGGCGACAACTGCAAGACTCCATCTCAAAAAAAAAAAGTACAAAACTGGGCAATAGAAACAAAAGTACCTTCTGCTACCTTAACACTTTCCTAGAGTAGCAGTCAATCTTTGCCAGAGTTTTCAATCAGACTACAACCTCTGTAAAGGGAGCAGGAATCCACTCAGAAAAAATAAGAAAAAATTAACGTAAATAATTCAGGTCCATGTTTCATTTCTAGAGTCTGCTCTAAGCCGTGTTACCAAATTTCTGAAACATCTTTCAAAGCAGTGATCTTACATAAAGGAGTGACTTAATACCTACGAAGATTGTTAGATAATGTTTCTTTCCTTCATTGATCTAATAAACATGTAATATATACTTCATTCAAGACACTGTGCTAGGTGAGGTAAAAACAAGAACCTTGCCCTCAAGGGGCTCTTCACCTAGAGAAATACAAATATAAAACAAGTGAGAATAGGAAAGTGTCACATAAGGGGTACAATCAACATGCTACAGACATTCAGGGAAAGAAGAAGTGAATTTCTTTAAAGGAGATTAGGAAAGATTATAAACAATAAAATAGACCAATCCCCTTATAATCTCTGTACACTATTGAACTAAAATATTGCTCATGTTACCACCTTAACCTAGTGATCACTCTTTTTACTTCTACTATTGGGATACCTTGATATTATGGGCCTCTAGATGGGTCGCATTTGAAGTACACATACAGCATCAATCCTGAAAGTGTTTGCTCCTCTTCCTCCTTCCTGAATCCCCTAATCTGGTCACCTGTAAAATCCTATCTATCTACCCAGTAACTCAAATTCTTTCTTTCTCTCTATCTCTTCCTTTCTTTCTTTTTAAGAGACAAGCTCTCACTCTGTTACTCAGGCTGGAGTACAGTGGCATGATCATAGCTCACTGCCACCTTGAGCTCCTGGGCTCAAGGGATCCTCCCATCTTGGCCTCCCAATTAGCTGGAACTATAGGAGCCCACCACTGCACTCAACTAAATTTTTTTATTTTAAAAAATCTCAGCCAGGCATGGTTGCTCACACCTGTAGTCCACGCACTTTGGGAGGCCAAGGCGAGCAGACTACTTGAACTCAGGAGTTTAAGACCAGCCTGGGCAACACGGTGAAATCCCGTCTCTACAAAACATACAAAAACTAACCAGGCATGGTGGCGCATGTGTAGTCCTAGCTACTTGGGTTGGGGGGGCGGGAGGGGCTGCAGGCCTTGAGCCTGGGAGGTCAAGGCTGCAGTGAGCTGAGATTGGGCCACTGCACTCCAACCTCAGTGACATGGCAAGACCCTGTCTCAAAAAAGAAAAGGGGCCAGCCACTGTGGCTCACATCTGCAATCCCAGCACTTTGGGAAGCTGAGGCAGGCGGATCACTTGAGGTCAGGAGTTCAAGACCAGCCCAGTCAACATGGTGAAACCTCGTCTCTACTAAAAATACAAAAATTAGCTGGGTGTGGTGGCGGGCACCTGTAATCCCAGCTACTCGGGAGGCTGAGGCATGAGAATTGCCTGAACCCGGGAGGCAGAGGTTGCAGTGAGCCAAAATTGCGCCACTGCACTCCAGCCTAGGCAACAAGAGCGAAACTACATCTCAAAAAAAAAAAAAAAAAAAAGGGAAGGGGAAAGAGAGGGAAGGAGGGAGGGAAAGGTAATTGCTAAGTCAAAGGAAAAAAATGAAGGAAGGAAGGAAAAGAAAGATAATTGCTAAGTCAAAGAAAAAAAAGTCTCGCCATTTTCCCCAGGCTGGTCTTGAATTCCTGGGCTCAAGTAATCCTCCTACCTCAGCCTCCCAAAGTGCTGGCACTACAGGTATGAGCCTCCGTGCTCAGCCCAATAACTCTATTTCTAAGAATCTAAAGAAATAATATGAAATAGGAAAAAAAAGTTTAGGTACAAAGAAGTTCTTTTTAGCATCATATGTAACAGCAAAATCTTCAAAACAATTTAGATGTCCCAAAATAGGAAGTTAAGTACATCCTTTCACGCAACCATTAAAAATTATGTTTATGGCTGTGCGCAGTGGCTCATGCCTGTAATCCCAGCACTTTGAGAAGCCAAGGCAGGCGGATCACGAAGTCAGGAGATGGAGACCATCCTGGCTAATATGGTAAAACCCCGTCTCTACTAAAAATACAAAAAAAAAAAAAATTAGCCAGACGTGGTGGTGGACGCCTGTAGTCCCAGCTACTCGGGAGGCTGAGGCAGGAGAATAGCATGAACCCAGGAGGCGGAGCTTGCAGTGAGCCAAGATCGCATCACCGCACTCCAGCCTGGACAACAAAGCGAGACTCCGTCTCAAAAAAAAATAAATAAAAATTATGTTTATATAGAATATGTAACAATATTTTTTTAAAGGGCCAGGTACAGTAGGTCATGTCTGTAATCCCAACACTTTAGGACGTCGAGATGGGAGGGCTGCTTGAGCCTAGGAGTTTTAGACCAGCCTGGTCAACGTAGTGAGACCATGTCTTTAAAAAAAAAAAAAAAAATAGCCAGGTATGGTGCCATGTGCCTGTGGTCCCAGCTACTCGGAGAACTGAAGTAGGAGGATTGCTTCCTGGGCCCAAGAAGTTGAGGCTACAATGAGCCATGATCATGCCACTGCACTCCAGCCTGGGCAACAGAGCAAGACTCTGTCTCCGAAATGTGTGTGTGTGTGTATTGCTTATTATTTATATAAGGTGCCAAAATGTGTGTGTGCGTGTGTATTGCTTATTATTTATATAAGGTGAAAAGACTAGGCCATGTAAAACTATATAATTACATAACTATTAAAAACAATTTACATATAAAGACTGAAGGACATGCACTAAAAAACATGGTAGTAGATTTTGGCCTTTTTATTGTTCTTTCTAACTTTCTGTATTTTCCAATCTTTCTTTAAAAGAAATATGGGCCGGGTGCAGTGGCTCGTGCCTGTAATCCCGCACTTCGGGAGGCCAAGGCGGGTGGATCACGAGGTCAGGAGATCGAGACCATCCTGGCTAACACGGTGAAACCCCGTCTCTACTGAAAATACAAAAAAATTAGTCGGGCATCATGGCGGGCGCCTGTAGTCCCAGCTACTCGGGAGGCTGAGACAGGAGAATGGCGTGAACCTGGGAGGTGGAGGTTACAGTGAGCTGAGATCACACTACTGCACTCCAGCCTGGGCGACAGAGCGAGACTCCATCTCAAAAAAATAAAAAATAAAATAAATAAATAAAAGAAATATTAGGCCGGGCATGGTGGCTCATGCCTGTAATCCCAGCACTTTGGGAGGCCAAGGTGGGCATATCACCTGAGGTCAGGAGTTCGAGACCAGCCTGGCCAACGTGGTGAAATCCCATCTCTACTAAAAATACAAAAATTAGCTGGGCGTGGTGGCGCACGCCTGTAGTCCCAGCTGCTTGGGAGGCTGAGGCAGGAGAATCCCTTGAACCAGAGAGGTGGAGATTGCAGTGAGCCAAGATCACACCACTGCACTCCAGCCTGGCAAAAGAGCAAGACTCTGCCTCGAAAATAAATAAGTAAATAAAAATAAAAGAAATATTAAAAGACTTCTTTTAGGACAGGTGAAGTGGCTCACGCCTGTAATCCCAGTACTTTGGGAGGCCAAGGCAGGAGGACTGCTTGAGCAGGAGTTTGAGGCTGCAGTGGGCCATGATTGTGCCTCTGCACTCCAGCCAGGGTACAAGACCCTGTCTCTAAAAAAACCAAAAAGAAAATTTTTAAAGACTTCCTTTAATATATTTTTCTGATTACCAATCATACATGTTCATTTCAAAAATCTGAAAAATCAAAAACAAAAGAAACCGTAAGTCACCCATAATACTATTACCCAGAAATGTGGTATATATTCTTTCAGTTTTTTCCTATGTACATGTTATACATATCTTTTGACAGTGAAATACTATAATACTGTAACCTTTCTTAATAGATTGTGAACATCTTTCTACACTGAAACATATTTGTCGCTTATAACTACATAGCATTCCATTTTAAATATACTATGACTTTCTCAAGTGATGCCCTAATTTTGATATTTATAATACTTTTGTTTGTTACTGTACATAAACATAACACAGTGTTTAAAGAGTAAGCTACAAAGCTAAACCCCTAAGGTTCATATCCTATATCTGACACTTACTAGCTTTACAATCTTAGAAAGTTACTTATTCAGCTTATGCTTCAGCAAATGGTTAAAATCTGTAAAGCTACTGAACATATAACAAGTCTTAATATGTTACTCATGTTACCACTGAACCCAAGCATCACTCTTCCATTACTATTGGTGGGACAAAACTTAAAGACTGGTTATAATTAGCTGCACAATTTTTAAAAAGAAAAAGAAGGAAAAAGGAAAATTTAATACCAAAAAGTAAATAAAATAGTGCCCATTCTTCCAGGCCCCTCTAAGGCAACCTCCTTTCTGAAGCTTTTCTCAGTCTTTACCAACAAATGCATATTTCCATACACAGAAAAACATAGTATCAAATTTGTTCCTAACAAAACTAGGCATATTCTATCATATATTCATGTGTATAATAATTATTTCTATCAGAACACAACCAACTTAGAAACAAGGACTGTGTCTTATTCATCTTTGTATCCTACTTGGAATCAGCACAATGCCATAACACTAATTAGGAATTTAATAAATACTTTTGGAGCTGAATGGACTCTGCATTCCAAACCAAGCAACATATCAATAACTTAGAAGACAGCTATTCTAGAGCTCAGCATTCTCTAAATTCAGAAAAGCAGCCTACCAAAATGATTTTGGGAAAACAGAAACAAAGCTTAATGAAAGCAGCAAACAGTTTTCTCAGGCATAGTAAAATCTCTGGGCTTAGCTACAGTCCTTTATCTTACGGAAATTTTGGTTTAAAAAAAGAACTGCTTACGGGAAACTTGGATAAAAACAAATTCTTCATAAACAAAAATACAGGGACTAAGGAGACTTATATGACAGTAGTGTAGTAAGTAATCAAGTTGAAGTGAGATGGTCAGGAATAGCGAAGTGAGTTCAGCAACTAAATAAATTCAGCAACTAAAGTTGGTTTATAGGAGAGATATTCATAACACACTACACTCAAACTCACCCTGGTCGCCGCTTAATAGCCCTCTGGACAATGGCTCCTCCACCTTGAATTCCAGGTCCAGAGTTTCCAGAGGCAATGGCTGGACCCAGTGATGGTACATCTGATGTCATTTCTGTCAGGAAAATAATGAAGTAAACATTTTTAAAAAGACAGTCCTTGCTTATCATCAGTATCATCAAGTTAGCTAAAAGAAAGGTTCAAGCTATAGACAAAATCTCAGCAGTTTGCTAAAAATCCCAAATGCTCATATCCAGATTGCTCTTCTTGATTTTTTTTTTTTTTTTTGAGACCAGGTCTCACTCTGTTGCCTGGGCTAGAGTGCACTGGTATAATCACTGGTATAGGTCACTACAGCCTCAAACTCCTGGGCTCAAGCAATCCTCCCACCTCAGCTTCTGGAATAGCTAGGACTATAGGCCCGCACTACCACACCCAGTTAATTTTTTTTTTTTTTTTTAGAGATGGGGTCTTGATATGTTGCCCAGGCTGGTCTTGAACGCCTAGCTCCAAGAGATCATCCTGCTTTGGCATCCCAAAGTGCTGGGATTATAGGCATGAGCCACCACACACGGTCTCTTCTTGAATTCTTACACTGGTACAAGATATCCCCATACTTCAGTTCCCCCCATGTCATAGAGTTTGGAAGAAGTACTATATTCTGCAAACTTCATGTTAAAAAGCTTATACATACATAACAATATACTAATATTGTATAGACTTAATAATATACTAATTTTAAAAAAATACATACATAAATGGGTTTATACATTTCATTCATGCAACAAATATTTATAACTTATTTTATTTATTGTGATTGGAAAATACAGAAAACCCCAAAGGAAAAATCACCTAAATTCCAATACTTAAAAGAAAATTATGTAAAGTAAAACTGAAAGTCCCTCATTATTGTCTCCCTTTCCTGCCCCCCGTACCTCTCCTCTCTCCTTCCAATTCAATCTCATCCCCCAGCAGTAACCATTAGTAACAGCTGAGTACTTTTTTTTTTTTTTTTTTAAGACAGGGTCTCACTTTGTCCAGCCCAGGCTGGAGTACAGTGGCATGATCATGGCTTACTGCAGCCTCAACCTCCCGGGCTCCAGTGATCCTCCTGTCTCAGCTTCCTAAGTAGCTGGGACTACAGATGGGTACCACCACACCTCGGTGATTTTTTTTTTCTTTTTTTTTCTTTGTAGAGATAGGGTCTCACTGTGTTCCCCAGGCTGGTCTCAAACTCCTGAGCTCAAGCAATACTCCCACCTCAGCTTCCCAGAGCACTGGAATTACAGGTTTGAGCCACTGAGCCCAGCCCTGAGTATATTTTCTCTTATTTTTCAATCTCAGTTTATATATACCTAACTCTGTAATCAAAAAGAGGTGCAGGCTGGGCACAGTGGCGGATGCCTGGAATCCTAGAGCTTTGGGAGACCAAGGTGGGCAGATCACTTGAGCCCAGGAGTTCGAGACTAGCCTTTGCAACACAGTGAAACCTCATCTGTACAAAAAATACAAGTTAGCCAGCATGGTGGCCCATGCCTGTAGTCCCAGCTACTCAAGAGGTTGATGTGGGAGGATCACTTGAGCCTGGGAAGTCGAGGCTGCAGTGAGTCGTGATTGCACCACTGCACTCCACCCTGGGCAACAGAGCAAGATCCTGTCTAAAAAAAAAAAAAGGGTGCATTTTTCTCTTAGTAAAAAATGGAGGCCTGATCTTCAACTTGCTCGTCATTTCAATATACATCATGAATATCTATCTACACACATCTCATTGTTTTTTGTTAGTTCATACTGTATAGTGTACAATATTTTGTGCATCAAATAACACTACCAACAGAGTGAAAAGGCAACCCATGGAATAGAAAAAAAAAAATTCTTTTTTTTTTTTTTTGAGTTAGAGTCTCACTCTGTCGCCCAGGCTGGAGTGCAGTGGCGCAATCTTGGCTCCCTGCAACCTCCAACTCTCGGGTTCAAGTGATTCTCGAGCCTCAGCCTCCCAAATAGCTGGGATTACAGGCACGCACCACCACGCCTGGCTAATTTTTGTATTTTTATTAGAGATGGGGTTTCACCATGTTGGCCAGGCTGGTCTTTAACTCCTGACCTCAAGTGATCCGCCCACCTCAGCCTCCCAAAATGCTAGGATTACAGGCATGAGCCACCGTGCCCAGCAGAAAAAAAAATTTTCGAATCATATATGCAACACAGAATATCCAAAATATATAAAGAGTGGCCAGGCACGGTGGCTCACACCTGTAATCCCAGCACTTTGGGAGGCCAAGGCGGGCATATCACCTGAGGTCAGCAGTTCGAGACCAGCCTGATCAACATGGTGAAATCCCATCTCTACTAAAAATACAACAATTAGCCAGGAATGGTGGTGGGCACCTGTAATCCCAGCTACTCGGGAAGCTGAGGCAGGGAGAATTAATTGAACCCAGGAGGCGGAGACTGCAGTGAACCAAGATCGCACCACTGCACTCCAGCCTGAGCGACAGAGAAAGACTCTGCCTCAAAAAAATAAACAAATAAAAAATAAAACAAAATATATAAAGAGCTCCTACAACTCAACAAAAAGCAAACCCAATTTTAAAATGGGCAAAGAACTTGAACAAGCATTTCTACAAAGAAGATATACTAATGGCCAATAAATACATGTAAAGTGCTCAACATAACCAATCGCTAGGGAAATGCAAATCAAAACCACAATGAGAAAGCATTTGCTACTCATTAAGATGACTATTATCCAAAAATATATAAATAAATAAAGGGTTGGCAAGGATGTGGAGAAATTAAAACCCTTATGCACTGCTAGTGGAAATGTAAAATGGCGTAACAGCAATAGAAAACAGTATGGAGATGCCTCCAAAAATTAAAAATAAAACTGGGTGCAGTGGTGCGCACCTGTAGTCCCAGCTACTCGGGGTCTGAGGCAGGAGAATCTTGAGTCCAAGATCAGGCTGGGAAACACAGCAAGACAACATCGCAAAAAAAAAATTAAATTAAAAATAGAATTACCACATGATCCAGCAATTCCACCTCTGGGTATATACCTGAAAGAATTGAAAGCAGGGTCTCAAAGAAACATTTGTATACCCACGTTCACAGAAGTACTATTCAACAGTAGTCAAGGGTGAGGGCAACCCAAGTGTCTATCTACAGGTTAACGGATAAAGAAACTGTGGGGCTGAACATGGTGGCTTACACCTGTAAGGCTAGCACTTTAAAAGGCCGAGGGAGGAGGATCATTTGAGTCCAGAAGTTCAAGACCACCCTGGGCAACACAGTGAGACCCTATCTCTAAAAAAAATGAACAAAATTGGCCATACATGTGGTATGTGCCTGATTACAGGCATGAGTCACCACGCCCAGCCAGGGTTTCGGTAATTTTTACCCAAAAAAAAGGGTCATACTATACAAACAGTCCTGACTTATAATGGTTCCATGTAGGGCTTTTCACCTTTATGATAGTGGGAAACCATTACAATTTCAGTGTAATGTACAGTGTTCTGTAAATTACATAATATCCAGTACTTTATTATAAAGTAGAATTTAAGTTAGATTATTTTGCCCACTGCAGGCTAATGTAAGTATTCCACACACATTTAAGGTAGTCTAGGCTAAGAATAGGTTAAGTGTATTAAATGTATTTTTGACTTAGGATGTTTTCAATTTACAATGGGTTTATCAAGCCATAACCCCACCATAAGTACAGATGTACTTATTCTGAACTTTTTCCCTTCCACGTAACAATATATTGCTATGGCAATAAATACACACGTAGATCATTCTTTTTAACAGTTACATAGTACTCTGTACTATAAATGTATAGTTATGACATTCAAACCTTCACTATTATAAATAATGTTTCAAGGAACATCATTGTGTATCTTCATGCACAGGTGCCAGTACTTCCATATTATTTCTGAAAATGACTCCCTGGGCCTAAGGGTAGACACATTTAAAACTCTGATTGCCCATTACCTGCCAAGGAGGTTATACCAATTTAAAGCCTCATCCACTGCATCAATTTAGCCATACCTCCAACAGCACTGTGTTTTGGGAATCCTTCAAATTTGTGGTCATTTTCTTGGTAAAAAACAATTACCACTGTTAGTTTAACATACATTAAGGCTGAGTATATTTTTATGTTACTGCTAATTTTTCTATTTCAGCCTATAAATTTGAAATAGTAAGCATATGTTACTTTCCTAAGAAAAAACACTTTTTCCATTAAAAAAAAAAGTTCAGGGCCAAGTGCAGTGGCTCATGCCTATAATCCCAGCACTTTGGGAGGTCAAGGCATGAGGATTGCTTGAGCTCAGGAGTTCAAAACTAGCCTGAGCAACATAGTGAGATCCTGCCTCTGTAAAAAAAAAAAAAAAAAAAAAAAAGTTCATACTTTTAGTAATACGTTTATATAGGATATAAGAGTACCATGGAGTCAAACCTGTAATCCTAGCACTTTGAGAGGCCGAGGCAGGCAGATCACGACATCAGGAGTTCGAGACCAGCCTGGCCAATATGGTGAAACTCCGTGTCTACTAAAAATACAAAAATTAGCCAGGCATGGTGGCGCACACCTGTAGTCCCAGCTACTCGGGAGGCTGAGGCAGAAGAATCGCTTGAACACAAAAGGCGGAGGTTGCAATGAGCCAAGATCGTGCCACTGCACTCTAGCCTGGGTGACAGAGCAAGATTCCGTCTCAAAAAAAAAAAAAAAAAAAGATTACCATGGAGGCCAGGCACGGTGGCTGATGCCTGTAACCCCAGCACTTTAGGAGGCTGAGGTGGGTAGATCACTTAAGGTCAAGTTTGAGACCAGCCTGACCAACACGGCAAAATCCCGTCTCTACTAAAAATACAAAAATTAGTCAGGTGTGGTGGTACACGTCTATAATCCCAGCTACTTGGGAGACTGAGGCATGAGAATCGCCTGGGAGGCAAAGGCTGCAGTGAGCCGAGATCATGCCACTGCACTCCAGCCTGGGCAACAGAATGAGACTCTGTCTCAAAAAAAAAAAAAAGAGTGCCAGGTAAATTCAGAGAAGATAATCCTGGTTTAAATTAAGGCCTGGCATAGTACTTGCAGAGAAGATGCTCAATATGAAGAGGAAACTAAAGGAAATAAAGAAGGCAGGCAACCAGCCCATGGGGAAGTTTCAAAAAGGTAAATCAAACTGGGCCTTAAAAAAAGTAAAGGAGACCAGGCACAGTGGCTCACGCCTGTAATCCCAACACTTTGGGAGGCCGAGGTGGGTGGATCACCTAAGGTCAGGAGTTCGAGACCAGCCTGACCAACATGGTGAAACCCCGTCTCTACTAAAAATATAAAAAATTACCAGGCGCCTGTAATCCCAGCTACTCAGGAGGCTGAGATAGGAGAATTGCTTGAACCCAGGAGGCAGAGGTTGCAGTGAGCCAATCGAGCCACTGAACTCCAGCCTGGGCAACAAGAGCAAAACTCCGTCTCAAAAAAAAAAAGTAAAGAAGAAGAAAAAGGCATTCCACATAGATAAAAGTACATGAGCAAGTCTAAAGGGAGATATGAAAATACAGTTATGTATCACTTAACAACAGGGATATGTTCTGAGAAATGTGTCATTAGGAGATTTCAACATTGTGTGAATATCATTGAGTATACTTACACAAATCTAGATGGTACAGCCACTACACACCTAGGTATGTAGGTGTATAGCCTACATACCTATATGTAGCCTATTACTCCCAGTAACAGCCTATTACTCCCAACCTGTACAACATGTTACTATACTGAATACTGTAGGCAACTATAACTCAGTGGTAACTATTTATGTATCTAAACATAGAAAAAGTAATGTGTTGTGCTAAGACCTTATGACAACTATGATGTCACTGGGCAATAGGAATTTTTCATCTCCATTATAATCTTATGGGACCACCATCATACATGCAGTCCTTTGATGACCAAAGTGTCATTAGGTGACACATAACAGCAACTGTGAAGAGCTGTAAAGAAAAAGACCTATTGGAACCAACCCAAATGTCCAACAATGATAGACTGGATTAAGAAAATGTGGCACATATACACCATGGAATACTATGCAGCCATAAAAAATGATGAGTTCATGTCCTTTGTAGGGACATGGACGAAATTGGAAATCATCATTCTCAGTAAACTATCGCAAGATCAAAAAACCAAACACCGCATATTCTCACTCATAGGTGGGAACTGAACAATGAGATCACATGGACACAGGAAGGGGAATATCACACTCTGGGGACTGTGGTGGGGTGGGGGGAGGGGGGAGGGATAGCATTGGGAGATATACCTAATGCTAGATGACCAGTTAGTGGGTGCAGCGCACCAGCATGGCACATGTATACATATGTAACTAACCTGCACAATGTGCACATGTACCCTAAAACTTAAAGTATAATAAAAAATAAATAAATAAATAAATAAATAAATAAAAGAAATATGATAAACATATAAATAATATGTGGTGGAATGTAAAAAAAAAATTGCCCCTGAAGAAAACAAAATGGTTTTCTTTAAATCAAAAAAAAAAAAAAAAAGAAAGAAAAAGACCTATAAAAGGTAAGATGTCAAGTGCTAACCAAGAGAAAGCTTTGAATGCCACGATGAAACACCTGGATCAGATTCAACAAAGACAAACATATAACTTTAAGTCTGAGTAACAAGATGAAAATATAAATTAAAATTAATCTGACAGATTTAAAGTTTGAAGTAATAGAAGTAGGAAGACAAGATTAATAAAAAAAACAAGGTGATAAAGGCCTAAATGAGGATGGCACAACGAAAAGGTAGTTACTTCTAAAATTTTAAACTATGCAACTTCTGAGTAAGGATAGTGAATTAAATGTATCTATCTATTTCTACTCTCTTCTCTCTTCACTCACACACAGGAAAAAAATTTTTAAAAGCAAAAATTTTTACACAAGACATAAAACCACAAGGATGGAAAGAATAAGAGAAGAAGAGCAATAATTTTTTTGAAACTAGAGATAAAATGGACTATTGCCTTGGGAGATCGACAAGAACTAAATCCTAAACTGACAAGGGAAAAAGCAGAAAACCAACTCAATTTACGCTATGGAATTCCCCAAAGTCTCAGAAGCTGGTGAGTCCAGGTAACTCTGGGTATGCAGGGTAGGGTGAATGAAGTGAAAATAAGGAGAATTAGTTCAGCATCTGTTTACTACAGAGATGGATTCCTAGATCCTTTTCTCTATTCCTTCTAACCAAGGCAACTACCCCTCTCCATTCTGTCAAAAGACAGATTTACTCTCTGGAGAGTATAAATCAAAGGTCTTACAGTCTAGTGAACACGACGTAAAGGTGAAAGTGAGGGACCCGTACTGAAAACAGGAAAACTAACACCAATGTATGCATACTACATGCTTCATTTTTCTTCTGTGTTATACTGCCTATTTCCTATATTTCGTATCTCCACTTTCTTGGTTTACTATCTCCTACTGGTAGAGCCTATCTTCTAGTGGATTCCTGAAAGGGTGTAAGAAATGCCTTGGATGTATGAAAATATTTCTTCTATTTCACTAATTGATAGTTTGCCTAGCTATGGAATTCTAAATTAGAATTTATTTTCCCTCAGAATTTTGAAGGCATTACTCCAAAGTTTTTTTTTTTTTTTTTGAGACAGAGTCTTCGCTCTTTTGCCCAGGCTGGTGTGCAGTGGCGTGATCTCGGCTCACTGCAACCTCTGCTTCCCAGGTTCAAGCAATTCTCCTGCCTCAGCCTCCCAAGTAGCTGGTACTACAGGCACACACCACCACGTCCAACTAATCTTTGTATTTTTAGTAGAGACGGGGTTTCACCATGTTGGCCAGGCTGGTCCCAAACTCCTGACCTCAGGTGATCCACCTGCCTCAGCCTCCCAAAATGCTGGGATTACAGGCGTGAGCCACCAAGGTCAGTCAGCCTGTTCCAAGGTCTTCTACTTTCCAGCATGACTACTGAGAAAAAAGACCAATCTGATACCTGAATCTTTTGAATGTGAATAATCTTATTCTCTCTGAAGCTTATAGGATATTCTCTATCTGATGCTGAAATTTCAGCATAATGGGCCTTGATGTGTGCACAGCCCCTTTGATCTGGAAACTAATGTCTTTCACTGGGACACTTTATTTAAACAGAAACAAAGAATTCTGTTAAAAGAAATAAAAATGATGCCACTGGAGAGAAGGAAATGAGAGAAAGGGAGCAGAGGACTCCCTTATAATTTTTTTGTAACAAACATTTTATAAAACTATCTAAGTCTTTAAATATTAATATATGGATGTATAGTTTTGATTTAAATAACTTTTATATATGTATGTATACACACATACATATACACACACACACACGTATATTTGGCAAAAGACCTGAGAAGAGTTAATAACCCAGATAAACACATAAAAAATAAAATCCAAACACTTATAGTTCCTTAGCCTGGGGAAATGAAAAACTGAATTGTGATAGTGATGAAAGATACAGAAAGGTAGGAAGAACAGCAGATTTAAAGGAAATACTGGTGAGTACATACATATATAGGATGTTAAAGATTATTCAAATAGAGGCTGGGCGCAATGGCTCACACTTGTAATCCCAGCACTGTGGGAGGCCAAGGCAGGTGGATCACTTGAGGACGGGAGTTCAAGACCAGCCTGGCCAACATGGTGAAACCCCATCTCTACTAAAGATACAAAAAATTAGCCAGGCGTGGTGGCACACTGTAGTCCCAGCTACTCGAGAGGCTGAGGCACAAAAATCATTTGAACCTAGGAGGCGGAGGCTGCGGTGAGCCAAGATCGCACCACTGCACTCCAGCCTGGGCAACACAGAAAGACTCTGTCTTTAAAAAAAACAACAACAACAAAAAAAAACAGATTACTCAAATAGAGCTGGGCATCGTGTCATACACCTATAATCCCAGCTACTAGGGAGACCAAGATGGGGGGACTACTTGAGCTCAGCAGTTCAAGACCAGTCTGGGCAATACAGTGAGACCTCATTTCTATAAATTAAAAAAAAAAAAAACTATTCAAACAGAGATGCAGCCAGGCACAATGGCACACACCTGTAGTCCAGCTACTCAGGTTGCTGAAGTGGGAGGAATGCTTGAGCCCAGGATTTCAAGACCAGCCTGGGCAACATAGTAAAACCCTGTCTCAACTTTAAAAGAAAAAGAGAGAGATATCTTTTAAATAGATAAAAATATAGGAAAGTAGTTTATGTGAGAAGCCAGGAATGAAATTTTTGGAGTCTTTTATACATAAAAGATAAATAAAGGGTGATATGGTTTGGCTCTGTGTGTCTCCACCCAAATATCATGTCAAATTGTAATCCCCAGTGTTGAAGGTGCAGTCTGGTGGGAGGTTATTGGATCATAGGGGTGGTTTCCAAAGGTTTAGCACCATTCCCCTAATGCTCTCTCATGATAGAGTTCTCAAGAGATCTGGTTGTTTGAAAGTGTGTAGCACCTTCCCCTTCTCTCCCTCTATCCTGCCAGCCATGTGAAGACATGCTTGCTTCCCCTTCGCCTTCCGCCATGATTCCAAGTTTCCTGAGGCCTCCCCAGCCCTGCCTCCCATACAGCCTGCGGAACTATGAGTCAATTAAACCTCTTTTCTTCATAAATTACCCAGTCTCAGGTAGTTATTTATAGCAGTGTGAGAATGGACTAATACAAAGGGAAGAGGACTATGGTAGGTACCAAGTGAATGTCAAATTGAAGTAGGAAGGCAAGCAGCTAGAAAGGCAGGTAGGTGGGCAAATGGGAAGAAATGAAGGAAACTGCTTGGTTTACTATTTAGTTCTAGCCCCAAGCCGGGCACTGTGGTGTACACTTGTAATCCCAGCTACTCAGGAAGCAGAGGTGGGAGGATCATTTGAGCTCAGGAATCCAAGACCAACGTGGGCAACATAGCAAGACCCTGTCTCAAAAAAGAGTCAAGACCCTGTCTCAAAGAAGAGTCCTAGCCTCAAGGGTGAGAAGAGAAAAGTAGAAGCATACTGAACAAGAGAAAGAAACAAGCAGAAAGATAAGCAAAAAGGACAAAGAAGGAACAATCAGTGATAAAGACCTAGCAACAGTGTCTCTGAAACCAAGTTTCTAGGAGAGGCTCAATTATGGAGTATCAAGAACTTGTAGAGGATTCTAATAACAATCCTAAAAGCTGCAGTGCATGATTCATGCCTGTAATCTCAGCAATCTGGGAGGCCAACAGCAGGAGGATCACTCGAGGACAGTAGTTCAAGACCAGCCTGGGCAGGCCGGGCGCGGTGGCTCACGCCTGTAATCCCAGCACTTTGGGAGGCCGAGGTGGGCAGATCACGAGGTCAGGAGATCGAGACCATCCTGGCCAACATGGTGAAACCCCGTCTCTACTAAAAACACAAAAATTAGCCAGGCGCGGTGGCACGTGCCTGTAGTCCCAGCTACAGGAGGCTGAGGCAGGAGAATCGCTTAAACCCGGGAGGCAGAGGTTGCAGTGAGCCGAGATCACGCCACTGCACTCCAGCCTGGGTGACAAAGCAAGACTCCGTCTCAAAAAATAATAATAAAATTTAAAAAAAAAAGGACCAGCCTGGGCAACATAGCGAGATCCTGTCTCTACAAAATTAAAAAATTAGCTGGGCATGATGGTGCATACCTATGGTCCCAACTATTCAGGAAACTGAGGAGTGAGAATCGCTTGAGCCTAGGAATTGGAGGTGTTGCAGGAAGCTATGGTCACGCTACTGCACTCCAGCCTGGCTGACACAACAGGACCTTGTCTCAAAAAAACCCTTAAAAGTATTTAAAGAATTGAAACATAGAACTAGGAGAAAGAAATATAGAATGTTAGGCTGGGCGCGCTAGCTCAAGCCTATAATCCCAGCACTTTGGGAGGCTGAGGTGGGCGGATCACAAGGTCAGGAGATCGAGGCCATCCTGGCTAACACAGTGAAACCCCATCTCCACTAAAAACACAAAAAATTAGCAGGGCATGGTGGTGGATGCCTGTAGTCCCAGCTACTCGCGAGGATGAGGCAGGAGAATGGCGTGAACCTGGGAGGCGGAGCTTGCAGTGAGCTGAGATCGTGCCACTGCACCCCAGCCTGGGTGACAGAAGGACACTCAGTCTCAAAAAAACAAAACAAAACAAAATGAAGAATTATAGAATGTTACAGAAAAGATTTTAGGAAACTACTCCTTTTTTTTTTTTTTTCCTAGAGACAGGGGCTCACTCTGTCAACCAGATTAGAGTCCAGTGGCATGATCATGGCTCACTGCAGCCCTGACCTAGCAAGCTCAGAGATCCTCCCACCACCTCAGCCTCCCAAGTAGTTGGGACTATAGGCATCCACCACCACATCTAGCTAATTTTTTTATATATATTTTTGTGGAGACAAGGTCTCCCTATATTGCTCAGGCTGGTCTCCAACTCCTGGGCTTAAACAATCCTCTCACCCTGGCCTCTCAAAGTGCTGAGATTACAGGTATGAGCCACCACACTCAGCCTGGAAACTACTGTTCTAGCTCCTTTTTTTAGCACCTTGCACTTGGTTCTCCAACCAAGCAATGCCTTGCCCCCAGGCTGCCTAATGTGGTATTTCACCCTTTTCATCTACAAAAAAGACAATACTCCACCTACCTCCTTCTCAAAAGATATCCATTGTACTATATTTCAGTAGGAAGGTGACTCTAAGTCACAATGGAAAAAATCATAACTTGGAGATTAAGAATGATGACTGTGTAGATGGACTGCCAACAATAAAATTCTGTCTCTAACTTCTAGTAGCTATGTGACTTCAGACAAGTTACTTATTCACTCTCTGTGCCTTAGTTTCCTCATCTGTAAAACAAGAATAATAATACTTACCTAATACGATTGTTATAAAAATTAAATGAGAACAGCTGGTAAGTATTACTAATAAATATTAGATATTATTATAGTTAGTACAAATTCATGATGTCAATGGCTTAATTAGTTTTATCCCTTCAAAGGTATTTCATATTAACAGTGGGTTTTACATTCATTTTTATTCCACAAACATACATTGAACTCTAATCCAACATACTAGGCACCCACTGTAAGCACTGCAATGCTCTGGTAAACAAGGAAAGCAAAAGTTCTGCTCTCATGGAACTTATATCCTAAGTATGCTGGTTTTGTTGTGTTTTTTGAGACAGGGTCTCACTCTGTCTCCTAGTCACCCAGACAGGAATGCAGTGGCACAATCATGGCTCACTGCAGCCTCAACCTCCCAGGCTCAGGTCATCCTCGCATCTCAGTCTCCCACGTAGCTGGGACTACAGGGAATGCTACCACACCCTGCTAATTTTTTGTATTTTTTTGTACAGATGGGGTTTCACCACGTTGCCCAGGCTGGTCTCAAACTTTTGGGCTCAAGCAATCCACCTACATCAGCCTCCCAAAGTGCTAGGATTACAGGTATGAGCCACCATGTCCAGCCCTAAGTATACTGTTGAATCCATAAACTTACTTGTCCATTCAACTACAATGAAAACGTGGAGGGAAAATATAAAATGGGCCTCAGAGGGTGGCTCACACCTGTAACCCCGGCACTCTGGGAGGCCGAGGCAGGAGGATTGCTTGAGCCCAGGAGTTTGAGACCAGCCGGGGCAATATAGTGAGACCCGGTCACTATCTAAAATAATAAAAACTTTAAAACAAGAAAATACATTGACGAAATTATGAAAAGTGACATAAATTTGAAGAGTTTATGTGAAAAGTTGGAGACAGTTGCTACAGACTAGACATAAAGATTAGCAACAAAATAGGAAAGTGCAGCCTGGCATATAGAAGGAACTTAATTATCCACTCCTTTCCCTGGGTTTGTCTCCTTAAGTGTAAAATGATAGGTGTTGTCATATTTCCAACCTGAAGATTCACTGATGTCTACTTACTAAAGTCATTATGGCATATTAGGCAGTCGTGGTTTTTTTTTTTTTTTTTTTTTTTTTAGACGGAGTCTCACTCTGTCGCCCAGGCTAGAGTGCAGTGGTACGATCTCAGCTCACTGCAACCACCACCTTCCAGGTTCAAGCGATTCTCCCGCCTCAGCCTCCCGAGTAGCTGGGATTACAGGCACCTGCCACCATGCCTGGCTAATTTTTGTATTTTTAGTAGAGACAGGGTTTCTCCATGTTGGCCAGGCTGGTCTTGAACTCCTGACCTCAGGTGATCTGCCCACTTCGGCCTCCCAAAATGCTAGGATTACAGGCATGAGCCACCATGCCCGGCCAAGGCAGCATTCTTAAAAACAGATGGCGGCGGAGCATGGCGGCTCACGCCTGTAATCCCAGCACTTTGGGAGGCCAAGGTGGGCGGATCACCTGAGGTGAGGAGTTCAAGACCAGCCTGGCCAACATGGAGAAACCCTGTCTCTATTAAAAATAAAAAATTAGCCGGCGTGATGGCAGGTGCCTGTAATCCCAGCTACTCGGGAGGCTGAGGCGGGAGAATAGCTTGAACCCAGGAGGCGGAGGTTGCAGTGAGCCAAGATCACGCCATTGCACTCCAGCCTGGGCGACACAGTAAGACCCTGTCTCAAAAAAAAAAAAAAAAAAAAAAAAAGGCCTTTGCAATATAATAAAATACTATCTCTTTTTTTGTTGGGGGACAGGGTCTCACTCCAACACCCAGGCTGGAGTACAGTGGCATGATCACAGCTCACTGCAGCTTCAACTTTCCAGGCTCAGGTGATACTCCCATCTCAGCCTCCCAAGTAGCTGGGACTATAGAAGTGCACCACAGTGCCCGGAAAATTTTTTGTATTTTTTGTAGTAAAGGGGTTTCGTCACGTTGTCCGGGCTGGTCTCAAATTCCTGGGCTCAAGCAATCGGCCTGCCTCGGCCTCCCAAAGGGATTAGAGGCACGAGCCACCACACCTGGCCATAAAAGAATATCTTGACATCTTAACTTTACATTGCATGAATTCCTATTTTCCCATATCTGAAAAAGGTAAATAAAGGTAACAGGTAAGAATTGTGTTAATTGACGCAGTTAAAACTAAGTTATATAGGTGAAAATTAGCTAAAAAAAATTTTCTTCCTAAATGACAGCCTTACAAACCCAAACGGTATTACCCTTTTCCTTCTACATTCTTCATCCACAGTAACTTGTACATAATAGCACAAAAAGAATTCTCTGCTAATGAGAATACCAGAATCAAGAGAGATAAAAACCTACACTTACTACAAACTCATTCAACATCTCTAGTTTGAATTTGGAATTGTAAATCAAATACCTAATCTCCTCCCAACTGTTCCCTCAGCCAATGCATTACAAATGACACATTCAATTTAAAAAGTGTTCCACCTTGGCTGGGCATGGTGGTCATGCCTATAATCCCAGCTCTTGGGGAGTGCCCAACGCAGGAAGATCACTTGAGGCCAGGAGTTAAAGACCAGCCTGGGCAACATAGCAAGACCCTGTCTCTAAAAAAAATTTAAAATTAGCCAGCCACGGTGGTGCACACCTGTGGTCCCACCTACTCAGGAGGCTGAAGTGGGAGGATCACATGCTCCCAGAAGGTCAAGGCTGCAGTGAGCCATGATTGTGTCACTGCACTCCAGCCTCAGTGACAGAGCAAGACCCTCTCCTATGGGGAAAAAAAATGTGTTCCTCAAAACTTGTCTAGTCCGGGCCGGGCACGGTGACTCAAGCCTGTAATCCCAGCACTTTGGGAGGCCGAGGCAGGCGGATCACAAGGTCAGGAGATCGAGACCACCCTGGCTAACAGGGTGAAACCCTGTCTCTACTAAAAATACAAAAAAAAAAATTAGCCGGGCGTGGTGGCGGGTACCTGTAGTCCCAGCTACTCGGGAGGCTGAGGCAGGAGAATGGCGTGAACC
Source organism: Homo sapiens (assembly GCF_000001405.40). NCBI lineage: Eukaryota > Metazoa > Chordata > Mammalia > Primates > Hominidae > Homo > Homo sapiens. The sequence goes on from NC_000001.11 coordinate 150,873,213, forward strand.
TGGGAGGCGGAGCTTGCAGTGAGCCAAGATAGCACCACTGCACTCCAGCCTGGGCGACAGAGTGAGACTCTGTCTCAAAACAAACAAACAAACAAAAAAAAAACAAAACAAAACTTGTCTAGTCCATAGATAAGAAACAGCCTAAAGTTTCATGGACCACCTACCCACCGAGTTCTACTTGCCAGTGATAAGTAGAACTAGTGAAAAATGATAGAATATGAAGAATTATCAATTCGAGAAAAAAAATCATCACAGAACTATTACTTCAACACAACTCTTAGAGAGTACCAACCATATTTTACTCTTCTTCTAATGCAGCACCACAGTGAAAAATGCAGAAGAACGTGGTCCCCTTGAAAAACACTGCAGGGCCACCAGCACAATTAACATGTTCAAGCACTATTACTAACCCTAAGGATTAACTTGGCCGGGTCAGTGGCTCACACCTATAATCCCAGCAGTTTAGGAGGCTAAGGTGGGAGGATTGCTTGAGGACAGGAGTTCAAGATCAGCCTGGGCAACATAGCAAGATCCCATTTCTACAAAAAGTTAAAAAATGTATCCAGGTGTGGTGGTGTGTGTCTGTAGACCCAGATACTCAGGAGGCTGAGGTGGGAAGATCACTTGAGCTCAGGAGTTCAAGGCTACAGTGAGCTGTGATTACACCATTGCACTACAGTCTGGGAGACAGAGCAAGAACCTGTCTGAAAAATAAAAATAAGTATTATTTTTAAAAAGGATTAACTGAAGTGAAGGTTAAAGAGTGAAATATTTTTTAAAATCTTGACAAAACTAACAAGAATTGTAAAAAAAAAAAAAAAAAAAAAAAAATTAGTACTCCAGCAAAAATACAAAGTAGAAAAAACTCAAAGAAATAGGCATGGTGTCCCTAGTCCTTAAAATGGCTCTAAGGAAAGAAGGTATGACAGTGTAGCAAAGAATTCTGACCTGAAAACATTTACTTTCACTAAGCACAGTACATTTCCACCTATGTCCCTCCATTCATTAATCTCATTTCCCAAAAAGCAACAGGCTACTGAAAAAATCCACAATGTATCTCTGATCTCTTCCTCATGATATACAAGAGCAAAGGGAGAAAAGAAAAAAGAAAATATATCTTCTGATTTGATTGAACTGAACATGGGATCAATAAGTCAGAAGAGATGGAATAATTTTTCAACATCAAAAAAGAAATCTGGTCAAAGTGTCTCACATCTGTATTCCCAACTTGGAGAGACTGAGGCAAGGCTTGCTTGAGACCAGGAGATCAAGATCAGCATGGGCAACATAGCAAGGCATCTGTCTCTACAAAAAAATTTAAAAATTAACCGCGCATGGTGGCAAGGCACCTGTAGTCCCAGCTATTCGGGAGGCTGATCGTGAGAGGATCACTTGAGCCCCTGAGGTGGAGGCTGCCGTGAGCAGTGATCTTGCCACTGCACTCCAGACTGGGCGACAGAGCAAGGAGCAAGACCCTGTAGCAAAAGAAAAAGAGGGGAGAGGGGACAGGAGAGAGGGGAGAGGAGAAAGGAAAACAAAGAAAAAGAAAAAGGAAATCTAAAAATTGCAGAAGCAAGCAGCCAAAGCATAGTAAACAAAGCTGTTTCATTAACAAGGATTCTGCACACACACATACACACTAACATATGCTATTTTCTGCTAAGATTTAAGCTGATATTGATCAGCTTATGAAAATATGGTCAAGAGGCTGTCATTCTGGTTGCTGTTGTTCAAAAAACAAAACAAAATAAAGCAACCCCACCCACACAGCTGGAAAAAAGCTTCTGACATATGAACTAAAACTTGTTTACCCAGGCCACTTCTTAATAAGAGAAATGCTTTGCAATTTAACTAGGGTTATATAAGTATTTTGCAATGTGTGATCAGTTAAAAATCTTGTTTATTTATTCCATAGTTCACAGATAGGTTATATTACTACAAGGTCAGGTTTGACATAACGGCATTTTTCCTGTTTTATAGTTTTATTCTATCACTCAGCACTTCCTGCAATGTAATTTTTGCGATTAATTTTACCTCCCTTTCCTTCAAAAAAAATTTAAAAGATTAAAAAAAAATGACGTGACAAATTAACCATTTCTTAAAATAGCTATTCCCAGAAACACGGTAGAAAAGAAATTTCAGTGATTCAACTGTCCTATCAAAATCTGGATATTGCAAAATCATACTGCCTTTCAGTAACATGAAAAAAAATCTAATTTAAATTTCAACGTGGGGATGGGGGTAATCACTCCTACTGTTTTATTTTCAAGAAATTCTCCGCCCCACGCAACACACACACATATCTCAAGGCCCTTTTTAAGGCTATCAAATATATTGGTTTTTGGAAAAGGATAGACTTTATTTGGCAAGAATAACCAAGGTCTCCAAGATAAACTAGACCCCTAAAATGAAATGCCTTCTAAAGAGGAATAACTGTAACATAGAGGAAAGAGGGCTGGGACTAGTAATTTGAAGATCTGATCTCTCTAGAACTGCACTACACCCTACTCCATCTCTTAGACAAAACAGACCAAACCTTTTTGATATTTGATTATTTTTTGAAATTGAGAAATGGTGTGGAATCAAACTTTTCTGAAAGAGTTTGGAAATTGCCTCGACGTAGGCCTAACAAGATTTAAACCTGGGGCTGTGGAACTAAAGACCTGTCCGGAACCATAACCATTACACAAACCCCTGCCCTCAGCAGGCAAAGACCTACAGGCCCTCTTAACACAAGATCTAAGTTTCAAAGTATAGTCCGGGGACGGAGACGGGGACGGGGGTTGCGGGTGGGAGGTAACAGCCTAAAGAAACGTCGTATATATCAAAGAATGTCCATTTTTTATTTTTTAAATTAAAATCTAAACCTTTAAATGTTTGGAAGCAACGCCTCAACTAAAGAGCAGTGTGGTCCAGGGTTTATGAATCCAAACTACTCTTAAAGTAAACCGAGACACTCTGCCTACAGTTTTCGGCATCAAGCGGCTCCAGCGGGCAGAGGGTTAAAAGAGGACCACATCACAGACCAGACGCCGACCGAGGAGTGAGGGCGGGCCAGCCCCGCACTGGCTGCCGCTCCAACGGAGGTCAGGACAGGGAGCCCCCCTCAACTCCCACCTGCCCCCTCGCTCCCTTGGGTATACTCGAGTCTACCCAAGTCCCCGGGATCGGGCCCCTCCCCAGGTCACCGCTCCCCCACCGTCTCTCGCGGCCCCCGCCCCGCCCCGGCGCCTTCAGCTCCAGCTGCGTCCCCTCAGCCCTGGGTCTCCTTAGTTGTCAGCCCCTTCGGCCCCTCCCCTTTAGAGGCGCCCCAGTCCTCCGTCTCCTCACCGGGGTTGGCAGTAGTCGCCGCCATGGCCGCAGATGCCACCGCCGCCGCGCCACCCCCCCCCCCAGTGGGAGGAGCCGCCGCCACCGAACCGGGAGGGAGGGGAAAAGAAAGGCCACTCCCCAGAAGCGGCGCCTGACCGCCGCCTCCGCTACCGCGGAATCCAAGATGGCGGCTTCAGCAGCCCCCAGCATCCCAGCCCCTGCGGCGGGGAGACCCCGCCTATATAGTAGGCGGAGTCAACACACGGCCAGCCTCCTAAGAAAAATTGACCAATGAAAATGCCAAATCGTCCAAGGGCAGGGCTACTCACTGCGCCAGCCAGTCCAGTGAAGGGAGGGCGAGGAAGAAGTCCAGCTGTCTCCCTAATCTCGCCCTCCTTGCGTAAGAGGTCAATGACCGAGTAACGTCATTGAAATGCAATTAAAATGGGTATTTTAGGCTGGGCGCGGTGGCTCGCGTCTGTAATCCCAGCACTTTGGGAGGCCGAGGCGGCCGGATCACCTGTGGCCAGGGGTTCGAAACCAGCCTGGCCAACATGGCGAAACCCCGTCTCTACTAAAAATACAAAATTAGCCGGGCGTGGTGGCGCATGCCTGTAATCCCAGCTTCTTGGGAGGCTGAGGCAGGAGAATCGCTTGAACCTGGGAGGCAGAGGTTGCAGTGAGCCGAGATAGCGCCACTGCACGCCAGTCTGGGCAACAAGAGCGAAACTCCGTCTCAAAAAAAAAAAAAAGGATATTTTACTAAAAACCTTCGCTTGGTGGTGGATTCGTCTGAGTGGTTGCCGTGCAGACAATGTATCTTGTAAATCCTCTTTAGGTGCTAAAGAGCACCTAAACATCACATGGTGATTTGTAATCCTTTCCAGTTTTTTTCCTCTTTTAAGGACTTTTGTCCCTGGTGAAAAAGTTAAATGACTAACTTTTGAATGCCTGCTATGGAACCGGTAGTCTAAAAGGATCCAGGTGTTAACGGTTTGGTATGGGAGATATTGCCAGCCAAAATTGGAGGCAATAGATGAAGAAAGTAATTTGAGAATGGGTAACTTCTTTGGTCAGTGACAGGGACAGAGTGAGGAGTTTTGTTTGTCTGTTTTTGAGACAGAGTCTCTCTCTGTCGCCCAGGCTGGAGTGCAGTGGCGCAATCTCGGCTCACTGCAACCTCCACCTCCCCGGTTCAAGCAATTCCCCTGCCTCAGTCTCCTGAGTAGCTGGGATTACAGGCGCACGCCACACGCCTGGCTAATGTTTTTTGTATTTTTAGTAGAGATGGAGTTTCACGACGTTGGCCAGGCTGGTCTCGAACTCCTGACATCAGGCAATCTGCCCGCCTCGGTCTCACAAACTGTTGGGATTACAGGCGTGAGCCACCACACCTGGCCAGTGAGGAGTTTTTAATAGGGAATCAATAAGATGATGGCTGTGCAGATTTATTTTCTTTTTTCTTTATTTTTTTCTGAGACGGAGTCTTGCTCCATCACCCAGGCTGGAGTGCAGTGGTGCGATCTTGGCTCACTGCAACCTCTCCCTCCCGGGTTCAAGCAGTTATCCTGCCTCAGCCTCCTGAGTAGCTGGGATTACAGGCGCGCACCACCACGCCCGGCTAATTTTTGTTTCCTGGTAATAGGAAGCATTGAGCTATTCGAGGTAGGCACTGTCCAAAATGCTTTATATGTATTTACTCATTTAATCCTCACAACAACGATGAGGTAGGTTCTACTGCTATTTCCATTTTGCAATTAAGGAAACAGAAACAAAGAGGGTAAGCAAGGGACATCCAGCAGGTAAGTAATGTGGGAGGCAAACTAAAGGAGTCTGACACTGGAAACCTGTTCCACCCATCCCCCTATTTTAGCACTACAATTTTAGCACTACAAAGTACTTCCATTTTCATGTATCGCTCACAAAATGTTTAATACAAATTTAATTAAAATTTTAACAAAAATCCCATTATGCTATTGAACAGCTTTGCATTCTTAGAAGTTGTATATGTACTGCGCAGATTACATTGATCCACTTATTTAGTTTACTGCAAAGGTATTTTAACATAATTTACATATTATTGTTTACATCTGTTAAAATTTCATTTTTCTTTCATTTTGTTGTTATATTTATAAGTCACCAAAAAGAAAAAAATCATCCACCCAAAAGAAATACATTGGCTGGGCTGGGCGGGGTGGCTGTAATCCCAGCACTTTGGGAGGCCAAGGAGGGCGGATCACAAAGTCAGGTGTTCGAGACCAGCCTGGCCAACATGGTGAAACCCCATCTTTACTAAAAATACAAAAATTAGCCGGGCATGGTGCCGCGTGCCTGTAATCCCAGCTACTCCGGTGGCTGAGGCAGGAGAATCGCTTGAACCTGGGAGGCAGAGGTTGCAGTGAACCGAGGTGCCCCTGCACTCCAGCCTGGGCGACAGAGCAAGACTCCATCTCAAAAAAAAAAAAAAAAAAATGCTGTAGCTTCTTTACCAAGTAAAATGGATTTTTCCAGAATAAATGCAAAATGTTTTCCTGTATGATGTGGATACATTTTGTGGTTAAAAGAGATCAAGTTACATTTCTGTAGAAAAAAATTGGTAGAAATCATTTTGTTATAGAGCTGCTTACACAACTAGCTACAAAGTTAATAACATATTCTGTTTGGAGACAGTGCAACAAAGCTGGCTGGGTGCAGTGGCTCACGCCTGTAATTCCAGCACTTTGGGAGGTCAAGGCAGGAGGATCATCTGAGATCAGAAGTTCAAGACCAGCCTGGCCAATATGGTGAAACCCCATCTCTACTAAAAATACAAAAATGAGCTGGGCGTGTTGGCACACGCCTGTAGTCCTAGCTACTCAGGAGGCTGAGGCAGGAGAGTCGCTTGAACCTGGAAGGTGGAGGTTGCAGTGAGCTGGGATCGATTGGGCCACTGCACTCCAGCCTGGGTGACAGAGCGAGACTCAATCTAAAAAAAAAAAAAAAAAAAAAAAAGTGTAACAAAGCTATTGGCAGAATTCTTTGTCAAATATCACATGGAGTCATGATACACAACATGAAATGGCAATATCTGCCCTGTACCTGCTACCAGATGTTTGTTTTAAGCGTAGAAACCACTGATATACACAATATGAATCCGCTTACAGCATATAGGCAATACATAAGGAGAAATGCCCAGAAACTTCCTGTCTGGTTTATCATTAAAAATTCAAGATACAAAAGAAAACATTTTTCATTTAGATAAGAATTATTTTGTGAGGTATGAGTCAGTCTGAAAAAGATATCTTGGGATCAAAACTGATGGAGTTACAGGCCAGGCATGGTGGCTCACGGCTGTAATCCCAGCACTTTGGGAGGCCAAGACAGGCGGATCACTTGGACCCAGGAGTTTGAGACCAGCCTGGTCAACATGGCGAAACCCCATCTCTACTAAAAATACGAAAATTAGTCTGGCATGGTGACACATGCCTGTAATCCCAGCTACTCGGGAGGCTGAAGCACGAGAATCACTTGAACCTGGGAGGCGGAGGTTGCAGTGAGCCGAGATCATGCCACTGCGCTCCAGCCTTGGTAACAGAGCAAGACTCTGTCGCAAAAAAAACACAAACAAACAAACAAACAAAAAAACACTGATGGAGTTATAACTTTGGATGCAGAAAGAACACTGTTCCTACAAAAAAGATGTCAGTCCACTTTCCTTTTTATTTCCTTTTTTTTTTTAGACAGAATCTCACTCTGTTGCTCAGGCTGGAGTGCAGTGCCATGATGGCTCACTGCAACCTCTGCCTCCCAAGTTCAAGCTATTCTCCTGCCTCTGCCTCCTCAGTAGCTGGAATTACAGGCGCCCGTCACCACTGCCCCGCTAATTTTTTTGTGCTTTTATTAGAGATGAGGTTTCACCATGTTGCCCAGGCTGGTCTCCAACTCCTGAGCTCAGACAATCCACCCACCTCGGCCTTCCAAAGTGCTGGGATTACAGGCATGAGCCGCCATGCCCAGCCCACTTTCCATTTTATTCAGAAAACAGTTCATAGCCAAAATATATTTCTCCCAGCCAGGCTCAATGGTGCATGCCTGTAGTCCTAGCTAATCTAGAGGCTGAGGAGGGACGATCACTTGAGCCCAGGAGTTTGAGGCCAACCTGGGAAACATAGCAAGGCCTCATTTCTAAAAAAAAAATTTCTCCTGATTTTGATTCGACATTGAACAAATTAGCACAAACCATAAATGTAGTAAAATATCATCCAGTGAGCACAATCTTTGAGAAGAAACAGATAAATTGGTGCTTTCTCCACAGTTAAGTATGGAGGCCAGTAAGGGGGGGAAATGCTGTCAGTTTTTAATAAGGATTGAAGTGAAAATCTCTTCTTTATGATATAGATAATACTAACATAAACCATTTTTATTATTTTAAGTAGGATTTAAGTAGGTTTCTCAAATGGTTCATCTGAGCAATATTTTCATTAACATGAACATATTACTTTAACTTCTAAATGTCATGGTTTGGAGTTTTGTTTTTGTTTTAGAGATAGAGTCTCACTCTTTCACCCAGGCTAGAGTGCAGTGGCACCATCATTGCTCACTGGAACCTCGAACTCCTGGCCTTAAGCCATTCTCCCACCTCAGCCTCCCAAAGCACAGGGATTATAGCCATAAGCCACCACACTCAGCCTGTTTTTGCTTTTTAGTTCATGCCTTTTATTAACCCATCTCGTCTTCTGGTTTGTTGAAACAGTAAGTCAGACAACATTTGCCACAATAATGTCTTTCAAAGTGGCTGGCCATAAAAACTCCAGCACCACACTCACCTGAAGGGCACTCACAACAAAGGCAACTAGTTTTGCCATTCTTGTCCACCTTGTAATATTTTAGGACCGTTAGCTTAACCTTCTTTCTCTTATGCGTATTCTTCTTGGGAGTGGTGTAATACTTCTTCCTTGGCACCACCACAAAGTCTCAGCACAATAAGAAGAGTGGACTCCTTTTGAATGCTGTCATCAAAGTACATCCATCTTCCAATTGCTTACCAGCAAAGATCACTCTGCTGATGAGTAGGAATTCCTTTCTTATCCTGCCAGGACTTTACATTTTGTATTGTATTAGAGAGTTCAACCAATGAACCCCAACAAATAAGAGAGTGATGTCTTCCCCATTACAAAAATCTGCATCTTGGTAGCAGTTCTCCTGCAGATGGTGGATCACAAAGCAAACATTTTTAATGTTAAGAACAAAGTATCAGGATTTTGTAAGAAAAGCAGACTATGATGCAAATGCCTTGACTGCCAAGAGTATTTTATTTCCCAACACATGATAATTTTCTTTCTTCATCAGAGGAAAAAAATGAATGACACATTATTGAACATATTCTAAACCACATCCAAATGTTGCAACCAAATGGGGGTAAATGCTTCCCAGAGCTGAATGCAGCCAATGCAACTGAATACAACTCCTGCCCTCTCTCAAGTTGAAGCATTTGACTTTTGAGGTTACTCTTTGCTCTTCTGCTTAGAATCTGACAAACCACTGAATGCTTTCACTAGAAATTCTCCAATAGATCCTTGTAAGCTCCAACTATTCAGAATTATCTGGTAGCCATCAAACATTTCTTGCCATATCTGACAAACTCACTGTAAATACAGATTTTCTAATTTTAGTAGAAATAAAAATTAACAGATCAGATCAGGATGCCAGTTGGCAAATTTTAAAAAATTAAGAAATCTGTTGACTGTGAAGCCTGATCTACATGTTTTTATACACATTTTCAGCTTATCAATATTTAACCATTACTAATACTATTACTATTATGTTTATATTAATTTGTAAATTAATAGAAAATTACAGTTTTTTTCTGTTAACTCTTATGGTAAACTGGTTTTTTTAATTATTTAGAATGGTAGTTTTTAAATTGTTTTTTGTTTTTGTTTGTTTTTTAAGACCAGTCAAGTGAAGGAACAAAGAAATCTGTAACTGATTGGGATCAATTAGTTGTAAACACCAAGGCACTCAGACCAGCCTCCAAAGTTTTATTAAGTGTCTCTGGGTATGGTTGCCAGATTTAGCAAATAAAAATAAAGCTAAGCCAGTTTGATCTGAATGCTGGATAAACAACAAATAATTTTTTTTTTTAAATGGAGTTTTGCTTTTTTTGCCCAGACTGGAGTGCAATGGCATGATCTTGGCTCACTGCAACCTCCGCCTCCCTGGTTCAAGCGATTCTCCTGCCTCAGCCACCCGAGTAGCTGGGATTACAGGCACCCGCCACCACGCCCAACTAATTATTGTATTTTTAGTAGAGACGGGGTTTCACAGAGGCTGGTCTCAAACTCCTGACCTCAGGTGATCCACCCACCTCGGCCTCCCAAAGTGCTGGGATTACAGGCGTGAGCCACGACGCCCAGCCTACGAGCACATCTAAGGAATGGAAACCAGATTGCAAGTGGGTGAGAAGTGAGTAGAAACTAAGTAGACACAGTTAGTTAGCACAGATTATTTTTTCAAGAAACATGACAAAGAAGAGAAAAATAATCAAATGGTAGCTGCGGTAGGGGTTAGGCTAGGGGTGGAAATAGTAAAATATTTCTATAGACTGAGCTTGTGGAAAGGAGCAAACTAAAAATGCAAGAAACATCCAGGTGTGGTGGCTCATGCCTATAATCCCAGCACTTTGGGAGGCCAAGGTGGGTGAATCACCTGTGGTCAGGAGTTCGAAACTAGCCTGGCCAACATGGCAAAACCTCATCTCTACTAAAAATACAAAAACTAGCTAGGCGTGGTGTTACACACCTGTAATCCCGCCTACTCGGGAAGCTGAGGCATGAGAATCACTTGAGCCTGGGAGCTGGAAGTTGCAGTGAGCCCAGATCGCACCACTGCACTCCAGCCTGAGTGACAGAGTAAGACTCTGTCTCAAAAAACAAAAAAATAAAAAAATGCAAGAAATATATATGCCTGAGAAAACAAGACTGGTTCTAGGGGAGAGAAGGAGACAGGGTTAGGGCAGCATGTGAAAGTGTTCTCAGAAAACCAAGATACCCTTTTTCTAAAAATGTGTAGACATTTTGAAGTGGAGGAAAGGGAACTCATGTGTGATGACTTTGAGTCTCAAAGAAAAGTAACAGGTGAAACTTCTGCTGGGAATAAGAGGTAGAAATGAGGGTGGGTGTAGCTGCACAGCTGTAAGCAATTGGTTGGGAAGTCAACTAGGTATGAACAAAACGACTGTGAATAATCTGCCACAGGAGTAGAAAAAGGAAACAAAAAAAGATCACCAAATGCTCTGGGGAGCTAGACAAAGTTAGAAAGCATAAATTTTCATGAAACTATGGAGCATTGTAATTTCTGTCAATACTCAGAAACCTGAGGAAAGAAAGTGAACAGTTTACCCACAATTGGAGAGATGATGAACTGATCAGTATCTTGAAGATGGAAGATTCTAGAATTGCAGAAGACCCTAGTTTAAAAATATCTGAAAGGGGATGAGACTGGTCTGGGAAGCAAATGAAGCCAGAAGTTATTGGACTGAGAAGAGAGGTTTAATTCTGGAAGCTGATGTTGATAGCAAATTCAAAAGTGAGAGAGTTGGAGTCAGAGGATAGGCACTGGGAACCACATGTATCACAAAAAAGTTATTAATAAGTAAAAAATGTGTAAAAATGTATCTGTGTGTACTTATGTTTGTAGATAGATATACATTTTCAAATCAATAAGTAAAAGGTTAATAGCTCAGTCAAAAGGGAAAAGGATAGGTAAGGTGAAGATAGGTTTGTATGTATCTGCAAAATATGTAAATCAATAGAGATTCAAATACTGTAGTAATTAGAGAAATGCAATCTTTAAAAAACTGAGATATTGGGCCAGGCGCAGTGGCTCACACCTGTAATCCCAGCACTTTGGGAGGCCGAGGCGGGCAGATCATGAGGTCAGGAGTTCGAGAAAAGCCTGACCAACATGGTGAAACCTCGTCTCTACTAAAAATACAAAAATTAGCCGGGCATGGTGGCGTGCGCCTGTAATCCCAGTTACTCAGGAAGCTGAGGCAGGAGAATCACTTGAACCCCAGAGGCGGAGGTTGCAGTGAGCCGAGATCACACCACTGCACTCCAGGCTGGGCGACAGAGCAAGACGCTGTGTCAAAAAATCAAAAACAAAACAAAACAAAACAAAAAAGATATTGTGGGGTTTTTTTGTTTTTGTTTTTGTTTTTGTTTTTCTTGAGATGGAGTCTCAATTTCTTGTTCTGTTGCCCAGGCTGGAGTGCAGTGGCTCGATCTCAGCTCACCGCAACCTCACCCTCCTGGGTTCAAGCAATTCTCCTTCCTCAGCAACCCAAGTAGCTGGGATTACAGGCGCACACCACCATGTCCGGCTAATTTTTTGTATTTTTAGTAGAGACAGGGTTTCACCATGTTGGTCAGGTTGGTCTCGAACTCCTGACCTCAGGTAATCCACCCGCCTCGGCCTCCCAAAGTGCTAGGATTACAGGCGTTAGCCACCGTTCCCAGCCTAAAAACTGAGATATTGTTTTTAACCAATTAGCTCAACAAATATTTCAGAGACTCTGAGTAACTTACATTGGTGAAGCTATGAAAAAAAAGAAAAGGCACTTTCATGCCTATTTGATTGGAGTGTAAATTACTATAACCGTTTAGTGTGTAATTTGGTAATATCTATTAAAATTCCAAATGTGCATATCCTACAACCTAGCATGTATATTTTTAATATTTGGAGGAATTTATTCCACAAAAACATTTCCACAAGTGCCCAGAGAAATATATATACAAGGCTGTCACTCCAGCCTGGGTGACAGAGTGAGACTCTATCTCAAAAAAAAAAAAAAAAAAAAAAAAAAAAAATATATATATATATATATATATATGTATGTATATATATGTATGTGTATATATATGTATGTATGTATATATGTGTATGTATATATACACACACAAACACGGATATTTATTGCAATGTTGCTATAAGAAATTTGAAACAATACAAAAGCCCACCAACAGAGAAAATGGACTACTTGAGTACTCAGCAGCCATTAAAAAGAATAAAGCAGATTTTTTTTTTTTTTTTTTGATATGGAGTCTGGCTCCGTCGCCCAGGCTGGAGTGCAGTGGCACCATCTCGGCTCACTGCAACCTCTGCCTCCCAAGTAGCTGGGACCACAGGCGCACACCAACATACCTGGCCAATTTTTGTATTTTTAGTAGAGACGGGGTTTTGTAATGTTGGCCAGGCTGGTCTCTAACTCCCGACCTCAAGTGATCCACCTGCCTCAGCCTCCGAAAGTGCTGGGTTTACTGGCGTGAGCCACCATGCCTGGCCCGGTTATGACTTTTTTTTTTTTTTTTTTTTTTTTTTGTGAGATGGAGTCTGGCTCTGTCACCCAGGCGGGAATGCAGTGGCGCGATCTCGGCTCACTGCAAGCTCCGCCTCCCAGGTTCACGCCATTCTCCTGCCTCAGCCTCCCGAGTAGCTGTGACTACAGGTGCTCGCTACCACGCCCAGCTAATTTTTTGTATTTTTAGTAGAGACCGGATCTCACTGTGTTAGCCAGGATGGTCTCGATTTCCTGACCTCGTGATCCGCCTGCCGCAGCCTCCCAAAGTGCTGGGATTACAAGCGTGAGCCACCGCGCCCGGCCTGACTTTTTAAATCAAATGTGTCAAGTAAATTCTTCTGAGGAAAGAGGGGAAAACATTTTAAAGCATCACTAATCCTGTTGACAAGTAGTTCCCAAACTTAAGCATACATCACAATCACCTAGAGAAGCTGGTTAAAACACAAATGCCACAGGAAGTGGTGGTGCATGCCTGTAGTCCCGGCTACTGGGGAGGCTGAGGCAGGAGGATCACTTGAGCCCAGGAGTTTGAGGCTGTAGTGCACTGTGATTCACCTATGAATAGCCACTGCACTCCAGCCTGGGCAACATAGACCCCATCTCTTAAATACACACACACACACACACACACACACACACACACACACAGGCCAACACCCCCAAAATTTCTTATTCATTAGGACCAGGATAAGGGTCCAAGAGTTTGCATTTCTAGCAAGTCCCTGGGAGATGCTGTAATTCAGAGACCTGTTGCATAGACCAAAAAGTTGGCTACCAATCCATCCTCTACCACTCATGTGATCCTACTTAGAAGTTTTTACCTGAGGCGGGGCGTAGTGGCTCACGCCTGTAATCCCAGCACTTTGGGAGGCTGAGAGGGGTGGAACACAAGGTCAGGAGTTTGAGACCAGCCTGGCCAATATGGTGAAACCCCATCTCTACTAAAAATACAAAAATTAGCTGGGCATGGTGGCATGCACCTGTAGTCCCAGCTACTTGGAGGCTGAGGCAGAAGATCTCTTGAACCCGGGAGGCAGAGGTTGCAGTGAGCCAAGATTGCACCACTGCACTCCAGCCTGGGCAACAGAGCGAGACACCATCTCAAAAAAAAAAAAAGAAAAGAAAGAAATTTTTACCTGAGCTTTTAATGGTGGCTGTCCTGGCCCTGGCAGAGTTGTGGAAATATTCCTCCACTGATCTAGGCTCCAATTTAATCTAGTGGGATCATTTTCTCAGTATGGGAGTGTCTGAAACTTGATCCTGTTTCAATTGAACTATTCATGAAGCTTCTGAGTTCAGCGTGGGAGTGGGGAAGGGAGAGAGCTACCAACCACTCTCCTTTTGTGGGAAGAGGTTGATAAAAACAGAGGCTGCCAAGAGATGTACTTGAGTAGGAGGAGACTGCCCTGGCAACAAGTGAATGTAGCCTTGGATATCCGCTCTCAGAAGGTAGGTAACTACCCACATTGCCTTCCTGGTGGAGTTTTCACTGGGAGAAATTCCAAGAATTCTTCTGAGTTTAATAGCACCTTGCTATGAACTTGGGAAATCGTGGGGAAATGACTGAAGGAAGTAAAGAGCTTTATTATTATTATTATTATTATTATTTTTAGAGGCAGGATCTTGCTATGTTGCCCAGACTGAACTCAAACTCCTGGTCTCAAGCAACCCGTCTGTCTCAGCCCAAGACCTTTTTCGTTAGAGCTTTTTACGAAAAGTTAAACTTTCATCTGAGAAGGGATGTCTTGAGCATAGTCTCTTTTTGAGGAAAGTTGGGGGGACCTCTGATTAGTCCTATTAGCCAGAGAGTGTCTTTGATTTTAAGGATTATAGTAAAAAAAAGCTGCATTATTGTGTTTCTTCACCATCATCTCTCTCTTTGCACTAAACTTATGGCCAGGAGAGAAAAACTGGGTCTTTTTAGTATTTTGGTCTTCTTCAAGAATGGCAGGTCATTGCAGGTGGGAAGAATGAAGTGATCTGGAAAAGGAACACAGAGAAAGGAAAAGGTAATGGATCTTTCTGGAACTGAAAGTGGAATTGATGTTGCCAAGGATTTGTAAATGCCATTATTCTGATTCTTACTTTAGTAGGTCCAAATTTAACATAAACCAATAGCTTCACACCACACCTCCTTTCTCCTACTATAATCCCAAGAAGTGCTGCTACTCATCTCAAACAAAACAAGAACCTTAAAAGCCACTTAAAAAAAATTCTAAGACAGGTATTCCCTTTGGAAAACAGATTTTAGCTCTACCATTTTTGAAAGTGTATTTCTCAAGAAAAGCTATTTTGCATAAGAATTAAATTTGTTGTGACTTTTCCCCCCATTTTGAAAACATTTTACCTAATTTATTTTTTTTTTTTTTGAGACAGTCTCACTCTGCCGCCTAGGCTGGAGTGCAGTGGCGCGATCTTGGCTCAATACAACCTCTGCCTCCCAGGTTCAAGCAATTCTCCTGCCTCAGCCTCCCGAGTAGCTGGGACTACAGGCGTGCACCACCATGCCTGGCTAATTTTTTGTACTTTTTAGTAGAGACAGGGTTTCACCATGTTGGCCAGGCTGGTCTCGAACTCCTGACCGAAGGTGATCCCCCGCGACCTCGGCCTCCCAAAGTGTTGGGATTACAGGGGTGAGCCACTGCACCTGGCCCTAATTTTGTATTTTAAATCTTTTATTCTTTCCTTAAAGAGAGACCCCCATGTTGTATAAATTTTAGGCCATACAAAATCTGGATCACTGCATATGAAAATGAGTAAAAAATATACATGGCATACTTAGAAACAAAACAGCATTTTCCTTTCTAATAAGAATGTATTTTATTATTTATTTATTTATTTATTTAGACAGGGGCTTGCTTTGTCACCCAGGCTGGAGTGCAGTGGTGCGATCATGGCTTACTGCATCCTTGACCTCCTGGGCTCAATCGATCCTCTCACATCAGCCTCCTGAGTAGCTGGGAGGGACTATAGGTGCGTGCCACCACGCCAGGCTAATTTGATTTTGTTTTTGTTTTTTTGTAGAGATGGGGTCTTGCTATGTTGCCCAGACTGGTCTCGAATTCCTGGGCTCAAGCAATCCACCCGCCTCAGCCTCTCAAAGGGCTGGGATTATAGGAATGAATCACCGTGCCTAGCCGATCTCACTCTACTTCTGAATTCCAGTCCCACATTTTAGCCTCCTGAGCATATTGTATCAGTGCATTTAAATTCAGCCTACCTCAGACTGATTTCATCCTAGTACCTTAAAATATCTGCCACTCCTCTGGGTGCAGTGGCTCACGCCTGTAATCCCAGCACTCTGGGAAGCCGAAGCGGGCGGATCACGAGGTCAGGAGATCGAGACCATCCTGGCTAACAGGATGAGACCCCGTCTCTACAAAAACTTAGCCGGGCGTGGCAGCGGGCACCTGTAGTCCCAGCTACTCGGGAGGCTGAGGCAGGAGAATGGCGTGAACCCGGGAGACAGAGCTTGCAGTGAGCCGAGATCGCACCACTGCACTCCAGCCTGGGCGACACAGCAAGACTCTGTCTCAAAAAAAAAAAAAAAAGCAACTCCTAAAATAAATAATTCTATGAATGGCATCATTTTTCTTTCAGCTTTCCAAATTTAAGCCCAGGAGTTTTCTTTATCACTTCCTTCTTCTTCCCACTACATGTCCACTTAATTTCCAGGTCGTCACAAATTCTCTTTCACAATCTCACATCCATTCTTTCCTTTCTGTTACTCACTGTGTTATCCTAGCCCTTGTTTCCCCTTGTTGAGACTGCTAAAACTCCTCTTGTTGTTTTCACCCTATAGTGTGTGTTAGCTCCAATACTTTTTACGCACTCTTGCCAGTTATCTTCCTGAAGTATGGCTTTGATCATTTACCTGCCTGAATTCAACAAGTATGAACTGTTGTATGCACTATGTGCCAGACACCGATAGAGATTCATATTAATTCATTCATGTAGACGTATTAAATACATAAAATATGCCAGCCCTCCCCAGGCACTGAATCCATGCTATGAATGGGACAGACACCTAGAGCTTACATTCTAGTTAGAATCAATGGGATACACAGTAAGATATGGCCCCTGCTCCCAAAATGTTTATCTGCTCAAAACCTTCCATTGCTTCCCGATACCTGAAAGAACAAAATTCAAAGTCCTTGCCCTGACTTTCAAGGTTCAGTATGGTCCTGTCTTAAGCAACAGAAGTATAGTATCTAGATGAATAATCTTGAGTTTGCATGCATCTTGTATTCTGTATTGGGCACCACATTTTAAAAGGAATATAGACACACTAGAAAATCTTCAGTAGAAAAAGGGTAGAGTGGTAGACCACATCCTCTGAGAAACCAATCAAACGTACTTAATAGCTATTTTTAAATTACTGAAACTCTTGTGTATGGAAAAGATATGTGTTGCCTTAAACAGTCCTAAGTAAAAAGTGAAGCTGTACTAAGAAGACAGATTTGGCTCAAGGTAAAAAATTACTGCCTTCCAGAACCTTCTGAAATAGATAGACAGCCAGGAGACAGTCAGTGCCCAGCCCCTGTCACACAAGGAGCTCAAGCAGGGGCTTTACAGGAATGATTAGAAGGTGGTACAAGATGACCTTTAAAGTTTCCTTCCAATGTGAGATTTTATTTATTTATTTATTTATTTATTGAGATGGAATTTTGCTCTTGTTGCACAGGCTGGAGTGCAACGGTACGTTCTTGTCTCACTGCAACCTCTGCCTCCCGGGTTCAAGCGATTATCCTGCCTCAGCCTCCCAAGTGGCTGACATTACAGGCATGTGCCACCACGCCTGGCTAATTTTGTATTTTTAGTAGAGACGGGGTTTCTCCATGTTGGTTAGACTGGTCTTGAACTCCCAACCTCAGGTGATCCACCCGCCTCGGCACCCCAAAGTGCTGGGATTACAGACGAGAGCCACCGCGCCTGGCCCAATGTGAAATTTTATACCCTTCACTTTCATGCATTGTGAGTTCTGCAATATTAAATTAAGCATCATTTTCCAGAAAGCTTCAATGCTTCCTGTCTCCATCACTATTCCTTTATTTGGAGTGCTCTTTTCTTGTTCCAAATAGAGCTCAGCCATCACCTCTACAAAGACTTCTATAACTAATACCACTCCCAGCTGAGTTTATTAATCGATGAAGGTTGTACTGTTCATACCCTACACCCAAGAGAAGCAGCATGTTCCTTCTGACATTGGAGTTTCCACATTGACAAACATTTCCTACAGGAAATGGACGTTTGCCCTGTAGAAACTCATATTGATAGAAGAATATCAGGTTAATTCTTGCCTCATGTACGCTACACATTCCTGCCTATCTGATATTTCTTTTCTTTCTTTTTTTTTTTCTTTTTTTGTGAGACGGAGTCTCGCTCTGTCGCCCAGGCTGGAGTGCAGTGGCAGATCTCAGCTCACTACAACCTCCGCCTCTTGGGTTCACACCATTCTCCTGCCTCAGCCTCCCGAGTAGCTAGGACTACAGGCACCCGCCACCATGCCTGGCTAATTTTTCATATTTTTAGTAGAGACAGGGTTTCACTGTGTTAGCCAGGATGGTCTCCATCTCCTGACCTCGTGATCTGCCTGCCTCGGCCTCCCAAAGTGCTGGGATTACAGGCGTGAGCCACTGCACCCGGCCTTATCTGATATTTCTAACACAAACATCTAATGATGTAATTTTCATGTTTACAAGCTTTCCAATGGCTCCCCACTGATTACAAAGCTGAGTCCTGAGTGTTTAATCTGCAACACAAGGTCCCTTGTGAGCTGCCTTTGCTACCAATCCTATCTATTCAGTAAAATATATCTCAAAGTCTTACTGAACAATTGCTGTTTCTCAAACATACTATATTGTCCTCCCTTAAACCTTCATATCTTTACCTGGAATATCTTCTTTCCTTCTCCCCTTTCCCACTTTTAGCTGCCAGATAAACTCATTCTTAGCCCTCAATTCAATTCATGTGTTGGCCTCTTCAGTAAAATCTCCCTTGATTCTTCCCTTTGGGCTTCTTTCCCACTTTACCCAGCAAATTGCTTTGGAATTATTTGCTTTCAGGAAGTACAGATTTTTTTATTTTTCTCTTTAACTTTATAAGATTCAGACAGTTTACTTAGTATAAAATTATACTAGAAATTTGTGATAAGGAGAATAAATGAAAGGAAATCAAAGAAAGATGGAAGTCTCTTGAAATGCACTAATTGAGAGAAGGTGGAAAATTAATAAAATATTCAGGCTGAATAAGTCTAGTGAGATCTGCAAGTGCCAGGGTAAAACAAGATGTCCTTTTTGAGGAATGTAATGATGAATAATGAGAAAATATGTGCCTGAAGTCATAAAGATATGTCATATTTTCTTCTAAAGGTTTTCAAGTTTTCCTTTTACATATAACTAAATGCAATTTTTAAAATAAATATCCTATTTTCCAGTATCTTATTGAATAGTTCATGCTTTTCCTGTGACCAACAATACCCACTGTGTTATAATTCAAGTTTCTGTAAATGTGTGATTTGCCTCTGGGCTCTCTAGGGGTATCTATGCCCACATACCTACCCCGTTGTCATAAACCCTATAGCTTTATAATAAACCTTGATTGCTGATAAGGAAAATCTCTCTACCCTATTCTTTTTCTTCAGAATGTCTTATTCTTCTTCTTCTTTTTTTTTTTTTTTTTTTTATTGAGACAGGGCCTCGCTTTATCATCCAGCCTGGATTGCAGTGGTATGAAATGAACTCGGCTCACTGCAGCCTGAACCTCCCTGGCTTAAGAGATCCTCCCACCGCAGCCTCCCAAGTAGCTGGGACTACAGGTGCCCACCACCAGGCCCAGCTAATTTTTGTAGTTTTTGTAGAGATGGGGTTTTACCATGTTGCTCAGGCTGGTCTTGAACTCCTGACCTCAGGAGATCTGTCAGCCTCAACCTCCCAAAGTGCTAGGACTACGGGCATGAGCCACCATGCCTGGCTTCTATCTTCTCTATCCTTGAGCCTTTGAGTTCCTTCATACGTTTAAGAAAATTGATTTGTCAGTTTTCTCAAAAAATCCTGATGGGATTTTGGTGGAGTTGCATTGTATCCATAGATCAATCTGGGAAGAACTAACTACTATGCTGAATCCACAAACATAGTATATCCCTTCATTTACTTAAGTGTTCTTTAACGACTATCAGTAAAGTTTGGTAATTGTTTCCAAACTGGTCCTAGTCAACTTTTGTTAAACTTATTTTTAAATATCTTACGTATTTTTAATGCCATTGTAAATGATGCTTTTTTAAAAATTACATTTTCTTGTGTGTTGCTGGTATTTAGAAATATAATTGACTTATGTATCTTATCCAGCCACCTTGCTAAGCTCTAATTATCTCACATTTTTCTTTAGACTCATCTGCGGGCAATGACGTCTGTGAATAGTAAACTTTTGTTTTCTTCTTTTTCAATCCATTTTTTTTCATCTTATCTTACTGCACTGGCTAGGACTTCCAGAATTATGTTACATAAAAGTTAATATAGTGAACATTTTTGTCTGGTTCCTGATTTTAAAAGGAAAATCTTTCAACTGTTGCCCATTAAGTAGTAGGTTTGCTATAGTTTTTTTTGTTGTTGTTTGGACAGGCTGTCACTCTGTCACCCAGGCTGGAAGACAGTGATGCTATCATGGTTCACTATGGCCTTGATCTCCGGGCTTCAAGTGATCATCCCACTTCAGCCTCCTGAGTAGCTGGAAGTACAGACATGCACCATCTTGCCTGGCTAATTTTTAAATTTTTTTAGAGAGACGGGTCTCACTATGTTGCCCCGGCTGGTCTCAAACTCCTAGCCTCAAGCAATCCTGCTGCCTCAGCCTCCCAAAATGCTGGGATTACAGGTATGAGCCACCATACCCAGCCTATACATTTTTTATGGATACCCCCACTTATGCCTAGTGTTCCATTATTGGAACCCTAAGCATGTGGGGGTTATTTATGTCCTACTGCTCAAGGTCATCACCAAGGTCTGATTGCAAAAATTCAAAAAATTGCACCCTCAGGCATAAATGGGTTAAAGGAGCTCCTTTCTATCCCTATTTTGCTAAGAATATTAACATAGGTGTTTTATATTAGTATCTTTTTTTTCTTTTTTTTTAACCAGAGATGGGGGCGTCTCACTATGTTGCTCAGGCTGGTCTCGAACTCCTGGACTCAGGCAATCCTCCTGTCTTGGCTAGTATTAAGTTTTATCAAATGCTTTTTCTGTAATCATTGAGGTAATTTTTTCATTTAATCTATATATTAAATGTCACTTACAGGTTTTCTCATGTAAACTACCCTTGCATTTCTGGGAAAAACTCAGCTTGGTATTTGTGTCAATCAGGATTTATTTGCAGGGAATAGAAACTTTCTAGTTATTTAAAACAGAAGTAGGATTCTTAGTTACACATGACCGAAAAGCCCAACTCAAATGGGATTAAAGACTACAATGGAAAAATATGAATTTGCTAATTATAGGGCACAAGATTTTATAGATGTTCAATAAATCAAGCTTGTTAATTGTATTATTCAAATATTCTATATCTTCACTGATTTTTGCCTAGTCAACCTATTAATACTTGAGAAGAATGTGTGTTCTATCTACCATAATGGTGGTTTATATCTATTTCTCTCTAGAGTTCTATTGCTTTCTTATTTAAGACTGTTTTATTAGATGCATATAATGTATTTATTTATTTATTTTATTTAGCGGGTACAAGTGCAGATTTCTCACATGCATATATCAATGTGGTAAAGTCTGGACTTTCAGTGTACCCATGTAGGTACATATAATTTAGAATTGTTATATCTTCCTACTGAATTGAACCCTTGATCATTATTTATTAATCCTCTCTATCCTTAATAATGCTTTTTGTGGCCAGGCACAGTGGTTCATGCCTGTAATCCCAGCATTTTGGGAGACTGAGGCGGGTGGATCACCTGAGGTCAGGAGTTTGAGACCAGCCTGGCCAACATGGTGAAACCCCACCTCTACTAAAAATAAAAAATTAGCCGGATGTGGTGGCGCGTGCCTGTAGTCTCAGCTACTCAGGAGGCTGACACAGGAGAATTGCTTGAACCAGGAGGAGGTTGTAGTGAGCCGAGATCGCACCACTGCACCCCAGCCTGGGTGACACAGTGAGACTCCGTCCCCCTCAAAAAAACATATATATATACATATATATATATATGATGCTTTTTGTATTTAGTTCTATTTTGTCTGATATTAATATAGCTATAAAATTTTATAGATATAAAATTTTATTTTGGCTAGTCTTTACCAAATATGCCTTTTTCTATCCCTTTTATTTTCAGCCTTTCCATGTCTTTAAATTTTAGGTGAATTTTTAAAAAATAGACTATAGCTAGATTGGGGCCAAGACCAAAGAATGGATGTTTGTCATTTTTTGTCTGCCCAACATCCAACTACCCTTCCTGTTTGGGGAAATCTTTTTTTTCTTTTTTTTTCTTTTTTTAATTTTGTGTGACGAAGTCTCTTTCTGTTGCCCAGGCTGCAGTGCAGAGACGCGATCTCAGCTCACTGCAACCTCCACCTCTCAGGTTCAAGTGATCTTCCTACCTCAGCATCCCAATTATCTGGAATTATAGGTGCGCACCACTACGCCCAGCTAATTTTTGTATTTTCAGTAGAGATGGGCTTTCACTATGTTGACTAGGCTGGTCTTGAACTCCTGACCTCAAGTGATCCACCTGCCTCGACCTCCCAAAGTGTTGGGATGATTACAGGCGTGAGCCACTGCACCCGGCCATGAAGAAGTCTTTCTTCACATGAATCTGTCAGAAACAATTCCCACTGCGGAGGCCTAGAGAAATCAAATATTCCCTCTTCCACCCTCTGGCAGCCAAGGTGTTAGTGCATGACTCAGCCTTGACCAGTCAGATGCTCTAGCCAGAGACTAGACTATTGAGTGACACAAAGATGACACAATTTATAATTCAGCCATGCCAGAGGCAGCAGTATCCAATGACAGTAGCAGCAGTGCTCGGCAACAGCAGTGTCTGGTGGTGGCAATGTCTAATGCCAGCATTGCCCTAACCAGACTTTTCCTGTGCTCTCCCTGGCTATGGTTCCTGATGGCTGGCTTCTCTTGATTTCTGTCTGTTTATAAGACTAGTTCTCTTTCTGAGAGCTATCTGACCTCTTTACAATAAATATATTTTCTGTTTAACGGAGAATCCGTTCCTGTTGCTTGCAAACAAGAATGTGTTCTTTTTTCCTCTGGAAAGGAGCAGGAGAGATGATAGGTAGGGGGAATATGTGAGGTTTGAATTTGCTGGAGCCATTCTTGATACCGTAAGGGAAGCCAAACTGGGGATTAAATCAACATAGAAGAAAGGCAGGGTTAAGAAAAGCCATAGACACATAAAGGCAGAACCCTGATACTTTGAATCACTGGATTCAGCCATAGCTAAAGGTAGTCTCACTCTGGACTTTTTGGCCATATGAGTCAATAAATTCCATTTTATTTTTAAGTCTCATGTGAGTGGGCTTTTCTGTCACTCGCAACCAAAAGCATCCTACCTGATACCTTTCTGTTCTGCCTGTGAAAAGGAATCCCTCACTTAATTCTGCAAATAGGCTTTCAGCTGCTATTCTACTTCTCTTCTTTCTTTCCTAGTTGAACTTCTCATAAATGATTTAAAATCTTAGTGTCTTTATTTCCTCACTGTCCTTTGCTGCTTTATCCACTAAAACCTGGATTCCTTCTTTACTACTATAACACTATTTCCTTTTAGATCACCAGTAGTCTTCTCCTGTCTTAATTCAGTGCCAACACCATATCTCAAAGTCATTCATTCATTCAACAAAGTTTTACATACCCACTTTAGAAACATATAGGGCTACATTCATTCACTGAACAAATATTTATTGAACATCTAATATATCCCAGACTTTTAGGATAAACAAATTCTATATGATCCCTACTCTCATAAAGGATTACAATTTTATCAGCCAGTACAGACTAAAGTAATATAATAAATTATAGTGAATATTACTGAAAGATCTCCCTAGAAAATTTATATTTAAGCAAAGCCTAGAAGTTGAATATAGAGGGAAGAGAATAACACAAAGAGAATGTTAAAGGAAAAGGCTTGAAAGCAAAGGGGAAGAGAGGGGCAGGCAAAATTCATGGAACTGTGAGAAGCCCACTATTGCCAGGTTAGAAAGTACAAGGGACAGAGAGGTAAGAAATAAGGTTAGAATAAATTGTCAAGAGCCTTGGAGCCCCATTAAGACAGTGGGAAGCTGAAAACAGATTTTGATCAGATGACTGATCAATTTGCATTTATTAAAGATCACTTTGTAGTTTGGAGGGGAATAAGAGTGTTTTCAGGAAATCAGAGTGTATTTACAGGAGGCTGGCATTTGATGGCCTGGAGTACAGAGGTGGCTGGAAAGAAACAGAGAAGAAAATTTATGTGAGAAATATTTTGGAAATAGGCCCAAAAGGGGTCTCACTGTCGCCCAGGCTGGAGTGCAGTGGCACAATATTGGCTCACTGCAATCTCTACTTCCCAGGCTCAAGTGATTCTCCAGCATCAGCCTCCCAAGTAGCTGGGTCTTTAGGCATAAGCCACCACACCGGCTAACTTTTGTATGGTTTGTAGAAATGGGGTTTCTCCATGTTGCCTAGGCTGGTCTCAAACTCCAAGCTCAAGCGATCCACCTGCCTCAGCCTCCCAAGTGCTGGGATTACAGGCATGAGCCACCACAGGCCAGCCTCCAAAAGGATATTAATAGATACAGGGAGTGAGAAATCACTGCAATTTTGAATGCAAAAATGCATATGACCTTGTTCTGAAAGAGCACTATAGAAAGGACAAGATACATAAACAATGTGATATATCTATAAATAATATATATATACACCCAAAGGGTGGTACAGATATTTACCAATATTTCCATACTTTTTAGCCATTGGGAGGAACTCTGGACCACTTTTCTCTCATCCTAGGTCTTAGGACAACTTCCTTGCAATTCTCTGGCAAGGTACAACTCTGTACCATAATGACCACAACTCATGATATTGTTTCACAGAGCAGTTTAGCTCTGCATCATCCCAATTAACTCTTTACCAAACAAGATTTTAGCTTTGCTTGTGTGTAACCAAAACACCCATTAAACCACTTTTCAAAACAAATCTATTGGCTTTTTTCTATTTAAGAGACATGGTCTTGCTTTGTTGCCCAGGCTAGCCTCAAACTCCTGGGCTCAAGCAATCCTCCCAAGAAGCTAGCACTATAGATGTGGGGTTTTTTTTTTTGTCTTTCTAGGATGATGTTCAGGGCACTTTCTCTCATGATGTGCTTTTTATAGGTTTCTCAGAAATTCCCCCATTAAGGTTATTTATCTGCAGATGCCTCAGAGTCAATCTCCTTCTTCCCATTGGACTTTACAATGCTGAGTCTAATATATTTACCTCTAGCCACATTCTGTTAAAGTAACTTCATCCTAAGTTGAATTCCACCTAAGAGGAAGCCCTCTTGGGTGGAATCTTCTTTTATATGACCTCAGACTGGACCCTATCTGTGGAGTCCATATCTGGCCCTCAAGATTTAAAAAATCCCCCTTACTGGCCGGGCGTGGTGGCTCAAGCTTGTAATCCCAGCACGTTGGGAGGTCAAGGCGGGCGGATCACAAGGTCAAGAGATGGAGACCATCCTGGCCAACATGGCAAAACCCTGTCTCTACTAAAAATACAAAAATTAGCTGGGCGTGGTGGTGCCCGCCTGTAGTCCCAGCTACTCAGGAAACTGAGGCAGAAGAATTGCTCGAACCCAGGAGGCAGAGGTTGCAGTGAGCTGAGATCGTGCCACTGCACTTCAGCCTGGCCACAGAGCAAGATTCTGACTCAAAAAAAAAAAAAAAAGAAAGAAAGAAAGGCAGGGCGGGGGGCCCGGGCACGGTGGCTCACGCCTGCAATCCCAACACTCTGGGAAGCCCAGGCGGGCGGATCACGAGGTCAGGAGACCGAGACCATCCTGGGTAACACAGTGAAACCCTGTCTCTACTAAAAATACAAAAAAAAAAATATATATATATATATATTAGCTGGGCGTGGTGGCAGGCGCCTGTTGTCCCAGCTACTTGGGGGGCTGAGGCAGGAGAATGGCATGAACCCGGGAGGGGGAGCTTGCAGTGAGCTGAGATCACGCCACTGCACTCCAGCCTGGGCGACAGAGCAAGACTCCGTCTCAAATAAATAAATAAATAAATAAATAAATAAATAAACAAACAAACAATAATAAACTCAAAAAGTCCAAGCATGGTGGCTCACGCCTGTAATCCCAGTGCCTTGGGAGGGCTAGGTGAGAGGATCACTTGAGGCCAGAACTTCAGCCTGGGTAACATAGCAAGACCCCCATCTCTACAAATTTTTTTTAAAAATTTTAGCCAGGCATATTATGCCTATAGTCCTAGCTACTTGGGAAGCTGAAGCAAGAGGATCACTTGTGCCCAGGAGTTCAAGGCTGCAGTGAGGCATAATTGCACCACTACACTCCAGCCTGGGTAACACAGTGAGACTCTATCTGTATTTTTAAAAATTTAAAAATTTAAAAATTCCAAATAGATCAGGGATCTAAATGGAAAAGAATGAAACCATACAAATAGTAAAAAAAGAACATGGGTGCATTCTATAGACTGAATGTGGAGAAAATTTTTCTAATAATGACTCAAAATTCAGAGGTAATAAAAGACAAAAATAAATTTCATTATGTTAAATAAAAATTTTTTGCATGACAAAAATATGCACCACAAACAAAAACAAAACATGGCCTGATGCAGTGGCTCATGCCTGTAATCCCAACACTTTGGGAGGCCAAGGTGGGCAGATTACTTGAGGTCAGGAGTTGAGACCAGCCTGACCTACATGATGAAACCTGTCTCTACTAAAAATACAAAACACCAGCCAGGTGTGATAGTGAGACATGAAGCTATCTGGACTTCCTGGGTGGAGTGGGGACTTGGAGAACTTTTCTGTCTAGCTAAAGGATTGTAAACACACCAATCAGCGCTCTCTGTCTAGCTAAAGATCTGTAAACGCACCAATCAGCACTCTGTAAAAACGGACCAATCAGCACTCTGTAAAATGGACCAATCAGTGCTCTGTAAAATGGACCAATCAGCAGGACACGGGCAGGGCCAAATAAGGGAATAAAAGCTGGCCGCCTGAGCCAGCAGCAGCAACCCGTTCGGGTCCCTTTCCACCGTGTGGAGGCTGTATTCTTTTGCTCTTCTCAATAAATCTTCCTGCTGCTCAGTCTTTGGGTCTGCACTACCTTTATGAGTTGTAATACTCACCGTGAAGGTCTGTAGCTTCACTCCTGAAGTCAGTGAGACCACGAACCCACCGAGAGGAACGAACAACTCCGGACTGCCACCTTTAAGAGCTGTAACACTCACTGCGAAGGTCTGCGGCTTCACTCCTAAAGTCAAGCAAGACCACAAACCCACTGGAAGGAAGAAAGTCCAGACGCATCTGAACACTGGAAGGAACAAACGTTGGACACACCATCTTTAAGAACTGTAACACTCACCGTGAGGGTCTGCAGCTTCAGTCTTGAAGTCAGTGAGACCAAGAACTCACTGGAAGGAACCAATTCTCGACACAATGGTAGGCACCTGTAATCCCAGCTATTTGGGAAACAGGCTGGAGAATCACTTGAACCCGGGAGGTGGAGGTTACAGTCAGCTGAGATTGCTCCACTGCATTCCAGCCTGGGCCACAGAGCAAGACTTTCTCAAAAAACAAACCAAAAAAAAACCCTGACGAATAGTGAGAAAATATTTGCAATATATATTATATATGAAGGGGTAATATCCCTAGTGTATAAACAATATTTAAAAATCGAGGGGAGAAGGAGACCACACATTCAATAGAAAAAGAGACAAAATACATGAACAGACCATTTACATAAAATATATAACTGTTAAAAAAACAATTCGAGACTGGGCATGGTGGCTCACG
This sequence comes from Homo sapiens, assembly GCF_000001405.40. Classification (NCBI taxonomy): domain Eukaryota; kingdom Metazoa; phylum Chordata; class Mammalia; order Primates; family Hominidae; genus Homo; species Homo sapiens. The sequence goes on from NC_000001.11 coordinate 150,900,871, forward strand.
CCTGTAATCCAAAGTGGGAGGATCACTTAAGTCCAGGAGTTCGAGACCAGCTTGGGCAAAATGGTGAGATCTTGTCTCTACATAAAAATAAATTAGCTGCACATGGTGGCATGCACCTGTAGTCCCAGTTCCTTGGGAGGCTGAGGCAGGAGGATCCCTTGAGCCCAGGAGGTTGAGGCTGCAGTGAGCCACGATCATGCCACTGCACTCCAGCCTGGGTGACAGAGTGAGACCCTGTCTCAGAAAAACACAAACAGAAAGAATGAAAACAATCCCACTTAAGATAACAAAAGAATAAAATAGGAATACATTTAAGAAAAGCAATGCAAAATGTATTCTTTGGAAGCTACAAAACATTGTTGAAAGAAATTGAAAAGACTTAAGCAAATGGAAAGATACACCATGTTCACGGATCAGAAGACTTAACATTGTTAAGATGCCAGTACTCTCTAAATTGCTCTATAGATAGAAGACACACAATCTGTATCAGAATCCCATCTGATTTGTTTATAAAAACTGACAAGCCGATTCTGAAATTCATGTGGAAACTCAGGGACTCTGAATAACCAAACACTCTTGAAAATGAAGAAAGGTGGGGTGCTCACATGTTATGATTTCAAAACACTACAAAGCTACAGTAATCAAGACAGTATGATATTGGTGTAAGGTTAGATATACAGATAAACAGAATAGAATTGAGAGTCTAGAAATGTATCTGTGACCAAGCAATTTTCAACCAGGGTGTCAAGAACATTCAATGGGGCTGGGAGCAGTGGCTCATGCCTGTAATCCCCAGCACTTTGGGAGGCCGAGGCGGGCAGATCATGAGGTCAGGAGATCAAGACCATCCTGGCTAACACAGTGAAACCGTGTGTCTACTTAAAATACAAAAAAAAAATTAGCTGGGCATGGTGGCGGGCACCTGTAGTCCCAGCTACTTGGGAGGCTGAGGCAGGAGAATGGCGTGAACCTGGGAGGTGGAGCTTGCAGTGAGCCAAGATTGTGCTACTGCACTCCAGCACTCCAGCCTGGGCGACAGAGTGAGATTCCATCTAAAAAAAAAAAAATAAATTCAATGGGGAAATAATAGTCTTTTTAATAAATAATGCTAGAGGCTGAGCACAGTGGCTCACTCCTGTAATCCCAGGACTTTGGGAGGCCGAGGCAGGCGGATTACCTGAGATCAGGAGTTCAAGATTAGCCTGGCCAACATGGTGAAACTCCGTCTCTACTAAAAATACAAAAATTTGGCTGGGCGCCGTGGCTCACGCCTGTAATCCCAGCACTTTGGGGGGCAGAGGCGGGCAGATCACAAGGTCAGGATATTGAGACCATCCTGGATAACACAGTGAAACCCCGTCTCTACTAAAAATATTTTTAAAAAACATTAGCCAGGCGTGGTGGTGGGTGCCTGTAGTCCCAGCTACTCGGGAGGCTGAAGCAGGAGAATGGCATGAACCCGGGAGGCGGAGCTTGCAGTGAGCTGAGATTGGGCCACTGCACTCAAGCCTGGGCAACAGAGAGAGACTGCCTCAAAAAAAAAAAAAAATTGCTGGGCATGGTGGCACACGCCTGTAATCTCAGCTACTTGGGAGGCTAAGGCAGGAGAATTGCTTGAGCCCAGGAGACAGAGGTTGCAGTAAACCAAGATCGTGCCACTGCATTCCAGCCTGGCCGACGGAAATGAATGAGATTCATCACCTATAGGAGGTAGGTAGGAATGGGTGGCAAGGATGAGATGTGGGTGAAATGGAATGGAAAGAATGGTCGGGGAGGGGTGATACTTCTTTGAGTGTAATTTTTGTATAGTTCTGGTAACTATGTTACTATTTCACATACTCAAAAAATAAATGCAATAATAGTAGGGGAAAAAACTCTTAAAGTGGAATATAAACAAGACAAAATGACAAAAAAGCAGACCACTATGTCCCATAAACTGCAGGGAACATATATCAAGCTTGAAGGGAAAGTAGTCACCTTTGGTATTTTCCCTCTGTACACCTTTCTCCTACAGAGTACAGAGGGAAAATACCAACATTCCAGCAACTTTCCCCAAGAAAACCTATTGCCTCTTTACTCTCAACCCTTTTTATCCCCTCAAGGTGAATACTGAACTAAATATTTCAAAAATTGTCTAGCTACTTGCTCTGCAATGCCTGGTTATCAGATCCCTCTTTGGAACATAGGGCTCCTGCTATCTATTGTTTTATTTTGGCCTAAATTTATAGCACAGCTGTAATTGAAACAGAAATAGTCTCCTTTTAATAACCTGATGCGTCTGTTCTGCCAATCCCTATGTTTTGTTTTGAAAATCTGATCATTCTGTAACAACAACATATTTTATTAAAAATCACCCTTCTGTTAAGTGATGGGGCTTTTTCTTCTCTTTTTATTGAGGGGTGGGGGTTGCGTATATAATTTTATTATAAGTACTTTTGTGCATGATTTGTCCCTCCCGCTTCCCACCCCTGCAGTCCTCTTAAGAGAGGCCAACAGCCTTTCCCTGCCTTGGATTCTGAAGTGTTCCTGTCTGTCTTAACCTAGCCCTGGCCAGACGTTCTCTTTGATTTTTAACTTTTTTTTAATTAAAAGATACCAGTATGAGATGAAAAAATAAAATAAAATTAAAAATAAAAATCACCCTTCTGGCCAGACATGGTGGCTCACGCCTGTAATCCCAGCACTTTGGGAGGCTGAGGCAGGTGGATCAGGAGGTCAGGAGTTCAAGACCAGCCTGGCCAACATAGTGACACCCCGTCGCTACTAAAAATACAAAAAATTTGCTGGAATGGTGGTGGGCGCCTGTAATCCCAGCTGCTCGGGAGGCTGAGGCAGGAGAATCGCTTGAACCTGGGAGGCAGAGGTTGCAGTGAGCAGAGATTGCGCCATTTTTGCCCTCCAGCCTGAGCGACAGTGTGAAACTCCGTCTCAAAAAAAAAAAAAAATTGCCTTTATGGAGAGAGTGGGATGTCCGGCTTCAGAGTGGTAACCTACGTTGCACCAGTGATGAAAAAGAGAATTAAATATGGGTGATGTTGAGAAAGGCAAGAAGATTTTTGTTCAGAAGTGTGCCCAGTGTCACACCGTGGAAAAGGGAGGCAAGCACAAGACTGGGCCTAATCTCCATGGTCTCTTCAGTCAGAAGACAGGTCAGGCTGTTGGATTCTCTTACACAGATGCCAATAAGAACAAAGGCATCATCTGGGGAGAGGATACGCTGATGGAGTATTTGGAAAATCCCAAGAAGTACATCCCTGGAACAAAAATGATCTTTGCCGGCATTAAAAAGAAGGCAGAAAAGGCCGACTTGACAGCTTATCTCAAAAAAGCTACTAATGAGTAATAATTGGCCACTGCCTTATTTATTACAAAACAAATGTCTCATGAATTTTTCATGTGTACCATACTTTAACAGAGCTTATACACCAGAATTCAGATCATGAATGACTGACAGAATATTTTGTCGGACAGTCCTGATTTAAAACTAAGACTGGCTTGTGGTTAAATGAATATGTTCAGTTTTTGAATTTTAATAGTAATTCCAATTCAGTAAATGCTATCACTGTTTACCCCTTCTAAAGATATGATTAGACTTTGTTAGTAATGTTAAACTTTTCACAAAGATGGTGAGTACCATCTTCAAACTTACTGGAGATTGGTTTTATATTTAGATTTATATAACTGGTTATGTGAATATATTTGAATACTGGAGAAATTCCTTCACTGTCTCAGAACCAAGCAAGATTCACCTGTGTTTTGTGTCCATAAAGGCAAGGGTTGAAGATAAATAAGGTAGTAATGTCTACTTTATATTTTTGGCCTTAACTATGCCAATCTAATTAGAATTCCCTGTATTTAAAATGGTTCCTTTTACTTATTGAAAGACATTTTAGTGTGTTTTATGTGTAATATCAAAGATTATTTAGCATTTCTCACATTTTATAAATGATCTATAAGGTCACATGCTTTTAAAATAGTAGCAAGTTAAACTTCACTCTTGAATGCTTGTCAAACTAAGTTATAATTTAGGATAGTCTTTAAACAGCCATTCAGAAACATAAAACTGTAGAACTGCTATGTATTTGTGATTGGGAATGATGCTTTTGCCAACTTAAAAGGATTAAAGTAGAGGAGATACACACAAATTTTAAAATTATGTGTGATCATAAGACAAGATAATCAAAAAGAAAACCACACACACACACACACACACACACACACACACACACACACAAATCACCCTTCATAAGGAACTTGCAGAATCTGCCAATTCTTTTTTTTTTTTTTTTTTTAGGCCGAGTTTCATTCTGTTACCCAGGCTGGAGTGCAAGGGTGTAATTTTGGCTCACTGCAACTTCTACCTCCCGGATTCAAGTCATTCTCCTGCATCAGCCTCCCAAGTAGCTGGGACTACAGGCACACACCACCATGCCCAGCTAGTTTTTGTATTTTTAGTAGAGATGAGGTTTCACCATGTTGGCCAGGCTGGTCTCGGACTCCTGACCTCAGGTGATCCCCCCCAACCTCGGCCTCCCAAAGTGCTGGGATTATAGGCATGAGCCGTGGCACCCGGCCTTATCTGCCCATTCCATCTGCACATCTGGGAGGAGTCCAGGGGGTGGCATGAAAACCCAGTGTAAAAGATATGAGTGCAACTTACCCTGTTGCCCCAGAATTGTGGTCAAGTCTTATTGAAGGCACAATACTACTTATAATCTAAAGAAAGCTGCAACAATTAGAGCCAGAACCTCTTCCAAATCTCATGAGAAGATGGCGTAGTCAATCGTATATCCACCAACTCCCACCCCTTGTCCCACCACAGTATATATAAAGAATAAGGCCGGGCGCAGTGGCTCACGCCTGTAATCCCAGCACTTTGGGAGGCCGAGACGGGCAGATCACGAGGTCAGGATATCGAGACCATCCTGGCTAACACGGTGAAACCCCATCTTTACTAAAAATACAAAAAATTAGCCGGGTGTGGTGGCAGGCACCTGTAGTCCCAGCTGCTCGGGAGGCTGAGGCAGGAGAATGGCGTGAACCCGGGAGGCGGAGCTTGCAGTGAGCTGAGATCACACCACTGCACTCCAGGCTGGGCGACAGAGCGAGACTCCATCTCAAAAAAAAAAGAAGGATGAACTGGGGCCGGGTGTGGTGGCTCATGCCTATAATCCCAGCACTTTGGGAAGCTGAGGTGGGCAGAGGGTTGCTTGAGCCCAGGAGTTTGAAACCAGCCTGGGCATCATAGTAAGGCCTCGTCTCTACAAAAAATTTAAAAATCAGCCAAGTATGGTGGTGGGCACCTGTAGTCACAGCTATCCAGGAGGCTGAGGCAGGAGGATCACTTGAGCCCAGGAGGTTGAGGCTGCATTGAGCTATGACCATGCCACTGCACTCCAGCCTGGGTGACAGAGTGAGACCCTACCTCAAAAACAACAACAACAACAACAAAAAGAATGAACTGGGAGGGCAACTGGGAATTCTCATTATCGGCATTATGGGATGTACAAAATTTGTGATGAGAAGCAAAGATAAAAGTACTTCCCCTTCCTCCCAAAGCCAAAGATGAGGGCATGCCAAGAGAGACATTGGTACAATTGGTGACACCAGCAAGGAGAGACTAACAGCATTTCATTCCCTAGATAGATGCTTTAAACTGTAGAACCTGCCAAACCACTCTGGTCAGGTTGGAGTAAAGCATGGTGTGAGTTTTTAACCTGTGCAAACATAAAAAATCATGTCAATTTCTTGGCTACAGAGATCTGAAAGTGGAAGGCCCACTGGAATAATCTGTGCTGGCAGGGTTTATAGGTACCTTGGCAGAGTATGCCTAGGAAGAAAATGTGGCCAATCCCCCCAACCCATCACAGTCTGGCCACTCCCCTTGAAGGACTTCAGGTGTCTCCGAAGGAGCAGGAGCAGTGGGAGGTGCCAGGAGACCACTGTACCAAGCCATGTGATATCCAACGTGAGTTTAGGTTGGGAGAATAGAGGATAAGCAGCACCATTTGAAGGGGTCTTCAATGACAGAAAAGTCCAGAATGAAGAGAAACGCTACTCAAAAAACTACAAACATCCTTCACTCTGAAACCACCAGATCTAACCAGAGTAAGACCAGGTCACCTACTCACAGTTGGCCACAGCTGATTCATTAAATAGAGAAACACTTCACATTTTCCCCTTCCTTTCTTCCTGATCCTGTACAATGCAGAAGAAGAAGCCTGAAAAGGGAGAAGAGCTAATAGAACTCTAAATCCTCTATAAGATTAGGAATTTAAAACTGAACTAAGGTTTTACAAAAACCAGCTTTATTAAGATATAATTCACATACAATTCAACCATTTCAAATGTACAATTGAATGGTTTTTAGCACATTCACAGAAATGTTTTACCATTACCACAGTTGTAGAACATTTTTATCACCTCCAAAAGAAAACCTGTATCATTTAACTTTCACCCCCTCATCCCCCACCTCCAGCTCTAAGCAACCACTAATCTGTCTCTATAGATTTCTCTATTCTAGACTTACATGTGAATGGAATTATATAATATGCTGGGGGCGTTTGTGACTTGTTTCTTTCACTCAGCTTAATGCTTTAAGTTTCATCCAAGTAGTATGTACTTCCTTTTTATGGCCAATAATAGTCTATTGTGTAGACATACCACACTTTGCTTATCCATTTATAAGTTGATGGACATTTGAGTTGTTTCTACCTTTTGGCTATGATGAATAATGCTGCTACAAACATTCTTGTATAAGTTTTTGTGTGGTCACATGTTTTCATTTCTCCTGGGGACAGCCATAGGAGTGGAATTGCTGCGTCATATGGTGGCTTTTTTTTTTTTTTTTTTTTTTTGAGACGGAGTCTCGCACTCTCACCCAGGCTGGAGTGCAGTGGCGCAATCTTGGCTCACCGCAAGCTCCGCCTCCCAGGTTCACGCCATTCTCCTGCCTCAGCCTCCCGAGTAGCTGGGACTACAGGCACCTGCCACCACGCCCGGCTAATTTTTTGTATTTTTAGTAGAGATGGGGTTTCACCGTGTTAGCCAGGATGGTCTTGATCTCCTAACCTTGTGATCCACCCGCCTTGGCCTCCCAAAGTGCTGGGATTACAGGCGTGAGCCACCGTGCCCAGCCAGCTTTTTTTTTTTTTTTTAGACAGTGTCTCACTCTGTCACTCAGGCTGGAGTATGGTGGCATGATCAAAGCTCACTGCAGCCTCCCAGGCTCAGGTGATCCTCCCGCCTCTGCCCCCCAAGTAGCTGGGATTACAGGTGTGCGCCATCACATCTAACTAATTTTTGTATTTTCTGTAGAGAGGAAGGTTTGCCATGTTGCCCAGGCTGGTCTTGAACTCCTGGACTAAAGTGATCCTCCACCCACCTTGGCTGCCCAAAGTGCTGGGATTATAGGCGTGAGCCACCATACCTGGCCAGTAACTCTTATGTTTCATAATTTTAGGAACTTCCAGACTGTTTTCCAAAGTAACTTTGCCACTTTACATTCCCACCAACCGTCAATGAGGGTTTCAATTACTTTCTACCTTTGTCAACACTTAATCTGACTTGATTCTAGTCATCCTAGTGGGTGTGAAGTGGTATCTCAAAGTTTTGATTTCCATTTCCCTGATGACTAATTACGTTGACCATTTAAAAAATGTGTTTATTGGCCATTTGCATATCTTCCTTATGCAGAAAAAGAAATTTCTATTCATATCCTTTGCCTAATTTTTAATTGAGTTGTCTTTTCATTGTTTCGTTGTAACTTTGGTTATCAGGTCTCTCTCCGTCACCCAGGCTGGAGTACAGTGGTGCGATCATAGCTCACTATAACCCTGAACTCCTGGGCTCAAAGGATCCTTCTGCCTCAGCCTCTCCAGTAGCTAGGACCACACACATATGCCACACACCTAGCTAATTAAAAAAAAAAAAATTAAGAAACAAGGTATCTCCTTACTACCCAGGCTGGTCTCAAACTCCTGACCTCAAGTGATCCTCCCACCTCATCCTCCCAAAGTGCTGGTCAGGCATAAGCCACCGTGCCCAGCCCATTTTCTTGATAATAAGCTTCTTAAAGTACAAAAGTTGGCTGGGCGCAGTGGGTCACGCCTGTAATCCCAGCACTTTGGGAGGCCAAGGGGGGCAGATCACCTGAGGTCAGGAGTTTGAGCCCAGCCTGGCCAACATGGTGAAACCCGACTCTACTAAAAATACAAAACGTAGCCGGGCATGGTGGGGGCGCCTATAATCCCAGCTACTCGGGAGGGTGAGGCAGGAGAATCGCTTGAACCTGGGAGGCAGAGGTTGCAGTGAGCCGAGATCACGCCATTGCCCTCCAGCCTGGGCGACAGAGCAAGACTCCTTCTCAAAAAAAAAAAAAAAAAAAGTACAAAAGTGTTGACCAGGCACAGTAGCTCATACAATCCTAACACTTTGGGAGGCTAAGGAGGGCAGATCTCTTGAGCCCAGGAGTTTGAGACCAGCCTGGGCAACATGGTGAAACTCCATCTCTACCAAAACAAACAAACAAAAAACAATTAGCCGGGCATGATGACGTGCACCTGTAGTCCCAGCTACTTGGAAGGTTGAGATGGGAGGATCAATTTAGCCTGGGAGGTCGAGGCTGCAGTGACCCCAGACGGCACCATAGCACTCCAGCCTGGGTGACAAAGTGAGACCCTGTCTCAAAGAAAAAAGTTTTAAATTTTGATGAAGTCCAGTTTCTCTCTTTTTTGTTGCTCGTGATTTTGCTGTCATATCTAAGAATCCTTACATTTAGGTCTTTGATCCATTTTAAGTTTATCTTTGTATGTGGTGTGAAATTGTTACCAAAACACCAGGAGTTCGGTCTAGGTCCTGCTGCTCACCACACAGAAAGATGAGCAATACCTGCCCCTGAGATGACAGGTATTGCCAAAGAAGAAGGCTTTACTCAGGTGCTGCAGCAGAGGAAACCGGAACTCAGTCACAAATCCATCTCCCTGACCAACTAAAATTAGAGGTTTATATAGCAAGGAAGAAATGTAACAATGTGTAGGAAAACAGGAACTCAGGAGGCCAAGAAAGCACTTGTGACCAATGAGGGGTCTTGCACTTCATTGTCAGGATGGGATGATCTGGTTGAGTTTCAGTTCCTTGATACTTTTTTTGAGAGGCCTGGTGGCCCTTTCCTGAAGAAGGAACTCAACATAAAACAAATGTAAGTTTTAAGCTTTAAGACCAGAAGGTCAATTTCTTTTTCTTTTTTCTGTTTTTTTTTTTTCTTTTTTTTTTTTTTTGAGACGGGTCTCCATCTGTCACCCAGGCTGGAGTGCAGTGGCATGATCTCAGCTCACTGCAACCTCTGCCTCCCAGGTTCAAGCAATTTTCCTGCCTCAGTCTCCTGAGTAGCTGGGATTACAGGTGTGTGCTACCACACCCAGCTAATTTTTATATTTTTAGTAGACATGGGGTTTCGCCATGTTGGCCAGGCTGGTCTCAAACTCCTGACCTCAGGTGATCCGCCCTCCTCGGCCTCCCAAAATGCTGGTATTATAGGCGTGAGCCACCACGCCCAGCAAGAAGGGTCAATTTCTGTTGAAACAAAAAAAACTATGGGACTATTGGGTTCATTTCAAAATAAGGGTCTAACTTAATTCTTTTGCATGTGGCTATCCAGTTGTCCCAGCACCATTTGTTTTCTTTCCTCACCGAATTTTCTTGGTACCCTAGTTTAAAATTACTTGGTCATAGATACATGGGTTTATTTCTGGACTCTCAATTTTTTTTTTTTTTTTTTTGAGACAGAGTCTCACTCTGTCGCCCAGGCTCGAGTGCAGTAGCATGCTCTCGGCTCACTGCAACCTTTGCCTCCTGGTTTCAAGTGATTCTCCTGCCTCAGCCTCCCAAGTAGCTGGGGCTACAGGCATGCATCACCATGCCTGGCTAATTTTTGTATTTTTTTTTATTTTTTGAGACAGAGTCTCGCTCTGTCACCCAGGCTGGAGTGCAGTGGCGTGATCTCGGCTCACCGCAAGCTCTGCCACCTGGGTTCATACCATTCTCCTGCCTCAGCCTCCGGAGTAGCTGGTACTACAGGTGCCCACCACCACGCCCAGCTAATTTTTTGTATTTTTAGTAGAGACGGGGTTTTACCGTGTTAGCCAGGATGGTCTCGATCTCCTGACCTCATAATCCGCCTGCCTCGGCCTCCCAAAGTGCTGGGCTTACAGGCATGAGCCATCGTGCCTGGCCATAATTTTTGTATTTTTTTTTTTTGGTCGAGACAGGGTTTCATTATGTTGGCCAGGCTGGTGTTGAACTCCTGACCTCAAGTGATCCGCCTGCCTCGGCCTCCCAAAGTGCTGGGATTACAGGCGTGAGCCACCGTGCCTGGCCCTGGACTCTCAATTCTATTCCATTGATTTGTATGTCTGTCTTTGTACCAGTACCATAGTTTTGATTACTGTAGCTTTTAGTGAGTTTTTGAAATTGGGAAGTATGAGTCCTCTTACTTTGTTTTTCTTTTTCAGAATTTTCTTGATGGAGTAAGGTTTTGGGTTTTTTTTTCCTGTTTTCCTTATGTAAATTTATTTTTTTTTTTTGAGGTGGGGTCTCGCTCTGTTGCGCAGGCTGGAGTGCAATGACTCGGTCTCGGCTTACTGCAAACTCCGCTTCCTGAGTTCAAGCAATTCTGCCTCAGCCTCCCAAGTAGTTGGGATTACAGGTGCCCGCCATCACACCTGGCTAATTTTTGTATTTTTAGTAGAGACGGGGTTTCACCATGTTGTCCAGGCTGTTCTCGAACTCCTGACTTCTGGTGATCTACCTGCCTTGTCCTCACAAAGTGCTGGGATTACAGGCGTGAGCCACCATGCCCGGCCTGTAAGTTTTAATAATTGAAATTGATCACTTCTGGGATATACCTGATTTTTCATGAAGATGTAAGAATGACAGCACAATTAAATGTAGTGATCAGAAAAAATAAAACAATTTCATGTTCATAGCCAGTGAGTTATACAACAACTAGGTACAATAAGTACTCTTGGAATTTGAAGTAATCTTAGAGGAGGATTTTGACTTAACACAGAATTCAGATGTTTAAGACAGTTTTACCTGGATCTTAGGGGACAAGGCAGGCCCAACTGATTCCTAGGTTATATACATTTGCTCACGTTCTGCCTTGGAGTAATTCTTCGGATATTTTATACTTGTGTGTATGTGTGTATCTTGTCAGTCATCTATATTAACTTTATCAGTTTTGTAACTGCTTCTTAAGTAAATCTTACTGATATTTTTTCAACCCTTGGTCCCTTTTTGGTTTTTCACAGTGTTATTAAGAAAACACATACACACACAAACCGATAAGCCTGTTTTATCCTCCTTTGTCTAGGAATATGACAAATCTGAAGCTATACCTGAGGAATTAGCTGGAGCTGGACAACAGTAACGAGGTGCAAGTCCCCATGGAAGATTCAAGCCTGTCCAGTGGTGTTGATGTGGACAAAGGCTTTGCCATTGCCTTTGTTGTTCTTCTGTTTCTGTTCCTAATAGTGATGATTTTTCGGTGTGCCAAGCTGGTGAAGAATCCCTACAAGGCCAGCTCCACAACCACAGAACCATCTCTGAGCTGAAGTATAATAAAACCTGGTAGACTCCCCCAAGCAAGAGATTTGAAATCTGTTATACACACTTTATATTATTTCACCTCCCTGTTTCTCAGCCTTCTCACTCTTGCATTCCACAGTGAGATGAAACACAAGCCAGTTTGTATTGTTCCTGTTCAGGGAAATGGCTACTAAAGTGAGATAAAGGTTGAATTTATTGGCTAGAATAAGGCCATAGATTTTAATTCTTCAGTGCCTAAGGTCCTTAGGATGAGACAGTGGGCCATAATTTTATGATGTAATGTAACATAATGTCATCATGCTTGGTAAGGTCCACCTGAAACTAGAAGCTCACCTAGAGGTGGCAGACTTGAATGATCCCTTTAGTTATGCAAATGTAGGCTCAGCAGAAACCAAATGTCCTATAAGAAGAGTGTAACCAGATTGTTTTAGTGTGTGAAGTTTTATAAAATCTGCTGTTCTTAAGTGGGCAGAACTCTCTGGTAGAAGGGGACTAATTTGCTGTGGGTGAATTCCTTAATCTCTCTCATCCCAAATTTCCTCATCTATAAAATAATATGTAGAGGTTTCAGTGAGGGCCCCAGAAAAGATATATCCGTGTCCTAACCCCTGGAATGTGAGCTTATTTGGAAAAATGGTCTTTGCAAATATAATTAAGAATCTCAAGATAAATTCATCCTGAATTATCTAGGTGAGACTTAAATCCAATGACTCCCCTAGAGATTCTGGTACCCCAGTATGGTCTTACTAACACCTTGATTTTGGACTTCCGGCCTTCACAACTGTGAGGAAATAAATTTCTGTTGTTTTAAGGCACGTGGTGTGGTAACTTGTTATGGCAGTCATAGGAAATTAATACATAATATATGATGATGCAGATGATGGTCATGATTCTGACCATCATCCCAGCGATCTTTTTTTCTTTTTGAGACGGAGTTTTACTCTGTTGCCCAGGCTGGAGGGCAGTGGTGTGATTCCGGCTCACTGCAACCTCTGCCTCCTGGGTTCAAGCAATTCTTCTGCCTCAGCCTCCAGAGTAGCTGGAATTACAGGCACCCGCCACCATGCCTGGCTAATTTTTGTATTTTTAGTAGAGACAGGGTTTCACCATGTTGGCCAAGCTGGTCTCGAACTCCTGACCTCAAGTGATCCACCCACCTCAGCCTCCCAAAGTGCTCGGATTATAGGCGTGAGCCACTGCGCCCAGCCCCCAGGGATCTTTTAAGAGCAAAGGGAAGAAAATCATAGCCCTTACTCTCCAAAGTCTGAAGTTAGGGGACTTTGATAGAGTGGTGTGGTGTATGAGCCAACTGGCAGGGAAGCTTTTAAGAGAATTCACTAGAAAGAAAGGGAGCACCTAAATTGCTGAACAAGACTCAATGTGGGTTTGGCTGAAGAGGATTGGTTTTAGTACAGCAGTTGATGGAGAATCAAAGCCCTCACATCCAGCCACGATGGCCTAATATTCTAGTCAACAGTAACCTAGCATATGAGTATGAACTGAGAGCCATAACCTTGGAATCTAACTGGGAGGGTATCACTTGGGCTTATGCAGTGACTTGGACCAGCAAGTAGCCACTTCAGTGGAGACATGTATCCATGGGACCAAGCTGGACTGGGTTTTAACAGCAATACCACATGGTATAGAGACACAACTTTAGCCATGCACTGTTAGCAGAGACCTGATCATTGGTCTCTGTTTCTGACTCCTGGATGTGGGACTGCCCACTTCCTTAGCTTGAGTAAGCCTCCAGGGAAAATGGAGACAGGGGAATCAAAGCGGAAGATACTAGACTTTGCCTGCACCAGAACAAGGTACTGTATTGTATCGGTTAAGCTGGCAGGGAGGTAAAGTGAGGATGTGGGGAGGGGGACAAGAGAGATACATGATTTGATTTGATGAAAAGAAACTCAGGGCAAGGTGCAGATCAGGTGAAAAGCAGATTAGGATTGATGTCAGCTATGTCGGTGTTTGTGGAAAAGTAAAATAAAAATAAAGGCTGGGTGCAGTGGCTCACACCTGTAATCCCAGCACTTTGGGAGGCCGAGGTGGGTGGATCACCAGAGGTCAGGAGTTCGAGACCAGCCTGGCCCAACATGGTGAAACCCCGTCTCTACTAAAAATACAAAAATTAGCTGGGCATGGTGGCAGGTGGCTGTAATCCCAGCTACTTGGGAGGCTGAGGCAGGAGAATCGCTTGAACGTAGGGGTGGAGGTTGCAGTGATCCAAGATCACGACACTGCACTCCAGCCTGGGCAACAGAGCAAGACTCCATCTCAAATAAATAAATAAAGGGTTGATGTCAGCACTTGAGGACTGCAGTGCATTCCCTCCAGGAACTCAGAGATTAACCTCTCCACCACTTCTTAACATAAACTGCATGACTAACACATGATTAATGAGAGCATCAATATGCAGTCACTGGAGAATCACAGGTTTGACAATTATCTGACTTTCTCCAGTAACCTAAGAAAAGATGCATCAGTTAGAAGAAGTGGATCATTTGTGAAAGCAGAAAAAGATGAACAATCTAAAGCAAATCCACATGGAGCCAGTACGAATACTGTTCAAGAGAAAGGGGAGGCTGGGTGTGGTGGCCCATGCCTGTAATCTCAGGAGTTTGGGAGGCTGAGGTGGGAGGATCGCTTGAGCTCAGGAGCTTGAGACCAGCCTGGGCGATATAGTGAGATCTCATCTCTACTAAAAAATAAAAAATTAGCTGGGCATGGTGACCCGTGCCTGTAATCCTAGCTGCTTGGGAGACTGAGGTGGGAGGATTGCTTAGGCCTGGAAGACGGAGGTTGCAGTGAGCTGTGCTCGTGCAACTGCACTCCATCCAGCCTGGGTGGCCAGATAATCCTTGGTACGGAGATTCAGGGAGTTGCAGCCCATGGACCTTCAGTTTGTTTGGTCTTATTGATCACATGATCTCTGTTAACCTGATGTTCTTAATCATCCCTTCCACCCACCTCAAACTAACAATTTACAGGTCCAATTGGTCTGCAGAGAAGTTACATTGGGCCAGGACCCTCCCACTACTAATGTGGGTGTGTCTGGTGGGTGTTGGGGTTCTACATTTGTGTTTGAATCAACATTTTAAAAATTATTATTATAAAGGTAATACATGCATATTGTAAAACAATTTTTTCAAACATCACCTAGGGATAAAAAGGCAAAAAGTAGGTCCGGGCATGGTGGCTCACGCCTGTAATCCCAGCACTTTGGGAGGCTGAGGCGGGCGGATCATGAGGTCAGGAGATCGAGACCATCCTGGCTAACACGGTGAAACCCCATCTCTACTAAAAATACAGAAAATTAGCTGGGCATGGTGGTGGGTGCCTGTAGTCCCAGCTACTCGGGAGGGTGAGGCAGGAGAATGGCATGAACCCAGAGGTGGAGCTTGCAGTGAGCCAAGATCACCCCACTGGTGACAGAGTGAGATTCCATCTCAAAAAAAAAAAAAAAAAAGGCAAAAAGTTATTTGATTACTGCCTTGTTTCCCATTCCTTCTTTCCAAAGGTAATCGCTATAAAGTCCATTTGTGCATATATATATATATATATACACATATATCTATCCAAATATTTTCCTTTCTTTTTAATCTAAACTTTTTGAATAGGCTATCCATTTTCGTGTTTCAAATTTCTTTTTTTTTTGTTTCTTTTTTTTTTTTTTTTGAGTTGGAGTCTTGCTCTGTCGCCCAAGCTGGAGTATAATGGCGCAACCTCGGCTCACTGCAACCACTGCCTCCCAGGTTCAAGTGATTCTCCTGCCTCAGCCTCCTAGTAGCTGGGATTACAGGCACCTGCCACCATGGCTGGCTCATTTTTTGTATTTTTAGTAGAAACGGGGTTTTACCATGTTGGCCACGCTGGTCTGGAACTCCTGTCCTCAGGTGATCCACCTGCCTCGGCCTCCCAACGTGCTGGGTCAAATTTCAAAAGGTACAAAATGGTGTACTGTGAAAATTCTTACTCCTCTTCAACCTTCTGTTCTCTCTTCACAAACAACCAATGTTAACAATTTCTTTTTTTTTTTTTTTTGACATGGAGTCTCACTCTGTCACCCAGGCTGGAGTACAGTGGTGCGATCTCAGCTCACTGCAACCTCAGCCTCCAAGGTTCGAGCAATTTTCCTGTCTCAGTCTCCCGAGTAGCTGGGACTACAAGTGCCCACCACCACACCCAGCTAATTTTTGTATTTTTAGTAGAGACGGGGTTTCACCATGTTGGCCAGGCTGGTCTCGAACTCCTGACATCAAATAATCCACCCACCTCAGCCTCCCAAAGTTCTGGGACTACAGGTGTGAACCACTGCACTCGGCCCAACGTTAAAAATTTCTTGTGTATCCTTCCAGGGATATTTTATGTATATGTGAGAAAAAAATATATATTATTACCATTAGTTACACAAATGATGCTGCACTATATACCATGTTCTGCACCAATTTTTATTTAATATTGTATCTTGAAGATCATTCCACATCAATACACACACAGCCTCCTTAGCTTCTTTTTTTTTTGAGACGGAGTCTCGCTCTGTCGCCCAGGCTGGAGTGCAGTGGCGCGATCTCGGCTCACTGCAAGCTCTGCCTCTCGGGTTCACGCCATTCTCCTGCCTCAGCCTCCTGAGTAGCTGGTACTATAGACGCCCGCCACCACACCCAGCTAATTTTTTTGTATTTTTAGTAGAGACAGAGTTTCACCGTGTTAGCCAGGATGGTCTCGATCTCCTGACCTTGTGATCCACCCGCTTCGGCCTCCTGAAGTGCTGGGATTACAGGCGTGAGCCCGGCCTAGCTTTTTTTTTTTTAAACACGGTTAAAGAGTATTCTATTGTTTGAGTGTGCCATAATTTAACCAATGCCTGCCAATAGAAATTTACATTATTTTCAAATCTTCTGCTGTTTCAAATAATTATGCTGAAGAAAATAATTTAGCACTTAAATCATTTCAAAAGTATGCAAATTCAAAAGTATGTAAAAGCCAGGCACGGTGGCTCCACTGCACTCCACTTGCACCACTGCACTCCAGCCTGGGCAAGAGAGTGAGACTCCGTCTCAAAACAAACAAAGTATGTCACTTAAAGTCCTAGAAGTTGAATTGTTGATTTAAAGAATATCGCAGGGCTGGCCGGGTGCCGTGGCTCACACCTGTAATATATATATATTGCAGGGCTGGGCAGCAGTTGCTCACGCCTGTAATCCCAGCACTTTGGGAAGCCAAGGTGGGCGGATCCCTGAAGTTAGGAGTTTGAGACCAGCCTGGCCAACATGGTGAAACCCCATCTCTACTAAAAATACAAAAATTAGCCAGGCATGGTGGCAGGCGCCTGTAATCCCAGCTACTCGGGAGTCTGACGCAGGAGAATCACTTGAACCTGGGAGGTGGAGTTTGCAGTGAGCCAAGATCGTGCCACTGCGACAGAGCAAGACTCCATCTCAAAAAAAAAAAATAATAATAATATTGCAGGCTTGGCATGGTGGCTCACGGCTGTAATCCCAGCACTTTATGAGGCTGAGGAGGGAGAATCGCTTGAGGCTAAGAGTTTGAGACCAGTCTGGGCAATATAGCAAGACCCTAAGACCCCATCTCTAGTGGCATGTGCCTTTCAGGAGGCTTAGGCAGGAGGATCCCTTGAGCCCAGGAATTCAAGGTTATAATGAGCTAGGATTATGCCACTACACTGTAGCCTGGGAGCCTGGGTGACAGAGCAAGACACTGTCTCTAAAAAAACAGAAAGAGTATTGCTGAATTTACAGAATTTTTGAATGAGTTGCCAACATTTTAAACACACTTTCATACAAAATATAGATGTTTAAATTCACTTGAAAAATGGGAATATCTAATAATACTGTATCCCACACGACAAAAATTAGCTGAAACTAAGTAGCAACTGCTCCCTGTAGGTGAGATATGGACTACCCAAGTGGCCACAGTCCTCACCTGCCCCACTTAGCTCCTTTACATTACTTTCCTCGTGTCTGCAACCTTTGAGCTTTTAATCCCTGAAAAGTTATTTAGTTTTGATTCTGAGATCACTCAACAACCTTCAGATTATAATCTAATTTCCTTTGAGTCTGTGTGCAAAGAAAGGATCGGCCGGGTGCGGTGGCTCATGCCTGTAATCCCAGCACTTTGGGAGGCCGAGGCGGGTGGATCACGAGGTCAGGAGATCGAGACCATCCTGGCTAACACGATGAAACCCCCGTCTCTACTAAAAATACAAAAAATTATCCAGGCATGGTGGCAGGCGCCTGTCGTCCCAGCTACTCGGGAGGCTGAGGCAGGAGAATGGCGTGAACCTGGGAGGCGGAGCTTGCAGTGAGCCAAGATAGCGCCACTGCACTCCAGCCTGGGCGACAGAGCAAGACTCCGTCTCAAAAAAAAAAAAAAAGAAAGGATCATTTGGCATTCCAAGGTATTGACCCCTATGCTGATTTCTCAGTCAAGTATTAAGAACTATGTGGTTGTGAGCCGGGCATGGTGGCTCACATCTGTAATCCCAGCACTTTCGGAGGCTGAGGCGGGCGGATCACTTGAGGTCAGGAGTTCAAGACCAGCCTGGCCAACATGGTGACACCCCGTCTCTTCTAAAAATATAAAAAAATTAGCCAGGTGTGGTGGTGCACGCCTGTAATCCCAGCTACTAGGAAGGCTGACACAGGAGCAGGAGAATCGCTGGAACCCAGGAGGCAGAGGTTACAGTGAGCTAAGATCATGCCACTGCACACCAGCCTGGGTAACAGAGCAAGTTTATTATTTTATAGTAATAACGGCAACAAATCGTGTATTACAATAATTTGTAAATTTCAATAATGTAAGTCACTTATGCAGGGTCTAATCACTTCTGACTAGAGTTAGTCTTCAGAGCTGAGTGTGGTGGAATGCACCTATAGTCCTAGCTACTTGGGAGGCTGAGGCAGGAAGATCTCTTGAGCCCAGGAGTTTGAGACCAGCCTCGGCAACACAGCCAGACCTCGTCTCAAAAAAAAAAAAAAAATTCTGATTCAGTGTATCTTGAGTGGGACCAGAAATTTAAAATTTCTAACAAGCTCCCTGATTGCACACTGAGTAGCAAGACCTTAGAAGACACCTCCTGAGTTCCCTCTGCTGATATCTACAGGACTGACCACTTCAGCCTTCTCAGGGCAATGAAGAAATCAGACTAGAATATGACGAGCCAAAATAGCATTATTTCTCATCAACATTCCCCATTCCTCATTCCCCACCCCACCTGCTCCTAATAATGGAAAGTTGAAAGAATGTAACTAGTAGAAATATAATTCAATCAGAGCAAAGATAAAGGGAATTTTTTTATTCATTCTATATCAAGGACCACCAGATGTGCAGGGGCAATATATCAGGCGCTAGGGAAAACAAAAATGATTAAGACAGGATCTTAGCCTTGAGCTGTTCACAAACTAGTAGAGGAGACAGGCATACAGTGATAACTCACAAGTGGCATGAACTACAATAATGGAAGTACAGAGGTAGAAGTTAATTCTTTAGAGGATGAGTGACGGTCTAGGACACTGATTCTTAAATTCTGGTCTCAGGATCAATAGCATGGGCATCAATCACCTGGGAAAATGTTAGACATGCAGATTCTCAGACTGCATCCAGACCCGCTCCAGCATTGGGTGTGGGGCAGCAATATGGTTTAACAAGCCCTTCTTGGCCGGGCACTGTGGCTCACGCCTATAATCCCAGCACTTTGGGAGGCCGAGTCGGGTGGATCATGAGGTCAGGAGTTTGAGACCAGCCTGGCCAATATGGTGAAACTCCGTCTCCACTAAAAATACAAAAAGTAGCCAGGCGTGGTGGTGCGTGCCTGTAGTCCCAGCTATCAGGAGGCTGAGGCAGAAGAACCGCTTGAACCTGGGAGGTGGAGGTTACAGTGAGCCGAGATGGTGCCACTGCACTCCAGCCTGGATGACAGAGCAAGACTCCACTCAAAAAACAAAAAAGAAAGAAAACAAAAACAAAACAAAACAAAAAAAACAGTCCTCCAGGTGATTCTGATACATGCTAATGCTTTTCAATTCCCAGTCTAGGAAAACTACTCAGAGAAGACATTATTTAAACTTTAGACAATTAATATTTTACTAGACAGAAAAAGGGAGGGAAAATTATAGGAGGTGGACCATGATAAATAAAGATGTGGAGATACAAAAGTGAAATATATAAATTTGTTAGGGAAACAGCACATAATCAGAAGTGTGAAGAGAGGGGTGGGAAATATGGCCAAAGAGGTAAATTGGGGCCAAATTATGAAGAGCCTCAAATTTTATACTGTGGAGATAAACTTTATTTTGTAGACATAAAGAAAAAAGTTTTAAAGCAGGGTATATGACATGATCAGAACTATATTTTAGAGCTACATATAGGAAGAATCTACAATAAGGCCTACCAATCAGGAGGTTACTTTATCCTGGCAAGAAGCAAGAGCTAAGGCCGGGTGCCATGGCTCACGCCTGTAATCCCAGCACTTTGGGCGGCTGAGGTGGGCGGATCACCGGAGGTCAGGAGTTCGAGAACAGCCTGACTAACCTGGAGAAACCCCGTCTCTACTAAAAATACAAAATTAGCCAGGCGTGGTGGCGCATACCTGTAATCCTAGCTACTCCGGAGGCTGAGGCAGAATTGCTTGAACCCAGGAGGCGGAGGTTGCGGTGAGCCAAGATTGCGCCATTGCAATTCCAGCCTGGGCAACGAGAACACAAAAACTCCGTCTCAAAAAAAAAAGAAAGGAAGGAAGAAAGAAAAAGGGCCAGGTGCGGTGTTTTACGCCTGTAATCCCAGCACTTTGGGAGGCCAAGGCAGGCGGATCACGAGGTCAGGAGATTGAGACCATCCTGGCTAACACGGTGAAACCCCGTCTCTACTAAAAATACAAAAAAATTACCCGGGCATGGTGGTCGGCGCCTGTAGGCTGAGGTAGGAGAGTGGAGTGAACCTGGGAGGCAGAGCTTGCAATGAGCCGAGATCACACCACTGCACTCCAGCCTGGGCGACAGAGCGAGACTCCATCTCAAAAAAAAAAAAAAAAGAAAAGAAAGAAAAAGAAAAGAAATAAGAGCTAAACAAAGCCAATAAAATAGGAAAAGAGGCCGGGTGCAGTGGCTCACCGCTATAAAACCAGCACTTTGGGAGTCCAGGGCAGTTTGATCACCTGAGGTGGTGGGTGGATCACCTGAGGTCAGGAGTTCGAGACCAGCCTGGCCAACATGATGAAACCCCGTCTCTACTAAAAATATAAAAATTAGCTGGGCATGGTGGTGGACATCTATAGTCCCAGCTACTCGGGAGGCTGTTGCAGGAGAATCACTTGAACCTGGGAGGCTGAGGAGCCGAGATGGCACCACTGCACTCCAGCACTCCAGTCTGGGATGACAAAGTGAGACTTCATCTCAAAAAAAAAAAAAAAAAAAAAAAAAAGAATACGAATAGGAAAAGAAAGAAGAGGAAACAAGCTACACTGAATGATGGTTCAAGACCACCAAGTGTATGGCCAAACTGCCTGGGTCTGTCACTTTTTAGCTGTGTAGCTTTGGGAAATTTATTTCTGTGCCTCTGTTTTCTCATCTATAAAAAAGGGACAATAATATTAGTTCTTACCCCATAGGATAATTGTGAAGTTTAAATGAATTAATAACTGGCAAGTGCTTAGAACAGTTCCTGGTATGTAGCAAGTATTCAACAAATATTGTGTGTGTGTGTGTGTTTAGGGAGTAGTATGTCTAAAATTTTTAGCTCAGGTTAGGTGATACCATAATGAAATGAGTTTAGAACATGATGAATTTCAATTATCTGGAGGAACCCTTCACTTCTCCACACCTCAATTTCTGCTGTCTTAATTGAAAATAGGCACTTAGGGTGGTCCCAGGAAACTGTTGAGCAGGTGAAATGAGCACAGGTGAAAATGTGGTCAACAAGAGAGAATTTCAAGGACTTGGCAGTTCTGGCGCTTGGGCTGTGTTTCCAGCCTCACACACAAGGTTCTGGTTTGTACTTTTTAAATGAAATGTAGATTCAATAACTAGTACAGTTAGTGTAAAGACACATGAACAAATTAAAGCAATGATAAGACGCTGTGGTAGTCAATAAAGCTGGTTCATCAGACACACCAGGTTCTCCCTCCTCCCAGAGGTAAGATAACTGCTCTTCCTGGCCCCCTGGTGGTTGTGTAGGACTTTGTGATTCATTCAGGTCAATGAGTTGTAAAAATCAGTGTCTTGAGTCATTTTGTTAATATGAGTCCCTCTAGCATTCTTTCCCTCTGGTATTACTACTCATCAGTGTGGGTTTCCCCAGTAGCTATCATTAGCAGAGCCCCACCATACCTTCCAGAGATGATTATGTAGTGTGAGCAAGAAACACGCCTTTTTTTTTTCTTTTAAGCCACTCAGATTTTGGAGTTGTTTCCACAACATAACCTAGTCTATCCTGATACTGATACTATTTTAATACATATCAAGTTCTTAAAAATTAAGTAGTTAACACCCAGTACTAATAGGGGTGTGGGGAAACACTTTCAGATTTGCTAGTGAGAGTAATAATTGTTACAACCTTTTAGAAAGGTAATTTGACCGCAGATTCTATTAAAATGGAAAAAAAGGGGCCGGGTGCAGTGGCTCACACCTATAATCCCAGCACTTTGGGAGGCCGAAGCGGGCGGATCACCTGAGGTCGAGTGTTTGAGACCAGCCTGTCCAACATGGAGAAACCCCATCTCTACTAAAAATACAAAATTAGCCGGGCGTGGTGGTGCATGCCTGTAATCCCAGCCTCTGGGGAGGCTGAGGCAGGAGAATCGCTTGAACCCCAGAGGCGTAGGTTGTGGTGAGCCGAGATCCTGCCATTGCACTCCAGCTTGGGCAACAAGAATGAAACTCTGTCTCAAAAAAAAAAAAAAAGGCCAGGCGCGGTGGCTCACGCCTGTAATCCCAGCACTTTGGGAGGCCGAGGGGGGCAGATCACGAGGTCAGGAGATCGAGACCATCTTGGCTAACACGGTGAAACCCCATCTCTACTAAAAATACAAAAAATTAGCCGGGCGTGGTGGCGGGCGCCTGTAGTCCCAGCTACTCGGGAGGCTGAGGCAGGAGAATGGCCGGGTGCAGTGGCTCACCGCTATAAAACCAGCACTTTGGGAGTCCAGGGCAGGTTGATCACTTGAGGTGGTGGGTGGATCACCTGAGGTGGTGGGTGGATCACCTGAGGTCAGGAGTTCGAGACCAGCCTCGCTAACATGATGAAACCCCGTCTCTACTAAAAATATAAAAATTAGCTGGGCGTGGTGGTGGGCACCTATAGTCCCAGCTACTCGGGAGGCTGTTGCAGGAGAACCCAGAGGCGTAGGTAGGCTGTGGTGAGCCGAGATCCAGCCATTGCACTCCAGCCTGGGCAACGAGAATGAAACTCCGTCTCAAAAAAAAAAAAAAAAAAAAAAAAAAAAAAAAAAAAGGCCGGTTGCGGTGGCTCACGCCTGTAATCCCAATCCCAGCACTTTGGGAGGCCCAGGAGGCGGAACCCGGGAGGCGGAGCTTGCGTGAGTCGATATCGCGCCACTGCAGTCCAGCCTGGGCTACAGAGCGAGACTCCGTCTCAAAAAAAAAAAGGAAAAAAAAGGCCTGGCGAGGTGGCTCATGCCTGTAATCCCAACACTTTGGGAGGCCAAGGTGAGCAGATCACAAGGTCAGGAAATTGAGACCATCCTGGCTAACACAGTGAAACCCCGTCTCTACTAAAAATACAAAAAATTAGCCAGGCGTGGCGGCACGCACCTGTAGTCCCAACTACTCAGGAGGCTGAGGCAGGAGAATCGCTTGAACCCAGGAGGTGGAGGTTGCAGTGAGCCGAAATCGTGCCACTGCAGTCCAGCCTGGGCGACAGAGCGAGACTCTGTCTCAGAAAAAAAAAAAGAAAAGAAAAGAAAAAGAAAGAAAGGGCCGGGAGCAGTGGCTCACGCCTGTAAGTAATCCTAGCACTTTGGGAGGCGAGGCGGGTGGATCACTTGAGGTCAGGAGTTTGAGACCAGCCTGGCCAACATGGCGAAACCTCGTCTCCACCAAAAATACAAAAACTAGCCGGGTGTGGTGGCAGGGGCTTGTAATCCCAGCTACTCGGGAGGCTGAGGCAGGAGAACTGCTTGAACCCGGGAGGTGGAGGTTGCAGTGAGCCGAGATCGCACCATTGCACTCCAGCTTGGGTGACAAGAGCGAAACTCAGTCTCAAAAACAAACAAACAAACAAAAAAAGGAAGGCTCGGCGCAGTGGCTCACACCTGTATGTAATCCCAGCACTTTGGGAGGCCGAGGTGTGACGAGGCCAGCCTGGCTAACACGGTGAAACCCCGTCTCTACTAAAAATACAAAAAATTAGGCGGGCGTGGTGGCACGCGCCTGTAGTCCCAGCTACTCGGAAGGACGAGCCAGGAGAATCGCTTGAACCCGGGAGGTGGAGGTTGCAGTGAGCCAAGATCGCGCCATTGCACTCCAGCCTGGGCGATAGAACGAAACGCCTTCTCAAAAAAAAAAAAAAAAAAAAAAAAAAGGAAAAAAGCACATATTATTTTACTCAAATTCCATTTTGGGAAATCTTTTCTTTTTGTTTTTTGTTTTGTTTTGTTTTTGAGACGGAGTCTCGCTCGGTCACTTAGGCTGGAGTGCAGTGGCGCGATCTCCTCTCACTGAAGCCTCTGCCACCGGGGCTCAAGCGATCCTCCCCCCGCCTCAGCTGCGGAGTTGCTGGGACCACAGACGCGAACTACCACGCCTGGCTTTTTTTTTTTTTTTTTTACCTTGTATTTTTAGTCGAGATGGCGTTTCGCCGTGTTGCCCAGGCTGGTCTGGAACTCCTGGGCTCTAGCAATCCTCCCGCCTCGGACACAAAGCGCCCGGCCTGGGGAATCTTTTCTACAGAAATAAAAGTACTACTTCAAAAGGATGTTTATTTTTATTGTTGCGCTATTTGTCGGGGCTGAGAACGGAAAACAATCTAAACAATCTAAACTATTCAGGTGTCAAAAATACAAGTTATTGGTTTTTTGTTTTTTTGTTTTTTTTGGTTTTTTTGAGACGGAGTCTCGCTCTGTCGCCCAGGCTGGAGTGCAGTGGCGCGATCTCCGCTCACCGCAAGCACCGCCTCCCGGGTTCACGCCATTCTCCTGCCTCAGCCTCCCGAGTAGCTGGGACTACAGGCGCCCGCCACCACGCCCGGCTAACATTTTTAGTACAGACGGGGTTTCACCGTGTTAGCCAGGATGATCTCCATCTCCTGACCTCGTGATCCGCCCGCCTCTGACTCCCAAAGTGCTGGGATTACAGGCGTGAGCTACCGCGCCCGGCCAAAAATACAAGTTTTACCTTTTTTATTGGCTTCAGGTAATGTCCACATGTTAAATGAAAACAACAAAAATCCAAATACAGAAACTCGTACATACAAGACTGGAAAATGAAGCTGTATTACCTGAAAGGAGCGGAGTGGTGATGGGGCAAGAGAGAATATTATCACGTTTTTCTTATTACATCTTGATAGCCTTTACAATTTGTATCACTTATGTAACAAAACAAACTCAAGTAAAACTGAGAGAATAAAGCTCTGAACCTATGAGCGTTTCCCTAAGTCTTTACACAATGAATATAGTAATGGGGCCACTAGTCGAGGGTGGTAGGAGCGGCGGAGACTCGGTAATATACTGGCCACGCCTACTCTGCCCTGCCAGTCTCTTCTCACGTGTGCCCCTGGAAGGCTCTGCCTTAACGCATGCGTAGTTACCTTAGTTTTCGTCGCCTCTGAGGGGCGCCCCGCGGCTTTGGATTTGACCCCGTCAGGCTACCGTCGCGGTGACCGGAACGGCACTAAAGGTTTGCTTCCGGGCGTTTCTTTTGCTTCCCCTTCCCTCTTTCACGCTTCCTCCCCTCCCCCTCCTCCCTTATCCCTTCGCTTTCGCTCTTTTCCGTCGAGGCCGACCCCTGAGTTGTGAGTCTGGGGTCTGGTTGGTGAAAAAGAGCCCTTGAAGCTGGAAGACGGGAGGTGCGGGGAATACTGTTGAGTTATTTGGTGACCAAAGGCTTATCTGGGACGTTTTGTTTGTGGGAGGGGGTCGGGCGAGGGTGGGAAGGAAGTCTTCCCCAGAGGCGAACGGGGGCGGGGCTGAACTGGGTTTGCGAATGGGTAGGACGCACCCCTAGAATGGGTAGCACGGGGGTGGGCTGGTGTGTGGGCAGAGGAAAATGGAGGCGCTGAAAATCAGATTTTCTTTAACCGTTTGATTAAAAAAGCAGTTCACACGAATGTGTGAAGTATTTGGATTGTGGATATTAGGTACCCACGTTTTATTCCCAGGTTGCTTTACTTCTCTGTACTTTGGGGGAAACCTTTTTGCTGCAAGCTTTCGTGTGTTTGAATATCATAGACTTTTTAAAAAGTAAAATTCCACATGGAAGCAAAGTAATATAAGGGGAACAAGTAATGAAAGAGAAAACACTGAGTTAGTGAGTTCCAAATCAACTCCATCCCCAGGTGGGGTTTTGTTTAAATTAGGCATAGCATACAAAGATTTATCACATTAGTTAAGGAACACATATAGACCACAAAAATATCTTATAGATTGGTTCTCTTCAGTATCCCAAAAGATTATTTTTAAAGTTCGGTTTGTTTTGAGACAGGGTCTCACTTTGTCACCCAAGCTGGAATGCATGGCGCGAACATAGCTCACTACAGCAGCTACTCCTGGGCTCAAGCGATCCTCCCACTTCAGCCTCCTGAGTAGCTGGAACTAAAGGCGTGCACCACCACACGTGGCTAATTTTTGTATTTTTTTGTAAAGACGAGTCTTGCCATGTTGCCCAGGCTGGTCTTGAACTCCTGCCCTCAAGCGACCCTCCTGCCTCGGCCTCTAAAAGTGCTGAGATTACAGGTGTAAGCCACTGTGCCAGCCCAAAACATTATTTTCAGTAGCTCTCTACTGCTTAATGAATGTTCTCCATGCCGTCTCAAACTCTTAAATCTTTTTCAGGAGTGTTAGCGTACAGCAGAAGATAAGAACTCTTAAAAATCTCAGCATCAGATTCTGGAGAATAGGGAGGGAGAACATGGAATATTTGAATAGAATAACAGGCAGCAGAGTAGGAATTAGTTTTATTAGGGAACTGAAATTCTCTATTGATTGATTGTAGTTATAAGGACTCCAATTTAATTTGTTTTCTGTTCCATGCAGAGGACAAAAGCATGTCTTCCCTTCCTGGGTGCATTGGTTTGGATGCAGCAACAGCTACAGTGGAGTCTGAAGAGATTGCAGAGCTGCAACAGGCAGTGGTTGAGGAACTGGGTATCTCTATGGAGGAACTTCGGCATTTCATCGATGAGGAACTGGAGAAGATGGATTGTGTACAGCAACGCAAGAAGCAGCTAGCAGAGTTAGAGACATGGGTAATACAGAAAGAATCTGAGGTGGCTCACGTTGACCAACTCTTTGATGATGCATCCAGGTGAGAACTCCATGGAAAATAGAAGGAAATCTCTCCATTGGGAGATGTTTTTAGAGAATAATTGTTCATGACATTGAACCAAGCATTTTATTTTATGTTTTGAGACGGAGTCTCGCTCTGTCACCCAAGCTAGAGTGCAGTGGAGTGATCCTGGCTCACTGCAACCTCCACCTCTCGGGTTCAAGTGATTCTCCCACCTCCCCCTCCCGAGTAGCTGGAATTATAGGCATCCGCCACCACACCCAGCTAATTTTTTATATTTTTAGTAGAGACAGGGTTTCACCATGTTGGCCAGGCTGTGTACCAAACATTTTATACTTTATGAAGTACAGATGTTTAGAACCTTACTCTTCCTCAAAGTTTATGGTCAAAAATCTGACCTTACAATCAGCCGTAAATATAATTTTCATCTGTCAGCAGCTAATACATGATCAGCAGTAAGGGAGTCCAAGTCTTAAGTCCTTTCCCCTTCTTCCTCCTGTGCTCTATCTTAGAACAATTGCTTCATTTCCCTAGTAAGATCATCCAGGGAGTGAGGATTGTAAAGAATTTCTGTCTTACGTAACTCTGAAGCATTAGTAAGTTCCCATACCCCCAAAAGATTTGTTTCTGGTGCTCTAGTTGTCACTTAGAATACATTGTTTTTAAATTTATTATACTTTAAGTTCTAGGGTATATGTGCACAACGTGCAGGTTTATTACATATGTATACATGTGCCATGTTGGTGTCACTTACATTAGGTATATCTCCTAATACTATCCCTCCCCCTTCCCCCCACCCCACGACAGGCCCCAGTATGTGACGTTCCCCATCCTGTGTCCAGGTGTTCTCATTGTTCAATTCCCACCTATGAATGAGAACGTGCGGTGTTTGGTTTTCTGTCCTTGCTATAGTTTGCTCAGAATGATGGTTTCCAGCTTCATCCATGTGCCTACAAAGGACATGAACTCATCCTTTTTTATGGCTGCATAGTATTCCATGGTGTATATGTGCCACATTTCTTAATCCAGTCTATCATTGATGGACATTTGGGTTGGTTTAAAGTCTTTGCTATTGTGGATAGTGCCGCAATAAACATACGTGTGCATGTGTCTTTATAGCAGCATGATTTATAATCCTTTGGGTATATACCCAGTAATGGGATTGCTGGGTCAAATGGTATTTCTAGTTCTAGATCCTTGAGGAATCGCCACACTGTCTTCCACAATGGTTGAACAAGTTTACAGTCCCACCAACAGTGTAAAAGTGTTCCTGTTTCTCTACATCCTCTCCAGCACCTGTTGTTTCCTGACTTTTTAATGATCGCCATTCTAACTGGTGTGAGACGGTATCTCATGGTGGTTTTGATTTGCATTTCTCTGATGGCCACTGATAATGAGCATTTTTTTATTTTATTTTTATTTTATTTTATTTTTTTTTTAGACAGAGACTTGCTCTGTCTCACCCAGGCTGGAGTACAGTGACGTGATCTCGGCTCACTGCAGCCTCCGCCTCCCGAGTTCAAGCAGCTCTCCTGTCTCAGCCTCCGGAGTAGCTGGGACGACAAGCGTGTGCCACCACACCCGGCTAATTTTTGTATTTTTAGTAGAGATGGAGTTTTACCATGTCGGCCAGGCTGGGGAGGTCAAATTCCTGACCTCAAGTGATCTACCTGCCTCAGCCTCCCAAATTGCTGGGATTGCAGGTGTGAGCCACCACTGCCAGCCAGGATACATTTTCAGATAACAGCAAGGTAAATAATGAGGTAAGGGTGAAAGTACTGTACTTTGGGCTTACTTTGGATTTTTGAGGAACTAGTCTGGAAACTAAACCACTATTTAAAACATTTTTCTATAGAAAAAGCATTCTAAATTCTAAACAGAGACACTTTGGAATGTGGCCCATTTAAATTGAGGACTGTCTATACTTAAATATATATACATCGTAATGGATTCTATATCTCTTAATTCCTCTACTGGCTTTGACCTTTTCTGCATGTGTTCCAATATTAGGGCAGTGACTAATTGTGAGTCTTTGGTGAAGGACTTCTACTCCAAGCTGGGACTACAATACCGGGACAGTAGCTCTGAGGACGAATCTTCCCGGCCTACAGAAATAATTGAGATTCCTGATGAAGATGATGATGTCCTCAGTATTGATTCAGGTAAGGGATGAGCTTTGGATAGGAGAGTCTCAGGACTGAAGTTGAAACACTGGAAGATGAGCAAATAGAAGATAATAGAAGAGAGGAGAAACCATTGTCACTAACTCCATATTTCTAACTGCCTGAGTTGGCTATTAAAGAAAAAAATGCAACATTGTTAGTATCATAGATGTTCCCTATGTGCTACACCCTGATTGTATTACTTTGCTTTCCTCATTCTGTGTAACCCCTATTTTGGGGTATTCCATCAAAGAGTGGAATTGCCAGGACTTATAGTGAGTGTATGTTCTGTTATTAGAATATAAAAAATACAGTTGGTTTTTGTGTATTGATCTTGTAGCCCGCAACCGCATTAAACTCACATAGTTCTAGAAGCTTTTTGTTGATTCCTTAGGATTTTCTTTTTTTTTTTTTTTTTTTTTTTTTTTGAGATGGAGTCTCGCTCTGTTGCCCAGGCTGGAGTGCAGTGGCGCAATCTCAGCTCACTGCAACCTCTGCCTCCTGGGTTCAAGCAATTCTCTGCTTCGACCTCCCAACTAGCTGGGATTACAGGCAAACCCCCTGCCCCACCACCACACCCAGCTAATTTTTGTATTTTTAGTAGAGACAGGGTTTCATCATCTTGGCCAGGCTGGTCTTGAACTCCTGACCTTGTGATCCACTTGCCTTGGCCTCCCAAAGTGCTGGGATTACAGGCATGAGCTGCTGCACCCAGCCAATTCCTTAGGTTTTTCTAAAACTAATTCATGCAAGTAAAGTCTGTTTTACTTCTTCCTTTCTACCCTGGATATCTTTCTTTTTCTTTTCTTATTGTACTCACTAAAACCTTCAGTACAGTGTTGAATAAGTTTTAAGAGCAGGCCAGATACAGTGGCTCATACCTGTAATCCCAGCACTTTGGGAGGTTGAGGTGGGAGGATCCCCTGATCCCAGGAATTTGAGACCAGCCTGGCCAACGTAGCAAGACCTCATCTCTACTAAAAATAAAAAAATTAGCCAGGCATGGTGGTGCACCCCAGTAATCCCAGCTACTTGGGAGGCTGAGGTGGAAGGATCTCTTAAGCATAGGAAGTTGAGGCTGCAGTGAGCTGTGATTGTGCCACTGCACTCCAGCCTGGGTGACAAAGCAAGACTCTTGTCTTCAAAAAAAAAAAAAAAAAAAAGGGTTTCCAGAACAGACATCCTGGCCAGGCGTGGTGGCTCACGCCTGTAATCCCAGCACTTTGGGAGGCCAAGGAGGGCGGATCATGAGGTCAGGAGATCCAGACCATCCTGGCTAACACGGTGAAACCCCATCTCTACTAAAAATACAAAAAATTAGCTGGGCGTGGCGGCGGACGCCTGTAGTCCCAGCTACTTGGGAGGCTGAGGCAGGAGAATGGCGTGAACCCAGGAGGTGGAGCTTGCAGTGAACAGAAACCACACTACTACATGTATACATATGTAACTAACCTGCACAATGTGCACATGTACCCTAAAACTTAAAGTATAATAAAAAAAAATTAAAAAATAAAAAATAAAAAAAATAAAGATAAACCAAAAAAAAAAAAAAAGAAACCACACTACTGCACTCCAGCCTGGGCGACAGAGTGAGACTCTGTCTCACCCAAAAAAAAAAAAAAAAAAAACAGACATCCTTTTCTTCTTCCTGATGTTGATATGAAAGCATTTGGTGTTTAACCATTAATTATGTTAGCAGTAGGTTTTCTATAGATGTCATTTATTAAATTAAAGGAATCCCCTTCTAATCCTAGTTTGAGAGATTTTATCATAGCCTAATTGGATTTTGGATTTTGTCAGCTTTTTCTGTATCATTCTCCTATGTTCCTTTTGTCTTTTATCATATTAAGAATGTATTACAGTAGTTGTTTTTTTAGATGTTAAACCAACCTTGCATTCCTGGAGTAAACCAGCCTTGGTCTTGATGTATAATTCTTTTTAT
The DNA here is from genome assembly GCF_000001405.40 of Homo sapiens. NCBI lineage: Eukaryota > Metazoa > Chordata > Mammalia > Primates > Hominidae > Homo > Homo sapiens. The sequence goes on from NC_000001.11 coordinate 150,932,061, forward strand.
ATGTTGCTGGATTGGATTTGCTGATTTAAAAAAAAAAGATCTTGGCTGGATGCTGTGACTCATGCCTGAAATCCCAGCACCTTGGGAGGCCGAGTTGGGCAGATTGCTTGAGCCCAGGAGTTCAAGACTAGCCTGGGCAACATGGTGAAACCCCTTCTCTAATTTTTTTTTTTTTAAAAAAAAAGAAAGAAAAAAATTTTTACATCTGTTTCATGAGGGCTATTGGTTTATAGTTCTGTTGTGGTGTCCTTGTTTGGCTTTGGTAGCAGGGTAATATAGGCCTTGTAAATGAGTTGAGAAGTGTTCCCTCCTCTGAGTTTGTATGGAATGATATTTCTTCCTAAAAAGTTTGATAAATTCAGTGCTGAGGCCATTTAGGCTTGGACTTTTCTTTGTGGATTTTTAAAATCTTTTATTTTGGAATAATTTTAGATTTATAGAAAAATTGAAAAAGTAATAGAGTTCCTATATATCCCTCATCTAGTACATATGTCAAAACTAAGAAGCAAACACTGGTATATTACTTTTATATAAACTTCAGGCTTTATTCAGCTTCTGGACTTTTTCTGTTCCATGATCTAATCCAGGATATCACATTAAATATATTTCCAGTGTGATGTTTATTTTCTTCCTTTTACTTACTGGGTTTGATTTGTTCTTCTTTTTCTAGCCTCTCAAAGTGGAAGCTTACAGGATTGATTTTAGACCTTTCTTCCTTTCTAATATAAGCTCTAAAGCTATTTATTTCCCCGTAAGCATTGCTTTGCTGCATCTCATAAATTTTTTTCCATACAGTGTCACTCTCAGGATATCATACTTTTTTTATGTTGTGTTTTCAGCTTCATTAAACTTGGCATCATTTTTAATTTTCCTTGTGGTTGTTTGATTTCTAAATATTTGGGGTTTTTTTGATATCTTTCTGTTGTTAATTTTTAATTAATTTTATTGTGTTCAGAGAATATACTTTGTATAATTTTAGTCTTTTTGAATGAATGAATGAATGAATGAATTGATTGATTGACAAGGTCTCACTCTGTTCCCCAGGCTGGAGTGTGATAGCATGATCATAGTTCACTGCAGCCTCAACCTCCTGGGCTCAAGTGATCCTCCCACGTCAGCCTCCTGAGTAGCTGGAACTAAAAGTACATGCCGCCACGCCCAGCTAACTTTTTTTTTTGTAGTAGAGATAAGGTCTCACTATGTTGCCCAGGCTGGTCTCGAACTCCTGAGCTCAGGCAATCCTCCTGCCTTGGCCTCCCAAGGTGCTGGGATTATAGGCCTTAGCTACCATGCCTGGCCTATTTTGTCTTTTTTTTTTTTTTTTTGAGACAGTCTTGCTCCATTGCCCTGGCTGAAGTGCAGTGGCATGATCTCACTGCAACTTCTGCTCACTGCAACCTTTGCCTCCTGGGTTCAAGCAATTCTCCTGTCTCAGCTTCCTGAGTAGCTGGGACCACAGGCACGCGCCATCACACCCAGCTAATTTTTGTACTTTTAGTAGAGACAGGATTTCTCTGTGTTGGCCAGTCTTGTCTTAAACTTCTGACCTTAGGTGATCTGTCCACCTAAGCCTCTCAAAGTGCTAGAATTACAGGCGTGAGCCACTGTGCCTAGCCCTATTTCTTCTTTGTTGCCTTCTTAAAGTCAAACAAACATTTCAGAAAACCACTGTCATTCTTCTGATTTTTCTTTTTCTTTTTCTTTTTCTTTTTCTTTTTCTTTTTTTTTTTTTTTTTTTTGAGATGGAGTTTTCGCTCTTGTTGTCTAGGCTGGAGTGCAATGGCAGGATCTCTGCTCACTGCAACCTCCGCCTCTTGGGTTCAAGCGATTCTCCTGCCTCAGCCTCCTAAGTAGCTGGGATTACAGGCATGCACCACCATGCCTGGCTAATTTTGTATTTTTAGTAGAGACAGGGTTTCTCCATGTTGGTCAGATTGATCTCAAGCTCCCAACCTCAGGTGATCCACCTGCTTCGGCTTCCCAAAGTGCTAGGATTACAGGAGTGAGCCACCACACCCGGCCCCTGATTTTTCTTTTTTTTAGCTTTCATAAAAGGGGTTGCATCTGTACCTAATCATAATCTATTACAAATTAATACTGACTTAATTCTGGTAAAAATACAGCCATTTTGGCTGGGCGCGGTGGCTGACGCCTGTAATCCCAGCACTTTGGGAGGCCGAGACGGGCAGATCACGAGGTCAGGAGATCGAAACCATCCCGGCTAACACGGTGAAACCCCGTCTCTACTAAAAATACAAAAAAATTAGCTGGGCGTAGTGGCGGGCACCTGTAGTCCCAGCTACTTGGGAGGCTGAGGCAGGAGAATGGCGTGAACCTGGGAGGCGGAGCTTGCAGTGAGCCAAGATCGCACCGCTGCACTCCAGCCTGGGCGACAGAGCGAGACTCCATCTCAAAAAATATATATATATACACAGCCACTTTGCACCAGCATACTTCTACTTTCACTCTCTTCCTGTGTGATACTATTGTCAAATATATTATAGCTACATGTTTAAAGCCAATAATCTAGTGTTATAATTACTGCTTTAAGCAGTCTCATGTTTAAAGAAGGTAAGGGAAGAAAAGAAAAATATGTATTTACCCAGATATTTATCACTTCTGTTGCTCTTCATTCCTTCCTGTGGATCTGAGTTATCATCCAGTGTCATGTTTTTCCAGCCAGACGGTTTCCTTTAATATTTCTTGCAGTACAGTTCTGCTGACAGTGGATTCCCTCAATCTTCGTTTACCCAGGATATAGAATTTTTTTTTTTTTTTGTGACAGAGCTTTATTCTTGTTGCCCAGGCTGGAGTGCAGTGGTGAGATCTCAGCTCACTGCATCCTCCACCTTCCAGGTTCAAGCAATTCTCCTGCCTCAGCCTCCCAAGTAGTTGGGACTACAGGTGTGCACCACCACGCCCGGCTAATTTTGTCTTTTTAGTAGAGACAGGGTTTCGTCATGTAGTTCAGGCTGGTCTCAAACTCCTGGCCTCAGGTGATCCACACGCCTTGGCCTCCCAAAGTACTGGGATTACAGGCGTGAGCCACTGTGCCCGGCCCTACCTGGGATATAGAATTCTTGATTGACAGAGTTTTCTTTCAGTACTTCAAATACGCCATCCCTGTGCCCTCTGGCCTCTATTATTTTTGATGGAAAGTCAGAGGAAATTATTTTTGTATCATGTATATGAGTCAGTTTTGTCTTGCTGGTTTTAAGGTTTTCTTTTTGTCTTCTGGTGTTAGTTTGACTGGGATGTATCCAAGTTCTTTCTTAATCCTACTTGAGGTCCATTTAACTTCTTGGGTATGTAGATTCAAGTTTTTCACCAAATTTGGAAGTATTTCATCTGTTATTTCTTCATGGTTTTTTTTTTCTGTTCCCTTTTGTCTCTCCCTGCTTTCTGGGATTTCCATTACATATATGGTGGAATGCTTGACATTCATCTTTTCACAAGTCTCTGAAGCTTTGTTCATTTTTCTTCAATTTTCTCTCTGTGCTTTGGATTGGATAATTTCTCTATATGGGTATCTATATATTCTAGTTCATTGACTCCTGTTGTGACTCTGCCACTTAGCCCCTCTAATATGTATTTCATTTCAGTTTTTGCATTTTCAACTCTGGAATTTCTATTTGGTTCCTTATTTCATAGTTTCAGTTTCTCTTGAGATTCTCTTGTTGATTAAGTATTAGTATATTTTCATTTAACCTTTTAACTTAATTTCCTATCGTTCTTTGAGCATATTTATAAATCCAGTATCTGGGATCACTGAGAGTCAGTTTTATTGACAGGGTTTTTTGTCTTGAGTGTAGGTCACACTTTCATGTTTCTTTGCATGTCTCTTATCTTTTTGTTGAATATTGACTTTTAGATAATCTAGCAACTCTGAGTTTTAATTTATTTTCCTGAGAGTTCCATATCCTAGTTATTCTTTTCTTTTTTTTGAGACGGAGTCTCGCTCTGTCGCCCAGGCTGGAGTGCAATGGCGCAATCTCGGCTCACTGCAAGCTCCACTTCCCGGTTTCACACCATTCTCCTGCCTCAGCCTCCCGAGTAGCTGGGACTACAGGTGCCCGCCACCATGCCTGGCTAATTTTTTTCTATTTTTTTAGTAGAGACAGGGTTTCACCATGTTAGCCAGGATGGTCTCGATCTCCTGACCTCGTAATCTGCCCGTCTCGGCCTCCCAAAGTGCTGGGATTACAGGCGTGAGCCACCCTGTAGGCCTCTGTTCAGTTTTTTTATTTTAACTTTTAATTTTTTAGCTTGGCTTCCAAGTATTGACTTTTTTATTTCTATTTTTTGGAATAGTTTAGCTAGTGAGGCGAATGCATTCAGAGTTACATTTAGTTCTGACGTCTCCCTTGGCTTTGACTTCTTCAACATTGTGTTGATGCATGATGATTAGCTTATTTGCTTTTTGCAGCATGGTATTCCATTGTATGAATATGCCACAGTTTATCAGTTTTCCTGATTGTGGACATTGATTTACATTTTTTGAGATTACAGATAACACTACTGCAAATATTCTTGTACATGTCTCCTGATGCACATGTGCAGGAGTCTTTTTAGTGTATATACTGTAAGAGAGTCACTAGTTCTTAGGATATAGAAACCTCAACTTTATTTGATATATATTTTTTTAGACAGTATCTCACTCTGTAACCCAGGCTGGAGCACAGTAGTGCTATCATAGCTCACTTCGACTTCAGCCTCCCAAGTAGCTGAGACTACAGGCAAGTGCCACCACGCCTGCCTGATTTAAAAAAAAAAAAATTTGTAGGTTGCTCACAGTGGCTCACACCTGTAATCTCAGCACTTTGGGAGGCCGAGGCGGGTGGATCGCCTGAGGTCAGGAGTTCGAGACCAGCCTGGCCAGTATGGCGAAATCCCATCTCTACTAAAAATACAAAAATTAGCTGGGTATGGTGGTGGGTGCCTGTAATCCCAGCTACTGGGGAGGCAGCGGCACAAGAATTGCTTGAACCCGGGAGGCGGAGGTTGCTGTGAGCCAAGATTGGGCCACCGCACTCCAGCCTGGATGACAGAGTAAGAATCTGTCTCAAAGAAAAAATATATGTGTATATATATAGTATTACCACCCAAGGGATTATTACACAGCCACTAAAAAAAAAAAGAAAAAAAAAAGACAAACATAGGTGAACGTTGAGGACATTATGCTAAGTGAAATAAGCCAGTCACAAAAAGACAAATGATTTCACTTAGATGAGATATCTAGCATTCAGTGGTGGCTGCCAGGGGCTGGAGGGAGGGGAAAATGGGGAGTGTTTAATAGGTACAGAGTTTCAGTTTTGCAAAATGAAAAGAGTTCTGGAAATGGATGGCGGTTATGGTTGCACAACAATATAAATATACTTAATACCACTGAATTGTACACTTAAAAATGATTAGAGTCAGGTGTTGGGTTTTGCTTACGGTCCTGGCTACTCAGGAGGTTGAGGCAGGTGGATCATTTAAACCCAGGAGTTCAAGGCCAGCCTGGGCAACGTAACGAGAACCTGTCTCTTTAAAAAGACAATAACAAATGTTGACAAGGATATGGAGGAATTGAAAACCTCATAAATTGTTTATGGAAATATAAAATGCTATAGCCACTTTGGAAAATAGTCTTTTGGTTCCTCAAAAGGTTAAACATAGAATTACCATAACCCACCCACTGCTGGCCATATACCCAAGAGAAATGAGAACATTTGTTGATGTAAAAACTGATAAATGAATGTTCATATCAGCATTATTCATAATAGGCAAAAGTAGAAACAGCCCAAATGTTTATCAACTGATGAATGGATAAACCAAATGTGGTATACACATACACCCATGTATTGACTGCTATAAAATATTATTCAGCCATAAAAAGGAATGAAGGGGCCAGTCACGGTGGCTCATGCCTGTAATCCTAGCACTTTGGGAGCCTGAGGTGGGTGGATCACGAAGTCAGGAGTTGGAGACCAGCCTGGCCAATATGGCTGTCTCTACTAAAAATACAAAATTTAGCTGGGTGTGGTGGCGCGTGCCTGTAACCCCAGCTACTCATGAGACTGAGCCAGAAGAATCACTTGAACCCAGGAGGTGGAGGTTGCAGTGAGTTGAGATCACACTACTGCACTCCAGTCTGGCGACAGAGCAAGATTCCATCTCAAAAAAAAAAAAAGGAATGAAGTACTGATACGTGGTACAACATAGATGAACCTTGTTTGAGGAACCGCATATTACATGATTCTCTTTATATGAGATGTTCAGAATAGGCAAATCCATAGAGACAGAAAGTAAATTTGTGATTGCCAGAGTTTGGGGGAGGGAGGAATGAGAAATGACTGCTATAGGTATGAGGAAATTTTTGGAGTGATGAAATTCTTCATCACTCCAGAATTCGATAGTGATGTTAGTTTAATTACCAAAAACCACTGAATTACACTTATTTTTTCTTGTTTTTTGAGACAGAGTCTCGCTCTGTAGCCCAGGCTGGAGTGCAGTGGCACGATCTCAGCTCACTACAACCTCCGCCTCCCAGGTCCCGGTTCAAGTGATTCTCCTGCCTCAGCCTCCCGAGTAGCTGGGATAACAGGCACGTGCCACCATGCCCAGCTAATTTTTGTATTTTTAGTAGAGATGGGGTTTCACCATGTTGGCCAGGCTGGTCTGGAATTCCTGACCTCAGGTGATCTGCCCACCTTGGCCTCCCAAAGTGCTGGGATTATAGGCTTGAGCCACCACCATCGGCCTACACGTTTTATTTTTATCCTACTTTTTTTTTTTTTTTTTTGAGACGGGGTCTTACTCTGTCACCTGTAGTCCCAGCCGCTTTGGAGGTTGAGGCAGGTGAATCACTTGAACCCGAGAGGCAGAGGTTGCGGTGAGCCTAGATCACGCCACTGCACTCCACTGGTCTTACGCTGCACCAAGCTGGAGTGCAATGGTGCAGTCTTGGCTTACTGCAACCCTTGCCTCCTTGGTTCAAGCGATTTTCTTGCCTCAGCTTCTCGTGAAGCCATGTAGCTGGGATTACAGGTGCCTGCTACCACGCTTGGCTAATTTTTGTGTTTTTAATAGAGAAGGGGTTTGGTTTCACCATGTTGCCCAGGCTGGTCTGGAACTCCTGACATTAGGTGATCCACCCACCTCGGCCTCCCAAAGTGCTAGAAGTACAGGTGTGAGCCACTGCACCCAGCATTTTTTTTTTTTTTTTTTTTTGGTAAAGACAGGGTTTTGCTGTGTTGTTCAGGCTTGAACTATACATTTTTATTTTTTATTATTATTGTTTTTTGAGCCAGAGTCTCGTTCTGTCAACCAGGCTGGAGTGCAGTGGTGCAGTCTCAGCTCGTTGCAGCCTCTGCCTCCCGGATTCCAGCACTTCTGCCTCAGCTTCCCAAGTAGCTGGGATTACAGGCATGTGCCACCATGCCCATCTAATTTTTGTATTTTTAGTAGAAACGGGGTTTCACCATGTTGACCAGGCTGATCTCAAACTCCTGACCTCAGGTGATCCACCCACCTTGGCCTTCCAAAGTGCTGGGATTACAGGCATGAGCCACTGCGCCTGGCCTAATTTTTTTTTTAAGAGACAGGCTCTTGTTATGTTGCCCAGGCTAGTCTTGAACTGGCCTCAGTCAGTCCTCCCACCTAAGCCTTCCAAGTAGCAGGGATTACAGGTGTGAGCCACCACACCTGGCTATTTACTTTGTGTCTTTCCAGACCCTTTTGAGTACTTTATATTTGTGTGTATACCTATATCAAGATTATTTTCAGTTATTGTTGATAATGCTCCCATAATAATGCTTTTGAGTAAGTTAGTTCTTAATTTCCCAGAAGTTCCTCTGTGTAAGTCTCTGACACTCATTAGAGTTCTTCTCGTCCATAGGTGATGCTGGGAGCAGAACTCCAAAAGACCAGAAGGTAAGTTAGGATGGTAAGGGAAGGGTGAGAGATAAGAATATGAAAATAGGAGAATTTTTTGGCCTAACCATTTAATCAGTTTAGCTGTCAGTATCTAATCATTCACCCTGTGATCAGCCCTTTGCGTTGCAGTCCTCTGATTGATGCTGTAAGAATTCAAAAAGAGGTTAGCAAAAAATGCTTTCACTAGAAAGGAGTGTTGTATGAAAGTGGAATTTAGCAGTGTTTGCTAGGTAAATTAATCAAGAAAAGCTTCCTAACATTGAAACGTTGATTTTTGAACTAGGTTTCTAAGCAAGGGCAGCTTTGGGCTGGGCACATTGGCTCACGACTGTAATCCCAGCACTTGGGGAGTTTCAGGTGGGTGGATCACCTGAGGTCAGGAGTTCAAGACCAGCCTGGCCAAAATGGCGAAACCCCATCTCTACTAAAAAAATATAAAAATTAGCTGGGCATGGTGGTGCATGCCTGTAATCCCAGCTGCTTGGGAGGCTGAGACAGGAGAATCAGTGGAACCCAGGAGGCAGAGGTTGCAATGAGCTGAGATCGCACCACCGCACTCTAGCCTGGGGGACAGAGCAAGACTCTGTCTCAGAAAAAAAAAAAAAAGAGGCTAGGCGTGGTGGCTTACGCCTGTAATCCCAGCACTTTGGGAGGCTGAGGCAGGTGGATCACCTTAGGTCGGCAGTTCAAGAGCAGCCTAACCATGGAGAAACCCCATCTCTACTAAAAACACAAAATCAGGCTGGGCACAGTGGCTCACGCCTGTAATCCCAGGACTTTGGGAGGCTGAGGCGGGTGGAACACGAGGTCAGGAGTTTGAGACCAGCCTGGCTAACATAGTGAAACCCTGTCTCTACTAAAAATACAAAAATTAGCTGGGCATGGTGGCACGTGCCTGTAGTCCCAGCTGCTTTGGAGGTTGAGACAGGTGAATCGCTTGAACCCGAGAGGCAGAGGTTGCGGTGAACCTAAATCATGCCATTGCACTCCAGGCTGGGCAACAGAGCCAGACTCCATCTCAAAAAAAAAAAAAAAATTAGCTGGGCATGGTGGCGCATGCTTGTAATTCCAGCTACTCCGGAGGCTGAGGCAGGAGAATCGCTTGAACCCAGGAAGTGGAGGTTATGGTGAGCCGAGATTGTGCCATTGCACTCCAGCCTGGGCAACAATAGCTAAACTCCATATCAAAAAAAAAGAGTAAGGGCAGCTTTGCCAGATAAAGTAACCATAAGCTTCCAAACATAACTCACTCCATTTTGTTTTGTGAAATACAAGTTGTTTCTTATTCTGAAGTTATTTGTAACCCATGCTACTGTTTCAAAACTTGTTTTCCTCATCCCCTTTTCTACAGCTCCGTGAAGCTATGGCTGCCTTAAGAAAGTCAGCTCAAGATGTTCAGAAGTTCATGGATGCTGTCAACAAGAAGAGCAGTTCCCAGGATCTGCATAAAGGTTAGGGTCAAGAAATACCTGGGTACAGATGGGAGGTGAATTCTTACAGAGATTTTGTCTTAAGTCTTATGTCTGCTAATTGTTTGTGACATGCCAGACTCAGTATCCTTAGTAGTTATGAAATCCCAGTTACATTGATGGTGATTTTTCCAGTCTGTGATGGTTTTATCTCAATACCTCTTTAGCGTCCTACATTTAGGCTGTTTCCATCCTCATGACTGCTTCCAGGTGGAGATTAGGGAGAAGAGAATCACTCAGACTCTTGTTACAAAAAGGTTTGAGGCCAGGTGTGGTGGCTCATATCTGTAATTCTAGCAGCTTTGGGAGGCTGAGGCAGGAGGATCACTTGAGGCCCAGCATTAAAGACCAGCCTCGGCAACATAGTGAAACCCCATCTCTACAAAAAAAAATGTTTAAAAATTCTCCAGATGGGCCAGGCACGGTGGCTCACGCCTGTAATCCCAGCACTTTGGGAGGCCGAGGTGGGCGGATCACAAGGTCAGGAGTTCGACACCAGCCTGACCAACATGGTGAAACTCTGTCTCTATTAAAAATACAAAAATTAGCCAGGCGTGGTGGCGCACGCCTGTAATCTCAGCTACTCAGGAGCCCGAGGCAGGAGAATCGCTTGAACCCGGAAGGTGAAGGTTGCAGTGAGCCGAGATCATGCCACTGCACTCCAGCCTGGGCAACAGAACGAGACTCCATCTCAAAAAAAAAAAAAAAAATTGGCCGGGCACAGTGGCTCATGCCTATAATCCCAGCACTTTGGGAGACCGAGGCAGGCGGATCATGAGGTCAAAAGATAGAGACCATCCTGGCTAACATGGTGAAACCCCGTCTCTACTAAAAATATAAAAATTAGCTGGGTGTAGTGGTGCCACCTTGCGTGCCTGTAGTCCCAGCTACTCGGGAGGCTGAGGCAGGAGAATCGCTGGAACCCAGGGAGGCGGAGGTTCCAGTGAGCCAAGATCGCACCACTGCACTCCAGCCTGGTGACAGAGTGAGACTCCATCTCAAAAAAAAAAAAAAAATTACCCCACTTTCCCTAATTACCATACTACCCTCTTTACCTTCCCGTTCTCTACCGAATCTATGTCATAACTCTTGAGAATAACTTTGCTTCTTCTATAGGAACCTTGAGTCAGATGTCTGGAGAACTAAGCAAAGATGGTGACCTGATAGTCAGCATGCGAATTCTGGGCAAGAAGAGAACTAAGACTTGGCACAAAGGCACCCTTATTGCCATCCAGACAGTTGGTATGTGCAAACTTGGAGGAACCACTCCTGAAAGGCAACCTGCACCCTCCACTGCTGATTGTTTCTTTTCCCCATAACCTTCCCATTTGTCTCTCACATAGCAGCCTGGATTTATACAGAAACTGGCAGTGTTTAAAAAGATTTATCTTTCCCTTTTACTCAGGGCCAGGGAAGAAATACAAGGTGAAATTTGACAACAAAGGAAAGAGTCTACTGTCGGGGAACCATATTGCCTATGATTACCACCCTCCTGCTGACAAGCTGTATGTGGGCAGTCGGGTGGTCGCCAAATACAAAGATGGGAATCAGGTCTGGCTCTATGCTGGCATTGTAGCTGAGACACCAAACGTCAAAAACAAGCTCAGGTACCTGGACAGAGGACTGTAAAGGGGTAGAGGCTGGGAGCACAGCACCTGCCCTGTTCGTGCCATAGACCAGATACCACAATTAGCTTTTGTCTTCTTAGTCCCCAGTGGACTGAAACCCTTACTCTTTCTTTACCACAGGAGTCATGTGGGTGATTCTTTCTTCCTCTTTCTCCTCCTGTTTTTTTTCCTTTTCTTTCCTCAAAGAGAAAACTAGGAAGAGAATAATGAGGATTGATTAATGGTCAGGGGAATACAATTCACACAGAAGAAAGAAATGGAGACTAAATGGTTATTGGCAGCATAGGAATCTGATAGAGGAAAAAGAATATATGTTTTTTGGCCGGGCCCAGTGTCTCATCCCTGTAATCTTAGCACTTTGGGAGGCCAAGGCAAGTGAATCACCTGAGGTCAGGAGTTCGAGACCAGCTTGGCCAACTGGTGAAACCCTGTCTCTACTAAAAATACAAAAATTAGCTGGGTGTGGTGGCGCATGCCTGTAATCCCAGCTACTTGGGAGGCTGAGGCAGGAGAATTCCTTGAACCTGGGAGGCAGTGGTTGCCATGAGCCGAGATTGCACCACTGCACCCCAGCCTGGGCGACAGAAGGAGACTCCGTCTCAAAAATATTTATATGTATATGTGTTTTTTTAAAAGTAGGGAGGTATTGGTTAAATTAAGGGAGAACTCCTAACTCTCAAGTTGAGAAGAAAGAAAAACAGGAAGAAAGTAGTGGACTGGATTGTCTTCCCTGGAGTGCATCGTGTTGTGATCCAGAGAAGTAGAAGCTATGATAAAATAATTTCTGTGGATCATGTTAAATATCATAACCCCCAGATCTTTCTGCTGTCACTCTTCTTTTATAGGTTTCTCATTTTCTTTGATGATGGCTATGCTTCCTATGTCACACAGTCGGAACTGTATCCCATTTGCCGGCCACGTGAGTGTTTCTCCCTTATTCCTTAGCTCAGTTTTCTCCTCTACCTTGTATTTCTTCTTAGGACATCCAGTTGAAAAGCCCTAGTGTTTTTGGTATTTCAGTCTCAAAGAGCATAAGTTTGGTTGATGTCTTTTGCTCCCAAAGGTCAGTTTGCTCCCAAAAGAGATACAGTTTTATTGTTCATCTCCAGGACTGGGTCTTTGTAGACAAAGAGTGAGACACTAGAAGATCATGAATGGCCTTGAGTAGACTGCTCACGTTATAGATGTGCTTCAATTTCATTTCTAAGTGAGTTACGTTGGAAAAGGTGTTACTTCTTTCCTAGTGTCATACTGCACCTAACATTTGTATAAATGTGTAGTCTGCATAATGCTTTCCACAGAAGCTGTGTTAGATGGAACCTCATAGTGTCCACTATATTTGTTACCCTGGCTTGGGAGCAGACTCCTATGGAAACAATCATTTTTAACTGCAGAAGAATCAACTAACACTTTTGTTTACACATAACATGACAGTAAACACATTCTGAGTCTCTTAAAAACCTGATAGAGAATGAGAAGGAAGGACTAATTTTTTTCATTTCATGATGCCACCTGATCTTTTTAAATTTACCACTAGACTGATCAACAAGTGAGCAAGAATTTCCACTTGAATTTTCCAGAGGAGAAACATCCATTTGTGTAAAATAAGTGAATCACCTATATTGTACATTTCTTATTTAGTATTTACTTGATTTGTAAGTATGTACAGTTTGTACATTAGGTTTATTACTTAGGTGGTCTTGGCTTTGCTTCCCTTGAGGTTCTGATTTTACTTTTTCTCTCCTTTTCAACTTAAAAAGTATCAAATGTCTCCTGGCCAAGTCTTTTCCCTATCAAGACATGCCCTACCTGCCCTCTCAGTTCTACTTCTTCCTTGAAACAGTGAAAAAGACTTGGGAGGACATAGAAGACATCTCCTGCCGTGACTTCATAGAGGAGTATGTCACTGCCTACCCCAACCGCCCCATGGTACTGCTCAAGAGTGGCCAGCTTATCAAGACTGAGTGGGAAGGCACGTGGTGGAAGTCCCGAGTTGAGGAGGTGGATGGCAGCCTAGTCAGGATCCTCTTCCTGGTACTGTTCTTCTCTACAATTTTGGAGGCAGAGGTTGGTGGGGGGGGAACTTAAGAAGCAGTAATGAGGATGGTTTTATAGCTATTCCATAGCCTTCCTCTTTCTTATCCTCGTATGTGTTCTCACTGTTTTTGGTCAAATTTTACTTTGCCCTTTTTGTTGTTCCTCTGCAGGTCATTGTTGAAAATAAATTATCTGAATTATAATACGAATCTGCATGGTTTTGATTTATTTATTTTTTTTCTTTAGGAGTATTCACATTGTGTGTAGGTACAGAAAGGGCAGCCAATTCCATTTTTCCAGGGTTAAGGTTTTAGTAGGATAGTGGGACGAAGAAGAGGGATCAAGGAGTCCTGATTATCTTTCAAGGCTCAGTTTAACTCTTAGGTATTTTGTACTCATCCTTTTCTCCCTTCTCTCTCCCTTCTTAGAATCATATTTCTTATTTTTAAAAGTTTTAAAAACATTTTTTAATACTGCTGCTTGCAGAACAAGGCTACCTGATAGGCAGTGTGCCCAGAGTAGCCAGAAGAAATTAGAAGTTATATTTCTTCTTGGTGTTACCTCAGCCCGTTACTTCTAAGGCCTTATGATCCTTATCATGCTTTTTGTTTGGTGTTTTGTTTTGTTTTCAGACGGAGTTTCACTCTTGTTGCCCAGGCTAGAGTGCAATGGCACGATCTCGGCTCACTGCATCTTCCGCCTCCTGGGTTCAAGTGATTCTCCTGCCTCAGCCTCTCGGGTAGCTGGGACTGGCTAATTTTTTGTATTTTTAGTAGAGACGGGGTTTCACCATGTTGGCAGGCTGGTCCCGAACTCCTGACCTCAAGTGATCCACCTGCCTTGTCCTCCCAAAGTGCTGGGATTACAGGCGTGAGCCACCACGCCTGGCCTGTTTTGTTTTGTTTTGTTTTGTTTTGTTTTGTTTTTTGAGACAGTCTCACTCTGCCACCCAGGCTGGAGTGCAGTGGTGCAATCACAGCTCACTGCAGCCTCAACCTCCAGGGTTCAAGTGGTCCTCCCACATCAGCCTCCCAAGTAGCTGTGACTACAAGTGCATGCCACCACACCTGGCTGATTTTTGTATTTTTAGTAGAGACGGGTTTCGCCATGTTGCCCAGGCTGGTCTCGAACTCCTGAGCTCAAGCAGTCTGTCTGCCTCATCCTTTCGACATACCAGGATTATAGGTGTGAGCTATTGTGCCCAGCTGTCATACCTCTTATACTCAGTATAGATATCTGTTGCTCCTGTAATTCCTTAAACAAGGAGTATATATTTTTCATTGTTGTGTTCCTGATACCCATCATGGATCCTGGCACATACTTTATTAAGTAGATAAGGAATTTTTTTTTGGGGGGGATGGAGTTTCGCTCCTGTTGCCCAGGCTGGAGTACGATGGTGCAGTCTCGGCTCACCACAACCTCCGCCTCCCTGGTTCAAGCAATTCTCCTGCCTCAGCCTCCCGAGTAACTGGGATTACAGGCATGCGCCACCACACCCGGCTAATTTTGTATTTTTAGTAGAGACGGGGTTTCTCCATGTTGGTCAGGCTGGTCTTGAACTCCCAACCTCGGGTGATCCACCTGCCTCAGCCTCCCAAAGTGCTGGGATTACAAGCTACAGGCGTGAGCCACTGTGCTTAGCTTAGACTAAGGAATTTAAGGCTCATCAGGGAGGATTCCCAGAGGTGACACATGGTATATATCCTCTACACAGGACAGGATAGATTCTAGCCTTTAAGCTATTTCCCTTCATTCTTTTCTCTCAATTCCCCAGGATGACAAAAGATGTGAGTGGATCTATCGAGGCTCTACACGGCTGGAGCCCATGTTCAGCATGAAAACATCCTCAGCCTCTGCACTGGAGAAGAAGCAAGGACAGCTCAGGACACGTCCAAATATGGGTATGTCCTGAAAGATTCCTGGAGGAAGGAAGAAACAGGCCAACCAGCAAAGGAGATTATATACAATGGCTATCCTTTGATTAGCATGGTTACACTGTATACTCATTGGAAACAGGATATGTGCCCTGAGTTGTTTCCAATCATGGTGATCAATTTGTGCTGCTGCTTCCACATGCTGTGGCTCTAATTTGTTCTAAACAACCACATAAAAATCTGAAACAGTTGGCTTTAGGTTAGGGTGATAGTAGTTACCCTCTGTTATCCACATGAGAATTGTCAGTTTTGTGTGTTATCTATGGTTAGTTTTTTCTTTTTCTTTTTTTTTTAAATAGACCCGGGGCTTGATATGTTACCCAGGCTGGTCTTGAACTCCTGGGCTCAAGCTGTCTACCTGCCTCGGCTGCCCAAAGTGCTAGGATTACAAGTATGAGCTACCACATCCAGCGTATAGTCAGTTTTCTTTAAAACCCAGACCTGGCCAGGCACAGTGGCTGACATCTATAATCCCAACACTTTAGGAAGCTGAGACAGGTAGGTGGTTTGCTTGAGCTGAGGAATTCAAGACCAGCCTGGGCAACATGGTGAAACCCTGTTTCTACAAAAAAACACAAAAATTAGCTGGGTACAGTGGCATTAAGCTGTAGTCCAGGCTACTCAAGAAGTTGAGGTGGGAGGATCAATTGAAGCCAGGAGGTCGAGGTTGCAGTGAGCTAGATCGTGCCACTGCACTCCAGCCTGGGTGACAGAACGAGACCCTGTCTCAGAAACAAACAAAAAACAGATTTGGTTTTCTTTTTTAATATTACTGTCATACTTTCTGGTTGATTTTTCCTGCCAAAATTAGTTGGTTAAAGAATATATTTCTGAAAATATTTCCCCAAAGTATAACATAATTAGGTAAATCATCTGAGATAGGAAGATATAAAGTCTTATCTAAGGCCCAGCATGGTGGCTCGTGTCTGTAGTCTCAGCACTTTGGGAGGCTGAGGTGGGAGTATCACTTGAGGCCAGGAGTTGGAGATCAGTCTGGGCAACATAGAAAGACTCTTATCTCTTAAAAAAAAAAAATGCTGAGTGTGGTGGTGTGCACCTGTAGCCTTAGCTACTCTGGAGGCTGAGGCAGGAGGATTGCTTGAAGCCCAGGATTTCAAGGTTACAATGAGCTAAGGTCACACCGCTGCACTTCAGCCTGAGTAACAAAGTGGAACACTGTCTATAAAAAGAAAAAAAAGAGGCTACTCTGCCGACAGAGTAGCAATTTTTTTTTTTTTTTTTTGAGATGGAGTCTGGTTCTTTTGCCCAGGCTGGAGTGCAGTGGCACCATCTCAGCTCACTGCAACCTCCGCCTCCCGGGTTCCAGCAATTCTCCTGCCTCAGCCTTCCGAGTAACTGGGGTTACAGGCGACTGCTACCATGCCAGGCTAATTTTTGTATTGTTAGTAGAGACGGGATTTCTCCATGTTGGCCAGGCTGGTCTTGAACTCCTGACCTCAGGTGATCTGCCCGCCTCAGCCTCCCAAAGTGCTGGGATTAAAGGCATGAGCCACCGCGCCTGGCCGTTATTCTTTTATTCCTTTACTTTGTGAATAAACTTGCTTTCACTTTAATAAAAGAAAAAGTATTATCTAAGTCAAAAAACAATGTATGCCAGCGTCCATGCCAGTCAATAATGGGAACTGAGAGTCTAAGCACTTACTCAAAATGTGTCCATTGCTGCTTTTTTTTTTTGAGACGAAGTCTTGTTCTGTTGCCCAGGCTGGAGTACAGTGATGTGATCTCGGCTCACTGCAACCTCCACCTCCTGGTTTCAAGTGATTGTCCTGCGCCTTCCGAGCAGCTGGAATTACAGATGTGCACCACCATGCCCATCTAATTTTTGTATTTTTAGTAGAGACGGGGTTTCACCATGTTGGCCAGGCTGGTCTCAAACTCATGACCTCAAGCAACCTGCCCACTTCGGCCTCCCAAACTGCTGGGATTACAGGCAAGAGCCACTGCGCCCAGCCATTGCTTCCTTTTTATATTGTATAAGTTAAGGATCAGATGTGTGACTGAATACAAGCGTCATAGCTATCATCTTCTCAGTGCTCAATTTCCTTTTTCCTATAGGTGCTGTGAGGAGCAAAGGCCCTGTTGTCCAGTACACACAGGATCTGACCGGTACTGGAACCCAGTTCAAGCCAGTGGAACCCCCACAGCCTACAGCTCCACCTGCCCCACCTTTCCCACCTGCTCCACCTCTATCCCCCCAAGCAGGTGACAGTGAGTGAGTGTTATTCTTTCTTTTTCTTCAGTTTCTTTCATATTATATTTTCCACATCCCTTACTATATGCCCTCTTCTCTAATCTCCTAGAAGCTTGGAAAGCCAGCTTGCCCAGTCACGGAAGCAGGTAGCCAAAAAGAGCACGTCCTTTCGACCAGGATCTGTGGGCTCTGGTCATTCCTCCCCTACATCTCCTGCACTCAGTGAAAATGTCTCTGGTGGGAAACCTGGGATCAACCAGACATATAGGTGAGAAAATCTGAGGCTCTCTGTAGGCAGGATAGCAATGAGTGGTCACTGTGTAGGGGAAGGTTCCTTGGCTGTAAGCGAAGGGCTTAGTTTAAGCTTATGATAGTGAGGAGTTTGGACTTGAAAAGGAAGCTTTACCCATAGAAGTTCCTAAGAAATAGAAAGTAAGAATAATTGAATTGGAAGCTGGGTGCTTGGAAATATGGTATCATCTGAAAGCCATTTGTTAAAACTTCTTGTTGAACATGGTGCCATCATTGCTAAAATAGAAAGGAAACACCACAGCCTCTTTCCTTGGAGTTAGTAAGGACATTTTTAGAACACGCAGCAGACCAAAAAAACATTGGTAGAAGACTGGATTCTACTTCCATAATTCACAGGCAAATACATTTTAGGAAAAGGTATACTGTTGAAATAGAGATGTTAGGCCGGGCGCGGTGGCTCATGCCTGTAATCCCAGCACTTTGGGAGGCCGAGGCGGGTGGATCACCTGAGGTCGGGAGTTCGAGACCAGCCTGGCCAACATGGAGAAACCCTGTCTCTACTAAAAAATACAAAATTAGCCAGGCGTGGTGGCGCATGCCTGTAATCCCAGCTACTCAGGACGCTGAGGCAGGAGAATCGCTTGAACCCAGGAGGCAGAGGTTGTGGTGAGCCAAGATCGTGCCATTGTACTCCAGCCTAGGCAAAAAGAGCGAAACTTGTCTCAAAAAAAAAAAGAGAAATAGAGATGTTATCAGTCAGTGAAGAGTAACCAGGGAGTTTCATTGTCCAGGTTTGGTAGGGCAAGGGAAGATCTTTCTTGAATCATCTTTAGCTTCAGGAGCACAGCTGTTTGAAAGATGAGAGAAATGGCTTAGCTACCTGGAGGGTTAATTATAAAACAGAGGTCCTGTTGCCTTCCGATCTGATCACTTGCATCTCATTTGCAGATCACCTTTAGGCTCCACAGCCTCTGCCCCAGCACCCTCAGCACTCCCGGCCCCTCCAGCACCCCCAGTCTTCCATGGCATGCTGGAGCGGGCCCCAGCAGAGCCCTCCTACCGTGCTCCCATGGAGAAGCTTTTCTACTTACCTCATGTCTGCAGCTATACCTGTCTGTCTCGAGTCAGACCTATGAGGAATGAGCAGTACCGGGGCAAGAACCCTCTGCTGGTCCCGTTACTATATGACTTCCGGCGGATGACAGCCCGGCGTCGAGTTAACCGCAAGATGGGCTTTCATGTTATCTATAAGACACCTTGTGGTCTCTGCCTTCGGACAATGCAGGAGATAGAACGCTACCTTTTCGAGACTGGCTGTGACTTCCTCTTCCTGGAGATGTTCTGTTTGGATCCATATGTTCTTGTGGACCGAAAGTTTCAGCCCTATAAGCCTTTTTACTATATTTTGGACATCACTTATGGGAAGGAAGATGTTCCCCTATCCTGTGTCAATGAGATTGACACAACCCCTCCACCCCAGGTGGCCTACAGCAAGGAACGTATCCCGGGCAAGGGTGTTTTCATTAACACAGGCCCTGAATTTCTGGTTGGCTGTGACTGCAAGGATGGGTGTCGGGACAAGTGAGTTGGTGGGGGGAATTGCTGCCCCTGCTTCCAACTTTGTTATGGTGTCTGTTTCACCTCTTCCTTTGCCTTGTATCTGTACTGCTTTCCCCATCTTCCTTTACCTCCTCCCTCACCTGGAACTCCTGCTATAAGGCCTCCATGAAAGCTATGAGGTAGGGAGGCTGGAGTCTGACATGGCCACACTGAGCAACCTTGGGTACATGTGTATTGTGTTATTTTTGTTCTCTGATCCCCCCGCTCCTTTCCTTTATTTCCCTCTGTCATATAGGTCCAAGTGTGCCTGCCATCAACTAACTATCCAGGCTACAGCCTGTACCCCAGGAGGCCAAATCAACCCTAACTCTGGCTACCAGTACAAGAGACTAGAAGAGTGTCTACCCACAGGGTAAGTGGTCAAGGAATGGCACAGTACCTCAGAGAGACTGAGGAGCATGTTCTTGTTTTTCTGTGCTTATAGAAATCATCAGAAATCTAAAAATTGGAACCAAAAATAGAATACCAGATGAGGCATTTTATTAATTAGATCTTATTTCATGACTTCCAAAACACATTTTTTTTCTTGGACCTTCCTTGAAATGAAGACATAGAATGATTGAATAGTATCTAGCAATTTTCTGTTGCAAAAAAAGATTATCTTAATTTCATAGCTAAATGAATGTCTTAACAGATTGTGATTTACACTTGTAAGTGAAATGTGTTCAGAGAGGAGAAGTAGGCAGGGACCTGATTACATAGGGCTTTGTAAATCAGAATGAAAAAAGTTAGAATCAGGCTGGCACAGTGGCTCACACCTGTAATCCCAGCACTTTCGGAGGCCAAGGTGGGTGGATCACCTGAGGTCAGGAGTTTGAGACCAGCCTGGCCAACCTGGTGAAACCCTGTCTCTACTAAAAATACAAAAATTAGCCGGGGGTGGTGGCGGGTGCCTGCAGTCCCAACTACTTGGGAGGCTGAGGCAGGAGAATCGCTTGAATCCAGGAGGCAGAGGTTGCAGTGAGCCAAGATCATGCCACTGCACTTCAGCCTGGGTGACAAGAGCGAGACTCTGCCTTAAAAAAAAAAAAAGAAAAGTTAGAATCAAATTCATGGTGCTCTTACAGGATTTTAAGCTGCCAAGTGATGTGACCTGCCTTTTTCAGATTACTCTGGCTTCTTTGTAGATCATAGGTCTTAGGATGGCAAAAGTAGATTTTGGAAGACCAATTAGGAGATCGTTATAGGAGTACAGCAGAGAGAGACATTGTTGCAGCTATGACTTGCAATAGAATGGAGGTGATAGTAGAGGTAAGAAGGATAGATTTGGGCTGTATTAATAGGTAGAGCTACAGAATTGGATAGATTATGGAGTGGGGGGAAAGAGTAGAATCAAGGACAATTCCTAAATTTTTGGCTTGAGCATCTTAGTGGTTGTTGGTGCTTTTTACTGAGATGGAAGACCGAAGGAGTAGTAGGTTTGAGTGAAATTCAGTTTTTGTTTTGGCCATGTTAAGTTTGAAATGCCGCCGGGCGCAGTGGCTCACGCCTGTAATCCCAGCACTTTGGGAGGCTGAGGCGGGCGGATCACCTGAGGTCGGGAGTTCAAGACCAGCCTTGACCAACATGGAGAAATCCCGTCTCTACTAAAAATACAAAAAAAAAAAATTAGCCGGGCATGGTGGCGCATGCCTGTAATCTCAGCTACTCGGGAGGCTGAGGCAGGAGAATTGCTTGAATCTGGGAGGCGGAGGTTGTGGTGAGCTAAGATCGCACCATTGCACTCCAGCCTGGGCAACAAGAGCGAAACTCAGTCTCAGAAAACAAAACAAAACAAAAAGTTTGAAATGCCTGTCAGGCAATCCAAGTAGAAATGTCAAGAAGACACTGGGATTTCTGGAGAGAGTGGGATATAAAAATTTAGGAATCATCAGCACAGGAGTATTTAAAGCCTGAATAAGTTCACCTAGAGACAATGTTGATAATAGAGAAGGCGGCTCAGGAGTAAGCCCTGGGTGCCCCAACATTTAAAGGTTGAGCAGAGGAGGTGGAACCAGCATGAGGTTGAGGACAGCTACTGAGGAGGGTGAGGCCGAAAGATTACTTGAGGCCTGGAGTTTGAG
Source organism: Homo sapiens (assembly GCF_000001405.40). NCBI lineage: Eukaryota > Metazoa > Chordata > Mammalia > Primates > Hominidae > Homo > Homo sapiens. The sequence continues at coordinate 150,953,193 of NC_000001.11, forward strand.
ACCAGACTGGGCAACATAGTAAGACCCTGTGTCTAAAAAAAAATTGTTGGGGCTGGGCGTGGTGGCTCACGCCTGTAATCCCAGCACTTTTCGAGGCTGAGGCAGGCAGATCACTTGAGGTCAGGAGTTCAAGACCAGCCTGGCCAATATGGTGAAACCCCATCTCTACTAAAAATACAAAAAACTTGCCAGGGATGGTGGCGAGCACCTGTAATCCCAGCTACTTGGGAGGCTGAGACAGGAGAATCACTTGGACCCAGGAGGTGGAGGTTGCAGTGAGCCAAGACCGCACCATTGCACTCCAGCCTGGGCAAGAAAAGCAAAATTCTATCTCAAAAAAAAAAAAAAATTGTTGGCCATGCGCGGTGGCTCATGCCTGTAATCCCAACACTTTGGGAGGCCAAGGTGGGTGGATCACCTGAGGTCAGGAGTTCAAGAACAGCCTGGCCAACATGGTGAAACCCCATCTGTAATAAAAATACAAAAATTAGCCAGGCGTGATTGTGCACGCCTGTAATCTCAGCTATTTGGGAGGCTGAGGCAAGAGAATCGCTTGAAGCTGGGAGGCAGAGATTACAGTAAGCTGAGATTGCACCACTGCACTCCAGTCTGGACAACACAACAAGACTCCGTCTCAAAAAAAATGATTTAAAAATTAAAAAAAAAATTTTTTTTTTTTTTAGATGGAGTCTTGCTCTGTCGCCCAGGCTGGAGTGCAGTGGCGTGATCTCAGCTCACTGCAAGCTCCGCCTTCCGGGTTCACGCCATTCTCCTGCCTCAGCCTCCCGAGAAGCTGGGACTACAGTCGCCCACCACCACGCCTGACTACTTTTTTGTATTTTTAGTAGAGACAGGGTTTCACCATGTTAGCCAGGATGGTCTCTATCTCCTGACCTCATGATCCGTCTGCCTCAGCCTCCCAAAGTGCTGGGATTACAGGCGTGAGCCACCGCGCCCAGCCTAAATTATTTTTTAAAAAATTAGCCGGGCATGGTAGATGCATGCCTGTAGTCCCAGCTACTTGAGAGGCAGAGGCAGAAAGATCACTTGAGCCCAGTAGTTCAAGGCTGCAGTGAGCTATGATCACACCACTACACTCTAGCCTGGGGTGACAGAGCATGACTCTTATCTCTAAAACAAGAGGAGGACAACAAAAGAGTGGGGTATAGCATGGTAAACTGGTATATATAAACACGTGAACTAATAAACCTAGTGATCAGAATACATAATTAACAGAACAGAGGAGAAAAGCATCAGTGAAATAATTCAGAAAGTGTCCCATAATTGAAGGATCTTTGTTTCTGAATTGAAAGGGCCAGTTAGGTCCCAACATAATGAAGGATAAAGGTAGGTTCCCATTAAGAGACATTATCATAAAATGTCAGAACACTGAGGGAAAAAAAAATCCTAAAAGCTTCTAGAGAAGAGAAATAGAACACGTTAAAAAATAGACTTGAAATGACTTCAGCCTTCCCTGAAAGTAGCACTAGAAGCTAGATAGCAATTGGAGAATCTGTTCAGAATTCTAAGGGAAAATTATTTCCAACCTGGAATTTTAAACTCGGGCAAACTATCAATTTGGTGTTACAGTAGGCTAAATACATTTTTTTAGACATGCAGTACCTCAGAGTTTTTCATCATTCCCCTTCTCAGAAAGTTTCTGGAAATATTTGCAAAAATGAGAGGGAAAGGCAGGAAAGGGGAAGACAGGTGACAGTGCAGTGAAAGAGGCTTCCAGGCTGACAGCTGTGTACTAGGCATAGAGAAGAGCCACTGCAGGAGCAGGTCAGATGCTGTAGGAGCGACTTCTTCAGGAAAATTGGTTTAACAGAAAACCTGAGGTGCCTGAATACATTCAGAGGAGATCGAGACTACTGGGGAGATCATAGGATGAATTTGTACTGATAACATTGAAAAACTAAACAAAGGAATAGACAGTTGTTTAGTTGCATTGCTGTATCATGTATGTTTTAATTATTAACAAAATTTTGAATCTAACAATAGCGTTTAGATTTGATAATGCTGGGTGGTACATGAGTGTTCATATCTTTTTTACACGTTTGAAATGTTTCATAAAAATATTTTCAAATAATCACAAATAATATATCACTCCCCTGCTTAACTCTATAATATAGTCCCTCTGCTGTTTGGATTTTATTCTGACTCTTAACCTTAGGTTATATATTTGGCCCTTTCCTGTCTCCCTCCAAAGTCATTCCAACCACACTGATATTTTTCAGTTCCTGGATCCAGTTCAACCAGTGTTTTCCAGCCTGCCTCTGGAGACTTGCACATGCTGTGCCTTCTTCTTGGCATCCTTCCACTTTTCTTTGTGTGGCTATCTTCTTTAACCTTGAGCTTTCAGCTGTAAAGTCACCTCCTCAGAGAGACCTTCCCTGACCACTTTAAAACTAGGTCATTTTACTCCCTTAATTCTCTCATTGAGCACCATGTTTGTGTTCTTTATAGCATTTATGACAACTTTTGTTGACTTGTTTTTCTTTTTTTCTATTATATAAGCTCCTTCATGAGGGCAAGGATCTTATCTGTCTCTTTGTCTTGCTAACCATTGTATCACCAGTTTACCCAATGCCTGGCACATAGTAATCACTTAGGCCAGGTGCAGTGGCTGATGCCTGTAATCCCAGCACTTTGGGAGGCCAAGGCGGGCAGATCACTTGAGGTCAGGAGTTCGAGACCAGCCTAGCCAACATGGTGAAACCCTGTCTCTACTAATAAAGTATAAAAAATTAGCCAGGCGTGGTGGCACATGCCTGTAGTGCTAGCTACTCAGGAGGCTGAGATGGGAGAATTGGTTGAACCCAGGAGGCAGAGGTTGCAGTGAGCCGAGATTGCACCATTGCACTCCAGCCTGGGCGACAGAAGGAGACTTCGTCTCAAAAAAAAAAAAAAAGCCAAGCGCAGTGGCTCACGCCTGTAATCCCAGCACTTTGGGAGGCCGAGACAGGTGGATTACGAGGTCAGGAATTCAAGATCAGCCTGGCCAAGATGTTGAAACCCCGTCTCTACTAAAAATACAAAAATTAGCCATGTGCGGTGGCAGGCGCCTGTAATCCCAGCTACTCCAGAGGCTGAGGCAGGAGAATCACTTGAACCCGCGAGGTGGAGGTTGCAGTGAGCCAAGATCCCACCACTGCACTCCGGCCTAGGCAATAGAGTGAGACTCCGCCTCAAAAAAAAAAAAAAAAGTAACCACTTAAATTTTGTGGAATGAATGAATGATAGTATAGCTACTGTAAAGGTTTCATGTGGTAATAATGACACCTGAGTTCAAATTCCAGCCCTGCCCCTACTGAGCTGATCTTTTTTGATCAGCTGTAAACAGAGGATATTAACATAAACACCCCCATGTCCCCAGTGGGGTTTTAAGGGACCTAACAAAGTTGTTTCTTGATCTGGTGCAGGTTACATGGTATGCTGAGTTTGTAAAATTCATTGATCTGTATAGACTTACGTGTACTTTCCTCTGTGTATATTACGTTTCAATAATCTTTTATTTCCCCCTACCCACTAGACCACCAGGGAAATAATCTCTTTTTTTTTTTTGCTATGGAGTCTTGCTCCCAAAGTGCTGGGATTACCGACATGGGAAATAATCTTTTTTAAAGTTAGAAAAAAAAGCTAGACATGGTGGCTCACACCTGTAATCCCAGCACTTTGGGAGGCCGTGGTGGGGGGATGGCTTGAGTTCAGTAGTTCCAGACTTGCCTGGGCAATGTGATGAGACCTTGTCTCTACAAAAAAAGTTTTAAAAATTAGCTGGGCATGTGGCATGCAGCTGTGGTCCCAGCTACTTAGGAGACTGAGGCAGGAGGATCACTTGAGCCCAGGAGGTCAAGGCTGCAGTGAGCTGTGTTTGTGCCGCTGCACTATGGTCTGGGTGACAGAGCAAGACCATGACTCAAAAAAAAAAAAAATGGGAGGTCGAAGCAGGTGGATCACCTGAGGTCAGGAGTTCAAGACCAGCCTGGCCAACATGGTAAAACCCTGTCTCCAATACAAAAATTAGCAGGGTATGATGGCATGCACCTATAATCCCAGCTACTTGGGAGGCTGAGGCAGGAGAATCGCTTGAACCCAGGAAGCGGAGGTTGGGCGACAAAGCGAGACTGTGTCTCAAAAAGAAAAAACACCACCTGTATTAGGGCAGCTTTAAGGATAGAATATGTATATATAAGGCATTCACACAATGCCAAACACAAAAGTATATGCTTAGTAACTAGAAGCTGCTCTTACCATCTTTATCTGGAGAGAGGATATGACTAAAATCGTGAACTAACTGAGCTGTTGATACATTTCCAAAGTAAATTTCTTCCATTGATTTTACATACCAAGAAAATAAGTAAAATTCTAACACTGGGCAAATAGAGCAAAAACATTGTTACCTGAAACAATTAGTTTTCTTAGTATAACTGTGTTATCTTCCTTTAATGTTGGTATGTGCTAGATCCCTCTGATTACCTTTAATGGTTGTTTAAAAATAATTAAAATTTTTTTCTTTTTCAGAGATGGGGTGGACTTGCTTTGTCATTCAGGCTGGAGCGCAGTGGTATGATCATAGCTCACTGAAACCTCGAACTCCTGAGCTCAAGTGATCTTCTCACCTCAGCATCCTCAGTAGCTGGGATTACAGGCATGAGCCACTGCGCCTGGCCCAAATTCTTAAATTAGATAGAATATGAGCTCCCCTGGGCTGGGCACGGTGGCTCACACCTGTACTCCCAGCCCTTTGGTTCGCTAAGGCAGGCGGATCACATGAGGTCGGGAATTCGAGACCAGCCTGATCAACATGGATAAACTCCATCTCTACTAAAAATACAAAATTAGCAAGGCACGGTGGCGCGTGCCTGTAATCTCAGCTACTTGGGAGGCTGAGGCAGGAGAATCACTTGAACACGGGAGGTGGAGGTTGTGAGCTGAGATTGCGCCATTGCACTCCAGCCTGGGCAATGAGAGCGAAACTCTGTCTCCAAAAAAAAAAAAAAGAGCTCCCTGAGGGTAGAAATTATGACCTTTTTTTTTTTCTTTTTTTTCTTTTTTCTTTTTTTTTTTTTTTGTGACAGAGTCTCACCCTGTCGCCCAGATTGGAGTGCAGTGGCTTGATTTTGGCTCACTGCAACCTCCGCCTCCTGGGTTCAAGGAATTCTCCTACCTCAGCCTCCCAAGTAGCTGGGACTACAGATGCATGCCACCACACCCGGCTAATTTTTTAATTTTTATTAGAGACGGGGTTTTACTGTGTTAGCCAGGATGGTCTCACTCTCCTGACCTCGTGATCCACCCACCTTGGCCTCCCAAAGTGCTGGGATTATAGGCATGAGCCACCACGCCCAGCACGATCTTTTTCATTGTTATGTTTCCAGTGTTTAGTAGAGCTCTTGGTGTTTAATAATTGTTTACTGAATGAAAGAATGAAAATCAACTTTACCATGAACATTAGTCACAGTTCCTCCTATCTCTTTATTCCCTTTCGTATCTGTTATGTTGGCCTCTGTTTTTCTCACATTTATTTATTTTTATTATTATTATTATTTTTGCTGTTGTTAGTAAGAAACCTCACCAGGAATTTCTCACATGTCTTTATTTTGTGCATCTATTTCTACAAATTGACCGTCCATATAGTGCTTATTTTAATGGCTCTGTAATCTGTATTCCCATTATAGTTTACTTAGCTTTTCTCCAGGTGTTAGGCACTCTAGCATTCACTTTTATGAGCTGTCTTGCTATAGACATCTTTATAAATATTTCTCCGCCCTCTAAATTTTTTCCTTGGGCTACATTTCCAAATGAATCAAAGAGCATAGATGGTTCAATAGATCCACTCACTTAGATCATTACCTAATTTTTAATCTTTATCCACAACACATTATAAATGATGATAGCTTAAGAATTATAATAGTTTTATGGATTTTTTTGTGCTCTAGTGATCATACCGTGATTGATTTTATTCTAACCTCCTCCCAGGGTATATGAGTGTAACAAACGCTGCAAATGTGACCCAAACATGTGCACAAACCGGTTGGTGCAACATGGACTACAAGTTCGGCTACAGCTATTCAAGACACAGAACAAGGGCTGGGGTATCCGCTGCTTGGATGACATTGCCAAAGGCTCTTTTGTTTGTATTTATGCAGGTTGGTGATAAAATATAAGGGTTGTTTCCTGAGACTGGGACATGGTAGGGAATTGAACCAGAGACAAATTGAACATAAGAAGAAAGTGCTTGACATGTGAACTGGAGTAAGAGGAGGCCAGGGACTTCTACAAAGAACGTGATGAGTGATGTACCTGTCTAGCTAGACCAGAGAGGGACACAAGTGTTTCACAAATAAGAGAATGAAAAGGGATGAAATTTTGGACATGGTGATATTTCAGAGAACAGACATGATTATAGAGTCCAGTGTATCATTTTCTCCCATGTCACTCCACTCAGAGATCTTTTAGCATAGCCCAGTACTCTGTTTCAATAAAGTAGAAGAAATGGAAAGACAGAAAGGGCAAGATTTAAAATGACAGTAAGTTCTCCATACTTTCATAGTTAAGATACAAAGGGAGGTATTATCAAAGAGAAACACTGGGCCGGCGTGGTGGCTCATGCCTGTAATCCCAAAACTTTGGGAGGCCGAAGTGGGTGGATCACCTGAGGTCAGGAGTTGGAGACCAGCCTGGCCAACATAGTTGAAACCCCATCTCTACTAAAAATACAAAAATTAGCCAGGTGTGGTGGTGGATGCCTGTAATCCCAGCTACTTGGGAGGCTGAGGCAGGAGAATCACTTGAACCCTTGAGGCAGAGATTGCAGTGAGCCGAGATCATGCCACTGCACTCCAGCCTGGGTGACAAAAGCGAAACTCTGTCTCAAAAACAAAACAAAAAAAAAAACAGAAATGAGAGACCAGAATGGAGGCTTTTTGACTCTATATGCTGGTAGAGCGGGTATTGATGGAATAATCCTTATTCTTTCTAATAGGTCCCCGTGGCCGGGTGCGGTGGCTAACACCTGTAATCCCAACACTGTGGGAGGCTGAGGCGGGCAGATCACCTGAGGTCAGGAGTTCGAGACCAACCTGGCCAACATGGTGAAACGCCATCTCTACCAAAAATACAAAAAAAATTAGCCAGGCATGGTGGCGTGCACCTGTAGTCCTATCTACTCAGGAGGCTAAGGCAGGAGAATCACTTGAACCTGGGAGGCAGAGGTTGCAGTGAGCCGAGATCGCGCCACTGCACTCCAGCCTGGGTGACAGAGCAAGACTCCATCTGGAAAAAAAAAAAAAAAAAAGCAAACAAAAAAAAAAACTAATAGGTCCCCATAACCCTAGAAGGCCTTTAATTCTCTTCATTCTCAGGCAAAATCCTGACAGATGACTTTGCAGACAAGGAGGGTCTGGAAATGGGTGATGAGTACTTTGCAAATCTGGACCATATCGAGAGCGTGGAGAACTTCAAAGAAGGATATGAGAGTGATGCCCCCTGTTCCTCTGACAGCAGTGGTGTAGACTTGAAGGACCAGGAAGATGGCAACAGCGGTACAGAGGACCCTGAAGAGTCCAATGATGATAGCTCAGATGATAACTTCTGTAAGGATGAGGACTTCAGCACCAGTTCAGTGTGGCGGAGCTATGCTACCCGGAGGCAGACCCGGGGCCAGAAAGAGAACGGACTCTCTGAGACAACTTCCAAGGACTCCCACCCCCCAGATCTTGGACCCCCACATATTCCTGTTCCTCCCTCAATCCCTGTAGGTGGCTGCAATCCACCTTCCTCCGAAGAGACACCCAAGAACAAGGTGGCCTCATGGTTGAGCTGCAATAGTGTCAGTGAAGGTGGTTTTGCTGACTCTGATAGCCATTCATCCTTCAAGACTAATGAAGGTGGGGAGGGCCGGGCTGGGGGAAGCCGAATGGAGGCTGAGAAGGCCTCCACCTCAGGACTAGGCATCAAGGATGAGGGAGACATCAAACAGGCCAAGAAAGAGGTAAGCAGTGGCAGAACACTCTGAGAGCTATGGCTTTAACTTTGGTGCAGTAACAATGCAGTCTCACCATGAGTCTTTGCATGTAGATTATTCTACTTGATGGATATTTCTGTGGCCACCTCGTTATCTCTCCCCCTAACTAGCACATTCCTAGTGTTTGTTTAAAGAACCAAATTATTGACCGGGCACAGTGGCTCACACCTGTAATCCCAACACTTTGGGAGGCCGAGGCAGGTGGATAACTTGAAGTTCAGGAGTTGGAGACCATCCTGGCCAACATGGTGAAACCCCGTCTCTACTAAAAAATACAAAAATTAGCCGGGCGTGGTGGTGCATGCCTGTATTTCCAGCTACTTGGGAGGCTGAGGCAGGAGAATCGCTTGAACCTGGAGGGTGGAGGTGCAGTGAGCCGAGATCGCACCACTGCACTCCAGCCTGGGTGACAGAACGAGACTCTGTCTCAAAAAAAAAAAAATTATTTTAAAATCCACTTGCCTGGTGGTAGAGGGTGGACAAGTATCTGATTAATTACAAAATGAAAGATTTATAAGTGATTTTTTAATGTTAAATGCTGTTTCAAGTTATTCACATCATTGTTTCCTTCTACTAAAGTAGAGAAACAAGAATTGATTTTAAGTATCTCTTTGATGATTATGCTGCTTTCCACATTACAGATGGTGAAACTGTCCCTGGTTGATGTAATCCTGCTCGTGGTGTTTTCCATGAGCATTAAGCCCCATCACTGAGAAGGCTTAAAGGCTCCAGCCAGGGAGTGTAGTGAGGATTTCTGTCAAGTTGCAGAGTGGTTTACCCACCCCACTTTAGAATGTGTACCTGTCACTGGCTGATGTTATCTGTGGAGGTCATTTGAAGTCTGATTATTGGACTTGTTACCCGAGGCTGTGAAAGCATTTAACCCTTCACTTGTTCTTTTCCAGGACACTGACGACCGAAACAAGATGTCAGTGTAAGTGCCTTTTGTTTTGTTTTGTTTTGAGACAGAGTCTTGCTTTGTCACCCAGGCTGGAGTGCAGTGGCGTAATCTCAGCTCATTGCAACCTCCCCCTCCCAGGCTCAAGAGATTCTCCCACCTCAGCCTCCCTAGTAGCTGGGACTACGGGTGTGCACCACCATGCCTGGCTAGTTTTTGTATTTTTTGTAGACACGGGGTTTCACCATGTTTCCCAGACTGGTCTTGAACTCCTGGGCTCAAGCGATGCTCCCAAAGGGGATCCTCAGCCTCCCAAAGTGCTGGGATTACAGCCATGAGCTACCGTGTCCAGCCCAGTGCCTGTCTTTTTGACCTGTCTCCAAATCTGCCTTCTCTCAAACCTAGGCTAGAAGCCTAAGAAACAGCCAGTAACCTGTTGGCTTCATTCCTTCCCCTCCCATTAGAGTTACTGAAAGCTCTCGAAATTACGGTTACAATCCTTCTCCTGTGAAGCCTGAAGGACTTCGCCGCCCACCTAGTAAGACTAGTATGCATCAAAGCCGAAGACTCATGGCTTCTGCTCAGTCCAACCCTGATGTAAGTCACCTCAAGCTTATTCAGAGTCTAATAAAGGAAAATGGGCCATTGTCACCTCATCAAGTCCTTCACTATAATTACTGTTAGGTCTTCTCCTACTTCTTTAGCCTTGACTTCCTGCCTTATTTTCTTTCATCCAGCATCTAATCTTCCTCTTGCCACCGCCCTTTCCTGCCAAACCGTGGGTAACAGCAAGGACTTAAAGGAGCCCTTCCCATTTACTTCTCTTACTTCTTACCCTCCTGCTTCCCCAGGATGTCCTGACACTGTCCAGCAGCACAGAAAGTGAGGGGGAAAGTGGGACCAGCCGAAAGCCCACTGCTGGTCAGACTTCGGCTACAGCGGTTGACAGTGATGATATCCAGACCATATCCTCTGGCTCTGAAGGGGATGACTTTGAGGACAAGAAGAACATGACTGGTAGCCTGGAAAAATTTTGGGAATGGTGGGAAGAAATAGTAAGAAACTTGGGATAGAGCATTTTTTAAGGAAGCTAAAGAAGTAGTGGGTAAAAATTCAGATCCTAAGAATTGGAGCATCTCTGGGAGGGCTTTCTGACTCCAAGCTAAACTATTGTTTGACACATCCTCTCTCATTTCCATTTTTTTACTCTTTCCCCTCAGCTCCTTTGTCTAGCAGATCTAATTATGCTTGAAAAAAAAACCTGCTACTTAGGATCTTTGAGTTCCAGCTTATTGGTGTTTCTCAGCTGCAATGTTGGGAGAGAAATAGGGGTAGAATGTCCATTCATGATAGAATGTCTGTTCATGAGTTGGGATGGGTCCTGACCCCATTCTCCCTCCTGTCCAGGTCCAATGAAGCGTCAAGTGGCAGTAAAATCAACCCGAGGCTTTGCTCTTAAATCAACCCATGGGATTGCAATTAAATCAACCAACATGGCCTCTGTGGACAAGGGGGAGAGCGCACCTGTTCGTAAGAACACACGCCAATTCTATGATGGCGAGGAGTCTTGCTACATCATTGATGCCAAGCTTGAAGGCAACCTGGGCCGCTACCTCAACGTGAGACCCCTCTCCCCACCTCTAGATGCTGGATTATCCCATGGTCCTCAGATTTCTTTTAACATACTCTATAAGCCCTTTTCTTGTTATAAACTCTTGATCTCAAAGGATCTTAAAGAGGTAGCTTTCTTTCAAAGCATCTATTATAATGGGGAGGGTCAGATGGCATCATTTTTCTTCCAACTCTCACTCTCCCTGCAAAGCCAGGTTCAGTTTCCCTGGTTCTTATTTGATCCTGTCCTTAAACCTACAGCACAGTTGCAGCCCCAACCTGTTTGTCCAGAATGTCTTCGTGGATACCCATGATCTTCGCTTCCCCTGGGTGGCCTTCTTTGCCAGCAAGTAAGGAGTCAGGAAAGGGGATGACTGGGGAGGGGCAAGGACCACTGAAGTTCTAAGGGCCCCTCCTCCATTCATGATCCAACTCCACCTACATATTCAGTAACCCCAAGTGCCTGGGTTATCTGCTGTCTTTGCCACACACCATCCTTTTCTTCCTCTTCAGAAGAATCCGGGCTGGGACAGAACTTACTTGGGACTACAACTACGAGGTGGGCAGTGTGGAAGGCAAGGAGCTACTCTGTTGCTGTGGGGCCATTGAATGCAGAGGACGTCTTCTTTAGAGGACAGCCTTCTTCCCAACCCTTCTTGAACTGTCGTTTCCTCAGGAACTGGGTCTTCCTGATTGTTGAACCCTGACCCGAAGTCTCTGGGCTAGCTACTCCCCCCAGCTCCTAGTTGATAGAAATGGGGGTTCTGGACCAGATGATCCCTTCCAATGTGGTGCTAGCAGGCAGGATCCCTTCTCCACCTCCAAAGGCCCTAAAGGGTGGGGAGAGATCACCACTCTAACCTCGGCCTGACATCCCTCCCATCCCATATTTGTCCAAGTGTTCCTGCTTCTAACAGACTTTGTTCTTAGAATGGAGCCTGTGTATCTACTATCTCCAGTTTGTATTATTTCTTGAAAGTCTTTTAACAATATGATAAAACTAAGATTGTGGTTTTGTTTCTCTCTCTCAGCCCGATACTCCCAATTCTGGATCTTTCAGTGAGGTATTATCCCCATCCTCCCCTGTGGGCTGCTGTCATTCATCTTCTACCTTGTCTACCTTTGCTTCTTGCATGTGAATTTTTTTAGATGGAGTTCTCGCTCTGTCACCCAGGCTGGAGTGCAATGGTGCAATCTCGACTCACTGCAGCCTCCGCCTCCCGGGTTCAGGTGATTCTCCTGCCTCAGCCTCCTAAGTAGCTGAGATTACAGTCGCCCGCCACCACACCCAGCTAGATGTATTTTTAGTAGAGATGGGGTTTCGCCATGTTGGCCAGGCTGGTCTCAAACTCCTGACCTCTAGTGATCCACCCTCCTTGGCCCCTCAAAGTGCTCAAATTACATGCATGTGAAATTTAAAAAAGAAAATATTACATAACTGCAAGGAAGGCATAAGAAAGACTCTCTTCGTTTATTTAGTTGATCCCCCTTCTCAATTCCTAATAGTCTGACACTTATTGCCATGTTTTATTTAATATTTTTTATTTAATCTTTTAATTTTTAAAAAAAACCCATTAACAGTACATTTTGGTCTAAAATGGTCCCTCTGCTGAAATGCTAGGTGCTAGCCGTAATTCTGGCTTTAAAACCAAAACCCCAAATATTTAATAAATAAAAATTAGAATTAGTTGCCATTCTACTCCAAACCAGCTAGCCTAGCTGAAGAGAAGAGGGAAGGGGGAAGAGGCCAGAGAAAGGAGGAGGCAGTCAGATCTTAGACCTGTCGCTACAGGGACAGCTGAAAGAAGTAGCACTAAGAAAGATCATCCGAGCAGTCCCCAGTACAGCCCCCACTTTTTGGCAGAGGTAGGGTAAGGGTTATGTGCACCCTCCTCCTACCCTCAATTCATTTGTGTCATAGAGGGAGAAAGTTAAAAGCTCAGCTTTGGTTTCTGGCCCAAGTTAGGGAGCTTAGAAAGGTTAGCCTTGGTCCAGCTTTGGCAGAATGAGGCCCACAGATGGGACAATAAGGCACAACCCTGGCTCTGGAGGTCAGGGAGTCAAAGGCAAACAGCTGGGGCCAAATTCTCAGAATAAGGAATGTGAATTGTAACCCCTACCCACAGAGAGCTGAGGGAGGGCCTCAAAAGCAGTAGAAAGGATGACTTGGCGGGTAGGGAGGAAAATACGACCGTCCCCCTCTAACAGAATATAACCAACGTCCCCCTACCTGGGGATAGGCTGGTTAGAATTTGGTTTAAAGGCAACTGGGTGACAAGCAAGGAGGGAGGATGCAGAGAACTCTCCTCTCACTTTCTCCTTTTTCCCCAGAGCTTAAAGTGACCCTATAGCGCAGGGAGCGGGGTAGTTCCTTGGCTTTATGCATTAATCTGGGAGGCAGCTGGAGTAATGGTTCAGTCATTCTTACGATGGTTGTTATTGAGGATGGGGTGGCCATTGGCTAGGGGCCGGCTCTTTGCTCCTCCCCCAGCTGCAGCCTCCTCCCCCTCTGAGCTCTCTGTTTCTTCCCGGTCACTGCGTTCATCTTCTACCAGCTGTGGAAAAGGGACAAGAAGGGTTATTACATGAGATCCTCAAACCCCTAAGTACTGCTTCTCTCTGAGGGCTTGTTCCTGTTATACCCAGGGCTCCACACTAGTTTTTTAGAGAGTTACTGGCAAGATGGGAGTTCAGGAAGTTGTAGAGAGTAGTAAGGCCTACACAATGGGAACAGGGCTTCACCTTTCCAGTTATGAACTTGTGGGCCATGCGCAAAATGAGGTAGGCCCAGAAGATATGCAGCAGCTGTAGAACTCCCATCATGGAATTGAAGAAGTAATAGCCAAAGAAGGCAGGATAGAGCTCCAGTGGGTACACCAGGGTGCAATGCAGGATCCTGAGGATTCAAGGAGAGAGAGAACGTGGACAAGAGCAGGTCAGACACCGGGGAGATACAGGAGGGGAAGAAAGGCAAGGCTCCTGATTTCTTCAGAACAGGAGTGTAGCCTAGCTGCCTACTCACCAGAAGGGCAGGATGACCAGTCGGGTGATGATAAAAACAATGGCGAAGACGATGAAGATGTTGTTGCAGGTGTTCTTCCATCCCGCGTAGTTAAACATCTTGGCTGACTGCATAGAGAGCCCCCATCCATCATCATGGGCTCCTGACTCCCTCGAGTACATTCATATGTACACTCCAGTTAGGAGCACTGACTCTGTGCCCTCCTCCTTGGTCCCAGGAATGTCATCCTCCAAATTCCCACCCCGCACCTCCCTCCCAAAGAAAACCAAAGGGACAGAAGAACCTGCACCAGGGTCTCTAGATTTGAGGAAGCCTGACCTCCAGCAGGTAATCGGAAGAGTCATGCAGAGCCATGATTAGAGTCCCAGCTCGGATGTAATTGGCAAACCAGGAAAAGCTGATGAGAATGATGGTGGCCACATGGTGGATGATCTGTTCCTTGAAATCCTGCAGAGATGATGCAGGCCCCAGGGCCTTTTTTTATTCCCCAGCTCTCACTATGCCTTCTTACCCCTTGCCTTTGGTTCCCCATATACCAACAGCTCCATTCAGAGTACCCAGAAGTCAAAGGAGAGGGTGTTCATCCCAGGGCCTCATTTTGGCTCTGAGGCTTAATTGCACAACCCCTTCACCCACCTTTCGCTTGACATCAGAGGCAATGCTGAAGAGCAGGGACCAGTAGAAGGAAAGTTCAATCATGTAGTACCAATACTGGGAAGGGATAGTGCTCTGGGAGAGGAGAGAGAGGTAAGAGCAACCAGCCGCAAGGGTGTCCCCACTCCACAAACCCCCTAGCCCCTGAGGTTCTTCATTCCATCACTCTAATCCCTCTGCCATGGATTCCACAAACCGTCTCTTCACTAGGGTGTGTCTTAGTCCACCCCCACATGAGGAAGCAGAACTCATACCTGTATGGGATATCCCTCCCAAACTTTCTTCATGTCATAGAACCAGGGTTTCTGCAGAGAGATGGTGAGAAGTTAAAAGAGGAGGAACCCAAATTCCATGGCCTCACCTGACCTTGCCAGAGAACCTACTCCCACCTCCCAGTAATCCCCACTCACATCCACAATGACGGCCATGCCGGCAATGAAGGCAATCAGGTAAAATGTGAATCTCCAGCTGGCAGAGGAAGCAGAAATGGCTAGGTCAGAGGATAGCACAGTCCCCCAGCAGCCCCCAAATACCTGCAGATACCCTCACAAGATACCATTAATAACTGAATTCACCTCCTCACATCTCCCTGCGTATAGCCACCGCCTATCCCTCCCAGCAAGACACATCAGGATATTCCTTGTCACCCAGCTTCTGCCCCAGCCTCCCCCACCTGGCTTCTCGGAACTTCTTGAGGAGACTGGGCCGGTCCTGGTTGCGGCGGCGACGGAACCAACGCTCTACCTGGCGGCCAGAGAGCCCGCTCTGCCGGGACAAAAGCTCTACTTCCACCTGGGCACAGTGAAGAAGCCCATTGTTATGTTTACCTTCGGAACTCAGCAGCATCCCCAGCCTCTCCCAGTAACAACCTCAGTCAGCACCACTGCTTCCCCATCTCTTCACCTGCCAGAGCTAACATTCAAACCCTGTCCCCCCACCACCAAACTCAGTGATTCCCAGAGCCAGAGCAGCATGCGGCTCATACCTGCTTGGGCTGCTTGCCACTGGTCAGGTAGAAATGTTCCAAGGTGGCGTTGGGAGGTGCCCGCAGCCGAGTTTTCTCCTTTATGTTCAAGAGGGCAGCCAGTGGTGTAGCCACGTACCTGGGGAAGGGATATGAGTAAGGTATCTAGCTTGCTGGGAAGGGAAAGGGCTGCAAGCTAAGGCAACTTTACCCTGGCCTCAGTTTCCCCAGCTTCCTGGCAACCCCCTTTTCTCTAGCCTCCAGGGCTGCCCACAGCTGACAAAGCTGCCTGTGTGTTCACTAGTGGCCAGGCGGGCGGCGGGTAGAGGGTGAGAACAAATAACCATTGATGGAAAGGGCCTGGGGGTGCTGAGCCTTCAGGAAGACAATGGTGCCTTCAGGGGAGGGGGTGCACAGTGGGCAGGAACCTGAGTAGCCAGAACATCAGGGTCAAGGGCTAATTAAACAGCAAGGAACAAACTTGAAGTCCAAGAAACTGCAACTGGCAACAGGGGAAGGCATGAGGGTAGGCTGGCATGCTTACAGCTCAAAGAAGTATCGAACGATGAGGAAGAGCAAGGCCAGGGGCAGCGTGATATAGAGATCTGAGGCTTTGGCGTAGACACGTCCATCTCGGTCTTCTAGATCGGCCCAGGTCAAGTTCACAGGCAGCCACAGACGTTCCCACCAGAAGTAATCATACAAGGTCTGGAGCATCCTGAGTGAGGGGCAAAGGGGAGGGCATCAAGAGGGAGTAGCTATGGAGGAAGAGATAGATGAATAAAAGTTTTCAGGATGTATCAAAAGGAGAAGGGGGCAGAGAGTCGAACTCTAGATCCCTATCCTGGCTATGTAGCCTTGGGCAAATCAGTTTCCTCATCTGTAATACGGTGGCTTTCCAGTTTTAACATTTACTGTTAGGCCGGCCGTGATGGCTCATGCCTGTGGTCCCAGCACTTTGGGAGGCCGAGGCTGGCAGATCACGAGGTCAGGAGTTCGAGACCAGCCTGGCCAACATGGCGAAACCTCATCTCTACTAAAAATACAAAAAACTAGCTGGGTGTGGTGGCGGGCGCCTATAGTCCCAGCTACTCAGGAGGCTGAGGCAGGAGAATCGCTTGAACCCAGGAGGCAGAGGTTGCAGTGAGCCGGAATCACGCCATTGCACTCTAGCCTAGGTGACAGCGAGACTGTCTCAAAAAAAAAAAAAAAGCATTTATTGTCTACAGCAACCTGCAGACGTGATTCCCTGGAATTAAGAAACTTGGGGTCCTTACAACCTCTGATTTCGGGGAGTGGGGGAAGAACCTTGGGGGTCTTGTCATTTTGCTATCTTAACCTGCAAGACAGGCAGGACCTGGCCCTAGAAGCTGTAGCCAACAATCTGAGTAAAGTCCCTCCCTTATCCCCCTACACTCTGGCCACTTCCTCGAGCCTCCAAGCCAACTCAGCTGAAAGCTTCCAGGGGGTGCCCCAAAACATTGCAGGGCTGAGGCAAACCCTTCTTCCCCTTCCCTACAACCTACAACCCATCTGAGTAGCAAGTCCCTAAAGAAAAATTAAGAGACAGGGTAGGCTGGGCAGTAGCTCACGCCTGAAATCCCAGCACTTTGGGAGACCAAGGCAGGCTGATCACTTGAGCTCAGGAGTTTGAGACCAGCCTGGGCAACACGGTGAAACCCCATCTCTACAAAAAATACAAAAATTAGCTGGATGTGGTGGCACATGCCTGTAATCCCAGCTACTCAGGAGGCTGAGGTGGGAGGATCACTTGAGCCTGGGAGGTGAAGGTTGCAGTGAGCCATGCTCTTGCCACTGCACTCCAGCCTGGGTAACACAGTGAGACTCTGTCTCAAAAAAAAAAAAAAAAAAAAAAAAGCCAAGGTAAAGCAAAATTATGTCCCCAAATGACACTGAGCTCCACAATCACTGGACATCGAACTACTGCACACAAGGTTGACACTCCATGCCAAGCCATCTAGTCCCTACACACAAGGCAGAAGGACCCTATGTATAACTCTTCAGAAAGAAAAGTGAAGGTAGGGCTGCAAAGAGTCAGGGATTGTGGGGCAGGGAACCAAGAGAGCGGACCAATACATCTGATGGAATTAAGAGCTATTCTTTTATTTTCTTTTGAGACAGGGTCTTCCTCTGTCACCCAAGCTGGAGTGCAGTGGTACAATCACAGCTCACTGCAACCTCCACCTCCCAGGTTCAAGCCATCCTCCCCTCCTGCCTCAGCCTCCCGAGTGCCTGGGGCTATGAGTAGCATGCACTACCAAGTAGCACACACCACATCTGGCTAATTTTTGAATTTTTTTTTTGGTAGAAACAGGGTTTTGCCATGTTGCCCAGACTGGTCTTGAACTCCTGGGCTCAAGCAACCTGCCAGCCTTGGCCTCCCAAAGTGCTGGGATTACAGGCATGAGCCACGGTGCCTGGTCAGAGCTATTTCGTATAAATGCTCATCCAGAAAACAGAATCCTAGTCTGCAGGGGAACACCCATACCCTCTCAGTCTAGGAAAGAGCCGCTATGTAAACCTCCTCCCCCAACTGAAAGACGAACAACATGGTGGGAGTGACCACTTGGATACCCAGAGGAGGGAGGGAACGGTCAGACGTGTGTGGCTCATGAGGGAAGAGCAGCTGCTTGAAGCTGAGAGGAATGGCAAGATGGTCCAGGAGAGCCAGGGATGCTGGGTCCAGCAAACACCTGGCAATCCTAGGACTCAGCAAGAAGCCGCAGCAGGATGACCATGACAGTCTTTTCCAGGCTCCCCACCCCTTGTTCTCCTGGGAAGGAGATGAGGCGGTGGGATTTAGGCTGGCCCAGAAAGTGAAAGCAGAGACAGGAAGAAAAGAGAGTGGTGAAATTGTTATCCACAGTGACCTGGAGACTAGTTGGTGCCACTGACTGAAGACAGAGCCTGAGACCACAGCTGGGCTGGGCTGGTCCTGCTGCTGCTCTGACAGCTCCCGCTCCACCCCCACCCACCACTGTAGCCCTTGCGAAATCCCTCAGCCTGTCACGGGTCAGTATTCCAGCTCAAGGACTTTACCCCCTTGTCCCCACTCCTGGTCACTGCTCTCTCGGATGAAATCAGAGGTCAGCACTGCCAGTAAAGGAGCTTCAGCTCCACCTTCTCCCCTCCTCCTCCCCCAAATCACACACACACATTCCAGACACTGCCCCTGCCCCCTCCACCTCAGCCAGAATAAATATTTAATTAAACAGATGGAAGCCTTCTGAACTGAACAAAATTAAATGTAATTATCCACAGTGGAACTTTCCCCACACAAACACACACTTTTTTCCTAGAGAAAAGTTGTAGAAAATTGAATAAAGAAGGGACAAGGGTAGAAAATGCACAGAGAAGGGACAATGCGGAACACTTTGATGTGTGCACATGGCCCCCTCTTCCCACTTTTTTGCTCAGCCTGATTGGAAGCGAGAAATCAGCCTGACCCAGTCACCTGACTGCTGTCTCTTGGAGCCCAACTTCTCCAGGGAAATGTAAAGCCAAAGGTACCATGTTGCCCTGGCAGTCCTAGACTTCAGATCCCATCCCCAACCAGGTCTGTGAAAACTGGCAGGGATGTTTCTCTAGTCAGGCGGCAGGCTGGAGTCGCAGAGGGAGGGTGGAGCCCCTGCTGGACTCCTGGGGCCCAGGAATGTCTCATGCCTGCAAAACAGGGGGTGGGGGGCAGGCAAAGTAGGCACTAGAGCATGGTCAAGGACAGACACCTGGGCAGTGCAACTTCCTCATCCCCAAGATGAGATAGCGCCTGTCCTCTTCCACTCCAAGCAGGGAGAGTGGAAGACTTGGGAAATGCAGATTAATGGGGGCTTTTACACTGAGGTTGCAGGCTTCCCATGACCACAGCCCTCCCTGGTGGTCCTGCACCTCCATTAGCAGAGAGGCACTACCCCCATCTCCCCAGCAGGGAGGCCCCAGATTCAGCAGGGTCAGGACCTCTGACTCAACATGAAGAGAGGGGAGGACAGCTGGGGCCTGGCCGGCCTCACTTACACATCCCCACAGAACCAAAGAGTTGGGTCCCTGTGGCAGTACTGGGGAGGCCTCTTAGCACCAGCACACAGATCCAAGCAAGACCCCATAAACAAGAGGCTGGGGCAAGAAAAGCTGAAGTGTACACACGGTAAGGAGACAACCCTGTTTTTCCAGGCCCCCTGGGCCTTCAGGGCAGTTACTTGACTTCTTATGGAGAAAATCACATCTAGAAACACTTTTCCACCCAGACTTCACTCCCCCATACACATGAAGAGACATGGTATCTGTCTACGCTCTCTCTCACACACACCTGCCTTGGAGGCACAGATGCCACTTTCTGAGGCACAGGCTGGAGAGGGGCCAGAAGAGCAGGGATTTAACTGGCATTAGATTAGCAGGAACTTGAGCAGGACTCTGTCCAGCCCCAACCTTTGCCCCAACTCTGACTGACACCCCCACAAGACCCCTCTAGGTGGATGAAAGGAGCAGAGGATCCCCATGGGAGTTTGTAGATCCAAACGGCTGAGAAGGCAGAAGTTTCGGCCTGAGAGGAAGGAATTCTCTCAGACTCCAGGTGGTCAGTCTGACTGGCTCTCATAGTTTGGAAGAATAACTGAGGAAAATAGAAAGGAGTTGTTGACAAGGGAGGAGTGACAAAGGTCCCACCGGCTCCCTGCTTCCACTGAAGAAGTCCTGAATAGTCTTCCTTGTTGAAAACTTTCAGGCAACAGAAGCAGGTCATGTACTAGAAGTCTACAAGCCATGGATGGAGCCAATGAGAGGTGTGTTATCCCTCCAGGCTGCAGGATGGGCCTCAAAATAAGCCAGATTGTAAAAAAGAGGTGGGTGAGAGGCAGTCAGAACAGTAGTCCTCAGCCTCATCTGGCCTACAGCTTGTCTGCAAAGTCCCACCAAAGGCCTCCACGGACCAAAACACTGCATGAGACTATGGCCCCAGGGGCAGGGAGACGCCGGTGGGTTTGAGAGACAGCTGGGGCGGTGTTGAAGGACACAGTGAGGGATCAGCCAGCCTATGGCCAGTGACAGGGGTAAAAGGAGGCCCTTCCTCCCAGGGGAAAATCTGGCCAGAGGCCCCAGTGAGGGAAGTGGGGGACCAGGGGAGAAAAGGATCCCTCTCTGGAACAGACTGTGCAGATCACGGTATGGTCAGCGCCAGGTCCTCAGGGACAGGACTGCAGGCAAGTCCTTACCCTTAGGAGCCCCTTTACATGTGCAGCCACTCACACCCCGGTGCGGTCATCCCGACTCCGGTATGCGGCAGCAACCGCCACCCACCCCTGCCCCAGCACAGATATGGGGGTGACTGCCTGCTGGAGGCCTGCTCGGACTCACTTCTCCAGGAACAGGGGCTCACTGCATTCGCCACGATCCTCAGAACCCCCTGAACCTGGGCCTGGCAACTCAGGTGACTGAAACCAGGTTTTGATGCCAGGAGCTAGGCTTAGGGAGGGAGAGACTCCAACTGCAGGCTAAAGATGAGTGCTCTACACCTGCAGTCAACCCACTTGCCACGGGCCTCTAGTGATTAACAAGCTACGGCCCAGAA
This sequence comes from Homo sapiens, assembly GCF_000001405.40. Taxonomy (NCBI): domain Eukaryota; kingdom Metazoa; phylum Chordata; class Mammalia; order Primates; family Hominidae; genus Homo; species Homo sapiens. The sequence goes on from NC_000001.11 coordinate 150,973,955, forward strand.
AGCCAGTTCCACCAGGAGCTCCCTTGCCAGCCATCCACACCTCATAACGGTATGCCTTAGCCCTACCGGGCCGGGGCAGGCGCTCCGGGCCGCTCCTTCCTGTTTCCCGTTAAGCACATGGAAGCTCTGACCTCGCCTGCGAGGTGGGCACGGTGGGCCGGTAGGAAGAAAACGGGGCAGGGCCCTCCCCTCTCCTCCCACCCAAGCCACAGGACGCGTCCAGGCCAGGGCAACCCCGCGGGCCGCTGCCAGGGTGGAGGCTCTCGCGCCAATGGTCACCAAGCTCCTCCACTCCCCAACAAAGGGAAGCCCACGGCTCGGCCCCGTCGCCCGCAGCCCCCGCGTCCCCACCTTCCGCCCTACCTGTTGCCCGGGAAAGCTTCTCCGGCTCAGGGCGGCGCTGCCGCGGACACCGCGGCGCCAGGCCCGCCGGCCCCGGCCGCTCCCTTGAGGCGCTGCGCCCGCCTTACCCGGCGGCCGCCGCCATGAGCGCCCGCAGCGCCCCCCGCCAGCGCCGCCTCCCTCCTCGCCCCGGCCCCGCGGCCTTCCCAGCCCGACCCCTCCGCGGCCCCGCGACAAAGCGGCACCCGGGGCTCCCAACTTTTCCGCAGCCCCTTCCCACCCCCGCGCGGGGCTCGGGCGCCGGGCGGGGGCCCCGACTCACCCGGCGGCAGCGTTGGCGGGGCCGGGGCCGCTGCTCCGTGTACTCCGTCTGCTCGGGTGGTTGCTCCGAGGCCCCGAGGCCTGGCTCCCCGCGCCTCTCCTCCCTCTTCCGCCCGCCCGCCGGCCCGCGCCCGCCCTCGCCCTCCCTCCTCCGCCAGCCGCCGGCGCCGCCGCCGCCGCCCGCCGAGCCCAGTCGAGCTGAGCCCGAGCCCAGCCGGGAAAAAAAGGCCGCGAGCAGCCCAAGGGCCGGGAGGCTGGGCGTGACGGGAGGGGAGGGCGGGGCGGGCCTCTGCGCTGCGGCTGCCCCTTCGCCCCGGCGCGGGAGGCCAGACCCCAACCCTCCGCTCCCGGCCCCACAGCCGCGTCCACGCCCGTCACCTTGCGCTAGAGAAACCGCCGACCTGGGGAGGCGGGTGCGGGCTCCTTCCGCCACTTCGGTCTCTTTTCGGGGTGGGAGGTCTCCCACTGGGACCGACACAGACGCACTGGATGCCGCGGGGTCCCGGGCTCCGAGCGGCGGTGTCCCTGTCCCCTTACTCCTACCCACCCCCACCCACCCCCAACTGCTGTGCGGCCCCCGGTCCCCGCCAGGGTGGGCACATTCCCACTTCCAGCCCCACGGGGCGCGGGCGGAGGAGGGTGCAGCCCGGGGATCCTGCCCAAGTGCCTCGCGCCGAAGCTGAAAACCTCTCCAGGGCAGACCGAAGCAGCCGACCCTCGAGACCCAGTCGGAGCCTGCGATCACTCGGGCGACCCTCGCCTACCCCGCCGTAAAAGCCGCGGCCTTTCCACCTAGGTGCTACGGGACCTACCCCCGTGGCAAGGAAGAGCAAACCCGAACTTGCGCACACCCGGCGGCCCTGTCTGAAAGAGCCACCCCAACTTTTGTTTTGTAAAATGTATGAGTTTTCAAATGACACCACGTTTATCCGTATTCGATTTCGTGTTAAAAAGTGTTTTCCGGCCGGGCGCGGTGGCTCACGCCTGTAATCCCAGCACTTTGGGAGGCCGAGGCGGGCAGATCACCTGAGGTCAGGCGTTCGAGACCACCCTGGCCAACATGGTTAAACCCTGTCTCTACTAAAAATACAAAAATTAGCCGGGCACGGTGGCTCGCGCTTGTAATCCCAGCTACTCGGGAGGCTGAGCCACGAGAATCGCTTGAACCCTGGAGGTGGAGTTTGCAGTGAGCCGAGATCTCGCCACTGCACTCCAGCCTGGGCGACAGAGTGAGACTCCGTCTCAGGAAAAAAAAAAAAAAAGTGTTCTCCCCTTGGCCTGGCGCCGTGGCTTATGCCTGTAATCTCAGCACTTTGGGTGGCCGAGGTGGGCAGATCACTTGAGGTCAGAGTTCAAGACCAGCCTGGTCAACATAGCGAGACCCCCAACTCCTTTATAAATTTAAAAAAAAAAAGTTTTCCCCTTGAGTCGTGTGGTAAAATTACTGTTTCAGAAGTAATTACTGTTGGAAGATGCAACATGGTTTTCCTAGAAAGCTGGTCTTAACTCCTAACGTGAACGAGTGGTGACTAAGATGTATTTGAGGGCTCCTATACAGGGAGAGCTGCAGCTTACTCCATGGAGAGGTACTTTTGTCAAATTTCTCACCTAGATGAAGTATTGCCTTTTTTATGCTGTTGCAATCAGAGCCTCTGACAGTAGCTTGTTTCCCCGTTTATCTGGTCAAGTACTCGTAGGAAGGAGTGCAACCCCCACTAATCCAGTTGGAGGGCCCATCCCTCATCTCAGGCCCTTTCTGGAGGGTAAGGAGGTAGAGGCTGTCCGACCCAACTGTTTGTTCTGCCTCTCTTTTCAGGGGGACCCGCAGCCCTGACACACCATGGGAAAGATGAGAGTGGTGGCCCCTAACCAGCTCCCAGGGTTTCTCTAGGCTTTTCTAAGCCCCAGGCCTGCCTGATCTCCCAGTTTCCAGCAACCCCTCCAGCTGTGTTTTTCTCCTCCCTCCCTTATTAGCATATCTTCCATTGTATCTTTCTTTCCTTTCTTTTTTTTTTTTTTCCTTTGGAGAGGAGGTCTCACTCTGTCACTGCAGCCTCGACCTTCCAGGCTCAAGCTATCCTCCACCTCAGCCTCCCAAGTAGCAGGGACCACAGGCGACGCCACCATGCCCGGCTAATTTTTGTATTTTTGAGATTTCACCATGTCGCTCACGCTGGTCGTGAACTCCTGAGCTCAAACCATCCACCCGCCTTGGCCTTTCAAAGTGCTGGGATTACAAGCATGAGCCACCTTGCATCCCAATTGTCTCTTTCTACCCCCTTGGAACTCTCCTCCTTCAGCCTTCTAATTCCAAAGTTCCCTCTTCCTTTCTTCAGTGCTCTCCCCAGAGTCCTTATCTGCTACACACCTACACACCTTTTTTCCAGCATAGTTCCAGGGCTCTTTGGGCCGCAGCTCACCTTCGGGTCTCTAACACTCTCCACACCTCCGTCCTATTCATCTTCCTTCTTTTAGTTCTGAATCCCTTTCTTGTGGTTTTCCTAAGTGCCAGGCTTTCCTGTAGTCCCTACCAGACTTTTCAAATGCTTCCTCAGGAGAACTGAAGACTGGTTAACTTTTTTTTCTTTTTTTTAAGATAGCAGTGGGGAGGGGAAGTTCTGGGGCAGAAGTTGGATAACCAGGGCCTGAGAAATAAAGATAAGAGGGTATATTCCTCCCCCAGGAGACAAAAGAGAAGGTGGATGGAGAAGGGGAAACTGGGCCTCAGCCAGCACCGGGATGATGCGACCAGCTTTGTCAGCACGCTTGGGGAGCATACACACCGCTTGCCTTGGCTGGACCGGAGACTGTGATCACCACCCTTCCAACCCATCCCCCAACACGCAGGCTGGCATGGCCACGCCCACAGTGCCCCAAGTGCTGCCTGCCTTGCAGTGACTCACTTCCTCTGTATGGGCTGCTGAACTGTCCCAAGGAGAGGACAGGCCATCTCCAGGCCTTCAGCCCCGAGTTTAGATATCTGGGCAGGCTTTGTGGATGGGCAAGCATACAGGGAGCCCAAATGTGGAAGGTAGGTTTTTTCAGGTCAGGTGGAACTGTTAACACTGAAGCCTATTTGGGTAAGAAGCAGAGCCTAGCTAGTACCTAATGGAGATTCAGGGGCCAGGAGTATCGGGGAGGAAACATTTCCTAACAGAGAGGTAAAATAGCCAAGAGGAGTTTCTATGTATTCTGAAATCAGGCAATGGAAAGTATTTGCAGAAAAGCAATGTAGGGACCAGGCGTGGTGGCTTATGCCTGTAATCCCAACACTTTGGGAGGCCGAGGTGGGTGGATCACCTGCGGTCAGGAGTTCAAGACCAGCCTGCCCAACATGGTGAAACCTCATCTCTACTAAAAATACAAAAGTTAGCTAGGCATGGTGGCACATGCCTGTAGTTCCAGCTACTTTGGAGGCTGAGGCAGGAGAATTGCTTGAACCTAGGAGGGTGAGGTTGCAGTGAGCCGAGATCATGCCACTGCCCTCCAGCCTGGCAACAGAGTGAGACTCCATCTCAAAAATAAATAAAAGGCTGGGTGCAGTGATTCATGCCTATAATTCCAGCACTTTGGGAGGCCGAGGTGGGCGGATAACCTGAGGTCAAGAGTTTGGGACCAGCCTGGCCAACATGGTGAAACCCTGTCTCTACTAAAAATACAAAAATTAGCTGGGTGTGGTGGTGGGCCCTGTAATCCCAGCTACTCGGGAGGCTGAGGAAGGAGAATCACTTGAACCTGGGAGGCAGAGGTTACAGTGAGCTGAGATCACACCACTGCACTCCAGCCTGGGTGACAGAGTAAGACTCGGTCTCAATAAATAAATAAATAAAAGCAATGTGGGACTTGGAGGCTGAAGAGGTGGACATGCATGAACAGTGGAGGCGGTGTATGTGGCTGCCTTTCCCCTGTATTCCACTGAGAGGGAGCCCAAATCTGCCTCGCCTGCATTGAGGGATGAAGAAAACACTGAGAGGCAGCTGAGAAACATGGATGCTAGTTCCAACTCCATGGCCTCGGGAAGTCACTCAGACTCCTTGAGTCAGTAATGAAAAGGTAGTAGATTAGAGGCTGGGCGCAGTGGCTCATGCCTGTAATCCCAACACTTTGGGAGGCCGAGGTGGGCGGATCACAAGGTCAGGAGTTCAAGACCAGCCTGGCCAACATGGTGAAACACTGTCTCTACTAAAAATACAAAAATTAGCTGGGCATGGTGGTGCATGCCTGTAATCCCAGCTACTCAGGAGGTTGAGGCAGGAGAATTGCTTGAACCAGGGAGTCGGAGGTTGCAATGAGCCGAGATCGCGCCATTGCACTCTAACCTGGGCAACAGAGTGAGACTCTGTCTCAAAAAAAAGAAAAGAAAAGGTGGTAGATTAGATCCTCTCTAAGATTTCCTCCAACTCTGCAATTCTAAAATGTACAACATGGGGAAGGAAGGTGATCAGTACAACTGTAAACAACTGCAATCCGGCCCTGAAGTTGAACAAAACAAAACCTAGGGAGAGGAATGAGTTTGTAGCAGGTTTCAATGCAGCGATTGTGAACGCATCACACACACACTCCTCACAGGCAAGGACTTCGCTTCTGCCATGTGACTGAGACTCTGTTGGACTTCTCCAAATTCAGAGTTCAGCCTGGCATGCCGGCCAGGAGCCCCTTGGAGAGATTCGGCGTGAGGAAACAGGAGGCCTCACGCTTCCTTCGGTTCTCCCTAAATCTGCTGGGCAGGTAGCCAGAAGAAACTCTGAAGGGTACAGAAAGCCGAGGGCCAGGGGGACCCCGGCTGCGGAGCTGCAGTACCGTGTTTACCCAGCCTAACTGCGGTCACCCAGTCTCCTGCATGTGTCTGAGGTCAGCCTCGGGGGCTCCCCTGAGTAGGTATCTACCTGAGGCTCTTCCCCTGATGCTACCTGCATACCAATTCCACCCAGGAACCTGGCGTCCTCAGGAGGCTGCACTTCCCAAGTGGGCTGAGACAGCCCCTTAATATGTGGGGCTGGAGCCAGAGACCTCAAGGGGCCACTAGGGGGCTCGAGACTCTCAGTGGCTGCTGACGCCCTCTTGTGGCCATTTTGGGGATTGGCCAGAAAAGTTTCAGAAGCGAGCCAAGATCGGAATTCTTAAGGAGGTAAGTAATAACAACAGTAACAGTTACCATATAACAATACTTATCGTTATATATTTGATAACATTGTGACATTTCTACTTAACAGCGCTGTGCCCAGAACTCTTCTAAGTGCTTTATATGCACTGTAGTTATTTAATTCTCACAACAACCTATAACATAAACACTATTACTTGTCTGTTGATGATGAGGAAACTGAGCACAGAATAGTTGCCCAAGGTCACACAGAAGACCAGAATCCCGACTCTGAGAAGTCTGGCTCCAGAAGCTTTGCTTTTAGCCACCACGCTGAGACTGAGTTCCATTTTGGGGTTGTCAGGTGAAATACAGGACACACTGTTAAACTATAATTTCAGATAAACAAAAAATAATAATTACAGGCGGTGGCTCACGCCTGTAATCCCAGCACTTTGGGAGTCCAAGGCAGGTGGATCACGAGGTCAGGAGTTCGAGACCAGCCTGGCCAACATGGTGAAACCCTATCTCTACTAAGAATACAAAAAATTAGCCAGGCATGATGGCAGGCGCCTATAATCCCAGCTACTCGGGAGGCGGAGGCAGGAGAATCGCTTGAACCCGGGAGGTGGAGCTTGCAGTGAGCCAACATAATGCCACTGCACTCCAGCCTGGGCAACAGAGAGAGACTCCGCCTCAAAAAAAAAAATGTTAGTATATTTAATGAAATATTTGGGTCATACTTGTACCAACAAATGATTCCTCATTTACGTGAAATTCTGATTAAGCTGCATGTCCTGTATATTTATTTATTTAATCTAATACCCCTACTTTACAGGGCACTTTTCTCTGCCACATGCAATTACACAGATTACTTTTTTTTTTTTTTTTTTTTTTTGAGACGGAGTCTCACTCTGTCGCCCAGGCTGTGGAGTGCAGTGGCGCCATCTCAGCTCACTGCAACCTCTGCCTCCCAGGTTCAAGTGATTCTCCTGCCTCAGCCTCCCGAGTAGCTGGGATTACAGGCATGCGCCGCCATGCCCGGCTAATTTTTTGTATTTTTAGTAGAGACGGGGTTTCACTGTGTAAGCCAAGGCTGGTCTCGATCTCCTGCCTCATGATCCACCCGCCTCGGCCTCACAAAGTGCTGGGATTACAGGCATGAGCCACCGTGCCTGGCCACATTACCTTATTTATTTATTTATTTATTTATTTATTTTTATGAGTTCAATAGTTTTTGGGGACAAGGTGGTGTTTGGTTACATGGATAAGTTCTTTAGTGGACACATTACTTCATTTAATCATCCCAGGAAACCTGTCCTCGGAGGCCCCAGCATGTCCCACAGCCTCCGTCTCTCTCAATCCTCCCATTTAGAGAGCTGAAAGGACTAGCGAAGCTTACAGAACATAGGTGGCAGAGCTGGATATTGAACCCTCATTCTCCAGTTCTGACACAGGTGCATGTTTTCCTTTTAACAGGAGAGAAAAGTGAGGAGCAGTGATTACCGCCACAGAAATATCCTTTCATGGCGTGTCCTCCGGCATGGTCTACTCAGTGTGGTGGAGCCACTGCAGGTCCCTCCTCCAGGGATGTAGGAATGCCAGTGAAGGCCTTCCTGAGTTGGGAGAGAGGCAGAGGAGTGAGTGGAGGCAGGGCTGTAGCTTCTGTGCCCCGCCCCTACCCAGGCTCTCCAGGGAGGCAGGAAAGAGGCTGTGTTTAGACCTGAGGGAGCCAGCTGTGAGGCTGGAGCAGTTGCTGCATGGCGGGGCGGGGGCTCCACAGGGCTGTTCACCTGCTGCTCTGTGCAGAGACAGCCTCAAGTCCAGCTGCTGGGGTTGCATCACCTGCAGCTAAAACAGCCACAGGGCCCAGGCTGCCAAAAGGCAACAGAAGCAATCTAAGAAACCAGGCAAGGGAGCCTCCCCCATCTCCCTGTTGCCTTTTGGGAGCATAGAGCTTCCCTCTGAAGGTAACACCCTTTGCATTTTTCTCTCTTGACTCTGTTCATCAACTTCCACTCCCAAATACTTGTGCCCTTCCTTCTCCACAGATATACACAATCCCTGGGCACTCTCCACCTAGGTCAGCTGGCTCTAGTAAGGCAGCAGTCAAGGGAGTTTCTGGGCTGGGACCCCCTCTGGGGTGCAGGCTGGGGTGCCCTGCTGGTATGTGCCCCAACAGGTTTTTCCCTATCAGCCTTGAAATCAGCCTGCAGCCTGTCTGACCTGCCCCCCAGGGAGCTGGAGCCAGAGGCAGAGCCAGGTCAGAAGCTGGGGCAGAGCCAGGTCAGAAGCTGGACTTTGAGACTAGGTCTCTGTGGTCCCACCTGGACCCACAGGGAAGGCAGTGCATAAAAGCCTCCTGTGTTTGAGGCTGAGCCGCTGAGAGGCTGAGTGGAGTTCACTCACATGGATTGAGGCCCAGTTCCTGGGAGAAGAGATGCTGGGCAGGAAGGTGTCTGCATGTGGGACTCTGTACAGCCCGGTCCTCTCCCACGTCTGGGAGGGGCCAGAGTCAGACAACTGCTGGGTTCGTCCCTAAGAGAGGTCATCTGACTGGCTGTTCAGCCTAGGCTGCACACACCCCCACTTTCCTCTACCAGGCCACACCGGAGGCAGTGCTCACACAGGCAAGCTACCAGGCCACAACAACGACACCCACCTCACCTCTGGCACCTCTGAGTAAGTACTGGGCCCACGGCCCCATGCCAGGAGGGCTTGTTGATTGCTTGGGGGAGGGAAAAATGAGTTTTCCTTTTCCAACATGAGAGTGCCTCCTTTCTGTCCAGGCATCCACGTACTTGCAAGAACTCTTGCTCACATCAGCTAAGAGATTGCACCTGCTGACCTAGAGATTCCGGCCTGTGCTCCTGTGCTGCTGAGCAGGTAGGCAGCTGTACAGGCAGGAATTGAGGGTTGCTTGTCAGCTGGGGCTGCCGGTGGGGGAAGATGCTATTTCGAGTTGTCTTCCACTCTGCGTGGTTAATCCTGCCACCTCACCTCAGCTCCCCTGCACTGCCCAGGAGACCCCAGCCAGGCCCAGGAAGGAGGGCCATAGACCTCAGAAGGGAGGCATCTACCGCGGACCAAGGCCTGAGGAGCTTTGGTGCTGACCCTGGCATCAGGGAGGGTTGGCGCCTGGTCCAGGAGCATTCCGCATCAATCCCCACTTCCTAAAGGAGTGGGGAGAGGTGGGGAAGGTGGGGGCTCCCCTCTTACCTCACCATTTCAGCTCCATTTCTGGCTCCAAGCCTAAGCAGGTTGATCTTTTTTTCTGCAGCAAGGAAAGGAACAGGTGACTGGAACCCAGGGTCCAGGGTCTCGGGGGGGTCATAAGGAGTCCCTGAAGGGCCAGGAAATTCAGCTCTGTGGGCTCCTGTTTCCTTCCCCAGGGCAACCAGTAGCACCATGTCTGTGACTGGCGGGAAGATGGCACCGTCCCTCACCCAGGAGATCCTCAGCCACCTGGGCCTGGCCAGCAAGGTAGGGGCTGTTGGGATTTTAGAGATCACTTTTAGTATCTCAGCTCGGGCTGTGAGAGGATGGGAGGCAGGAAAGTGGAGGACAGGCCCTGAGGTTATGCTGAGGAGGTGTAGGCAGCCTGGCCCTGGCCCTTGCCAACTACCCTGTGCTCCCACAGACTGCAGCGTGGGGGACCCTGGGCACCCTCAGGACCTTCTTGAACTTCAGCGTGGACAAGGATGCGCAGAGGCTACTGAGGGCCATTACTGGCCAAGGTGAGCCCCTTTCCCCCGGCACTTGAGACTGCCTTTTAGAGCCAATCTGTAGACCAAGGAGGAGCCAGGAAGGAGGAACTAGTGATGTTGGAGAAATGTTTGTGGAATGCCTTCATTCTTGTATGTCAGGCGCCACAGTAGGTGTGTCAAACCCATTCTCACAACACCCCTGTGAGGCAAGGCTTATTATTTCCATTTTCCAGATGAGGAAACTGGGGCTCAGGGAGATTAAGAGGCTTGCCCAAGGTCACTCAGCTCATGACGGAGGTGGTATTCTCATCTAGGTCAGCCGATCCCCCCAAGTCGTATTTTTTTTTAACCACCACACCAGGCCACCTTTGCCTTGGTCTGGGTCAGATTTGCATGCTGTTTTGACATTTTATTTGCAACTTCTTTTGAGATAAAATGGAAGTGGGGGTGATATAGCCCCTGCTCCTTTCCTTCCCAGCCCTCTCCTGGAGCGCCTTCCCTCCTCCAAGGAGTAGGAACATCCCACTATGTAAAGACCCTGCTCACAGCACAGCCCTCATCTCGGTTCAGGCGTGGACCGCAGTGCCATTGTGGACGTGCTGACCAACCGGAGCAGAGAGCAAAGGCAGCTCATCTCACGAAACTTCCAGGAGCGCACCCAACAGGTGAGGCCATGCTGACCTCCCACAGCAGTGGACTGGGGTGAGAAACCCCCTGGAGGACTCGAGAGACAGCAACAGCCGCTGAGGCCAGCCCCTGCTTCCTGGCTAAACAGGGCCTGAGATGAAAACCAGCCAAATCTTCCCAAACCTCCCCACACTTCTGGGGCCCTTCCCCTCACCCCCGTCCCTCTGCTGTGAGGACCATTTATTGTAGGACCTGATGAAGTCTCTACAGGCAGCACTTTCCGGCAACCTGGAGAGGATTGTGATGGCTCTGCTGCAGCCCACAGCCCAGTTTGACGCCCAGGAATTGAGGACAGCTCTGAAGGTAGCAGGAGGGGAGACTTGCTGGGGTGTCTGGGGAAGGGAGAAGGCTGTCAGCCTTGCTTTTGCAAGACGAGAGTCCCCCTCTCGTCGTCCCATATTGTTTCTTAGAAGGAGAAGCAGCCAGCGTCTGCCCCTCTGTCTGCCATCCTAATGACACGGCCAGTCTGAGAGTAGACTCCCAATTTCTTGTAGGCCTCAGATTCTGCTGTGGACGTGGCCATTGAAATTCTTGCCACTCGAACCCCACCCCAGCTGCAGGAGTGCCTGGCAGTCTACAAACACAGTAAGAATATAGAGGGAGGGGTCCCAGATGCTGGAGAAGGGGCTGTAGGACAGGCCACTCCTCTCCTGTACTCCCCATAGGTGAGCTATCTGGCAACCTGGCTGCCTAAGTTCTATTCCCTTGGGGTCTTTCCTCTTGCCCCCACCAGTGCCTCAGTCTCTCAGGGGAGAGACCCAGATGTGATCATTAAAAAAAGAGAAGCAGGCCAGGTACGGTGACTCATGCCTGTCACCCCAACACTTTGGGAGGCTGAGGTGGGCAGGTCACTTGAGCCCAGGAGTTCAAGACCAGTCACAGGCAATAAAGGAAAACCTCATCTGTGCTAAAAATTCAAAAAAACCAGCTGGTCATGGTGGTGTGCGCCTGTGGTCCCAGCTACTCAGGAGTTTGAGGTGGGAGGATCACCCCAGCTTGGGAAGTTGAGGCTGCAGTGAGCTGAGATCGTGCCACTGCCACTGCACACCAGCCTGGGTGACAGGAGTGAGAGCATGTCTCTCTCTCTCTCTCTCTCTCTCACACACACACACACACACACACACACACAAATAAAGAGAGAGAAGCAATGATTAACCATCTTAATCTGGAGCTCCAAGGCAGATTCCAAAGTGACAGTCCCAAAGGTACTCATGTCACCTTCCCAGCCCCTTGCCATCCCTGCCATCACACCACATTCCAAGCTGAACCCAGCCATGCTGCAGCCTGAGGAAAAGGTGGGAATCTGCCCTCTGAGTCATGGGTGTCACCTTTCATGTCCCTGATGGCTGGCCTTGCTTGGCTACAAGTGTCTCACCCACTAATTTGTGGCTTTTTCCCATCCTCATCTTACCACCCCTTCCCCCCACCCCTACCTCTTTTTCTTGCTTTCCCCAATTTTCCTTTGATGTCTAATCTTGGCCTATGTTCTTCTTTTGAGACAAGGTCTTGCCCTGTAGCCTAGGCTGTGCAGTGATGTCATCATGGCTCACTGCAGCCTTGACCCTTCTGGGCTCAATCAGTCCTCCCACCTCAGCCTCCTAAGTAGCTGGGACTACAGGTGTGCCACCACCATGCCCAGCTAAATTTTGTATTTTTTGTAGAGATGGGGTTTCGCTGTGTTGTCCAGGCTGGTCTCGAACTTCTGGGCTCAAGCCATCTCCTGCCTCAGCCTCTGAAAGTGCTGGGATTACAAGCATGAGCCACCGCCCTGGCCGTGGCCTATGTTCTTAATCCCTCTCCTACCTTCCTTCCTTCTTGCATCTGTTTCCCTTTTCTCTTTCTTTTTCTCCCTTTCCTGCTCTTTTCCTTCCTCATATCCCACCTCTCATATCATTTTTCCTTACCTCCAATGAGGGTGCCAGGTCCTAACCATCTTGTGTTATAATACGGGTTTCCCTAGCTCTTCTTCACTGCCTGGCCCCAACTCTAATAATGGTTGCCTCCTGCCCAGCAGGTTGGTGCTTGGTGATGAAGCCACTGCACACCTCACAACTTAGAGATGTTTTTAGAGTGGCCGTGATGGTACTTGTGCCTTACATCCTGGGAATTAGCAGCCATCAAGCTACTCCAAGCAGGGGCTAGCAGGGCTGGCAGGGTATAGCGGGTCAGGCATTTGGCAGGTCCTGGGGATATCTACACTAGGAAAACTCAGGAGGATTCAGAGAGCTCCTCACCCCACCCCAGATTTCCAGGTGGAGGCTGTGGATGACATCACATCTGAGACCAGTGGCATCTTGCAGGACCTGCTGTTGGCCCTGGCCAAGGTGAGGAGGACTGACCTGCAAGGAAGGGAGTCACGTTCACCAGGCAAGGAGACACGCTGGAGCAGGGAGCATTGCTGTCCTGTAATGGACAAGAGAGGGCTTTAGGGGAGACCAGCCTTCGCTTGTTGGTCTGAAGATAAAAAGGTGCCCTTCAAAGAGCCCTCTAAGAACAGTTTCTCCTCCTAGGGGGGCCGTGACAGCTACTCTGGAATCATTGACTATAATCTGGCAGAACAAGATGTCCAGGTGAGCAGGGGGTTTAGGAGTGTGCACAGCCGCCATGCACATAAGATGCCTTCCTCCACCATATCTTAGAGCCGGTGACCTACGTGCCCATTTTTCCCGCAAACCCATCCCTGCCTTGGAGAGGGAGTTCTCAGTTATGTGGTAGGGGCAGGAGGTGTCAGGTAGCGTCATAGCTGAAGCCTTTTCACTCATCTAGCCTCTGACTCCTGAGCTCATCAACTGACATATTCTCCTCTCATGAGCGTTTGGGGGCAGAAAGCCTCCTCAGACCTTTTGGGGATTATTTAATCCTCGGGTACCAGGATTTTTCCAAATCAGTGAATAGAGCTGTGAGGCTGTAAGGGCAGAGCCCTCTCTTAGCCCTATTTCTTTCTTAAAAAATAAAAAACATAAGATAAAAAAACATAAATAAAAACAACTAGTAGGCCAGGCATGGTGGCTTATACCTGTAATCCCAGCACTTTGGGAGGCTGAAACAAGAGGATCACTTGAGCCCAGGAGTCCAAGACCAGCCTAGGCAACATAGTGAGACTCTATCTCCACAAAATATTTTTAAAAATTAGCTGCACCTGTAGTTCCAGCTAGCTAGGAGGCTGAGGTGGGAGGATCGCTTGAGCCTGGGAAGTTGAGGCTGAGGTAAGCCCTGGTCATGCCACTGCACTCCAGCCTGGGTGACAGAGAGAGACCCCATCTCTCTCGCTCTCTCTCTCTCTCTCTCTCACACACACACACACACACACACGCACACACACAAACCTAGTTTACGGGTTAAAATAAACTTTCTGGCTGGTCGTGGTGGCTCACACCTATAATCCCAACAATTTGGGAGGCCGAGACAGGTGGATCACTTGAGGTCAGGAGTTCGAAACCAGCCTAGCCAACATGGTGAAACCCCGTCTCTACTAAAAATACAAAAATTAGCCAGGCATGATGGTGAGTGCCTGTAATCCCAGCTACTCAGGAGGCTGAGCCTGGAGAATCACTTGAACCTGGGAGGCAGAGGTTGTGGTGAGCTGGGATCACACCATTGCACTCCAGCCTGGGTGACAGAATGAGAGTCCTTCTCAAAAAAAAAAAAAAAAATCCTTTTCCACCCTCAATCCCATTTCCATCATGATGATGATAGATTCTGGAACGTCATACCCATGGCTCCCTAGGCCCCAACCAATGATCCTGATTGACTCCTCCCTGACTCATTCCTCCCTCCTAGGCACTGCAGCGGGCAGAAGGACCTAGCAGAGAGGAAACATGGGTCCCAGTCTTCACCCAGCGAAATCCTGAACACCTCATCCGAGGTACACACAAGCCTTCTTGTCCCCCTAGCTTGCTCTAATGATCAGTTTGGGCTGAGGAAGGTGGGGAGGGCCCATCCTTTCCAGAGATAATTAATCCCCCATCCATCTTTCTAACTGCCTCCTACACACACAAGTGTTTGATCAGTACCAGCGGAGCACTGGGCAAGAGCTGGAGGAGGCTGTCCAGAACCGTTTCCATGGAGATGCTCAGGTGGCTCTGCTCGGCCTAGGTAGGGGCCTGCTCAGGATTTGTGAAGTAAGTCTCTCTTGGGATGGGAGATTGTGGTCCTAGTTGTGAACCTCCATCCTTCCATCTTTGTTTCCAGCTTCGGTGATCAAGAACACACCGCTGTACTTTGCTGACAAACTTCATCAAGCCCTCCAGGTGAGAGGGGCACTCCTTTCCCTCCCCAGAACAGAAACTGGGGAGGAGAGAGGAAGTCTCAGCTTGCTGCTTATGTAACCATCCTATATACACCGTCTAAACCTCAAGCCGCTCTCCTTCCCAGGGCTTACACACCAGGGCTTACACAGGGGTGGAGGAATGAGCTGTGGTGAGAACTAACTTAGTTGGCTCCCAGGGGCCCTGAAACTAACATTTTGGCCTTGTTAATGTCTAGGTGGCCAAATAGAGATATGAATCTGCTCTGTAAGACAGTGCCTTGTGCAGGCTTAGTTGTTGCCAGAGTGATGGTGATAACACTAGCAAGAATAATGACAAGGGCTGGCATTTTGCAGGTGCTGATTGTGTGCCACAGCCTATCCTGAGCAGGGCACACATATTTCAATTAATCCTCACAACCATATCCATCCGTATCTTATAGATGAAAAAACTGAAGCCCAGAGAAGTTAAGTACCTTGCTTGAGGTCACGTAGCTAGTAAGTTATACAGTCTCCCTACACAACACTTCACGATGTAAGATATTGACCATCCTTGTCAGCTATACGATAAGTGCTCTTAGCACCCAAGGCCCCCTTTCTCCACGCTGGTCAGATTTTGTTCCACATTATCCATACTTTTTTTTTTTTTTTTGAGATGGAGTTTCACTCTTGTTGCCCAGGCTGGAGGCTGGAGTGCAGTGGCACAATCTCGGCTCATGGCAACCTCCGCCTCCTGGATTCAAGCGATTTTCCTGCCTCAGCCTCCCAAATAGCTGGGATTACAGGCGCCCGCCACCACATTATCCTAATTTTTTGTATTTTTAGCAGATGCGGTTTCACCATGTTGGTCAGGCTGGTCTCAAACTCCTGACCTCAGGTCATCAACCTGTCTCGGCCTCCCGAAGTGCTAGGATTACAGGCGTGAGCCACTGCGCCCAGCCCATATTATCCGTACTTAAACTGCTGACTGTGGCTTGAGTGCTTCCACCAATAGAATCCAGTTATTCTGTTGATTGAATTAGGTCTCCTATTAGTAGAACTGTCCCCCAAAATCTATAAATAAAAAGTTCAGGAAGGGCGCAGTGGCTCACGCCTATAATCCCAGCACTTTGGGAGGCCAAGGTGGATGGATCACTTGAGGTCAGGAGTTCGAGACCAGCCTGGCCAACGTGGTGAAACCCTGTCTCTACTAAAAATACAAAAATTAGCCAGGCATGGTGGCAGGCACCTGTAATTCCAGCTACTTGGGAGTCTGAGGCAGGAGAATTGCTTGAACCTGGGAGGCGGAGGTTGTAGTGAACCAAGATCACGCCACTGCACTCCAGCCTGGGTGACACAGTCAGACTAAAAAAGTAGTTATCATTTTGGCAGATGGAATAGCTTTCTGTAGACTGGTTGAGAAGCCATCATGCCATGTTGATGATTGCCCAAAAGTTAGTAAATATAAGCAATTGTTCTGTCATCTAGAGATTTCTATCTTGACAGTAGATTATTATACTTGCCCAATAAAGCCTGTATGATTATAATGAGTCAACACTAAGATTCATTTGAAGAGTTGTACTTATCTGTCCAAATTCCTGTCATAAATACAAACTATCCCAGCAGTAGATGATTTTGTAGTGTATTTGGATTACAAGACCCACACTCTTGAGTGTAGATAAAAGATTTATCTTAGAAGTAGTAGTCAGGGGCCAAGCATGGTGGCTCACACCTGTAATCCTAGCACTTTGGGAAGCTAAGGTGGGAGGATCGCTTGAGGTCAGGAGTTCAAGACCAACTTAGGCGACATAGCAAGAACTCGTCTCTACAAAAATAAGAAGAAAATTTGCCAGGCATGGTGGCACCTGCCTCTAGTCCCAACTACTCAGGAGGATGTGGTGGGAGGATTGCTTGAGCCCATGAATTAGAAGTTACAGTGAGCTGTGATTACTCCACTGCACTTCAGCCTGGGTAACAGAGCAAGACCCTGTCTCAAAAAAAGAAAAAAAGAAGTGGTAGTCAGAAAATAACATAGGCCCATTTTTCTGAAAAAAAAAATTTTTTTTTTGAGATAGAGTCTGGCTCTGTTGCCTAGGCTGGAGTGCAGTGGCGTGATCTCAGCTCACTGCAGCCTTCACCTTCTGGGTTCAAGTGATTCTCTGGCCTCTGTGTCTTAAGTAGCTGGGATTACAGGCGTAGGCCACCATATCTGGCTAATTCTGAATTGTTTCTAAAAAGGAAAAACTCGGGCTGGGCGCTGTGGCGCATGCCTGTAATCCCAGGACTTTGGTAGGCTGAGGCGGGTGGATTATTTGAGGCCAGGAGTTCAAGACCAGCCTGGCCAACATGGTGAAACCCCATCTCTACTAAAAATACAAAAATTAGCCAGGGGGTAGTGGTGAGCGCCTGTAATCTCAGCTACTTGGGAGGCTGAAGCAGGAGAATCTCGAGCCTGGGAAGCAGAGGTTGCGGTCAGCCGAGGTGACGCCACTGCGCTCCAGTCTGGGTGACAAAGTGAGACCTGCCTCAAAAAAAATAAATAAACAGGCCAGGCGCGGTGGCTCATGCCTGTAATCTCAGCACTTTGGGAGGCCAAGGCGGGCGGATCACGAGGTCAGGAGATCGAGACCATCCTGGCTAACAAGGTAAAACCCTGTCTCTACTGAAAATACAGAAATTAGCCAGGCGTGGTAGCGGGCGCCTGTAGTCCCAGCTACGCTGGAGGCTAAGGCAGGAGAATGGCTTGAACCCAGGAGGCGGAGCTTGCAGTGAGCCGAGATCGCGCCACTGCACTCCAGCCTGGGCAACAGAGTGATGCTCCATCTCTAAAAAAAAAATAATAATAATAAATAAATAAACAAATATAAAATAAATAAATAAGGAAAAAATCATGATACATCTGTATTATTCTTTTTATTTATTTTTATTTTTATTTTTTTAGATCGAGTCTCACTCTGTCGACCAGGCTGGAGTGCAGTGGCGCGATCTCGGCTCATTGCAACCTCCGCCTCCCGAGTTCAAGCGATTCTTCTGCCTCAGCCTCCCGAGTAGCTGGGATTACAGGCGCTCACCACCATGCCTGGCTAATTTTTGTGTTTTTAGTAGAGACGGAGTTTCACCATGTTGGTCAGGCTGGTCCTTAACTCCTGATCTCGTGATCCACACGCCTCAGCCTCCCAAAGTGCTGGGATTACAGGCCTGAGCCAAGGTGCCCGGCCTTCTTCTTCTTCTTTTTTTTTCCTTTGAGATGGAGTCTCACTCTGTCGCTAGGCTGGAGTGCAGTGGCACGATCTTGGCTCACTGCAACCTCCACCTCCTGGGTTCAAGCAATTCTCCTGCCTCACCCTCCCAAGTAGCTGGAACTATAGTTGCCCGCCACCACATCCGGCTAATTTTTTTGTTTTTAGTAGAAACAGGGTTTCACCACGTTGGCCACGCTGGTGGCAAACTTTTTTTTTTTTCTTTTTTAAGATGGAGGCTTGCTCTGTCACCCAGGCTGGAGTGCAATGGCGCGATCTTGGCTCACTGCAACCTCTGCCTCCTGGGTTCCAGCAATTCTCCTGCCTCAGCCTCCTGAGTAGCTGAGATTACAGGCGCCCGCCACCACGCCCGGCTAATTTTTGTATTTTTAGTAGAGACAGGGTTTCACCATGTTGACCAGGCTGGTCTCAAACTCCTGGCCTCAGGTGATCCACCAGCCTCAGTCTTCCAAAGTGCTGGGATTACAGGCGTGAGCCACCGTGTCCAGCCTGTATTATTCTTTTATGAGAGATATGTAGATATATGAAAACATAAATTGTGAAGAATATTTATTCAGAAAAACAACCTTCAGAAAATCAGCAATGGCTGATTCAGGACAAATTTCCACCAATCTGTAGTAAAAATTAATGTTCCTGGTGAAGATCCTAGGGCCATATGCAATGCCAGGTATACGATTAAGTATTATAATTAGGCCAGGCATGGTGGCTCATGCCTGTAATCCCAGCACTTTGGGAGGCCAAGGCAGGTGAATCACCCGAGGTCAGGAGTTCGAGACCAGACTGACCAACATGGTGAAACCCCGTCTCTACTAAATATACAAAATTAGCTAGGTGTGGTGGTGTGCACCTGTATTTCCAGCTACTTGGGAGGCTGAGATAGGAGAATTGCTTGAACCTGGGAGGCAGAGGTTACAGTGACCTGAGATCGCACCACTGCACCCCAGCCTGGGTAACAGAGTGAGACTCCATCTAAACAAACAAACCATATATATATATGCTGAAGCGAGCAGATCACTTGAGGTCAGGAGTTTGAGACCAGCCTGGCCAACATGGTAAAACCCCACCTGTACTAAAAATAAAAAAATTAGCTGGGCGTTTGGCACATGCTATAGTCCCAGCTGCTTGGGAGGCTGAGGCAGGAGACTTGCTTGAACCTGGGAGGCGGAGGTTGCAGTGAGCTGAATTCACGCCACTGCATTCCACTCTGGGTGACAGAGCAAGAAAAAAGAATACTTGTACAACAATGAGAGTATTCAGTTAATGAGTGACTCTTGCCCAATTCTGTAACTTTAGAGTAACAAGCGTTGGAAGAAGAGAAGAATGGATACTGGGGAGCAATTGGCAATCTTTATGACAATACAAAACTAATGATGCATAAAAGTTAAAATGAAGTAGACATTAGGTCCACTGACAATTAGGTAATGAGTCTAAATGAATTGGAGCATCCTGTTTTACTTCATTTTCTTTTGTTTTGTCAAAGGAGTTTATGATCTATTGGGATGCCCTAAGTATGTGTTGTAGGCAGTTCTGGGAAGAGTCTTGTGAGTAAAGTGACTCAGGAAACTCTGAAAATGAGGATATTAGGAATTGATGACAACACTGGTGCACAGAAAAAAAAAAACACAGGAATTTTACAATTAAAAGTTTTTATTTAAAAATCTCTCATAACAACACATTACTTAGTATAATCAATTATAATTCAGGATTTTGATGACTTGTACCTGTGTTATTTCTTTTCTTTTCTTTTTTTTTGAGACGGAGTCTTGCTCTGTCCCAGGCTGGAGTGCAGTGGTGTGATCTCAGCTTACTGCAACGTCCGCCTCCCAGGTTCAAGCAATTCTCCTACCTCACCCTCCTCAGTAGCTGGGATTATAGGCGCCTACCACCACACCTGGCTAATTTTTGTAGTTTTAATAGAGACGGGGGTTTCACCATGTTGGCCAGGCTGGTCTCGAACTCCTGACCATAAATGATCTGCTTGCCTTGGCCTCCCAAAATTCTGGGATTACAGGCATGAGCCACCACACCTGGCCTGTTATTTCTTTTTTCTTTCTTTCTTTTTTTTTTTTTTTTTTGAGACGGAGTTTTGCTCTTCTTGCCCAGGTTGGAGTGCAGTGGCGCGATCTCAGCTCACTGCAACCTCCGCCTCCTGGGTTCAAGCAATTCTCCTGCCTCAGCCTTCCAAGTAGCTGGGATTGCAGGCACCCACCACCATGCCTGGCTTATTTTTGTATTTTTAGTAGAGACGGGGTTTCACCATTTTGGTCAGGCTGGTCTCGAACTCCTACCTCAGATGATCCACGCGCCTCATCCTCCCAAAGTGCTGGGATTACAGGCATGAGCCACTGTGCCTGGCCTGTTATTTCTAAACTGAACCTTTCATTACTTTCTTTAGCCAAAAAACAGGCCTGCTGCATGTACAGGAGGAAGATAGCAATGTTTCAGCCTAAGGGTCCAACCGGAGAAACTAATATGCAGAGATGGGGCTGTGAGATGGCCCTATTGGGTTGGAATCAGAACTAGAAGTCACACAACCTTGAACCCTATCAGAGCCTCATCAGCTCAGTTTAGGGATAGGGCAGGTATATCCTCCTTGGATATTCACTAACTTGAAAGTTAAAAGCAGTTTTCCTGGTTTTCATGCTGGCAGTCTTTATATGCACCAAATCTTTTCTAGCCTTCCTGGTGTACCTATCTTTGGAGCTGCTCACCACCAAATTCTGGAGGTACACAGCTCTAAGCTAATGGTAGGGGCAGGAAAGACATGTGGAAAGAAATAAATACTCAAGCTGCCCCCACAGAGACTGATCTTTCCTGCTGTGTCATCTTCCTTGAGGATGGACAAACATAACTTTTGTCCCGAGATAATGTATAATGTACACTCTTATCCCTTGACTCCCACCTTGCCTCCCCTTCCTACAATAACCCTCCAAGCCATTCAACCCCTACTCTCAGTGAGACTCTCACTAACTACCCCCCATCTCTTTCTTCCCCTACTAGGAAACTGAGCCCAATTACCAAGTCCTGATTCGCATCCTTATCTCTCGATGTGAGACTGACCTTCTGAGTATCAGAGCTGAGTTCAGGAAGAAATTTGGGAAGTCCCTCTACTCTTCTCTCCAGGTGAAACTTGGCTACTTCTTAGCCTGGAGCCTCAGGCCTTCACTCCTCACCTCCACCCTCACTCCCTGCACACAGCTGAGCATATTCTTGCCCCATAGAAAACCCAGTAGTTAGCCAGGCACAGTGGCTCACGCCTGTAATCCCAGCACTTTGAGAGGCTGAGGTGGGCGGATCACGAGGTCAGGAGTTCAAGACCACCCTGACCAACATGGTGAAACCCCGTCTCTACTAAAAATACAAAAATTAGCCAGGCATGGTGGCGTGCACCTGTAATCCCAGCTACTCAGGAGGCTGAGGCAGGAGAGTCGCTTGAACCCAGAAGGCAGAGGTTGCAGTGAGCCAAGATCGTGCCACTGCACTCCCACCTGGGTGACAGGGCAAGACTCCATCTTAAAAAAGAAAACCCAGGAGTCTTTGGTTAATGTAGTGCAGGACTCTGAGCTCCCGGGAGGACCCTTCCCTCCCAGATGAACTGTGATGGACCAGCCCAAAGGAGGGGAGAGAGCACTTGGGCCATAGTGGTGGTGGATCTTTCTAACACTGAATTCCCTTGTCTGCAGGATGCAGTGAAAGGGGATTGCCAGTCAGCCCTCCTGGCCTTGTGCAGGGCTGAAGACATGTGAGACTTCCCTGCCCCACCCCACATGACATCCGAGGATCTGAGATTTCCGTGTTTGGCTGAACCTGGGAGACCAGCTGGGCCTCCAAGTAGGATAACCCCTCACTGAGCACCACATTCTCTAGCTTCTTGTTGAGGCTGGAACTGTTTCTTTAAAATCCCTTAATTTTCCCATCTCAAAATTATATCTGTACCTGGGTCATCCAGCTCCTTCTTGGGTGTGGGGAAATGAGTTTTCTTTGATAGTTTCTGCCTCACTCATCCCTCCTGTACCCTGGCCAGAACATCTCACTGATACTCGAATTCTTTTGGCAAACTTCGCTGTTGTTTGTGTTCCCTGATTGAAGGTTGGGTGGAGCAGGACATGGACCGGGAAGAGGCACTGGAGTTGGAAGTGCCTTTGATGTGCACTTGGCTATTCCGCAGGAATCCTGTTTTGCCTTAGTGCTACAGTAATCCACACCCAGGTCTCCCACTCCAGGTCTCCCCTCACCCTCATTCTCCAGGAAACTTCAGGCAAAATAATTGAGAAACAGGCATTAGAACAAGGTGAGAAATAGAGGGAGCAAAGGACCATCTGTATGAACTGGGAAGCAAGCGGAGGGCCAAGCTACCCTCCCCAGCATGGGAATTCTTGGGTTAGTGGAGAGCACAACCCTCAAATTCATGTGTCCAAGCAGAGATTTGGAAACCCACCTCCCAGGAGAGCACTATTTCCCATAGAAAACAAAAACAAAAACAGAAACAAAAACAAAAAGTCAGGCTTTGGTTCCCCCTGCAGGCTATATTAGAAATGACAGGTAGCTGGGCGCAGTGGCTCACGCCTGTAATTCCAGCACTTCGGGAGGCCAAGGCAGGCGGATTACTTGAGGTCAGGAATTCAAGACTAGCCTGACCAAAGTGGCGAAACCGTCTCTACTAAAAATACAAAAATTAGCTGGGCGCAGTGGCGCATGCCTGTAGTCCCAGCTACTCAGGAGGCTGAGGTAGGAGAATCGCTTGAATCCGGGAGGCGGAGGTTGCAGTGAGCTCAGATTGCACCACTGCACTCCAGCCTGGGCAATACAGCGAGGCTCCATCTCAAAAAAAAAAAAAAAAGAAAAAAAGAAATGACAGGTAACCACCTTCCTGCCTCTGACCCACCTCCCGCTTTTTGCATTCTTCAATTGGGTCAAATACTTAACCCTATTGCTTCAGGGTAAGGCAAACAACAGATCTCAGGAAAGAAGGTTTTTTTTTTTTTTAGACAGTTTTGCTCTTGTCGCCCAGGCTGGAGTGCAATGGTGCGATCTCGGCTCACTGCAACTTTCACCTCCCAGGTTCAAGTGATTCTCCTGCCTCAGCCTCCCGAGTAGCTGGGATTACAGGCGCCCACCATGACGCCCAGCTAATTTCTTGTATTTTTAGTAGAGACGGGGTTTCACCTTTTTGGGCAGGCTGGTCTCGAACTCCTAACCTCAGGTGATCCGCCCACCTTGGCCTCTCAAATTGTTGAGATTACAGGAGTGAGCCACCGTGCCCGGCCAGAAGTTTTATTTCCAAACCCCAGGAAGGCATTACAAATAAGAGATAGAAACCCAAATTAAGCTCTGAAACAACTGGAGACAGGCCTGCCTAGGTGATCAGGAGCATCCAGGCAGCAGGGATGGGAAGCAGAAGAGATGCATTCTGGATAGGGACCTCACCCCAGAGCCTCAGTCTGTACATACGTGTGACTATTCAGGGACCGGGAGTTGAGAACCAGAAACCCACCAATCCTAGTGTTGCCCTGGATGGGAGGCAGAGAAGGCAGCAGCACGTGAGGTCAAGGACATTACCAAGTCTGACCTTGGCATTTGTTGCCTGCTCTCATCCCCAACAGTCCATAAATAAGTTATCCAGCACATCTCAGGGGTGGAGGCGGGGGAGCAAGCCAACTAGCCATAGCCTCTGGAAGAAGGGGCAGGCCAGCCTGGCACTGGGGCAGAGCTACAGCAGAATGCAGTCTGACTCGTGCTTCGGCCTCTGCCGACGCTCCCCGGCTGGGCGTCCAGATGTGGCTCCTCTCCCCTGTATCGGATTTAACAATTGGTCACTGAACTTCCTTGGAAGAGCACAAGAAGAGATTCTAGAAGAAGGGGTGTCAGGATTGGGACAGAGAGTAGGGAGAGGAAGACAGGAAGGGGCTCCAGGGGAGAGGGACAGGCAGGGGAAGGACTCTGAGAGAAGAAACCTTGAAGAGACCAGTGCAGGAATAACAGGTGTTCTGGACCCGGCAAAGCATGAGGTGGAAACCGGGAGTGTGGGCGCCCAGGCAGCAGCCCACCTGCAGTGACAGGACCCGCGTCCGCATCCGCACTGGCTGCGCTGCCTGCTGCTGTTGATACTCCTCTTGCTGAAGCTGCTGGGCCAGCTCCAAGTCGGTAAGCCCCAGCGGGCCTCGTGGCTGTTGCTGCTGCAGGGACAGAGCAATCAGGTAGTCCTGGGGAGAACAAGAGTTGTGCAGTGGGCTGAGGCCCAGAGCCGTGGCTATTCAGGCAAGGTTTCCAAATCAGTTTTCCCACATCCCTCAAATTCTCTAGCTCTTTCTCCCCACAGAGCAGCACACACAGCCAAATGCATTATCTGTGGTGCCAGAGAATACACACCAAGTGAGGAGACGGTCTGAGGTAACCCAGAGAGAGAGGCATGGGTTCACATGGCCTCTAGCAGTTAAAATGTATGCAGTAAAAAGCTCTCTGAGGCACATGTGCTCTCTGCACTTTTCCTAAGTGCCCTACACACCTGGTCTACCTGCAGCTGCGTTTCTGGGGAGCCACTCCCACCTTCTGCTCCAGGCCCCTTGCCCAGGGAATGACTCAGGTGAAAGTCAGAGTCACAAAAGCAGCTGTCTCCATCCACATTGTGCAGGCTCTCCCATACGACTTGCTCCTCCTGTAGAAAGCCCTGGTCAGTGACCAGTAGGTATAAGTGACTCTACAAAGAAAAGAACAGAGCTCATTGGGGGGACAGTTGATACGGAGGCAGTTCACTGCCAGAAATCTCGGTATGAGCATGTGGACTTTTTTTTTCTTGGAGATGGAGTCTCGCTCTGTCATCCAGGCTGGAGTGCAGTGGCACAATCTCTGCTCACCGCAAGCTCTGCCTCCCAGGTTCACACCATTCTCCTGCCTCAGCCTCCCAAGTAGCTGGGACTACAGGCACCCGCCACCATGCCTGGCTAATGTTTGGTATTTTTTTAGTAGAGACGGGGTTTCACCGTGTTAGCCAGGATGGCCTCGATCTCCTGACCTCATGATCTGCCCGCCTCGGCCTCCCAAAGTGCTGGGATTACAGGCATGAGCCACCGCACCCGGACCCTGAGCATGCGGACCTTTTACAAATATGTGTGGCCTTGGGGGGAAGAAAGGGATGTCTGAGTGTATGTCCAGTTGGGTGTGAGCACGGTGGTCATTCTGGCTAAGCGTGGCATGGAGTCGTTGGGGCTGAGATGCCACATAAGACCCTGCTCCCCCCATTTCCCATTGTTCTCTGGGCTTGCCTGATGGCTCTTAGGATAAATCCTTTGAGAACCAGAGACCCCTCCCTCTGCTGCTCAAATCCTAGAGAGCTTTGGCAGTTTCTAACTTTTGAAGACCAGCATTGTTTAAAAATTCCACTGCCCCCTCCTAGGGGAGGATCATACTTTCCTGTCCCATCGACGGCAGGCTTATCCCTTATGGCTTGCTCTGGCCAGAAGATGTGAGCAGAAATGACATGTGTCATTTCCAAACAGAAGCTCTAAGCATGAGTGCACAGTGCCCCTCTCTCTCTCTGTTCCCACATATATTCCAGATAAAGGATCTTTTGTCAGCTGGGTCCCAGAGTGAAGATGGTGTGGGACAGAACCGTAGCCAGTCCACAGTGGACACGCACCAGGAGCGGGAAATGAACCTTTGTTGTGGTAAACCACAGGGATTTGAGGGGTCACTTGCTACCACGGCTTAATCTAGCTGATCCCAGCTGGACCCACGAGAAAAAGGCACCAGGAAATGACAGCACCGCAGCACGCCACCCCCAAACTCGCATTACCTTATGCTTAGTCATGGTGCTAAAGTGGTTGTTTCGGAAAAAGACGCTAAGTTCACCCTCCTTAGCAGCTGCTGTCAGCTCACACAGTCCGTGGTAGGTCAGCTGGGCCGCGGTGGTCTCCAGGAACTGCTCTGCAATCAGGCCTGCCAGAAAGGGACGAGTCGGGGGAAACTTGGCTTAAATTCAAGGTCCACAACAGGAAGGACCATCCAGAGAGCCCCTGTCAAAAGCCCCGGGGGGTCAGTCCCACCTTCTGACGTCCCTTTCTTGAAACCTGGCTGTATTCATTCACTTAACAAATACTTATAATAGAGCAGCTACCTTGTGCCAGGCACTGGGGATACCTCAATGAACTAAACAGAAATTCCCCAAGCTCCTTCTTGTGAAGCTTATATCTAGTGGGATGTGGTAGGAGATGACACCCAATAAAAAATAAGCCTAAGTAGCTGTCAT
This sequence comes from Homo sapiens, assembly GCF_000001405.40. Lineage (NCBI taxonomy): Eukaryota > Metazoa > Chordata > Mammalia > Primates > Hominidae > Homo > Homo sapiens. The sequence continues at coordinate 150,999,822 of NC_000001.11, forward strand.
TCCCTCCACATACTATCCATGAGAAGGGGAGGAATGTCACCTTCTGTCACGAGGTTGGTGTCACTGGAGTGTTTGCAGGTGATGATCCTCTCCACCAGCTGGTTGTAACTCAGTTTCCCAACTGCACGCACAGCCTCAGGACTCTGCTTGGGTAGTGGGATGTGGGATACCAAAAAAATTGGGATTTTTTTTTCTTTTTTAAGGAAGGAAATGAACAAAGCTCACAAGGACTACAACCCTGTGATGAATGGTTCCTAAACACTTTTTTTTTTTGGTCTCTCAAAAAAGAAAAAAATTTCAGGAACCATTCATCATAGGGTTGCTATGTTGCCCAGACTGGCCTCGAACTCCTCCCAAGTAGCTGGGAATACAGGCATGTGCCACCAAACCCATCTGCTTCCTGAATTTTTGATGTCTAAAGAACTGACCTATTTGCATGTAGTTTGCTTGTATTTGCATGTTACCCCCAAAATAGATTAAAATTCAAGGAATTCTGTACTGGGTCCAGTCTCTAAACACTATTTCCCTCCCAAGCCAATCTAACCCCTAACTCCCTAACCTCTACCCGACAAAAATTTGCCTCTCTCATGTCAGCTTGAGCTGGATAAGGTCCCAGTGGGCCCTCCCACCCTCACCTGTGGATCAACAAGCCAGCCATGGTACAGAGGTATGCCTAGCAGGTCAAAGACACTGCACTCGGGTGTATACTCAAAATCAGAGACGCCTGTGAATCGCACATTGACATCCAGACCTGTGGCCAGTTTAGGCAGCACTGTCATTGCATCATCCACATTCTGGGGGTAGAAAAAAAAATGATGGAGATTCTAGCCTTCTCTCCCACCACTCCACTCCCACCTGCAGAAATTAAAAATTAACCTTGCTGCTCTTCTTCCCTGATTCTCTTACAAGCCACTCCATTTCTCCCTTGCCTCAACCCTTCTCTATCTTATATAAATGAACATTGTTTTTCTTTGAGAGTCTAAGTCTAATTCTTTCATCCAGGCTGGAGTGCAGTGGTGTGATCCTAGCTCACTGCAGCCTCAAACTCTTGGTTTCAAGTGACCCTCCCACCTCAGCCTCCTGAGTAGCTGGGACTACAGGCACGCACCGCCATACCTGGCTAATTCTTGAAAAAAAAAATGGTTTTTTTTAGAGACAGGGGTATTATTATGTTGCCCAGGCTGGCCTCGAACTCCTGGCCTCAAGTGATCCTCCCGCTTTGGCATCTCAAAGTGCTGGGATTACAGGTGTGAGCACCCGGCCAATGAACATATTTTCTAGGACAAAGATAAACTCTCCTCTGACTCCTGCAGAATGAAATCATGGTTCAAGGAAACCTCTGAAGAAGCAACAAAAGCTTATCTTAGTATTACAAGATGTCCCCTTACAAACCTGCAAACCCCTATGCCTGCAGACCTTTTGCCTCACCTGCTGAAAATTAAGCTGAAGTCCCTCTGACTTCTCCTGGGGCTTGATGGACAGGAGGCAGTTTCCTACAAGACAGGGCCCCTTATCAGCTTACCCCACCAATCATCCCAAAAGCTAAGTTTCCTCTTCTCCTGGAGAATGCGGGTAATGTCACAGAACACAGATTTTCAGAGCTGGAAAATACTTAGAGTCTAATCCAGACTCTTCATTTCTCAGAGGAGGCGACAGCCTCATAAAGGTGAACGGCCCACCCAGGGTCAGATACAAAAGCTAAGGGCAGAATTGGTGTTACAACCCAGGACTCCCGACGCCTTTGCTTTTCATTCTCCAGCCTTGCAGAGAAGCCCCATAGACCCTTACCCTCCCTGCTGTATCAGAACCCCCAAATGGAGATCCCTGAATAGTCTGGATTTCTGGCTGAGTGGATAGCTCTGGAGCCCCTTGGGTAATTCCTCTTCAACGCCCAGTCACTCACCAAGATGGGCCATGAGCTCATCCGATGTGATCACTTCCTTCTGCGGGGGGAGCTTCACCTGGAGGCAGAAGGGGTGATCACGTGTGTGCTTTCCTCCAAAGAGCACTGAAGGAAGAACCCATGGAAAGGCAAGGGGGAGCTCCAGTAGTAGGGTGGGGTAGGAAAAAAGGCTTGCAACTGGCACAAGGGAATGAATGTGAAATCTTGCAAGGCATGTGCATTTGCTAGGGAGTAGGAGATACAGGGGTAGGACAGATCTTCCTCTTTTTTTTTTTTCTTTGTTTTTAGGAACATCTTATCTCATTTGCTCAAGCTGGAGAAATAGGGAGAACAATCTGAAAAGTTTTGACTAGTTTGAGGACATCAGGATGATCAAGGAAGTAAGTCAGGGAAGAGTACTCCCTGATATTTTTTGCACCCCTAACTGCATGTTCTCTTACCTTCCACTGAAGAAAGAGGATGTTCATGATGGCAAGGAGAGGGCAAGGGCCGTTAGTGCTCTGGGTGATGATGGGTGTCTGTTCTCCTTTCCAAGGGATCCACTTGACACAGTAGAAATCTGGCTCAGGCTGTCGGGTCCTGGGGGACTGAGGAAGCTCCTGGGGCATGGAGCATGCCCTTATTGTCTCTACTTCAGGCAGTGTCCCAAGGGTTGGCCCCGGTGGAGCTGAGCTAGCTTCAGGCAGAGGGGACTCAAGGTTGTCCCCACACTGGCTAGGCAGCAAAGCTTGGTCTGCTGGCTCCCGTTCTCTAGCCTCCCCATCAGCATCTCTTGCATCTGTGTCCTGAGGGTGCTCATCTGGGCCTGCCAGAACCTCATGGTTTTCAGGGATGACTGCTTCTGCAGTCCCGGCCTTACCAGGGGCTGGATCCTCAGGCTGATGGTATTCCATGGTCAAAAGGGACTTGGCTGAGGGGCACTGAAGGTGTTTACTAACCTCAGGGACTTGCCTAAGCCAGGCTTGGGATGCAAAAGAGTGACCTGTCCAATAAGAAGGAAATCAGTGGGCTGGAAAGCAAACTAACCCAGAAAAGTCTTGGAAAAGGAATGTAGTGTAGAAGGCTGGCTAGTGTTTGTGCAGTAACTCCTGGCTATGGGCAGTATATGTGTAAACAGAAGGGCCCCGTGCTGAGCTCTTTCCACCTCTAACTTGCTGTGACCAGATGAGACCAAGAGGTCGTGGGGCTTCCAGACTTGGGAGGGAAGACTGGTGGGATTGAACACATGGGTGGAGTCAGCTTCCCTGAAACAGATCATGACAGGGAAGGGAGGAAAGACAGAGAGAAAGGGAGAGCACAAAGGAGAAAGAAGGATAAGAGGTGGAGAAAGAAATGTTAAATCTACGCTAATGGTTATTAATATGATGATCTTTAGCTTACTCTAATAGGCATCACATCAGTAACCCCCTCATAGCCATGACAGAGATAATTCCTCTGCCCTACCCCACACCCTGCCCCTTCACACAACATACTAAGAATACACAGTGCTTGTATGTTTAGGGATACCTTCTCTCTGCCTCACCCAAGGATAAAAAGATTAAGTCACATAGTACTTGGGGTGAAGAATGGAGGAGGCACAGAGAGTCAGTTTCATGCCCCTAAAGGTGAAATGCTGGTGAGGAAGGGGAAGTCTTCCACCTCAAAGGGCTCTACTGAACCTTACACAATCCCAAACCACAGTATAAAGGCCTTGGGAGGGGTTTCCTGTAAGCTGGGAGGGGAAATGTAGGTGGTGGGGGCTGGAATCAGAGACTGGTTTTGATAAATAACTTCAGATTAGGGGCACAAAAAGCACTCCCCACAAGTTCTTCCAGTAAGCTTCTCTTTAAAAAAAATTAATAAAGATATCAAATTTCTTTTAATTAAACTGAGACAGGGTCTTGCTTTGTTGCCTAGGCTGGTCTTAACTCCTGGGGGCCCAAGCAATCCGCCCTCCTCAGCCTGCCAAAGGACTGGGATTACAGGCATGAGCCACGGTGCCTGGACCCAGTAAGCATCTCTTGACAGCTAGCATTGAGACAGCAACTTTTCCTCAGTTCATTTTTTTTCCCCAGAAACTACCTAAACCCAGAGGTACTCTCTTGCCTGCTATTTCTATGAAATATGAAAATGCTGATTATTAATTTACATAACAATACTTCCTGTACATTCACCTACCTAAAGTTTTATGTCTATTCCCATCCAAGTGGTTTTATTTATTTATTTTTATTTTTTTGAGACAGAGTTTTGCTCTTGTTGCCTAGGTTGGAGTGCAATGGTGCGACCTCGGCTCACTGCAACCTCTGCCTCCTGGGTTCAAGTGATTCTCCTGCCTCAGCCTCCCGAGTAGCTGGGATTACAGGCATGCAACACCATGCCCAGCTAATTTTGTATTTTTTAGTAGAGATGGAGTTTCTCCATGTTGGTCAGGCTGGTCTTGAACTTCCGACCTCAGGTGATCCTCCCACCTTGGCCTCCCAAAGTGCTGGGATTACAGGCATGAGCCACCGTGCCCAGTCCTCTCCAGGTCATTTTAGATGTGAACACCGGACCTGTTTAACCTGTTCTCTATCAGCACTGGAGGCACATTGAGGCAAGCACAGATAGACATTTAACTAATACTGTGGGTATAAATAATAAAAAACCACAAATCCTGCCCTTTGGAAAACATCTCCCTTCAATCTCCTTGCTCCCCTCCCACTCTTTATCAGGGAGAGAAACAGGGAGAAATTAAACTAGTTAGGGGCCAGGCGCGGTGGCTCACGCCTGTAATCCCAGCACTTTGAGAGGCTGAGGCGGGCAGATTACTTGAGGTCAGGAGATCGAGACCATCCTGGCTAACATGGCAAAACGCTGTCTGTATTGAAAGTACAAAAATTAGCCAGGTGTGTTGGCACGTGCCTGTAGTCACAGCTGCTCGGGAGGCTGAGGTGGGAGAATTGCTTGAACCTGGGAGGCAGGGGGTTGCAGTGAGCTGAGATGGTGACACTGCACTACAGCCTGGGTGACAGAGCGAAACTCCATCTCAAAAATAAAATAAAATAAAATAAAATAAAATAAAATAAAATAAAATAAAATAAAATAAATTAAACTAGTTAGAAATCTTGTCTTTTCTCCACCCTCCTCCCAGCCTGAGACTGCTTCCTTCTTGTAAACCTACAGGAATTTGGGGCTAGGGGAAGGCCTGGGAGATGAGGTTGAGGAACATTAAAGTTACTGAAACAAAATAAGCCTAGTCACTCAAATTGATTATCCTCTTGATTCACATATGTTTATGCTAGCTGCATATCATTTACGTGTTGTTAATTTAGAATCAGAGTAGCAAAAATTGCCTGCAGGCCTTATGCTTTTTTTTCTCTCTCTTTCTCTCTCTCCTTTCCTTCTCCCCTTAAATGACACTTAGGGTGAACCTCAAAGCAGATGCCAGAGCCTGGAAAAGTGAAAAAGCTTGAAGAAAAGCAGGCCTTGGCCGGGCACAGTGCCTCACACCTGTATCCCAGCACTTTGAGAGGCCGAGGCGGGCGGATCACCTGAGGTCAGGAGCTCAAGATCGGCCTGGCTAACATGGCGAAACCCCATCTCTACTAAAAATACAAAAATTAGCCGGGCACGGTGGCGGGCACCTGTAATCCCAGCTACTCAGGAGGCTGAGGCAGGAGAATTGCTTGAACCCCGGAGGTGGAGGTTGCAGTAAGCCAAGATTGTGCCTCTGCACTCCAGCCTGGGTGACAAGAGTGAGACTCTTGCCTCCAAAAAAAAAAAGAAAAAAAGAAAAAAAAAAAAGAAAAGCAGGCCTTATTTTTTATATTTTCTCTCCAGTGCCAGAAATGATCAATGATGAAGTGGGGGTTGGGCAGCTAGCTGGCTGGAGAGGTGAGCCAAAGGAACCCAGGAGTGGACACCTGAGGGAGTGGGGTCTCAGAGGAACTGGGCAGAGCTAAATGGGCTAAGTCTTAAGAGGCAGGGGCAGGAAATGTAATGGAGGCTTTCTACTCTACAACGTCCAATCCTGCTGGGGAGGGCATGGAGTATTTCAGAGTAGGAAAGAATGAGGGAGAGGATAGTCAGATAAATCAAAGTTTCATTCTTTTCCTCCTCTTTCTTAGCTCGTCAAATCCTACACTTTCTCTCCAGCTGGAATTATGGTGGTGAGTGAGGGAGTTAAAATAATCCTGGCTCCTCCCTAATCAATGGCAGTAGAGAGCCGAAAGTTGGAAGAAGCACGTAAAACAGGTATGTAGCTTCAAGAAGACACTCCTTCTCTGTAGGAACAGTTCCCTTACTGTCTCACACCAATCTCCTTCTTAGTCTGACCTATGTCTTTGTGCAATCAATAGTTTAGATTTTCATCTCAGAATATGTCAACCATGGCCACAGTGCCCTGTATACTTGCTCACAAGGAGAGGGGGAAGGTTTCGTGCTTTCATTAAAAGGAGGAGGACCAAGCAGCATCCCCTTTACATGTCTCTCCTGACTTAGCTCCTCTAAGCAATCCAGACTTGCAGACCAAAGGTGGAAGGACAGCAGGTGTCAGCTCCCCAAAGCTGGAGAGGAAATAGAGAAGGGTGGGAGAAGAGGTGAAGAAGATGATTAAAATAAAGTTTTTACCTTAAAGAAGGGGGTGCTGTTCCAAGATTGAGAAGGAGGGTTCAGCCGTGGCAATGAGATGGGGGAGATAGGTGCAATGAAGGGGGCTGCCAGTGCCAGCTGCCTTCCAGCTGTCAACGCCTGAGCTTATACAGGTTTACACAGCTTTATAAGCGACGGTCCAGGCTGGGTTGTGGCCACTTCCGGACTCACGCCCAGTACTGGGGGCACTGGAGGAGGGTGAAGGCAGGCAGGGACACAGCCAAGGTGCTCCAGGTCGCTCAGAGAGTCTTCAGGATTCCTGAGTCGCCGAGTCTATGGCATGCGCTCCGGGCCCTGACTACAAGCTGGTTTTCAAAGGAAGTTTGTGGTTTTTCTTTTCTTCTCTCTCTCTTTTTTGTTCTCATCAGGACGAAGAAAAATTAGGCAAGGACAAGCTCCCTGGAGGAGGAGGGGCCTGCCCAGCGCTGGTGGATTTCCATCAGGACTTTCTGACCCGGTCAGCAGCTTTGTGATCAGCAGAGAGGGAGCGAGAAACAGGAGAGAAAAACAACAGACCCTTTCTCTTCCCTCTGCCTGCCTCTAGAAGGGACGGAGCGCTTGTGCCTCTCTGGTGAGAATAGGGAAGAGCAAGTGCCCTTGCTAAGTAGGGAGGAGAAGGGCTGGACAGAAGCAGCTTGTTGGATCTGGGCTCTCTCTCTGGGTATGGCAGTCCTTTGCTCTGGATCCACAGAAGCAGGAGCAAAGAGCACGATATTTGCATGTATTACTCAATTAATGTTAAAAACAAACAAACAAACCCAGCTCTTTTCCCTCTGGAGCCCTCCAGAGAGCTCCTTTCCAAGTCCTTGCTGTATCATTTTTAAGTCTAGAAATGAAACTGGTTGGGTTGTGCACCTGGTAGAGTGCAGAGGGTGTGGTAGAAGCCCCAGGCTCTGGGCGCGATGGCTGACGCCTGTAATCCCAGCACTTTGGGAAGCCAAGGCGGGCGGATCACAAGGTCAAGAGATCAAGACCAACCTGGCCAACATAGTGAAACCCCATCTCTACTAAAAATACAAAAATTAGCAGGGCATGGTGGCACATGCCTGTAGTCCCAGCTACTCGGGAGGCTGAGGCAGGAGAATCGCTTGAACCCGGGAGGTGGAGGTTGCAGTGAGCCAAGATCCTGCCACTGCACTCCAGCCTGAAGACGGAGCAAGACTCCGTCTCAAAAAGAAGAAGAAGAAGAAAAGAACTGGCAGAGCAGGCAGGAGATCCAACACGCCTGTGCTCTGGATCTTGGTTCCACTGCAGGCCTCTCATCAGTCACCTCCTCTCGATTTACAGCTGGGGAAGCAGGAAAAGCTGGTGTGAGGCTGACGGTAGGAAATAAAGGGATAGATAAATAAATGAGGGAATTTTTGATGATGAGTGTCCATTTATTTGCAGTACCTGCACTACTCTGCGGCTGGAAAGTGGCAGTTAAGGGAGGTTGGAACCTAACTCCACATTCTGAAGGGTTCCCTAAACTCTATGTACAGGGCCGCCACAGGATGAAATTTCAAGCAACTCTAAAGGCTGAAAGAGCAATTGGAACAATTAGGGTGGCAGAGAGCAAAAAGCCAAGGTTACAACCGTCCAAGAAAGGAAGAAGATATTTGCCGAGGCTGTAGAAAAAAACAGGCTACAGAGTTGCAAAGGGAGAAGCAGCAGGAGTTGGCAGGAGACTGTAGGTGTTAACAAGAGGGGTCAAAGATTATTCTAATGTTCTCCTAACATGAACAACCACAAAATTGGTGGCGACTGAGTCAGTTTGGTAAAGGGCAGAATTTGTAGAAAGAAGATGATCTGTTTTGCCAAGTGTCATTTAAAATGTCACCAGATGCTCGGTGTGATATATGTAAAGATGTTATACTTGGCCTGATCTGAGAGGGAAAGTTCAGATGCCACAATAATGGGTTACTGTGACACATACACATTTGTTTACCGAACGACTGATCCCTCAGAAAACAATCCTTCCCTCGGTTGCTAGGGACATTGCGGAGTTGCGGGACTACGTTTCCCACGTCGCCCCACGCCACGCCCCCTTGGCCTCGCCGGAAAGACGTCCCAGGAGCCTCTGGGCGTAGAGCCCCGCCTCCGCCGCTGGGGGCGGGGCGACGCCGGACTCCGGAGCGCCCGCTTACGCAGTTCCTCCCGGGGTCGGAGGCCGATTCGCCGTGTGGCGGGTTCGAGTCCCGCCTCCTGACTCTGGCCTCTAGTCCCTGAGTCCCGGGCGGGCTGCATTCGTCGGGGAAACCTCTCCTCGACCAGGGGCACCTCTACTCGACCAGGGGCGACGGCGTACTTTGGGCTTCATCATGGAGGACTACCTGCAGGGTTGTCGAGCTGCTCTGCAGGTAACGAATCCCTGTCTGTGACTGTAAGGAATGGAGCACGGGGTCCAGGAAGGACGAAGACGTGGGATCTGGGGGAGCCTCGACGGTCCGTGTGGAGGGAACACTGAGTTGTGGGGAGGGGGGTTGGGGCCTGATCAGTTTTGGGGCATGAGGAGCGAGGAGCGAGAAGCCAGTTTAGGAGCGTGAGAATGCTGCTTGTTCAGTCTCCCGGTTTTTGGCTCCCCGCCTTTGGGGTCCGCCTGAGAGCGGGGAGAAGTCTTGGGTCTGAATCCTGCATTTGAGCCTCTGCTTGCTGTCATCTTGGTCAGTTCCATCAAAAAAACCAGGACTGTGCCGCCGCCAGCCTAGCCCCGCGAGGTGTGTTTATTCTTTTCTCCCCGCCCCTCTTTGAGTTCTCCGCTCCCAAGGCTTCGCTTGGCCCACTGGCCTCCAGGTGAACCTCGGGGGTGTGGAGGGAACCGGTGCTCACGGCCTTATTTCCTCCGAATGGCAGTTTCTGTCTGGCGGGCTGAACTCATTTCTAGGTTAGAAGTAGTCACAGTATTTTACTTTAAGTCAGTGTTTTTAAGCCAAACATACAAAATCCATCAGGCATATTTGTTGACCCACAACCAGCATTCCTTTGCCTCCAGGTTTCTCCTTTGGCCTTAACGCACACAAATGACATAAAAATTCTCCACTTGGAAGGGATAAGCACAAAGTGTGTTTGGAATCAAAACCATAAATATGACTACTCAATGCTTTGTGGCTTATTTTTGGTGCTCTCTGACTCAGTTGGACTCACCCAGCCATGCTGAGCCGTCATGAGGCATTAGGCTGTTATCCCCAGTTAGCAGCAAAAAGCTAACCAGAGACAGGCTCCAGGAGGTCACCCGGCCCCTCTACTTTGAGTTATACTGCCCTGAAGAAACCTAGATAGATGGCTTGCTGAGCTTTCCTTTTTAGATATCTTAAACTCTACAAATTCCCCTGAGGGACAGATTCTGGTCTTTAACAAATCCTGAAAGTCACTAATTCCTGCTGCAGACTCAGCTGCTGGAATAAATGAATTGTCTTCATATTGAATTGGGGAGAAGGTCCATTTTAACACCAATTACATAGACATTTTCCTTGTGAAAAACAAATTTGGGGAGTTATTTCAATGCATAAGGCCATTTGGAACCAATCCCTTTTTGTTACCTCTGAGTCCACCACAGGGCGCTTATTGGAGGACTAATGTAGAGTTTTTGGGGCACCGTTCTAAGTGCTAAACAGTTGGATTTTACCCCCCAGTAACCCAAATGACTGGTCTCTTCCACCATTTGGTAAAGTGCCCTTGGACCTGAAACCTCACCAAATAGTATTTCTTTGCATGCATCTACTCTCCAGCATATATCCTCCAGAGCCTCCCCCGACCCCCAGGTTAGTAGTATATTCTCTATTTTTATTTTGTATTTGTTTATTTATTTTCAGCCAGGGTCTCACTCTGTTGCCCTGGCTGGAGTGCAATGGTGTGATCACCTCCCCGGCTCAAGTGATCCTCCCACCTCAGCCTCCCGAAAAAGCTGCGACTATAGGCAGTGCCACCACGCAGGGCTAATTTTTTGTATTTTTATAGAGACAGGGTCTCGCCATGCTGCCCAATCTGGTTTCAAACTCCTGGACTCAAACAATCCCCCTGGCTTGGCTTCCCAAGGTGTTGGAATTACAGGTGTTAGCCACTGTACCCAGCCCGAATAGTATATTCTCTACAGCAATATGAAGCTGGAAAAATACTTGATTTTTCCAATACTGCTGGCATCTCGACCTTTCTCTCCCTGCATTCATCCCCCAAGGAGCAAGATCTAGATCTTCCTTTCAAACTTGTGAACTTGTGAAAGGTGAGATTGTGTCTTAGAGCTTGCATCATCACATAGCCTCTCCAGGGCCTGGAGAAATGAGAAAATTAGACTCTAGGAAGGTTAACAGGGGAACTGATGGCAAGACATACTGGTAGATGCCAACAATTTAAATTGCTTTAATTTTTTTTTTTTTTTTTTTGAGATAGACTCACTCTGTCGCCCAGGCTGGAGTAGGCTCACTGCAACCTCCACTTCCCGAATTCAAGCGATTCTTCTGCCTCAGCCTCCTGAGTAGCTGGGATTACAAGTGTGCGCCACTATGCCTGGCTAAGTTTTGTATTTTTAGTAGAGACAGGGTGTCACCATGTTGGACAGGCTGGTCTTGAACTCCTGACCTCAAGTGATATGCCTGCCTTGGTCTCCCAAAGTGCTGGGATTATAGGCATGAGCCACCACACCCAGCCTAGATTGCTTTAAATTATAGAAGTAGTAAATGTGTATTTCATGAACAAATTTAAATACCAAAGGGATATGAAATGAAAAAGATAAAGATCATTTTTCTTTTCTCCTCTCCATCCAGTTCTCCAGAGGACACCGTTAAGTTTCTTGTGTAAAGAGAGAGAGGTGATTTAGACAGATACACTCTTAAGTTTGAATGTTTCTGTTAAACTACAGTTTAATTATAACTTTCAGAAAATCATGAATGCTCCTCTTTGTGCAGGATAAAGACAGCTGGTAATCCAGCCAAGTCTCCCGTTGCTACCATATTTTTAGTATTTGATACCACAGAAATTTTCTATAGCCTCTGCCACAGAGACAATAGGATGTTCCATTAAAAAAAAATCATTTAACCAAATGTCCTATTTATGGTGACTCATCTTTCACTTCTGAGGGGAGAAATCTTTGCTTCAGGGTGGGGCTGCATTGCAGTTTAGGTGTTCATCCAGGACCCCTTGGATAATGTAGTGTGTGCAGTTCTCAGGCATGAGGCAGGAATCAGGAGCTGGCTCTCCTTAGAAATTTGCAGTCCTGGCATCAGTATTGTTCCTGTTTTCTCTGCTGAGAGGGTTTGTCTCTCTCTGGCTTTCTGTCTCGTTTATTTTTCTCCCCCATTAACTATTCTGAAGAGTAGTTATCATACCATATTCAGCTTTAGAAGGGAAGTGGTTTACTTTGCCAGGCCTAGAATCCCCTCCCTGCCCCCTCCTCTTGAGGCCACAAAGAACATATCAGGATAAGAGAGTCATTTCAACTAGTGGGTGTTTATTCATTTATTTATTTTAATTAATTAATTTTTTTTTTTTTTGAGACAAAGTCTCGCTCTGTCACCAGGCTGGAGTACAGTTGCATGATCTCGGCTCACTGCAACCTCCGCCTGCCAGGTTCAAGTGATTTTCCTGCCTCAGCCTCCCGAGTAGCTGGGACTACAGGCATGTGCCACCATGCCCAGCTAATTTTTGTATTTTTAGTAGAAACGGGGTTTCACCATGTTGGCCAGGATGGTCTCAATCTCTTGACCTCGTGGTCGGCCCACCTCGGCCTCCCAAAGTGCTGGGATTACAGGCGTGAGCCACCGTGCCTGGCCAACTAGTGGGTCTTTAAAAAAAAGAAAAAAGAAAAAAAGTTTGTATTTATTTACTTGTGGCCCTCAGATTGTATTTTTTCCATTGGCAGCTTAGATTTCCTCATGCTGCTAAGTATAGCTGTATTTTCCCTGAACTCTTTCTCTGATGGTCAGAAAACTGAGGCTGTTTGGCTTGTGCTTTCAGCTGGTGGAGGATGGGCTTGGAATTAGGGGTTACACATGTTTTTCTTAAATAAAGAAGAGAATGATGTCTTATAAGTTGGGCAGCCCCACACACGGTTTGCCCAGGGCAGTCTTGGTTTTCCCCTGTGTAATCATTAATAGCACCCCTTTTCATTCTCATAAGCGTCCCAGTTTGAACAATCAAATATATAGTCACCCACCACATAAGCCATGTTAAGGATCAGGGATACATGACCATGAAAAGACAGGGAGCTCCTTAAGATAGAAGTTAAGGTCTGTCTCAGAGCCACAAGTGCTAGAAGCTGGAGGTTTAGAGGAAGAGGATTTCTCTGGGCTGGGTGTTCAGGAAGGCTTCACAGAGAAAGACATTAGGTAGACTTGAACAACGGGGAGAAGTAAAGAAAGAAGATGGGAGATCACATCTTTACTATTTACAGCGTAGGCACTTATGGTACTATCTCATTTAATCCTCCTAACAACATCATGAAATTGGTTACGATATTATTCTCATTTTTTTTGTTTGTTTTTTTGAGATGGAGTCTCACACTGTCACCCAGGCTGGAGTGCAATGGTGGGATCTCGGCTCACTGCAACCTCCGCCTCCCGGGTTCAAGCAATTCTCCCTGCCTCAGCCTCTGGAGTAGCTGAGATTACAGGCACCTGCCACCACACCCGGCTAATTTTTGTGCTTTTTAGTTTCACCATGCTTGCCAGGCTGGTCTCGAACCCCTGACCTGAGGTGATTCGCCCACCTTGGCCTCCCAAAGTGCTGGGATCATAGGTGTGAGCCACCGCGCTCGGCCTATTCTCATTTTTATATGAGGAAAATGAGGCTTAGAGGGTCCAAAGTCCTGCAACAAGTAAGAAGCAGAGCTGGAATTCAACCCCAAAGTCTGTGATCTTTTCAAATAGTAGTTCTGCATTCAAACAGAGAACAAATAGTGCAAAGGGCAGAGCTGGGAATGTGCACATCATGGTTTGCGGGTGGTGAATAGTCCAGTCAGGCCGGGGTGACAGTGGGTGTTGACAGGGGAGAGGAATGCTGCTGCCTCCCTTGGTCACTCCAGTTCCAAGATTTGCTACAAGTCCCAAAGTATTCCTTTTGTATTCATTCCTTTTGGTTACTGTCTAGGTTTGGCTGAGCGCAAGGGGTTCATTGTTCACCTTCCTCTGTAGATGGTTTCTCCTGACTTCAGAACCATACCACTGTATTTGGTCCCTACTTTGTGCTTTTCTGCTTAGCATTCTCTTCATGGTAAGGATCTAACTGAACCTGATTCAGCTGCTGCTTGCAGTGAAGCAACACTGATGTAAATAAGCGTGGAAAGGTTCTCCAGCATCTCTTTGGACCCTGCAGTAGGTCTCTCCTGCTTGCTCTGCCTTTTCTCCACTGCTCTTATGTTTTTCCTCCAGTCAGGGCCATATGCCTCATGTTTATATAGTTTCCTCTCTAGAGAACACTCGCTCCCCCTAACTGCTTCAGTGAGCAAGTTATTTCTGCAGCCTCTTATCTCAAGTGCTTTGCTGTCACTTTGGTCCACAGCCATTTGGGCAGTTCTTGGTCTCCAGGAAACAGAGGTCTCTGGTATCAGGAGGAGGAATTACAAGTCAGAGGAGTTACTATAGGACTGGGGTATTGGGTAGAATTCTTACTGCTTTGGAAAAAAGTAAAGAATCCCCCTACCCCAGTGCTGTTCAGTATGAATGGGCCTTTGCTTCCACACTTTTTTTTTTTTTTGAGACAGAGTCTCGCTCGGTCACCCAGGCTGGAGTGCAGTGGCACGATCTTGGCTCACTGCAACCTCCGCCTCCCGGGTGCAAAAGATTCTCCTGCCTCAGCCTCCCGAGTAGCTGGGACTACAGGCACCCGCCACCACGCCTGGCTAATTTTTTGTATTTTTAGTAGAGACGGGGTTTCACCAGGTTAGCCAGGATAGTCTCGATCTCCTGACCTTGTAATCTGTCCGCCTCGGCCTCCCAAAGTGCTGGGATTACAGGCGTAAGCCACCGCGCCCGGCCTGCTTCCAAACTCTTGAAGTAGACTTAGAGAAATAGGCATGGGGAGGACCTCAGGGCAAACTTCTTTAGGGGCCCTTTGGGCAGAACCCGGACAGATAACCTCTGTCTTCTGTATTTCTCTCCAGGGATGGGAGTAGGAGATGGCGACGAGGGTGGTTTAAAAACAAAAACCTATCTCGTAACTGGATGGGGCAATTGATACCACCAGAAGTCTTCTAAAATTGCCCTTTTTGAGCTGTGGCTTTCCAGTGGGGGAAGAGAAGAGTGATAGCCTGTATAGGGAAGATGATTCTAGGTTTCCCTAGATTCCCTTTTTTTCTTAAAGTTACATTAGTTGATAACTATTCTTTGCTATGTGTTACTCCTCTGAACCTTCCCACTTTGCTAAACTCTTGAGTCTAGCAAATCTTCCCTGATTGAAGAAGTCAGACTATATGGATTTTCACCTTCTTGTAACCCAGTAGTTCTCAACTGGGGGCAGTTTTGCCCCCCAGGGAACATTCAGCAAGTCTGGAGACATTTTTGTTTGTCACGACTTAGGGTGCTACTGGCATCCATGTGGGTAGAGGCTAGGGATCCTGCCAAATATCCTATAATGCACAGGACAGCCTCCACAAAAAAAGAATTATCCGGCTGGGCATGGTGGCTCATGCCTGTAATCCAAGCATTTTGGGAGGCCGAGGCAGCTGTATCACTTGAGCCCAGGAGTTCGAGATCAGCATGGGCAACATGGTAAAACCCCATCTCTACAAAAAATGCAAAAATTTGGCTGGGCGTGGTGGCTCACGCCTGTAATCCCAACACTTGGGGAAGCTGAGGCGGGCGGATCACCTGAGGTCAGGAGTTCAAGACCAGCCTGGCCAACATGGTGAAACCCTGTCTCTACTAAAAAATACAAAAATTAGCTGGGTGTGGTGGCGCACGCCTGTAGTCTACTACAGCTACTCGGGAGGCTGAAGGGGGAGAATCACTTGAACCCAGGAGGCAGAGGTTGCAGTGAGCCCAGATTGCACCACTGCACTCCAGCCTGGGCGACAGAGTGAGACTCCATCTGAAAAAAAAAAAAAAAAACAAGGGCCGGGCACGGTGGCTCATGCCTGTAATCCCAGCACTTTGGGAGTCTGAGGCGGGCGGATCACGAGGTCAGGAGTTCAAGACCAGCCTGACCAACATGGTGAAACCCCGTCTCTACTAAAAATACAAAAATTAGCCGAGCATGGTGGCATGTGCCTGTAATCCCAGCTACTCAGGAGGCTGAGGCAAGAGAATCTCTTGAACCCAGGAGGTGGAGGTTACAGTGAGCCGAGATCACACCACTGTACTACAGCCTGGGCGACAGAGTGAGACTCCATCTCAAAAAAAAAAAAAAAAAAAAATTAGTCGGGCATGGTGGCGGGTGCCTGTAGTCCCAGCTACTCAGGAGGCTGAGATGGGAGGATCACCTGAGTCTGGGAGGTGGAGTCTGCAGTGAGCCGTGATTGCGCCATGCACTCCAGCCTGGGTTACAGAGTGAGACCCTGTCTCAAAAAGTAAAAGTTAAAAAAAGAAAAAGAATTATCTAGTCCAAAATACCAGTCATGCTGAAATTGAGAAACCCTGCTATATTTAGTGTGTCTCATTTTGTCTGTCTCATCCCATCCTCTCTCAGAACCAGGCTGAGATAGAAGTTCAAAAGTAAACTGGTGGGCTGGGCATGGTGGCTCACACCAACATTTTGGGAGGCTGAGGTGGGCGGATCACTGGAGGTCAGGAGTTCACGACCAGCCTGGCCAACATGGCAAAACCCCATCTCTACCAAAAATACAAGAATTAGCCGGGCATCATGGCGCATGCCTATAGTCCCAGGTACTCAGGAGGATGGTGCAGGAGAATTGCTTGAACCCAGGAGGTGGAGGTTGCCGTGAGCCAAGATAGTGACACTGCACTCCAGCCTGGGCAACAAAGTAAGACCCTGTCTCAAAAAAAAAAAGTAAGCAGGTAAGACAGAAGTATTGTGCCATATGCTGGGCCATAGGCTTTCTGGTCTCATTCCACCCAGCAGAATGCTTATACCTGGAATGAAATGATATAAGTACCTGCCTCATTGGGTTAAAGATTAAATGATTGATTAATGCATGAAAAAATATGAGAATAATGCCTGGCACATTCAATAAATGCTTAAAACCAAACAAAACCCAAGACCCTGTCACCCCGATTTTGGGCACTCCAGTTTTAGTATATTTTATTTTATTTATTTATTTGAGATGGAGTTTCGCTCTTGTTGCCCAGGCTGGAGTGCAAAGGCGCAATCTCGGCTCACTGCAACCTCCGTCTGCCGGGTTGAAGCAATTCTCCTGTCTCAGCCTCCTGAGTAGCTGGGATTACAGGCGCATACCACCATGCCTGGCTAATTTTTGTATTTTTAGTAGAGATGGGGTTTCATCATATTGGTTAGGTTGGTCTCAAACTCCTAACCTTAGGTGATCCGCCCGCCTCAGCCTCTCAAAGTGTTGGGATTACAGGCGCCAGCCACCACGCCCAGCCCTGGACTAGATCTTACTTTTAACCTTTATTCTCAAAGCCTCTTCACCTGCAATCATGATTTAGAAGTGTAAGCATTCGGCCGAGCACGGTGGCTCACGCCTGTAATCCCAGCACTTTGGGAGGCCAAGGCGGGCGGATCACCTGAGGTCGGGAGTTCGAGACCAGCCTGACCAACATGGAGAAACCCCATCTCTACTAAAAATACAAAATTAGCTAGGTGTGGTGGCGCATTCCTGTAATCCCAGCTACTTGTGAGGCTGAGGCATGAGAATCTGGTCAAAACTCCATCTCAAAAAAAAAAAAAAAAAAGTATAAGCATTCTTTTACCTATTATGAAAATGGGAAGAAAATAATCAACCAGGGTTGATATGCCCAAGAGCATGCCTTGAATGTATCAGCTACCCCAAATTCCCTTTTTTGACTGTTTGAGTGCCCAAAGAAGATAAGAAATCCGAAGTTTATTTACTGCTCTATAAGTTAACATTGAAGGAGATAGGAGGAAAGAACACTTTTCTACAAACTGGATATAGGTAGAATGCTATAAGCTTAGCTGAAACACTTATGCCATCTATGGAATGAGGACCCATTAGATTATTTGACCTACCTCCTCTGTGAAGATCAATGAGAGGAAGTGTGTGAAGCCCTACATGAGTATAAGGTAGATGGAGAGGCCAGGCACAGTGGCTCATACCTGTTATCCCAGCACTTTGGATCTCGAGCCCAGGAGTTTGAGACCAGCCTGTGCAACATGGCAAAATCCCGTCTCTACAAAAAAATACAAAAAATTAGCTGGGCATGGTGGCGCTTTCCTGTAGTTCCAGCTACTCAGGAGGATCGACTGAACCTAGTAGGAGGTTGAGGCTGCAGGGAGTTGTGATCACGCTACTGCATTCCAGCCTGGGCGACAGAGTGAGACCTGTCTCAAAAATATATATA
Source organism: Homo sapiens (assembly GCF_000001405.40). NCBI lineage: Eukaryota > Metazoa > Chordata > Mammalia > Primates > Hominidae > Homo > Homo sapiens. The sequence goes on from NC_000001.11 coordinate 151,017,738, forward strand.
TTATTTAAAAAAAAAAGATAAGTGGAAATGAATAGAGATACTTTTGTTAGTTTCCCATTTTCCTTTCTCTCCAGGAGTCCCGACCTCTACATGTTGTGCTGGGAAATGAAGCCTGTGATTTGGACTCCACAGTGTCTGCTCTTGCCCTGGCTTTTTACCTAGCAAAGGTGGGTAAAAAAACGTAGTACCTAGGATCTGAGTCCCTCAGAACGAAAAGATCTGGATTCAAGACCCAGCTCTACCACTTACCAGCATTTAGCATTGGGTAAATTAAATCCCTTAACTTTGCTGAGTCTCATGCCACCATCCATAAAAACTAAAATGATATTTTGCAGTGTTGCTGTGAGGAAAAAAGTGAGCAAATATATTTCGAGGGATATGTAAACCATAAAGCAATATTCAAACAGTTTATTACTGAGTTCCGTATAGGTATCAGTGATCTAGTGTGTATTCCTCTGCCCAGGTTAGTTCTTGAGGACTAAAAATTCCTTCTCTGCAGCATTGCATCTAGAAATAGGTATTTACCATGAGTTACCTTGTTGACTTTCATGTTATTACTAAGAAGGAGGGAGGGCAAAAGTCATCCTTTCATTTTTATAGACTGGGTACTTATGGCTTTGAGAAAGGTGGTAACTTACCTAAGTATGTCTCCTTTGGTCCCAGTAGTCTTGTTACTTTTTCCTGTCATTATAAAACCTTGTGATACCTTCTTTTCACTTTCCTATCTAGACAACTGAGGCTGAGGAAGTCTTTGTGCCAGTTTTAAATATAAAACGTTCTGAACTACCTCTGCGAGGTGACATTGTCTTCTTTCTTCAGAAGGTTCATATTCCAGAGAGTATCTTGATTTTTCGGGATGAGATTGACCTCCATGCATTATACCAGGCTGGCCAACTCACCCTCATCCTTGTCGACCATCATATCTTATCCAAGTAAGCACAAGGAAATTAAATTGCTACCTATCATGTACCATGCTGGGCTCTGATGAGTGAGATATAAAGAGAGGAAGAAAGAGTTTTTGCTGGCTGGGCATGGTGGCTCATGCCTGTAATCCCAGCACTTTGGGAGGCCAAGGCGGGCGGATCACCTGAGATCAGGATTTTGAGACCAGCCTGGACAACATGGCAAAACCCCGTCTCTACTAAAAATATAAAAATTAGCTGGGCGTGGTGGCAAGTGCCTGTAATCCCAGCTACTTGGGAGGCTGAGGCGGGAGAATCACTTGAACCTGGAAGGTGGTGGTTGCAGTGAGCCGAGATCGTGCCACTGCACTCCAGCCTGAGCGACAGAGCCAGACTCCGTCTCAAAAAAGAAAGAGTTTTTGCTTTCAGGGATCTCATAGGCTAATCATAATTGATAGGTCATATTAGATATAGAAAAACAACACAAAATATTGTCAGTTCTGCAGTTATATGTATGTCTGTGGCATATAGACATACCCTATAATAAAAAGAAATAGAACGTGTTGAGTTCAAACTAAAGGGTAACTCAAAAATCATTTAAATCTGCCTTTGGTATCATTATTTAAGATTTTGTGTGCCGGGTGTGATGGCTCACGCCTGTAATCTCAGCACTTTGGGAGGCCAAGGCAGCCAGATCCATTAAGCTCCAGGAGTTCAAGACCCGCCTGAGCAACATGGCAAAACCATGTCTTTACAAAAAATTTTTAAAAATTAGGCACGGTGGTGCATGCCTATGGTCCCAGCTACTCGGGAGGTTGAGGTGGGAGGATCACTTGAGCCCAGGAGGTCGAATCTGCAGTGAGCCAAGATCACACCACTCCACTCCAAGCCTGGGAGACAGAGGGAGACCCTGTCTCAAAAAAAAAAAAAAAAAAGATTCTGAGACAGATTTATTGTAATAGAAACCTTTGAAAAATGTTTGCAATTCTCTTTTTATTTTTTTACTTATTATTTATTTTTGTACTTACTTATTAAATTTTTTTTAGAGAAGAGGGTCTTGCTATATTGCCCAGGCGGATCTCAAATTCCTAGGCTCATGCTATCTTCCTGCCTCTGCCTCCCTAAGTGCTGGTTTATAGGTGTGAGCCACCACACCTGGCCTGCAACTCTATTTTTAATTTTAATTTTAATTAATTATTTTTTTTTGAGATGGAGTCTTGCTCTGTCACCCAGGCTTCAGTGCAGTGGTGTGATCTCGGCTCACTGCAACAACCTCTGCCTCCTGGGTTCAAGCGATTCTCCCTGCCTCAGTCTCCTGAGTAGCTGGGATTACAGGTGCGCGCCACCATGCCCAGCTAATTTTTATATTTTTTACTGGAGACAGGGTTTTGCGCTGTTGGCCAGGCTGGCCTGGAACTCCTGACCTCAGATGATCTGCCCACTTTGGCCTCCCAAAGTGGTGGGATTACAGGCGTGAGCCACCACACCTGGCCTATTTTTAATTTTTAAAAAGTGGCCTGGTGTGGTGGCTCACGCCTGTAATCCCAGCACTTAGGGAGACCTGTCTGACCACTATAGCGAGACCCTGTTCTCTAAAAAAAAATAATAAATACAAAAATCTATAAACATAGTGTGACCTTGTCTCTACTAAAAATAAAAAAATTTGCCAGGTGTGGTAGTGCATGCCTGTAGTCCCAGCTACTTAGGAGGCTGCTGAGGTGGTAGGATCACTTGAGCCTAGGAATTGAGGCTTCAGTAAGCCATGATCACATCACTGTACTCCAGCCTGAGTGACAGGGCAAGAACTTGTCTCCAAAAAAATTTTTTTAAGTTATCAAAAGGGCCAGGTGTGGTGGCTCACACCTGTAAACCCAGCACTTTGGGAGGGTGAAACAGGAGGGTTGCTTGAGCCCAGGAGTTCAAGACCAGCTTGGGCAAGATGGTGAGATCCCATCTCTACAAAAAAATTTAAAAGCACACAAAAAGTTAGCAAAAGTTTTTCTACATAAACTCTTACGATTTTAGAATAATGTATTATGTTAGAATATATAAATATCTCAGGCCAGGCGCGGTGGCTCATGCCTGTAATCCCAGCACTTTGGGAGGCTGAGGGGGGCGGATCATGAGGTCAGGAGATGGAGACCATCCTGGCTAACATGGTGAAAACCCGTCTCTACTAAAAAATACAAAAAATTAGCCGGGCATGGTGGCGGACGCCGATAGTCCCAGCTACTCGGGAGTCTGAGGTAGGAGAATGGCATGAACCCGGGAGGCGGAGCTTTCAGTGAGCTGAGATCATGCCACTTGCACTCCAGCCTGGGCGACAGAGCAAGACTCCATCTTAAAAAAAAAAAAAAATAGCTGGGCGTGGTGGCTCGCGCCTGTAAGTCCCAGCTACTTGGGAGGCTGAGGCAGGAGAATCGCTTGAACCTAGGAGGTGGAGGTTGCAGTGAGCCAAGATCGCGCCACTGCGCTCCAGTCTGAGCGACAGAGTGATGCTCTGTCTCAAAAAAAAAAAAAAAAAAATTAGCCAGGCCGGGCGTGGTGGCTCACGCCTGTAATCCCAGCACTTTGGGAGGCTGAGGCGGGCAGAATCACCTGAGGTCAGGAGTTTGAGACCAGCCTGACCAACATGGAGAAACCCCATCTCTACTAAAAATACAAAATTAGCCAGGCGTGGTGGCACATGCCTGTAATCCCAGCTACTCAGGAGGCTGAGGCAGGAGAATTGCTTGAACATGGGAGCCAGAGGTTGCGGTGAGCCGAGATCATGCCATCGCACTCCAGCCTGTGCAACAAGAGCGAAACTCCGTCTCAAAAAAAAATTTTTTTTAATCTATAAATATCTCAATAATGTCTGTTTAACAAATGTACACATTTATAATAATTCCATCCCTAATTTACTACTGGAAAAAACTACCAAAAAAGCAACACGATTATGTGACTTTCCTAAGTCTGTTTGGCTCCTGCTAATATTTTTTTCTTGAGCACATTGTGGTTATAGCAGGATACTGACAGAAGGCAGCCTGAGAGAGCATTATCCATCTATGGATTCATTCAGTAATAAACTTTCCTTTTTTTTTCTTTTTTTTTTTTGAGACAGAGTTTTCTCTTGTTGCCTAGGTTGGAGTGCAATAGTGCAATCTAGGCTCACTGCAACCTCCGCCTCCCGGGATAATTTTGTGTGTGTGTGTGTGTGTGTGTTTTTAGTAGAGATGGGGCTTCACCATGTTGGTCAGGCTGGTCTTCAACTCCTGACCTCAGGTGATCCGCCCACCTCGGACTCCCAAAGTGCTGGGATTACAGGTATGAGCCACCGTGCCACCACCTTTTTTTTTTTTAAGAGATGGTGTCTCTCTCGCTCTGTCTCCTAGGCTAGAGTACAGCGGCATCATCATAACCTTGAGCTCCTGGGTTCAAGGAATCCTCCCGCCTCAGCCTCCTGTGTAAAAGCATCATTCCTGGCTAATTTTTTTTTTTTTTTTTTTGAAACTGAGTTTTGTTCTTGTTGCCCAGGCTGGAGTGCAATGGCACCATCTCGGCTCACTGCAGTGAGCCTCCCAGATTCAAGTGATTCTCCTGCCTCAACCTCCCAAGTAGCTGGGATTACAAGCATGCGCCACCACACCCAGCTAATTTTTTGTATTTTTAGTAGAGACGGGGTTTCACCATGTTGGCAAGGCTGGTCTCAAACTCCTGGCCTCAAGTGATCCGCCCGCCTCAGCCTCCCAAAGTGCTGGGATTACAGGCGTGAGCCACCACGCCCGGCCTGGCTAATTTTTTTTTTTTTTTTTTAAGAGACGTAGTCTCGCTCTGTCGCCCAGGCTGGAGTGCACTGGCGCGATCTCGGCTCACTGCAAGCTCCGCCTCCCGGGTTCACGCCATTCTCCTGCCTCAGCCTCCCGAGTAGCTGGGACTACAGGTGTGCCCGCCACCACACCTGGCTAATTTTTGTATTTTTAGTAGAGACAGGGTTTCACCGTGTTAGCCAGGATGGTCTCGATCTGACCTCGTGATCCGCCCGCCTTGGCCTCCCAAAGTGCTGCGATTACAGATGTGAGCCACCATGCCCAGCCTTTATTTTTTATTTTAAATATATATATTTTTTTTTTATGGAACAGTTCACAAATGTGCATGTCATCCTTGCTCAGCGGCCATGCTAATCTTCTCTGTGTCATTCCAATTTTAGCGCATGTGCTGCTGAAGTGAGCACTGATCTCAGTCTTGAAAGAGGACTAGGTGTTTGCTTGGTGAATTGGGAGGGAGGAGGGAAGGTGGTTAGGAAAGGCATTCCAGGCAGAGGGAGTAATTAATAGAATCAAATGCAGGCAGGCGTGAAATAGCATGGTGAGCTAGGGGAAATGGAATTTGTTTTGCACAGCTGGAGCATAAAATTTGAGGGAGAAGTAGGACATGGAAAAAGATGAGACAGAGGGGGCAGGCAGGAGGCAGATTATGGAGGCCTCATAGGCCCTTCTAAGGTGATTGGATTTTATTTTAGGCCGTGGGGAACTATTTTAAATTATATTCTGGGTCCTAAAAGAATCAGATTTTCTTTTTTCAAATGATCATTCAGGCCACTTTGTGAAGGACAGCCCAGGAGGGCTCTTGGTTGGAAGCAGGTGATTGGTTAAGAGACTACTGGAATAGTCCAGACGAGAGATATTGAGGGCCTAGAGTGGGGCAGTAACAGAGAGTTAGAAACTAGGGCATGGATAGGAATTAAGATAGAATTCACAGGACCTGGTGACCCACATGGAATCTAAGTATTGAGTGGGTTATAAAAATAGGAGAGATTTGCTGGGCGCGGTGGCTCATGCCTGTAATCCCAGCACTTTGGGAGGCCGAGGCGGGCGGATCACGAGGTCAGGAGTTCGAGACCAGCCTGGCCAATATGGTGAAACCCCGTCTCTACTAAAAATACAAAAATTAGCTGGGCCTGGTGGTGGGCGCCTGTACTCCCAGCTACTTAGGAGGCTGAGGCAGGAGAATTGCTTGAACCTGGGAGGCGGAGGTTGCAGTGAGCCAAGATTGCACCACTGCACTCCAGCCTGGGCGACACAGCGAGATTCCGTCTTAGAAAAAAAAAAAAAAAGGAGAAATTTAGATGTTGGGTATCAAGGGTGTCAAGGGTATAGGGTTGGAAAGGCAACGCTAAAGGACAGCAAATGTGGGGGTAAGATATTTGCAGCAGATGCTTCACAGAATTTGCTTATACACTATTTAAAGATGACTCCAATTATAACATTAAAGAAAAGAATTGCTGGGCGCGGTGGCTCACGCCTGTAATCCCAGCTCTTTGGGAGGCCAAGGCGGGCAGATCACGAGGTCAGGAGTTCGAGACCAGCCTGACCAACATGGTGAAACCCCATCTTTACTAAAAATACAAAAAAAAAAATTAGCCGGGTTTGGTGGCACGTGCCTTGTAATCCTGGTTACCCAGGAGGCTGAGGCAGGAGAATCACTTGAACCCGGGAGGTGGAGGTTGCAGGAGCCGAGATCGTGCCATTGCACTCCAACCTGGGCAACAGAGTGAGACTCCGTCTCAAAAAAAAAAAAAAAAAAGAATTGAGAGGAGTTAGGCAGAGGTAAAAGTAACCAAAGGTCAGTTTTAAATGCTTGCCTGGCAGATCACCTGAGGTCAGGAGTTTGAGACCAGACTGGCCAACATGGCGAAACCCCATCTCTACTAAAAATACAAAAAAATTAGCTGGGCATGTTGGCAGGCGCCTTTAATCCCAGCTACTCAGGAGGCTGAGGCAGGAGAATCGCTTGAACCCGAGATGCAAAGGTTGCAGTGAGCCAAGAACGCACCATTGCACTCTAGCCTGGGCGACAAGAGTGAAACTCCGTCTCAAAAAAAAAAAGACATCTGCATTTTCCTTGATGTGTGGGGTAGAGGTTGGCTAGAAGCAGCTGGAGTGTCCGTACCTATCTTTCTTCCTCTTTTCCCATACCCTCCCCTCCACAGAAGTGACACAGCCCTAGAGGAGGCAGTAGCAGAGGTGCTAGACCATCGACCCATCGAGCCGAAACACTGCCCTCCCTGCCATGTTTCAGTTGAGCTGGTGGGGTCCTGTGCTACCCTGGTGACCGAGAGAATCCTGCAGGGGGCACCAGAGATCTTGGACAGGCAAACTGCAGCCCTTCTGCATGGTAAGGGTGGCTTTTGGATTGGGACCTCAGTAGTTCTATTCCTGTCCCTGAGAAGGGAGGGTGGAAAAGTCTAGACGCTTCCAGCCTAACCATATGCTCTCAGAGCCATTCAGCTCATACCAAAAGATAGGATTCTTTCAGGGGACAATTGAGCATGTGTTTAAAGGCCTGTGGGATACTTGTTGGAGAAAGTAGAAAGGAAGTGCAGGGCAACAGACCAAGAAGCTTCCTATTGGCATCATTTTATGATGGAAGGAGGATTAGCTAAAGAAGCAGGAAACAGATTCCAATACCAATTCCTCCAGGAAATAGGTGACCTTGAGCAAATCTCTTAACCTTTCTTGTTCTCATTTTTCCACTTGTAAAAAAAAAGAGAGAGAGAGTGAGTTGGACTAGACTGTCTTTTCCAACTTAGAAGATTCTTTGATGGGATTTGGCCTACTGAAGAGGTGTATCTCTGTCTGACTAGGCTGTAAAATCTCCAAGGTTTGAGATGCTCAGGCTTTCTTTCTACCTTTTCCCCATTTCCCTTCCTACATTTTAGTTTGGATTTGGGAGGTCTGAGGACACTGTCCATCCCAGTTTCTCATTTTGCTTTCAGAGATTTTGCTATACAAATCTCCTTGTGTGTGTCCATTTGGTGTGAAGGTTATATATGTTCTGGTGGTTGTGTGTGAAGGGTCACAGGATTCAAGTTCCACCATCTCCCTTCTCCACAGGAACCATCATCCTGGACTGTGTCAACATGGACCTTAAAATTGGAAAGGCAACCCCAAAGGACAGCAAATATGTGGAGAAACTAGAGGCCCTTTTCCCAGACCTACCCAAGAGAAATGATATATTTGATTCCCTACAAAAGGCAAAGTTTGATGTATCAGGTATGAAATGTTAGCTGACTTTTCTGCCTCCCAGATAAGAAAACAGAAAGGCAAGCCTTGTTCATTATATTATTTTTTTTTTTTTGAGACAGAGTCTTGCTCTGCCACCCAGGCTAGAGTGCAGTGGCACAATCTTGGCACACTGCAACCTCGACCTCCTGGGTTCAAGCGATTCTCCTGCCTCAGCCTCCCGAGTAGCTGGGATTACAGGCGCCCACCACCACGCCCAGCTAATTTTGGTATTTTTAGTAAAGATCGGGTTTCACCATGTTGACCAGGCTGGTCTTGAACTCTGAAGCTCAGGTGATCTGCCCGCCTGGGCCTCCCAAAGTGCTGGGATTACAGGCATGAGCCACCGCGCCTGGCCAATTATTTAAATTTTATACCAGAAAGAAATGAAGTACCATATTAGCCTAAGCATGAAATAATCAGTCATTTACTGGATTGTTCTATCCTGGCTCTTGGTTAGGATGAGGAGGAATGTATTAAGAGCCTCAGAAGGGCCAGACGCAGTGGCTCACGCCTGTAATCCCAACACTTTGGGAGGCCGAGGTGGGCAGATCACCTGAGGTCAGGAGTTCAAGACCAGCCTAGCTAACATGGTGAAACTCCGTTTCTACTAAAAATACGAAAAATTAGCTGAGCGTGGTGGTGTGTGCCTGTAATCCCATCTACTCAGGAGGCTGAGGCAGGAAAATCGCTTGAACCCGGGAAGTGGAGGTTGCAGTGAGCCGAGATTGCGCCATTGTACTCCAGCTTGGGCAACGACAGCGAAACTCCGTCTCAAAAAAAAACAAAAAGAGCCTCATAGGTTCCAGTCTATTCAGAGAATACAGGACATATATATAAAATATGCTGAGAGTATACTAAATTATCAGAGTGAAATCTATAGAATTGGTTAGGGAGGCAAAAGAAATATTTTGTGAGTAAACAAAAGATGAAGAGAACCCAAAAAAAACTGTATTCTTGTACTCAGCTACCACCTGTTGACATAAAAAGGAAGAAAGAAAGAAAGAACTCACATGTAAACAGTATAGGAAGAGGGAAAGATAAAAAGTAAAAGCCTCTGTTCTGGGTTTCATCCTTCTCTCCAAAGTTACTTGCTCTAAAGGTACCTATTGTCACCAGTTATTTAAGATGGCTTTTGATTATGTGATTACATTTTCTTTCTTTCTTTTTTTTTTTTTTTTTTGAGACAGAGTCCAGGTTCAAGTGATTCTCCTGCTTCAGCCTCCTGAGTAGCTGGGATTACAAGTGCCCGCCACCACACCCAGCTAATTCTTTGTATTTTTAGTAGAGACAGAGTTTCATCATGTTGACCAGGCTGGTCCCAAACTCCTGACCTCAGGTGATCCGCCCACCTCAGCCTCCCAAAGTGCTGGGATTACAGGCCTGAGTCACCGCGCCCGGCTATGATTACATTTTCAATTATCTCCCCCATTCATTGCCCCAAAGAGAGGCTGTTTTTCCTTCCTTGACCCATCTGGCTGTCCTTGCCTTCTTGGTCTTGGGACCCTGGCCTACCCTGTTTGACCCCTAGTCTCTCATCTGCTTTCTAGGACTGACCACTGAGCAGATGCTGAGAAAAGACCAGAAGACTATCTATAGACAAGGCGTCAAGGTGGCCATTAGTGCAATATATATGGATTTGGAGGTAAGAGCAAGTTGTGGCTGTGGGTGGGGAGAGAAAGCCTTTAGCTATGCATGTTATGCATGTGGCCTTGCACCTCATTCCTGGCTCACCTCCAAAATGTATCTTGTGTCTATCTTTGTCTCTACCTCCACTGTGACCACCAGAGTCCAGCATCTCTCACTGCACCGCTGTATTAGCCTCAGTACTGGTGTCCCTGCCTCTGCTTTTGCAGCCCTACAAACCATTCTCCCCGCAGCAGCCAGAGTGGTCTTTTTTAATTTTTTTTTTTTTTTTTTAAGGGAGTCATGCTTTGTTGCCAGGCTAGAGTACAGTGGTACCATCATGGCTCACTGCAGCCTCAACCTTCCAGGCTCAAGCAATCCTCCCACCTTAGCCTCTCGAGTAGCTGGGTCCACAGGTGCACACCACCACACCTAACTAGTGTGTGTGTGTGTGTGTGTGTGTGTGTGTGTGTGCGCGCGCGTGTATGTATGTGTCGATGGGGTCTCACTATGTTGCCCAGGCTGGTCTCAAACTCCTGGCCTCAAGCAGTTCTCCTTTTGGCCTCCGAAGTTCTGGGATTATAGGCGTGAGCCACTGTGCCCGGCCTCATTGTATTTTTAATAAAATCTAAAGGACTTACTGTGGTTTACAGCGCCATGCTTGATCTGGCCCTTGTCTTTTTCTCTGGCCTCATCTCATTCCAGCTCCACTCCTGTTCTACAGTACTGCAGCCACACTGGTTTCTTTTCTGTTCCTCAGAACCATTAAGCTCATTCCCAGCTGAGCTTTTTTCTTTGTAAAGCTGGCTCCTTCTTAACATTCAGGTACTCAGCTCAGATGTCTCTTGTTTTGGGAGGTTTTTCCTGACCACCCTAACTGAAGTACTATCTCCTATGCTCAAAAAACCTCTAGCAGTTATGTATGTATGTTTGTTTGTTTGTTTGTTTTGAGCCTGAGTCTTATTCTGTTGCCCAGGATGGAGTGGAATGGCATGATCTCAGCTCACTGCAACCTCTGCCTCCCGGGTTCAAGTAATTCTCCTGCCTCAGCCTCCCTAGTAGCTGGGATTACTGGTGCGTGCCGGCATGCCCAGCTAATTTTTTGTTTTGTTTTGTTTTGTTTTTGTTTTTTGAGACGGAGTTTCGCTCTTGTCCCCCAGGCTGGAGTGCAATGGCGCAATCTCAGCTCACTGCAACTTCCGCCTCCCTGGTTCAAGCGATTCTCCTGCCTCAGCCTCCTGAGTAGCTGGGATTACAGGCATATGCCCCCATGCCCGGCTAATTTTTGTATTTTTACCAGAGACAGGGTTTCACCATGTTGGCTAGGCTGGTCTCGAACTCCTGACCTCAAGTGATCACCTGCCTCGGCCTCCCAAAGTGCTAGGATTATAGGCGTAAGCGACCGTGCCCGGCCCAAGGATGTTTTATTGATGATGATGAGAAAGTCCTTCATCCCTCTCCGTTTCTTCCCTTTCAGGCCTTTCTGCAGAGGTCTAACCTCCTTGCAGATCTCCATGCTTTCTGCCAGGCTCACAGCTATGATGTCCTGGTTGCCATGACTATCTTTTTCAACACTCACAATGAGCCAGTGCGGCAGTTGGCTATTTTCTGTCCCCATGTGGCACTCCAAACAACGGTGAGTCTGTGTCCCTTCTCCAACCTAAGAGCCTTACAGAGTCTGCCTGTATGTACCTCTGTGCTCTACAGCTGTCCTATAAGGACCTCTCTTAGGTTCTTATATTAATGTACTTACATGAGGTCCCTTGACCTGTTTCTGGACCTGTTTCCTCCCCTTTCTGCTTTTTCCCATTCTCTCTCTATATGAATATCCTTTTTTTTTTTTTAATGAACATCCTTAATCATAGCATTGTTGAGAAAGGGGGAATTCCAAAGAGAACTAGAGATTCAATTCCTACTTTGAAAGAACGAAATCTAGTTAGAAGGAAATGTTATAAATCCGGAGTTAAAATTCCCTTCTTGAGCTAGGGACAGTGGCACGTGCCTGTAGTCCCAGCAACTCGGGAGGCTGATGCAGAAGGATTGCTTAAGCTGGAAAGTTTTTTTTTTTTTTTTTTTTTTGAGACAGTCTTGTGCTGTTGCCCAGGCTGGGGTGCAGTGGCACAATCTCGGCTCACTGCAAGCTCTGCCTCCTGGGTTAACGCCATTGTCCTGCCTCAGCCTCCCGAGTAGCTGGGACTACAGGCGCCCGCCACCACGCCCGGCTAATTTTTTGTATTTTTAGTAGAGACGGGGTTTCACCGTGTTAGCCAGGATAGTCTCGATCTCCTGACCTCGTGATCCGCCCGCCTTGGCCTCCCAAAGTGCTGGGATTACAGGCGTGAGCCACCGCGCCCAGCCGAGCTGGAAAGTTTGAGTCCAGCCTGGGCAAAGATAGCAAGACCTCATCTCTGTTGGGGAAAAAAAAAAACAAAAACTCTATTCTTGGTTTAATCATTAATTCCTCACCCCTGGAATTATGCTGTTGCCTTGAAAATTAGAAATACGAGAGACCTTTTCTGCTACTTACTATGCAGGGATTAATTATTCTGTATAGTGCAAACTCTGTAAAGAAGTGATCTAGATCCAGATTTGGCTATCTTTCCTACTTCCTCCCCCTTCTGTTCCTCTGCTGGTTACTGATTAGCCTAGGGAAGAATTTAAAAGTGGGCTTAAGGCTGGGTGCGGTGGCTCACACCTGTAATCCCAGCACTTTGGGAAGCTGAGGCGGGCAGATCACGAGAGCAAGAGATCAAGACCATCCTGGCCAACATGGTGAAACCCCATCTCTTTTAAAAATACGGAAATTAGCTGGGCGTGGTGGTGCGTGCCTATAGTCCCAGCTACTCAGGAGGCTGAGGCAGGAGAATCTCTTGAACCTCGGCAAGCAGAGGTTGCAGTGAGCCGAGATTGCGCCACTGTACTCCATCCTGCCAACAGAGCAAGACTCCGTCTCCAAAAAAAAAAAAAAAAAAGGTGGGCTTAAGGCAGTTCAGGGATTCTGAGGGTTGCCTAGGCTCTGTGAGGACTGCTAAAGACAGAATACAGCCAGATAATCCTTTGCTCTCATAGAAGGTATGTCTGTCCTTTCCCGCCCCCCTTTGCCTTTGCCTTCTCCCCAGGAAGCAAATCTGATTTCATTCAGTGTAAGGTAGTTCGTCATTATGAAAAGAACTGCAGTTTTGTCTGTTTGTTTGTTTTTTAAGATGGAGTCTCACTCTGTCGCCCAGGCTTGAGTACAGTGGTGTGATCTTGGCTCACTGCAACCGCCACCTCCCAGGTTCAGTCAGTTCTCCCACCTCAGCCTGTAGCTGGGACTACAGGCGCCTGCCACCATGCCTGACTAATTTTTGTATTTTTAGTAGAGATGGGGTTTCACCATGTTAGCCAGGCAGGTCTCGAACTCCTGACCTCAAGTGATCCACCTGCCTTGGCCTTCCGAAGTGCTGGAATTACAAGCCTGAGCCACTGCACCTGGCCAAGAACTGCAGTTTTTAAAGTCAGGTAGATGTGCTTTTCTGTTCTAGGTTTGCCTCTTACTCACTCTTTGAGCTAAGGCAAGTCAGTTGACTTCTGCATCTGGAAATGGCATAATAGTACCTACTGCTAATTCTGCTATGATCATTAAACGTAATATCATGTGTAAAGCACACTCCTGGAGCAGAGTAAGCACTTTGTAAATAGTGGCTCTTACTAATCCTGTCAGTAAGAAAAGGGTGCTTTGGCCATTAGAAGTACCTCTTCCACGTTCCTGAATCTTCTCCCCTCTGTGCTGCTCTTTTAAAGCTGTGTGGATTTCTAATGACTCTACCATTGTCTAGGTTGCCCCTATGCTTGGAAACAGGAGTCCTTCTCTCTCTGTTTTGTTTTTGTGTGTGTGTGTGTGTGTTTTTTTTTTTTTTTGAGATGTCTCACTCTGTTGACCAGGCTGGAGTGGTACAATGGCACTATCTCAGCTCACTGCAACCTCTGCCTCCCGGGTTCAAGCAATCCTCCCAGCCTCCCAAGTAGCTGCGGCTACAGGCACACCACCATGGCTAGCTAATTTTTTTTGTATTTTTTGTAGGGACAGAGTCTCGCTATGTTGCCCAGGCTGGTCTCGAACTCCTGGACTCAAGTGATCCACCAGCCTCAGCTTCCCAGAGTTCTGGAATTGCAGGTGTGGGCCACTATGCCCAGCCAGGAGTCCTTTTCTTACAGTCTACTCTACCATCTCCTCTCTTTCTCCTATGTTAGGGGTAGTATAATATATTGATTTAGAACACTGGCTTTGGTGACAGCTCTGGGCTCAGTGTCAGTTTTGCTTCATGCAAATTATGACCTTAGGCAAGTTACCTGATCATTGAAGCCTCAGTTTCCCTGCATGTAAGTGAGGGTAATAGTGATACCAGTCTTATTTTGTTCAATTCATTCTTTCTTCCTCCATCCCTCTTCTGGCCTCTAGATAAATTCTAGTTCCATCCTAGTTCAAGTTCTTGAGCACATTTATACACTTGGAAACGACACTAGATTAGAAGCTGGGGTTCCTCGGTTCTGGTTTAACTGCCATCATCTGCATGATTTTACTCACAACCATCTTACTTCGCTTTAGTTACTTTAATAATAAAATGAAATATACAATCTAAACTGTTTCCTCTGTTTTTAAAATACTGTGTATGGCTGGGTATGGTAGCTCATGCCTGTAATCCCAGAACTTTGGGAGGCTGAGCTGGGCAGATCACCTGAGCTCAGGAGTTTGAGACCAGCCTGGCCAATATGGCGAAACCCCGTCTCTACTAAAAATACAAAAATTAGCTGGGCATGATGGCAGGTGCCTGTAATCCCAGCTACTCAGGAGGCTGAAGCAAGAGAATTGCTTGAATCTGGGAGGCGAAGGTTGCAGTGAGCTAAGATCGTGCCACTGTACTCCAGCCTGGGTAACAGAGCAAGAATCCATTTCAAAAAAAAAAAAATTAAAGTAAAATAAAATAAATAAAACACTGTGTATGAATCCCAGCACTTTCGGAGGCTGAAGCAGGAGGATTGCTTGAGACCAGGATTTGGAGACCAGCCTGGGCAACATAGCAAGACCCCATCCCTAGTCTATTAAATAAAAAATACAAAATACTAAAATAAAATACTGTGGGCCAGGCTTGGTGGCTCACACCTGTAATCCTAGCACTTTGGGAGGCCGAGGCGAGAGCGGATGACCTGAGGGCAGGAGTTCGAGACCAGCCTGGCTAACATGGTGTAACCCCGTCTCCACTAAAAATACAAACATTAGCCAGGCTGGGTGACACATGCCTGTAGTCCCAGCTACATGGGAGGCTGAGGCAGGAGATTCACTTGAACCGGGGAGGCAGAGGTTGTACTGAACTGAGATTGCACCACTGCACTCCAGCCTGGGCGACAGAGCAAGACTCTGTCTCAAAAAAAAAAAAAAATACTGTGTATATTAGTGTTCCTTCTGTTGCAAACAATAAAACCGAACTCTGGACAACTTACTTTTTTTCTTGTCTTGCTTTATTGCCCAGGCTGGAGTGCAATGGTGAGATCTCGGCTCACTGCAACCTCCGCCTCCCAGGTTCAAATGATTCTCCTATCTCAGCCTCCCAAGTAGCTGGGATTACAGGTGTGAACCACCATGTCTGGCTAATTTTTGTATTTTTCGTAGAGATGGGGTTTCAGCATGTTGACAAGGCTGTTCTCGAATTCCTGACCTCAGGTGATCCGCCCACCTTGGCCTCCCAAAGTGCTGGGATTACAGGCGTGAGCCACTGTGCCCGGCCTCAAGGATAACTTACTTTTTTTTTTTTTTGAGACGGAGTTTCGCTCTTGTTGCCCAGGCTGGAGTGCAGTGGCACCATCTTGGCTCACTGCAACTTCTGTCTCCTGGGTTCAAGTGATTCTCCTGCCTCAGCCTCCCAAGTAGCTGGGATTACAGGCATGCGCCATCATGCCTGGCTAATTTTGTATTTTTAGTAGAGATGGGGTTTCTCCATGATGGTCAGGCTGGTCTCAAACTCCCGACCTCAGGTGATCGGCCCCCTTTAGCCTCCCAAAGTGCTGGGATTACAGGCGTGAGCCACCGCGCCCGGCTGACTTACTTTTTTTTTTTTTTTTTGAGATGCAGTGTTGCTCTGTCGCCCAGGCTGGAGTGCAGTGGCGCGATCTCCGCTCACTGCAAGCTCCGCCTCCTGGGTTCACGCCATTCTCCTGCCTCAGCCTCCCGAGTAGCTGGGACTACAGGCACCCGCCACCATGCCCGGCTAATTTTTTGTATTTTTAGTAGAGACGGGGTTTCACTGTGTTAGCCAGGATGGTCTCAATCTCCTGACCTCATGATCCACCCGCCTCGGCCTCCCAAAGTGCTGGGATTGCAAGCGTGAGCCACCGCACCCCGCCCGGCCGACTTACTTTTTAAAAGCTTCCTCTTCTATAGAGGAAGCCTCTCACTTAGAAGCCCAGCACTTTGCTACAGCAAGTTGTGTATCATTTCCCTGTTATTGTCTCCTCTTTAGATCTGTGAAGTCCTGGAACGCTCCCACTCTCCACCCCTGAAGCTGACCCCTGCCTCAAGTACCCACCCTAACCTCCATGCCTATCTTCAAGGCAACACCCAGGTCTCTCGAAAGAAACTTCTGCCCCTGCTCCAGGAAGCCCTGTCAGCATATTTTGACTCCATGAAGATCCCTTCAGGACAGCCTGAGACAGCAGATGTGT
This sequence comes from Homo sapiens, assembly GCF_000001405.40. Classification (NCBI taxonomy): domain Eukaryota; kingdom Metazoa; phylum Chordata; class Mammalia; order Primates; family Hominidae; genus Homo; species Homo sapiens. The sequence goes on from NC_000001.11 coordinate 151,034,008, forward strand.
CCAGGGAGCAAGTGGACAAGGAATTGGACAGGGCAAGTAACTCCCTGATTTCTGGCCTGAGTCAAGATGAGGAGGACCCTCCGCTGCCCCCGACGCCCATGAACAGCTTGGTGGATGAGTGCCCTCTAGATCAGGGGCTGCCTAAACTCTCTGCTGAGGCCGTCTTCGAGAAGTGCAGTCAGATCTCACTGTCACAGTCTACCACAGCCTCCCTGTCCAAGAAGTGACTGTTGAGAGGCGAGGAGGTAGTGGGTGAGGCTACCTGACTCACTTCAAATGCATGTTTTGAGATGTTTGGAGATTCAGCAATTCTGTCTTCATTGCTCCAGGATCTGGTATACTGTTCTCATAAAACTGAGAGGAGAAAAAAAGTGAAAGAAAGCAGCTGCTTTAAGAATGGTTTTCCACCTTTTCCCCCTAATCTCTACCAATCAGACACATTTTATTATTTAAATCTGCACCTCTCTCTATTTTATTTGCCAGGGGCACGATGTGACATATCTGCAGTCCCAGCACAGTGGGACAAAAAGAATTTAGACCCCAAAAGTGTCCTCGGCATGGATCTTGAACAGAACCAGTATCTGTCATGGAACTGAACATTCATCGATGGTCTCCATGTATTCATTTATTCACTTGTTCATTCAAGTATTTATTGAATACCTGCCTCAAGCTAGAGAGAAAAGAGAGTGCGCTTTGGAAATTTATTCCAGTTTTCAGCCTACAGCAGATTATCAGCTCGGTGACTTTTCTTTCTGCCACCATTTAGGTGATGGTGTTTGATTCAGAGATGGCTGAATTTCTATTCTTAGCTTATTGTGACTGTTTCAGATCTAGTTTGGGAACAGATTAGAGGCCATTGTCTTCTGTCCTGATCAGGTGGCCTGGCTGTTTCTTTGGATCCCTCTGTCCCAGAGCCACCCAGAACCCTGACTCTTGAGAATCAAGAAAACACCCAGAAAGGCCTTAATGACCTCATAGGCACTCTTCCAAAAAGACAACAGAACTGGAATGAGAGGCCTGGGTCTGTCTCCTGCCTTAGCAGGCCTATCAATTTCTTGTCAATCTCTTTTTTTCCTTGCTCACATTAAAAGGAAGCATGGAGTTCTAATGCTCCCATAAACTATGTATTTTGGCAAGACACTTCACTACTCCAGGTCTCACTTTCCCCATCTGTAAAACAGGGTTTGGACTAGGTGTTCCCTGGTATTCTGTGATCTGCCTCTTGCTGCCATTCTTTCTCTCCTCTGCTTCTCTGTATTTTTCTTCTGTTATCCCTGGGGGTGCTCAGGTTCACTTGATTGTCTGTATTTCTGTGTGGTTGTAGCAAGGACTCAGCCTCATGTAGCACGAATAGGGGTGTGGTTCATGGCGTGTTGACCCAGCAGAGCACTCCCTCCCACTAACTTGTTCTGCATGTGTAGAGTCTCCCCATTTTTTTTAACGCAACCCTTTCCCCTTTTTCCTACCCCACAGCTCTGTTCCATGTAAGTTGCCAACAGTTTCACTGAACAGTGGGGTATGTGATGGTTTTGGCATGACATCTTCAGTATGAGGGGGACAGTTTGACTTCACTTTGAGGGTGTGATGTCTGTAGCTATGTGGAAGGTAAAAATAGTGGTGTGATCATGAACCAAAGGAATTTATGTTTTGTAACTTGGGTACTTTATTTTGCATTTTGTTATACTATTAAATAATTTTTTCCTGTTTGGGGGTCTTACTGTCTTTTTTTACAAGTGTATTCAGGCCTTTCTCTGTGATAGTTGTTTCAGTCTCCTCAAAATTGATCCCCCTTCTTCCTACTATACTTAATGTCTTCTTTCTGTTGACTCTTTTTGGGAATAAGGAGCAACAGGCTTCTGTCTCCCCTCATCCTCAGCCTCCCGTTCAACTTGTTTATTCTCCCAGAAACCTCCTTATAACATACTTCCGTTTCCCCAGTTTTCCTTATGCTTGAAAAGTAGATCCAAGATAACAGTCCTAGAAACACACACAATGGTTTCTTTTTCTTTTTTTTTTTTTTTTTGAGATGGAGTTTTGCTCTTTTTGCCCTGGCTGGAGTGCAATGGCACAATCTCAGCCCACTACAACCTCTGCCTCCCAGGTTCAAGCGATTCTCCTGCCTCAGCCTCCCAAGTAGCTGGGATTATAGGCATGTGTCACCACGCCCAGATAATTTTTTTTTTTTTTTTTTTTTTTTTTTTTTTTTGGATTTTTAGTAGAGATGGGGTTTCTCCACATTGGTCAGGCTGGTCTCAAACTCCCGACCTCAGGTGATCCGCCTGCCTTGGCCTCCCAAAGTGTTGGGATTACAGGTGTGAGCCACCACGCCCGGCCAGAAACACAACGGTTTCTACTGGTTTTTTTGCTTATTTGTGTAAAGAGCAACTTTGAGAGGGATATATGGAGTCTGGAAAGGAGAACAAATTGCCTTCCTAGACTCAACCGAGACTGGCCCCCACTAGAAAATGCACTCTCCTCCCCAAAACCCGCCCCCTCACAGGAGGCAGGGTTTTTCTTTTGGGCAAACCTGCTCCTGGGGAGAGGAGTGGCAAAACCTGTTTTGAAGATGAGGTTACCTCCCTTCCACACCTCCCTCCTTGGAGGCAAGAGCTACAACAGCTGAGACAGAAAAGAGGTAAGGAAGTGTTGGGGGCTGGGACAACCAGCTCCCCAACAACTCCTAGGTGTTTAAAGAAGGAGGCAGGAAGACTTGTGAAGATGGGAACTATACAAGAGGCAGGAAAAAAGACAGATGTTGGGTAAGTAAGATCTTGGCTCACTTGATTGGTAACAGTGAATAAACAGTCCGGAGAGACTTCCCCACCACCCAGCTCTTACTGGGTCAAATCTCGGGTTCCTCAAGGAGACAAGACTGTAAGAGAGTTTGCAGAGAAGAGATGAGGGTGGTTTTAGGTAGGAAATGTCAGTATGGTATGGAACTGGGGAACAGGATTCCAGGATAATTCCCTGGTTTAAAAATAAAGGAAGTTTCTGTAATATGTTGTACCTGATAAATCTGCCTGTGTTCTTTTATTTTCTAACCCTCACCCTCCAGAATGGCCATCAGGAAAGCTGAACCAGAACCGAGTTTAGGTCCAGGTTCTCGTTCTGGCAAATCTTTCTCCTTACCTTCTTCCTCCACCCCTCCACTTATGCCATGTTTTCCCTTAGCCACTCCCCAGCTCGGTGGAGGAAAGGCAGGCCTAACTAGGTACCGTCTTCCCGACTTTGCTCAATGATAGCTGGGTGGGTCTAGCTGGGTTCCAGCCACTTGTAATGTGGGACATCTCTCACCCCAACTTTGTAGGTGGAGCAACTGCTACAGAGGTAAATATGATTAACTTTACATTCCATCTTTCGTCTGCTCCCAAACTTAACAGCAGGTAATCTGCTTCTAGCAAGTGGTGAAGGTAAGAGAAGCATCTGTATAGGAGGCAAGAGATCTGAGTCCTTTTGAAGGCCTATCCTCTGCTCTGTATCTCAATTACTGTTCTTCATTTCAATTATTCTTACCTACTATTCAGTTCCCTTGATCTTTTCTTCTTGGGGGCTGTCTTAGGGTCAGGGAGATTGCAGAAGCACCAGAACTAGGAGCAGCCCTGAGACATGGGGAGTTGGAGCTGAAGGAGGAATGGCAGGATGAAGAATTCCCTAGGTGAGGACGTGTGAGGGTGGCTGGGAGAAGGGAGGGGTGGTCACGAATGGACGGAGGGGATGGCGCGGCGGCTCATGGCTGTAATCCCAGCACTTTGGGTGGCCGAGGCGGGTGGATCACCTGAGGTCAGGAGTTTGAGACCAGCCTGACCAACACGGTGAAATCCCGTCTCTACTAAAAATACAAAATTAGCCAGGTGTGGTGGCACATGCCTGTAATCCCAGCTACTCGGGAGGCTGAGGCAGGAGAATCACTTGAACCTGGGAGGCAGAGGTTGTAGTGAGCTGAGATTGTGCCATTACACCCGAGCTTGGGCAACAAGAGTGAAACTCTGTCTCAAAAAAAAAAAAAAAAAAAAAAAAAAAAAGCAAATGGACACAGGGATGGTGAATTAGGACTTGAAGGAAAAAAATGGGAAAAAGAAAACAGAGGCCGGGCGTGGTGGCTGATGCCTGTAATCCCAGCACTTTGGGAGGCCGAGGCAGGTGGATCACTTGAGCTCAGAAGTTCAAGACTACTCTGGGCAACATGGCATAACCCCATCTCTACAAAAATACAAAATTTAGCCAAGTGTGGTGGTGCACACCTGTAGGCCCAGCTACTCGGGAGGCTGAGGTGGGAGGACCGCTTGAACCCTGGAGGTAGAGGCTGCAGTGAGCTGTGATTGTGCCACTGCATTCCAGCCTGGGCAACAGAGTGAGACCCTGTCTCAAAAAAACAATTAAAAAAAAAAGCAGCATAGGTGATAAAATCATGGTGGGGAGAGAGAACCTATATATTGAGTCCTGGCTTGATGCCTTTGGTGTATATGTCTGCCGCCTTTTAATCTCTTCCCCTCTAGATTGCTTCCTGAGGAGGCTGGCACTTCTGAAGATCCTGAAGACCCTAAAGGAGATTCACAGGCAGGTAGGTCAAGTAGAAACCAGGCCTCAAGTTCTTGATTCTAGTCCAGTAAAGGGCTATGCCACCTCTATCCTTTTACAGTTCCATTTCCCCCTTTTCCCAAATCTCCCCTGCGTGAGTCCTTCTTCAGCATTCACCCCATATTATCACTTTCACATACAGGAATTCTAGCCCTCTCGGCTCTCCAACACACACACCCATCTTGGTTCTCTTTTTCCCCCTTTCTCCAGCTGCAGGTACCCCCAGCACTTTAGCCCTGTGTGGCCAGCGCCCCATGCGCAAGCGTCTTTCTGCCCCAGAGTTGCGGCTGAGTCTGACTAAGGGGCCTGGAAATGATGGAGCTTCACCCACCCAGTCTGCACCTTCCTCTCCTGATGGCAGTTCTGACCTGGAGATAGACGAATTGGAGACACCTTCAGACTCGGAGCAGCTGGACAGTGGACATGAATTTGAATGGGAAGGTGGGAAACAAACCAGAGGACTCAGCTGGTAGAAGTAGAGGCTAGAGCTAAAGGATCAGGATGGACTTAATGGGACTGCAGTTAGAACTAATAAGGTGGGACCAAGGGCTACGGCCAGCAAAATTAGTTTCCTCAAATGGAACTTGGGCTTATAGGTCCAATGTGAGAGTAGTCAGTAGAGGGGGAGGGGAGCCCATTGTTTATTAAGGAAAATTTAATTGAATGCCTGTTACATACTATCATGTATAGGACTGGGGTTATAAAGATGAATAAGAGAGGGCCTACAGGGAATTCTCTGCTTAGTAGGAAATAAACATATATAAAAATAATTGCAGTTAAAGGTTATGATCTATATATGTGTAGGGTACAGTGTAGACAGGGAGAAGGAAAAGGTCAGTTCTGCCTGAGAGATGTTAGGAAAGGCTTCATGAAGGAGATGATTCTGAGCTAAGTGTTGAAAACTGAAGCTGACATTTATCAGGTAGTTGGAGAGAGGGCATTCTAAGGAGAAGAAGCAGAAGCAACTCAAGCAATAGCATGGCATGTTGGGGAATTCAAAGTATGAGCATGACTATTTTAATATGAAGGGCCGGGAGGTGAAGAGAGAATGACAAAAGATAGTGCTGCTGGGTTAAGTAGAAAAAGGTCACATCATGGAGGCCCTTGCTGCCATGATAAGGAGTTTAGGTTTTATCTTATAGACAATAGGGAGTCATGATAAGTTTTTTTGTTTTTTGTTTTTGATACAGAGTCTTGCCCTGTTGCCCAGGCTAGAGTAGAGTGGTGTGATATAGGCTTACTGCAACGTCTGCTTCCTGGGTTCAAGTGATTCTTGTTCCTCAGCCTCCTGAGTAGCTGAGATTACAGATGTGTGCTATCACGTGTGGCTAATTTTTATATTTTTAGTAGAGATGGGGTTTCGCCATGTTGGCCAGGCTGATCTTGAGCTCCTGGCCTCAAGTGATCCACCTGCCTTGGCCTCCCAGTGTGCTGGGATTACAGGTGTGAGCCACCATGCCTGGCCCAGTAAGGTTTTAATCAAAGGAGTAACATGATCAAATTTAATGACTCTGAAAAGATTGGAAACAACCTAAAGATCCAGCAGTAAGGTATTACGTTTGTTATGGTGCATCCATCCAGTGGAATACTAAATACTAGGCAACATTTTGTTTTTGAGACAGTCTTGCTCTGTTGCCCAGTCTGGAGTGCAATGGCACAATCTTGCTCACTGCAGCCTCAACCTCCTAGGCTCAAGCAATCCTCCTGCCTCAGCCTCCCAAGTATCTGGGACTATAGGCCCACGCCACCAAACCTGGCTAATTTTTATATATTTTTGTAGAGACAGGGTCTTGCTATGTTGCCCAGGCTGGTCTTGAACTCCTGGCCTCAAGCAATCCTCCTGCCTCAGTCTCCCAAAGTGTTGGGATTACAGGCATGAGCCACTGTACTCGGCTATGCAACTATTTTTTAAAATGAAGCAGTTCTTAGGCTGGGAGCGGTGGCTCACGCCTGTAATCCCAGCACTTTGGGAGGCTGAGGCAGGTGGATCACCTGAGGTCAGGAGTTCAAGACCAGCCTGAGCAACATGGAGAAAGCCCATCTCTACTAAAAATACAAAATTAGCTGGGTATGGTGGCACACACCTGTAATCCCAGCTACTTGGGAGGCTGAGGCAGGAGAATCGCTTGAACCGGTGAGGTGGAGGTTGCGGTGAGCCGAGATTGCGTCACTGCACTCCAGCCTGGGCGACAAGAGCAAAACTCCATCTCAAAAAAAAAAAAAAAAAAGAAGAAGCAGCTCTTTCTATTGCTATGGAAAGATCATGCAGAATGGTGGGTATAATATATTATCATTTGAATAAAAAGCTAAAGAGGCTGGGTGCAGTGGCTCATTCCTGTAATCCCAACACTTTGGGAGGCTGAGGAGGGCAGATCATCTGAGCCCAGGAGTTGGGACCAGCCTGGGCAACAAAGTGAAACCCTATTTCTACAAAAAAAATTTTTTTTAAATTGGCTGGGCTTTGTGGCACAGACCTGTAGTCCCAGCTACTTGGGAGGCTGAGGTGGGAGGATCACCTGAGCCTGGGAAGTAGAGGTTGTAGTGAGCCAAGATCATGCCACTCCACTCCAGCCTGGAAGACAGAGTGAGACCCTGTCTCAAAAAAAAAGGTAGAGAAGAAAGGAAAGCTTGCTCTAGCAGTGGTATAGAGGGTCTATTGGAAAAAAACAGACTAGAGGCAGGGAAAGCAGTAAGGAGGCTAGTACCAAGGCCAGGTGAGAAATACTAAGAACCCAAACCAGGATAGCAGTAGTGGAAAGGATGATGAAAGAATATCATAGAGATAGATGGATCACAATCTGGAGTCCAGTTCATTTCAGGGCTGATAGAGAAGAAAGAGTTTCACATGACATGCAGTTTTCTCACTAGCCAGGCATGCTGATGTGTACCCATAGCCCTAGCTACTTGGGAAGCTGGGGTGGGAGTATCACTTGAGCCCAGGAGGTCAAAGCTGCAGTGAGCAAAGGTCGAGCCACTGTACTCCAGCTTGGATAGCAGAGTGAGTCCCTGTCTCTAAAAGAAAACAACAACAACAACAATAATAATAATATAATTTTCTCATTCAGGCAGCTACATGGATTCAGTCATTCATCAATACAGGAAATATGGCTGGGCACGGTGGCTCATGCCTGTAATCCTAGCACTTTGGGATGCCAAGGCAGGTAGATCACCTGAGGTCAGGAGTTTGAGACAAGCCTGGCCAACATGGCAAAACCTCGTCTCTACTAAAAATACAAAAAATTCGCCACACATGGGGGCGTGCACCTGTAGTACCAGCTACTCGGGAGGCTGAGGCAGGAGAATCACTTGAACCTGGGAGGCGGAGGTTGCAGTGAGCCAAGATCGCACCACTGCACTCCAGCCTGGGCAACAGAGCAAGACTCCATCTCAGAAAAAAAAAGGAAATAGGAAATATGAGGGAGAATAAGAAGAATAATTTATTTATTATTATTATTATTATTTTTGAGACAGAGTCTCACTCTTGTTGCCCAGGCTGTATTATTATTATTTTTTTAGAGACAAAGTCTCACTCTGTCACCCAGGCTAGAGTGCAGTGGTATGATCATAGTTCACTGCAGCCTTGAACTCCTGGGCATGAGTGATCTTCCCACCTTGGCCTCCCAAAGCAGAAAAGAATGATTTTGAGTTCCATTTTTTTGTTGTTGTTGTTATTGTTTTGTAATTTGTAATTTTATTATTTTTTAAATTTTTTGTAAAGATGAGGTCTCACTTTGTTGCCCAGGCTGGTCTCAAACTCCTGGCTTCAAGCAATCTTCCTGCCTTGGCCTCCCAAAGTGCTGGGATTACAGGCACGAGCCATTGAGCACAACCTTGAGTTCCCTTTTGAATCTGGTGATTTGTTGATGACAAGCAGACACGAAGTGAAGATGTACACTCTAGGCATTTAGGGATACGGCTAGAGTCAAAACAGAAGCCTGGGTTAGAGGCTAGGTGTGGTAGCTCATGCCTCTAATCCCAGCATTTTGGGAGGCCAAGGTGGACTGATTGCTTTGAACTCAGGAGTTCAAGACCAGCCTAGGCAACACGGCAAAACCCTGTTTCTACAAAAAATACAAAAATTAGCTGGGCATGGTGGTGCATGCCTGTAGTTCCAGCTACATGGGAGCCTGAAGCTAGAGAATCGCTTGAGCCCAGGAAGTGGAGGTTGCAGTGAGCTGAGATCCCACCACTGCACTCCAGCCTGGGTGACAGAGTGAGACTCTGTCTCAAAAAAAAGGAAAAAAAAAAAGAATCAAGGAAAAAATTGAGTAATGACAGATTAGAGTAACAAACTAGGAATCTGAGGAAGTTACAAAAAACTGAAGGTAGGAAATCTGCCTTGTTGATCCTTCCCCATCCCTCTCTTTTAGATGAACTACCCCGGGCAGAGGGTCTGGGCACCAGTGAGACAGCTGAAAGGCTGGGCCGAGGTTGTATGTGGGATGTGACTGGAGAAGATGGACATCACTGGAGGGTGTTCCGAATGGGACCACGGGAGCAGCGCGTAGACATGACTGTCATTGAGCCCTATAAGAAAGTCCTGTCTCATGGAGGTAATGGCTAGCATAATGCAGGTGTTAAGAGCTATGGCTTCTTAATAAAATGCCTAAGCTGGAGACTCAGTCATTGGATCCAAAATCTATCCTGGAACTTCCAGAGACCCTCAGAGTCCCTCAACTTAAACAGATATACTATCTGTCAATACATATTTGTTGACCAAATGAATTTTCCCCTTACACTCTCCAGGTTACCACGGTGATGGCCTCAATGCTGTCATCCTTTTTGCTTCCTGTTATCTACCCAGAAGCAGCATCCCCAACTACACCTATGTCATGGAACACTTGTTTAGGTGAGGTGGAAGGCCTGAAGGGCTACAGGGCAGTGTTAGGGAGGGAAAAGTAAAAAAGAACTCCTTCAAAGATCAGTAGCTGATGGGAGAGTCTACAGTAATGTTCCTCTCACTCTCTGAAGCCCCTAACACATACCTTCCCTGCAATTTCATCCCCCCAGGTATATGGTGGGAACTCTGGAGCTGCTAGTAGCTGAAAATTACCTGCTTGTTCATTTGAGTGGAGGCACAAGCAGGGCCCAAGTTCCACCTCTAAGCTGGATACGTCAGTGTTACCGTACCCTGGATCGGCGGTGAGACCTGGGATGAGAGGGCTACAACTCTCTATCTCATCTTTTTTTCCCCATCTTTCTATTATTTCTTCTTCCATTTAGTCCTTTTCCTATTTTCTTTGTCCTTTTACGTTCCTTTCCCAGCTCTTTTGTCTTCTGTCTTCTCTTGGAGTCAAGGAAATCTAGCTTCAAATCCTGCTGTTACCACATTACTGTTTACTAGCTGTATGGCTTTGGACAAGTCACTTAACCTCTCTGGGCTTCAGCTTCAGTTTTTTTGTTTTTTTGTTTTTTTTGAGACAGGATCTGGCTGTGTCATCCAGACTGGAGTGCAGTGGCACGATCTCGGCTCACTGCCACCTCTGCCTGCCAGGCTCAAGCGATCCTCCCACCTCAGCCTCCCAAGTAGCTGGGACTACAGGCATGGGCCACCATGCCCAGCTAACTTTTGTATTTTTTGTAGAGATGGAGTTTCACCATTTTGCCCAGGCTGGTCTCAAACTCCTGAGCTCAAGTGATCTGCCTGCCTCCACCTCCCAAAATGCTGAGATTATAGGCATGAGCCACTGCACCCGGCCACTTCAGCTTCTTTATCTGTAAAATGGCAATAGTTATACTTTTGCCACTGGGTATTTGTGAAAATCGAGTAAATTAGTGTGGCATATTGCCTGGCACACAGAAAGCACTCTTCTCTCAGTCTTGCCATTTATTTCCCTTTCCACACCTCCATTATCTTCTTCTCTGCCTTCATCACTGACCTATGTGTCTTCTCTGTCACCAGGCTGCAGTGCAGTGGTAAGATCTTGGCTCGCTGCAGCCTCTCCCTCCCTGGCTCAAGCCATCCTCCCACCTCAGCCTTCCAAGTAGCTGGGAGTACAGGCATGCGCCACCACCATGCCTAGCTAATTTTTGTATTTTTGTTGTTGTTGTTAGAGACAGGGTTTTGCCATGTTTCTCAGGCCAGTCTTGAACTCCTGAGCTCAGGTGATCTGCCTGCTTTGGCCTCCCAAAGTGCTGGGATTACAGGTGTGAGCCACTGTGCCTGGCCCTGTGTCTTCTTTTCCTTCTCAGGTTTTTTTTTTTTCCCCTTTTGGTTCCCCCATCTCCATTTGCTCACATTTCTCTTCTTGCCCCCTTTCCTTTTTTCGTCCTTGCTGGTCTTCTTCCACCTAGAGTTTTATAAGTAATCTTGGTCATGGAGCGATGTAGAAGCATGCAAAAGGAACTTACGCGAGGGTAGAGCACAAGATGGAAATGGAGCAGAAAAAGACCAGGTGGTCGGGCGCGGTGGCTCACGTCTGTAATCCCAGCACTTTGGAAGGCCGAGGTGGGCGGATCACAAGGTCAGGAGTTCAAGACCAGCCTGGCCAACATGGTGACAAGTCATTATCTCTACTAAAAAAATACAAAAATTAGCTGGGCATGGTGGCATGTGCCTATAATCCCAGCTACTCGGGAGGCTGAGGCAGGAGAATCACTTGAACCCGGGAGGTGGAGGGTTGCAGTGAGCCGAGATCGAGCCACTGACTCCAGCCTGGCGACAGAGTGAGATTCCATCTCAAAAAAAAAAAAAAAAAAAAAAAATCCGGGCGCGATGGCTCACACCTGTAATCCCAGCACTTTGGGAGGCCGAGGCGGGCAGATCACGAGGTCAGGAGATCGAGACCATGGTGAAACCCCGTCTCTACTAAAAATACAAAAAATTAGCCGGGCACGGTGGCGGGCGCCTGTAGTCCCAGCTACTCAGGAGGCTGAGGCAGGAGAATGGCATGAACCCGGGAAGCAGAGCTTACAGGGAGCTGAGATAGTGCCACTACACTCCAGCCCAGGCGACAGAGTGAGACTCCGTCTCAAAAAAAAAAAAAAAAAAAAATCTTGAGAGTTTTTTTAAAAATGAGGATCATGGAGGGCTAAATAAGATGGGTGGAGCTGAGATTACAGCTGACGGAATGGGGATTAGACCCAAGTACCAGATAAATCTAGAAACTAGAGAAGTGAATGAAGGAAGTTACAGTACAGAAAACAGTTCCACGTGATCTTCACACATAAAGGTGGAAGAAGAAATAGGATGATCTCATGTTGTTTTTCAGGCTACGGAAAAACCTGCGAGCCCTGGTGGTTGTCCATGCTACATGGTATGTGAAAGCATTTCTGGCACTGCTTCGGCCCTTCATCAGGTACTAGTTCTAGGAACAAGGACTCCTTTCTCCTTCCCCCCATTTTCAAAATCAAGATTAAGATCTTTCTCCACCTTGATTCTTTCTAGCCTTAACCACTCTACTTCTACATTTTTCTTTGCAAGGATTTTTGGGAACCCTTCTCCCAATACAAAACACAGTTGATTTATTCTCTCTTTTCAGTTCCAAATTCACACGAAAAATCCGTTTTCTGGACAGCCTGGGGGAGCTGGCCCAACTCATATCCCTGGATCAAGTCCACATCCCTGAAGCTGTCAGACAGTGAGTTTCACACTTAAGAATAAAGCCTTGGGGTGGGATGTGTAAAGCCAATCTCTACTTTTTTAATGCCTTGGGGGACATACAAAAGAACGAAAAGCTAGAGGGCCCTGTTTTCGGGTGCTTTAATGTATATGGGGAAACTGCACACACCCAGAGAAGAAATGAAGGACACTACTGCATCCAACAAGAATAAATGAAAAAAAAAAAAAACCTATACATATAAGTGCAGAGGCAATAAGGAATAAAGGAATAATCACAGTGCAGAGGAGATTCAGACTGGCCCTAGAAATTAGGAAGAGATGTGTTGGCAGTGAACAGATGATATCCAGTGGGGGAGAGGGTGTTAGGGAGCAAAAGTGCTAAATGATGACTCAACCCAATCATCTAGCTCTTCCAATTCACCTGGCTTCTCTCCCCAAACCAGAAAATAAAACCCAAGTCCTACCCCCTGAACCACTTCTCTCCTCCCCCTCTCCCTCTCCTAGGCTGGACCGGGATCTCCATGGCTCAGGAGGGACATAGCACAGGACTGGATAAAAGGCCTTAGAACCAGTTAGTGATCTGCCTACACCTGAATCCCTGAAACATCTGAACTGTTTTGTAAATCATCTTATCCCCAACCTCAGTACCACCGGATCTTCACTTCTCAGTGGGATTTTGTCCTTTGCATGACCCTACTTTCAGCAGGGCTTTGAGGCTGGGAAACTGATCTGCTGGGTGACTTTCATTCCAGTTGCTGGGACGGAAGGCTGAATGTAGGGTCATTTTGTATGGGATATGCAGAGCTCTGGGTTTTTTTGTTTTTTGTTTTTTGAGACGGAGTCTCGCTCTGTCGCCAGGCTGGAGTGCAGTGGTGCGATCTCGGCTCACTGCAACCTCCGCCTCCCGGTTCAAGCCATTCTTCTGCCTCAGCCTCAGCGAGTAGCTGAGACTACCGGCGCACGCCACCACGCCCAGCTAATTGTTTTGTATTTTTAGTAGAGACGGGGTTTCACCATGTTGGCCAGGATGGTCTCGATCTCTTGACCTCGTGATCTGCCCGCCTCGGCCTCCCAAAGTGCCGAGATTACAGGTGTGAGCCACCGCGCTCGGCCAGAGCTCTGGGTTTTAATCCTACTTTAGCTGTAGAACCTTGGGCAAATAACTTCATCTTTTTGGGTCCTAATTTTCCTCCTGTCTAACTGGAGGGACTGTGATCCTTCCACCTTGGATGGAAGAGGCTTACCTGACAGCCAGCCTGCCTGCTGGGAGCCAGGAGAGTCAGCTCATTAAATCTTGAAGAACCGCTGTATGCCCTTTTTCCTTCTAAGTCATGTCTGCTGCCTGTGAGCCTGGGAAGGAGTGCTTTCAAAACCTGTATTTTTGCCCTCTTTAGTAAATTTAGAACTGTAGAGGCTAATAAACTGCGATGAGACATTTAAGCTCTGCTCCAAAGAAGTGAACGACTCTTTCACCACCCCTTGCATCCCAAACCTTCGGTTCTGGCAGAGTTCTTGCCGCAGAGGTTCCTTAGGAGCACCCCGCGCGGCCCGCGCGAGCGCGCCTGCGCGTCGAACCCCACCCCCTTCCCCGCGGGCCTCGGTTCAAACGACCCGGTGGGTCTACAGCGGAAGGGAGGGAGCGAAGGTAGGAGGCAGGGCTTGCCTCACTGGCCACCCTCCCAACCCCAAGAGCCCAGCCCCATGGTCCCCGCCGCCGGCGCGCTGCTGTGGGTCCTGCTGCTGAATCTGGGTCCCCGGGCGGCGGGGGCCCAAGGCCTGACCCAGACTCCGACCGAAATGCAGCGGGTCAGTTTACGCTTTGGGGGCCCCATGACCCGCAGCTACCGGAGCACCGCCCGGACTGGTCTTCCCCGGAAGACAAGGATAATCCTAGAGGACGAGAATGATGCCATGGCCGACGCCGACCGCCTGGCTGGACCAGCGGCTGCCGAGCTCTTGGCCGCCACGGTGTCCACCGGCTTTAGCCGGTCGTCCGCCATTAACGAGGAGGATGGGTCTTCAGAAGAGGGGGTTGTGATTAATGCCGGAAAGGATAGCACCAGCAGAGAGCTTCCCAGTGCGACTCCCAATACAGCGGGGAGTTCCAGCACGAGGTTTATAGCCAATAGTCAGGAGCCTGAAATCAGGCTGACTTCAAGCCTGCCGCGCTCCCCCGGGAGGTCTACTGAGGACCTGCCAGGCTCGCAGGCCACCCTGAGCCAGTGGTCCACACCTGGGTCTACCCCGAGCCGGTGGCCGTCACCCTCACCCACAGCCATGCCATCTCCTGAGGATCTGCGGCTGGTGCTGATGCCCTGGGGCCCGTGGCACTGCCACTGCAAGTCGGGCACCATGAGCCGGAGCCGGTCTGGGAAGCTGCACGGCCTTTCCGGGCGCCTTCGAGTTGGGGCGCTGAGCCAGCTCCGCACGGAGCACAAGCCTTGCACCTATCAACAATGTCCCTGCAACCGACTTCGGGAAGAGTGCCCCCTGGACACAAGTCTCTGTACTGACACCAACTGTGCCTCTCAGAGCACCACCAGTACCAGGACCACCACTACCCCCTTCCCCACCATCCACCTCAGAAGCAGTCCCAGCCTGCCACCCGCCAGCCCCTGCCCAGCCCTGGCTTTTTGGAAACGGGTCAGGATTGGCCTGGAGGATATTTGGAATAGCCTCTCTTCAGTGTTCACAGAGATGCAACCAGTAAGTGTTTGGTGATGAGCCAGGGTCTTTGTTGACGGATCTGAAAAGTCCTGGTATCTAAAACCCAGTTGCTAAGCCAGCCAGTGTTGCTTACATGAACTGTTACTGACTTACCTGGTTATTGATTCATAACATGCATTGGTTATTCACATTGTTAGCCATTGATTCCACCTATTATTTATTGAGCAACTACTGGTTGGTCATTAGGTAAAATGTCTTACTGCTCATTAGGTGATTATTGACCAAATAGTTAAGATTGGAAATATTTTTTTTTTTCAAGACAAGAGTTTCACTCTTATTGCCGAGGCTGGAGTGCAATGGCGTGATCCTGGCTCACTGCAACCTCTGCCTCCCAGGTTCAAACAATTCTCCTGCCTCAGCCTCTTGAGTAGCTGGGATTACAGGCACCCACCACCATGCCCGGCTAATTTTTTTTTTTTTTTTAGAAGAGACAGCATTTTACCATGTTGGCCAGGCTGGTCTAGAACTCCTGACCTCAAGTGATCCACCCGCCTCGGCCTCCCAAAGTGCTGGGATTATAGGCATGAGCCACCATGCCTGGTCTTGGAAATTCTCTGTTTTTTTCACAGACAAGATCTCGCTATGTTGCCCAGGCTGGTCTTAAACTCCTGGGCTCAAGCAATTCTCCTGCCTCAGCCTTCCAAAGTGCTGGGATTACAGGCATGAGCTACTGTGCCCCTGACCATAAGACTTTTTTTTCGAGACAGGGTCTCTCATCACTCAGGCTGGAGTGTGGTGGCGCAGTCACAACTCACTGCACCCTCCATCTTCTGGGCTCAAGCAATCCTCCCACCTTAGCCTGCTGAATAGCTGGGACTACAGACGTGCACCACCATGCCTGGCTAACAAGATCTCGCTATGTTGCCCAGGCTGGTCTCCAACTCCTGAGCTCAAGGATCTGCCCACCTTGGCCTTCCAGAATTCTGGGATTACAGACATGAGCCACTGTGCCCGGCCCATAAAGTCTTTTTGATGCACAGATAATTAACAGATATGAAGGATCTTAATCAATTAATAGTTTTGACCTAATACAGCTTAACAGCAACAAGTGCCAAAATTTGAGGTCTTACTATGTGCACTTTACCTGAATCGATCCTCACATCCTATGAGGTATTATTATCCCTGCTTTTCAGATGAAGAAACTGAGGTTTACAAAGCTAGTAAGTGGCAGAGCCACGAGATTTAAACCAGGTTTGACACCAGTGCCCACTCTCTTCACCACTACCATTTGGGAGTACTGTCCTTCCAGGACAAGGAAGGATAGTCCTCTGCTTTTCCCAGAATTAGCAAAGGTTCTGATTGACTTGATAAGGTAGTCTCAATTGATACGGATGATAGGACTTTGAGGAGGGAAAGGTAATAAAGCTTACACTTGGTCATTTTGCTTGTTTCTGTTTTTCTCCTTGTGTGTCCAATACCATTATTGCATACAAAAATAAGTAAGGGGTGGGCAGTAGGGTTGAGGGAATATGGGTTTGTGGGAGGGGGAGATGAAGCAAGGAAGGGAAAAGAATATAGATGTGGTTGTAATTTCCCTTTTTCTCTATTTTTTTTTCTTACGCAGATAGACAGAAACCAGAGGTAATGGCCACTTCATCCACATGAGGAGATGTCAGTATCTCAACCTCTCTTGCCCTTTCAATCCTAGCACCCACTAGATATTTTTAGTACAGAAAAACAAAACTGGAAAACACATTGTTTGGTCTTGTGTTTCTTTACAGAGGTACCTGAGGGAGGAGAGACATAAATCCCTTCATCCCTAAGACTGAACTATGTAACTAGCAGCCTCTGGCTTGTTTTCTACTCCCTGTCCCTCAGGATAAAATGTTGATATTGCTCATTTTCCTCATTTCCAACATTGTTTTAAAACAAGTACTTCTTTTACAGGCTTGAAAAATCTCAAATAAACGCTAAGAAAAGGGAGTAGGAAGAACAAGGAGTTGAGCCCTTGAAAGATGACAGTGGTCTTCTTGCCTTCATGCTTGGCCCTCTCTCCTCAAAAGGGCAATGTTGGTACAAAATTCCATCTCAGCCACTTTCGAGGAGTTATCTTCATTAGCTATATCCATCCTTTAATCCAACACACACCTGCAATGATTACTGTGCAACTATTTTGCTTAATTTTTTATTTGAAAAAATGTATTTAAAAGTCCAACAACTTTTTAATATAAATTACGACTCTCAAACCCATTCCCATCACTTTATTAGTGATGGTAGCATACATATTAGAGAAGGTAGCTAAAGGCAAGAGAGCACCAAAGGAAAAAGACTGTCCAAAGAACAGGTATTAGAATGAGGCCGAAGATCACGGTGACCAGAGATTTCTAGGAGTCTCTAACCTTTCCACCCTATCCTGTTAACCCTTTAGATCTCTAGTATAACACTCAGGCTACTGAGGTATTTTAGAGCAACAAGCTGGGTTACTTTCAGAGCAACCAGCTTGACTGGAACTGAGAGTAAATTGGGAATGTATGACCAATCTTAGACCCTGAAAAATGGCAGAAAATACATGGAAATTTGAAAAAAAAAAAAAAAAAAAAAAAAAAAGAACCTCAGTCACTGTTCTGTAGGGATAAGCAAACTGAATGGGTGGTGGAATTGGCAGAATGGATACCAGTTCCTACATTCCTGACCCCACTACCATAAAACAGGATGTTTCCTGTTGCAAAGCTAATGAGACCCCACCCTTCTTGTCTCAGAGCAGGCAGGAGCTCATCTGTCTTGTTCTGCCTTCCTAATTACCCTGGAAGGGCCAGAACGAAGAACACCTGAGAATACTGAAAGTGCCTAAAAACCCCTGCTCCTACGTTGTTTTCCCATTTAAAGCAGACTCTTCAGCCAGGGGGCAGTGGGACCTGGTCTTCAGACAAAACTCCCTGAGTCTAATGTGTGTCTAGGACTAGGGCACAGAAATAGAGCTTAAAATTTGGGGAGGATAAGGAGTGTATCTACTGCTTCTCTCTCCCCTTTCCCCAATCCTACCATACCCTGTTCATATCTCTACACTGCAGGAACCACTTCTCCAGAGGGCAAGAATGGAGGAGGGGGACCTGTCCATCATAGCAACATGCAAACACAAGCAAAACACTGAATAAAGAATTGTTTGGAGATTATGTGCAGCCCTACTGAGCCTCATTTATATGGGCTCCTAGTTGATCCATGGCTCGGGCTTAAGATGAGTAAGATGATGAGGGTAGCGTGCCAAGCAGAAATCACTTCAGAGAAAAATATCTTGACTTTAGAGTTGTGGTTCTCAAATGGAGGCGATTTTGCCCCCTAGGAGAAATCTGGCAATGTATAGAGACATTTTTGGTTGTCATAACTAGAGTGGGCCAGGGTTGCTGCTAAATATCCTGTAATGCACAAAATAGGAAACAGGTTTTCCTTACAAAGAACACTTCAGCCCAAAATGTCAAAGGCATCTCGGTTGTGAAACCTTGTTCTAGAGCCTCTCCCTGCTCCCGTGCTGTGAGGATCTTAAGACTCCTAAACTCACAGATGATTGTTTTCAACCTATTTATCTCACCATCCTCAATGATCAGAAGTCCACCTTGAGATGGACTTACTCCTAGTTCTGCCGCATTCTGGGTTTCTTTCCAGACCCCTCTTCCTCCTCTCACCTGGGCCAGCAGGGAGGTTGGCAGAGGGCAGGAAAGATGCCCCAAAACTTAAATGGAATGTCATCAGGTGAAGAGCTACCTCTTACCTTAACTCTTATTCGGTGGGAAACAAGGTTCCTAATAGGGATAGAGTTAAGGGCGGAGGCAACAGCAGGATGAGGATAATTAAGAGAACCTGAATTAAATTTTTAATATTTTAAAAAAGGAAAGTTGCTGGGAAGCTGGTAAACAGAAACAGAAGATTAGAGGCCTAACTAGAAAGAGACACTGGTGTTAGCAGAGAGATATTGAGGGGCTGTAAGCCTAAGGTTTGAAATCTAAAGATAGAGTGGAAAAGGGAGTAGGCACCCCCACCAGCCCCTGCTTGACATCTGCTTTAGTTCATTCCAGCAGGAAGGAGGAGAAGGGCAGGGAGGTAGGGAGCTTCTCAGCAAAGCCAGCTTCAGCTTTGATAATCTCACCCACCTACCCCATTTAAGGAGTTCCAGGTTTAAGAGTTTAAAAACAGGTGGCACCCAGACCATCATTCAGGAGACAGGAACTCATTCCAGGTTCCTAGAGAACTCCTATCTCAGACCTGAGGGTTTCCAGGGCTTCAGCTGAGCTCCTCTGGCTAACCAGTAGTCACTTGATCAGTCCTGCTGCCTTGACCCCATCTCCAGGAGGGGCTATGGCCAGAGGGAGTAGAGGGAGTCCAGCCCCCAAGCCTTGTGAGGCACTGTTAGGCAGATAGGGAAAAGAGGGGTCCTTAGATCACTGGTTCAAGGAGGGATCTGGTAGGGGCAGCATTTCTTCTGGGCTGGAAACAGAATGGGGGTTTCAAGATGGCAGAACCTGAAATAAAAAAAAAGTTTTTCTTAAAGAAGATTAGCCTCAAAGAAAACCAAGGCTTTAGGAAGAAGGCACTACCTAGTGCAGACTTTAAGCTATTTCCACAGTGTGTTCTTTACTTCTGTCTGCACAACACCCTCTCAGTCTTTCTATATCCTACATTCTTTTTTTTTTTGAGATGGAATCTCACTCTGTTGCCCAGGCTGGAGTGCAGTGGCGCAATCTAGACTCACTGCAACCTCCACCTCCCGAGTTCAAGTGATTCTTCGGCCTCAGCCGCCTGAGTAACTGGGATTACAGGCGTGTGCCATCATGCCTGGCTAATTTTTGTACTTTTAGTAGAGACAGGGGTTCACCATGTTGGCCAGGCTGGTCTCAAACTCCTGACCTCAAGTCATCTGCTGACCTCGGCCTCCCAAAGTGCTGGGATTATAGGCGTTAGCCACCATGCCCGGCCTAGATCCTACATTCTTGAATCTTCCCTTCTAATTCCTCCCTATCTCCCATTCTTTTTTTATATTTTGAGATAGAGTCTTGCTCTATCACACAGGCTGGAGTGCAGTGGCGCGATCTCAGCTCACTGTAACCTCCGCCTCCCAGGTTCAAGTGATTCTCATGCCTCAGCCTCCCAGGTAGATGGGACTACAGGAGCACGCCACTGTGCCCGGCTAATTTTTGTATTTTTTGGTAGAGACAGGGTTTTGCCTCGTTGGCCAGGCTGGTCTTGAACTCCTGGCCTCAAGTGATCCACCCATCTCGGCCTCCTAAAGTGCTGGGATTACAGGCATAAGCCACCATGCCCGGCCACACCTCCCTTTCTTGCATAAGATCAGGGTTCTGAGTCAGGGTATCAGGTTGTGCTGTTATGGGGGCTGAGGTGTTAGATGGGTTTCTCTAATCACTCACCATTCCATTATTGGAGCTATAAGCCCCTAGAATTGCTCCATGGCCTATCTCGGTTTCCCTTGGATCTCATCTGCTCCTGAACTGCACCTGTCTGTAAAAAAACAGATGCGAGACACCTTCGTAAGTCTTCATATCCTACAGTAAGAACTCTACTTTGTGCCTTCCAGGGAAGAGGCTGACGCCATCTCCTTGACAATAGCAGCCATCTGCTAACCACCATTCCTCCTAGGGGAGTCTCAATGCCTCTTTTCACACTGGCCTTCATGAGGATGAGGTAAAATGGGTCTTTTACTAATAATATTCCCTCACAATGGATTCTCCCCTATATATCTGAGTTTCAGGATCTGAGAAAAGACTATCTCTAGACCCATTTCCCTTATTTTGGGAACAGAAGTGCATCTTAGACATTATTTAGGATGAAGGTACTCAGCTTTTTTCCTGTCCCAACACTCCTAAATATATGATTTACTGTGGCACTGAGATAGCAGTTCTTAATTAGGAGAAGGGAGAGTTATAAGTTTTTGGAAAAAGCCCTCCAACTATTAAGATATATATACCCCCTACCCCAGTGAAGAACAATCTGCTAAGTTGTAAAGATGAGAGAACCTAGGCCCAGACACCTAAAATGCCAGGTCTCGGGTTTCCACAACTGGTGACCAGGACTAGAATCCCAGGTTTTTACTTCCCCATTGAGTATTTTCATATGTCCCTAGCTTGAACTTTCAAAAAGAGGGAACGGTTATAGACCTCACCCCTGTATCAACCTCTCCCCATTTCCTTGTTACCATGGCAAGTCCATCTCCGGCCCCCATCTCCCCTGAGCCAATGTGAGTCAGGTGAACAAAATTCATTGGTTCCCCAATCATGGTCCGGTCAATCCGTCTTCTCTTCTTCTTCTGCTTGGAGAAGATAAGGAGTCATGTCTTAAGGCCCCTCCTCCAGTCAGCACGGAGGAAGGGAAAAGAGTCTTCAAAACCACTGAAAAGCTAAGGGCCTGGTGGGAAGAGGGGATGTGGCATTTTAACAGGGAAATCACTAGGGCATGAAAGGCAAAGCTGGAACAACAAAAGCACACAGAAGACATGAACCAGAGTAGTGAGGGCAGTGGCCTGCAGAGTGAACACTGGACAAAGAAAGGACATGTCAAAGTCACCTCTGACTGATGATGAAATAATGGGGAAAACTGACAGGTATGCAGCTCCACCTACAAACCCCACCCAGCTCAGAATGGACAGGAACAGGAGGTAATAGCTAGGACTATTCACTTCTTCCATCACCCAGTCCCCTTTGTTCCACATATACAGCTGCCTGACCATAGAAGCTCCTGACACAGAGGGAGGCAAGAAGTGTGCTTTTTTAGATGGCAGATCCTAGATGGTGTGGCTACCTCACAGCACACAGTAACTGACTGCTCTTTGGGTTAGGATGGGGGGTGGGGAGACTCACCGGCTGGGGTTTCTCTACCACACAGCAGCCCAGTTTGTGCCAAAATTCACTCATGTTCCCTGATGGTTCCAGCTTCACTCCGCTGTCTGAGGCCCCAAAGGGCTCTTTCCCTGGTGTTTGGACAACCCACTCCTCACTCTCCCCAGATACACCACCACCCTGGGTTCACTCAGCTGGATGGGTCCAGACAAAGTGGAATCCCTGGAACCTTTAACTGAGCAGTGAAGGTCAGTGTCTCAGAGCCTGAGAGATGAACAGGACCAGAGAGAGAGGTGGGCAGGCAGGCACAAGGTTATGTCTTCCTCAGACTCGGAACCCTGGATTAGAAGAAAGTAAAAAGAAAGATCAGTGAGAAATCTCCCCCTCCCCCAATCCTTGAGAAACCTCCTGATGAGCCTATATCTTCCCAGTCCTCCCTGAGAGGCCCTAGACCTGTACACCAACACTCATTCCCAAACACTATGAACCTCAGTTTGACTCTAAAAAAAAGGAACAGAACCAAAAGGACACCAAGGGGTTAAGGAGCAGTGGCTGGTGGTACCAAGGGAGAGGAAGGGGGCTAGAAGCACTTAGAGTTAAGAGGATGGGCGAGGACCAAAGGATAGTGGCAGAAATTAGCAAAGTTTGGGGTGATACAAGCTCCAGCTCCCTTCTCTCTGAGTTTAGGGCAGAAGGGGAGGGGCATTTAAGTGACTCTGAAGAGGAAATAGTGGTTTTTTGTTCTCACAAACAAGGTCTCCACCCTGTCCCTGCCTTTTTTCTTACCTTGCCCTGAACGCCTAGAGTTTCTTTAAGAACAGGAGAGCCCTGGACCACTGAGGTCCTAGGAGACTAACTGGCAGGTTGGCCCTCAGGAAAGACTTTCTACAATAAGGAATTTCTTCCCTCTCTGTTTGCTGCCCTATTCCTCCTGATTTCCCTCCAGTGAAATCCAATCCCTCCCAGAAGCCAGTCAGCAGCAGTTCCTTTATTACCTGACCTTGAGATCCTTCCTGAAGGCTGTGTACATTCTGTTTATCTGTGTCCTGTATCACTGCACTCCTGTGTGTACACCTCTGTTTGCACATGCGTGGCATGGCCATATCTCCACGTGTGTCCAGTACAGATCATCTGTGTACAGGTTGTGGGTACATGTGCCAGGTATCTTCTGTCCCATGAGGAATATTTTCCCCACCGTCCACATGTCCTATCTGCCACTCTGCTCTGCCTCACACCCTATAGGGCCCAGGCTCCCCTCCAGCTGTGACCTGTTCTCCCCTCCCTCCTCACCAATTCTATCCTCAAGCTTCATCAGTGAACCAGACATAAGGAACTTTCCAATAGTACTAGTGTCCAAGGAAGAACTTCCTCCCTTCTCACTACTGCCAGCCAGGGTAGGACACATCTGGGTTTCTTCTTAGACTCACTTGCATTTCCCCAGTCCTATAGTACAGACAACCTCAAAGATTCCAAAAAGGGCAGTTTCATAAATATGACACTTTAACATGAACAGGAATCTCCCTTTCTTGCAGGCCGGGAACCCTGATGCTTTGGCACCCTAGACTGATTTAAAAACAAGAGATAGGCCGGGCGTGGTGGCTCACGCCTGTAATCCCAGCACTTTGGGAGGCCAAGGTGGGCGGATCACCTGAGGTCAGGAGTTCCAGACCAGCCTGGCCAACATGGTGAAACCCCATCTCTGCTAAAAATACAAAAGATTAGCTGGGCGTGGTGGCGGATGCCTGTAATCCCAGCTACTTGGGAGGCTGAGGCAGGAGAATCGCTTGAACCGGAGATTGCAGTGAGCCGAGATCGCCACTGCACTCCAGCCTGGGCAACAAGAGCGAAACTCCGCCTCAAAAAAAACACACACAAAAAAACGAGATAGCAGGGTGTGGTAGCATGTGCCTGTCATCCCAGCTACTGGGGAGGCTGAGGCAGGAGGATCACTTGAGCCCAAGAGTTGCGGCTACAGTGAGCCATGTTTGCACCCCTGCACTCCAGCCTGGGTGACAGGACAAGACCCTGTCTCAAATACAAAACACACACACACACACACACACACACACACACACACACACACAGAGGTTTTTTTTTTTTTTAACAGCCTTGAGATGAGATCACACAAACACTCAAATGTAGCTTCTAGGGGAGGGGAGAACCCAGGAGGCTGGGCTTTCTCTTCTCTTCTCACCACTGGAAGGGAGGAGTAACCAGAAGGAGCGGAAGCTAAAACACGCTGTCCAGAGAGGGGAGCTGTGGTCAGTGGGACGTCAGTGAGTCAGTCATAGGGTTTGTCCTGATGGTGGTGGTGGCAGGTGGTAAGGGTTGGGGAAAAATGAAGAATTAGAGGAAACCCCCAACACCAGCAGGCAGGCTGTACTGTGACTGGACTCTCCCTCAACATCCCCCACTCTGCTCAAAGCTGAGGGACAGAGGTGGATAGTGCTGGGAGGGAAGAGAAGAGAGGGGGAGGAGAAGGAGAGAGGGAAAGGGGCAGTGGAGAGAACAAGGCCATTTCTGTTTCTTTTCCAGGGACCTGACCAGAGCTGGGTGGAGGGAAAGCGTGTGTGTGGGACTTGGCATGAAATGACCAATGATGACGAGAAGTGACCAGGAAATTCCATTCCCTAGGACATTAGGGTCTCTGAAACTTGAGGGTGGGGTCAGAGTGTGAAGAAGACAGGTCAGGGTGAATGTGATGGTAGCGCAGGGCAGTGGGGGATGGGAACAAAGCCAGAAAAGGAAGTAAGAGCCACTGGCGGCCACTCTTCTTTAAAGCAGCCAGAAGAGAGTGGGTTGAGGAAAAATGAAGTCCTGAGCTGGTCAGCCCAGGCGGAAGAGCCACCCGAATCCAACCCCACAGTGAATAGGGAAGGGGCTGAGAAAACAACAGGAGGGATGAGGATTAGACCTCATAAGGCCACGTCCTGAGAGCCAAGTGGTGCTCAGAACTCGACCTCTCTGAGTTCCAAATGGCAAGAGTGAAATATGGAACCGGGAAAGCCACCCCCCGCCCCCACCAAGATCATACTAGGACTTGAGGGTCTCAGAGCTGTTGGGAGGTGAGCAGAAGGGATGGGAAAGAGGTGCCAGGGAGGAAGGATGTACAGGCTAGTTCTCTGGTCCTGTTCGGGCCCCAAACCGGTTCTCCCGGTCCCACCGCCTCTGGCCCTAAGGCCTCCAACCCGCGGCCTGACAAGCCCTCACATGAAGCAGCTGGAGAGAAAGAAAGAATCGAGAGAATGGCATGGGCAATTCTGGCTAGAAGCCCGGGGCAGCAGCTGGTCCCTGTGTGGAGACCCCGAGACATGGAGGGCTGCTGAGGGACTCTGGAGAAGCGGTGTGGACTCCATATTTCAGCCAAGTGACAGGCCCAACACCAACCTTCCCTTCCCCAGGAAAGGTCTTCTGGGGGCTTAAGAGGAAAGAGGGCTAGGCCCTAAGCCTCCCCTCCCCAAATATATTCAATCACACAGATTCCGTATCTGTCTCCCCCCACTACACAACTCTACCTAGAAGTTCTCTGCTGTTCTCAACCCTTAACCGGACTGGGACCTCTCTGGGAATCTTTCGGACCCTCTCCCTCCCACCTCCCCCAACATTCCAGTTCCTTCTTTTCCTTCTACTCTTCAGCGGCCTCAGCCTGCGCACCCCAGGAGCGTGGATGACTACGGCCACCCCGGGCGCGCACCCCTTTCCCACCACCCCAGCATCTCTGCAGCCCAGGACACCCGCCTCCCCCACACCCCGCATCCGGTGTGTCTCCGCCTGGCCCGGCCGGCGCGGCAGGCGGGCCAGGGGACCAACTGCACGGCCTCACCTGCTCTTCTCCACCATCCAGACGTTCAGCTACAGCTGGTGGGGGTGAGGGACTCTGCTCCGTGGCCGCCAGTGTGGGCTTCCCGGGCTAGCTCTGCGGCGAGGTGGGGGAGCCGAGTACGAGCCGGCAGAGGTGGGGCCGGCTGAGGGCGGAAGCGGCGGCGACGCGATTACGAAACCCGTCCGGCTCGGAGCCCGGCGCACTGCTCCCCTCTGGACTGCGGAGGCACTGCACTGCGCGGGACGTGGGAGGGTGCCTCTGCAGCCCCTCAAGGCCGCCGCCCCTGCGGGGAGAACTGGAGAATGCGGACACCTAGATGAGGCCCTGGCACCCAAGCTGGGGCCCCCGGAATCTCACGTTCCCTTTACTCGCCAGGCATTTCGGGGCAAAACGAAGCGGAGCCCCCCAAACCCCCAGACCTAACCAAGTTCAGAGATTCGCAGAAGCACGCCCCCCACCCCAAATTTATTGTGCTCTACCCAAAATGGAATAGGACTAGGTTTATTTACCCATTGTGAGGGTAGAGAGGCGAGTCTGGAGGAGCAGGGATTGGGAGAAGGGGTGGAAAAATACTCTGATTCTTAAAAATACTTTGTAACCTAAAGTCCTTAAATTGTGGAAGAAAGGAATACTCCTCCTTTCCATTGTAGTCTAGAGTTAAGATTTCAAATCCATAAATTAGAGGACCTAAAATTAGAGGGCAATTAACTGCTCATTCATTGGGCCCCCAGTCAGCACGGGGGTGCTGGAAGAGATCGGGAATAATAGCGCAGACCAATGAGCCTAGGGAGATGCTTTCATCGTCTCTCCTTCCCTCAAGTGTTCTGGAACCTATCATTTGAATTAGCCGAGTCAGGCAGGAGGGGGCGGGGAATCCTTCCGCCCTTCTTAGGAGGGGCTGCATTGCAGGGGGAGAGTGAACTGACAGACTCAGTCACTGAAGAGGGAAAAGGAGTGAGAAGACAAAGCCGTCAAAGCCCCAACAGCTTTGTATTTCTCCAGCCCGGCGCAGACCCCGGAGCTCCCGAGGCACTCCCTCCATCTTTGGAACACGCCAGTAATTGATTGATAACAGGTAAACCAAACTGAGGGAGGGGGCAGGGGGCTGCAAAGATAGAAGAGCGGCTGCTTATGGTTAGATTGAAAGACCCCACATGAGGTGGGGGACAGCTGAAGAGGAGAGAAGGGGGCGCTATGAACAATGGGTAGTTATTTCTTCACAGCATCCATGCCTTGTTACCTTATACAGACCATTAATCTCTAACAATTTACTTGTAGTTATTTCTCAGCACCTACCTCATTTCAAGTATCCTTTTCTGTAATTTATTGTCCTGTGTATTTAATATCTTCAGTCTACTTATCTTCCTTTTCAAACCATAATTTGTTTTACCAGCTGTTTAATTTTTAGTCCTACTGTATCTCTCTGTCCTCTACTTCCCTATACTTGCAATTTTTTTCTGTAGTGTTCTATGTTTCTCTGTAGGAGGGAGTTTGGGAGGGGGTTATATGGGATAATGTTGGGTGTAATCCTGACCTTTCTTTGGATAATCTCTTTCATTCCACCTCGAATCTTTGCTCCAAAGAAAGAGGCAGCCTAGGGTAGGAAAGGTGGGGGCCTCTGTGTTGGAGAACTGCCTGATTCCATAGTGAAATCAGTATAGCCCACAGGAGCTAGGTATGGGGACAGATTCTGGAAAAGAATGATTTGCAGCTCAGTGGAATTGGTGGAGGAATGCTAGTAGGAAAATCCAAGCTCTGACTGAGGCACACATTATGAGATGTCAGAGAGGTTCTGCTCCCCTCTACCACCACCACCACCTTGTCCTTCCCCCTTCCCCATGGTGGCAGCATGACACAGCAAGGCCCTGTTGAGTAGGCCTTGGATGCCCACAAAGGGTCTGGACAAAGGATATTTGGGCGTGTCTGTGTGGCTCCGAGAGTGTATCTTTCTAATCTATACATTTGCTAATCATGTATCTCTAAGAACAGAGTGATAATTAGATATTGCCTTTGCCTAAAATACCCGGATAATTTAAAGTGAAGGATAGTGGGAAGCATTTATTGAACATATATTGTGGTACAAGGCACTGTCAAAACCCTTTAAGTAAATGATACCATTTAAGATAATGAAAGATGTAAAGATAGATGAAGTAGGGCTGGAGAGCATTTGTGGAGGGGAAGGGGAAGCTAGCCAAAAAAGGATCTTTTGCGAAATTTGGAGTATTTGATAATTAAATCCATACTATATTAAATCAAAAATGTCATTACTACTTACATTAGTGAATAGCATTTTAACTTCAATTTTCTGTGTAGTATTACTTTATGTTCTTGACTTGATTTTAATGCCACGTATGTTTGCATGCATGTCTTTCTTGAATGTATTTGGTACCCTGTGTACATGTCTCTGGGTCAATGACATAGAGATTTTAGGCCTTTTGAGTTAATATTTCATAAAATTTGCTTTAGCTTTTTAAATTGCAAGATAGCTCTACCAAACACTCAGGGACTGTTTGAGCAGTTTTTTATACATACTCTGGTTGTAAGAAAAGGAGTCAGTTTGTCGAAGAGCTTTTTTTTTTTTCTCAGATTCTAGCTTGCTCTACTGCCCTTTGCTTTTCCCCATTCAGATCACAATTACAGGAACAATCACCTAAACCACGGAAAATCTATTCTTCAGCAACTAAAAATTCTTTTAAGTTTTGGGAATACTGGTATAGGGTTATATAAAGCTGTTGGCAACTATCCATGTACAACACAAAAAGGGATCAGATTGGGAATTATGAGATCTGGATTCTATACAAACTGGCTGGAAGTCTTCCCAAGTCATTAATTTCTAAGATGTCTTCTAGTTTTAAAATTCTATGATTTTTTCCCCCCATGATTCTATTTTTTTTTTTTTTTTAAGATGGAGTCTCGCTCTGTTGCCCAGGCTGGAGTGCAGTGGTGCAATCTTGGCTCACTGCAACCTCCACCTCCCCAGTTCAAGCGATTCTCCTGCCTCAGCCTCCCGAGTAGCTGGGATTATAGGCGCCTGCCACCACACCTGGCTAATTTTTGTATTTTTAGTAAAGACGGGGTTTCACTATCTTGGCCAGGCTGGTCTCGAATTCCTGACCTTGTGATCCACCTGCCTCGGCCTCCCAAAGTGCTGAGATTACAGGCGTGTGCCACCGCGCCTGGCCCCATGATTCTATTTTTTAAAGAGCCTATAATGTGGCCTGCATTATACTAAGCTCATTCTGGAGAAGACTTGTCAGGTAGGATAGAGAAAAGAACCCAGCTAGCTGTGAAAATAACTGGTAACAGTAAGAATCCCTGTAGCCACAAGTCCATAACAGTATTGACTCCTAGGTATGCTTCTTAGAATCTCTATAGTCCCAGATTTAAGCAGTGGGTGGTTGGTTAATGGATACAACCATTTTTTGTAGCTCTCTTTCTGCACACGTCTCTGCAAAGTACTATGGAGATTATCAGAGTTGAGTATCATAGGATGATGACCTCACCTTTCCAACATGCTCCCCGACCCTGCTGCAATCCCGGCATCACCCTCCTTCTAAGCAGCTTCTCTGCTGAGTAATGCTCAGTTCCCAGGGTTTATTTTGGAACTTAAACTAAGAAAAAGAACAACTCAGAATTCACTTTCAACATTAAAAACATCCTAGCCTACCCACTCACCATTCCTGAAGCCCCCACACTCTCACACATCACTGTGTTCTAGATTAACACTTTCTTTTTCTGCCTTAGTACAGTCATTTCACATTATACTGGAGCATTTTGGAACCTATTTAAGGCCATTATTTAGGAGTCTCTGGCCTGGTGAGACCCAATAGGGTGTGTTGGAGAAAGGCCTTTTGAAACTTGGGGTTCTGTTTTTGGAGGTGATAGAATGTTCTTTCTGCTCCTTTGGGAACATTTCAACTAATGCTTCTTTTTTTAATTTTTATTTATTTATTATTATTATTATTGAGACGGAGTCTTGCTCTTTCGCCCAGGCTGGAGTGCAGTGGCGCTATCTCAGCTCACCGCAAGCTCCGCCTCCCAGGTTCGCGCCATTCTCCTGCCTCAGCCTCCCAAGTAGCTGGGACTACAGGCGCCCACCACCGCGCCCGGCTTAATATTTGTACTTTTAGTAGAGACGGGGTTTCACCGTGTTAGCCAGGATGGTCTCGATCTCCTGACCTCGTGATCCACCCGCCTCGGCCTCCCAAAGTGCTGGGATTACAGGCGTAAGCCACCACGCCCGACCACAACTAATGCTTCTTGACCCTTGGCTAGTAAGTAGCAGGGTGGAGGCTGTAGGCAGCTCTAATAGTCCTAAAATATCAGGCAGGGCTTGGGTAGAATGAGTAGAGAAAGTGATAGATCCATTAACGCATGGAAGAGTATCTGATTCTGTTAAAATACCTTCTTCCAATCTGAACTTTACTTTAAATCCAAATGGATTTCCAATCCATTTGCTCTCATTATCATCAGTATACTCGAGCACTGGGATCAGAGAAAAGAGATCCCTGTTACAGCATAGGAAAGTTATTTATTTATTTATTTATTATTACTTTTTTTGAGATGGAGTTTCGCTCTTGTTGCCCAGGCTGGAGTGCAATGGCGAGATCTCGGCTCACTGCAACCTCCACCTCCCAGGTTCAAGCAATTTTCCTGCCTCAGCCTCCCAAATAACTGGGATTACAGGCATGCGCCACCTCGCCTGGCTAATTTTGTATTTTTAATAGAGACAGGATTTCACCATGTTGGTTGGGCTGGTCTTGAACTCCTCACCTCCTGATCTGCCTGCCTCGGCCTCCCAAAGTGCTGGGATTATAGGCGTAAGCCACTGCACCTGGCTAGGAAAGTTCTTTTAGCACCTAGGTTTTGTTCTGAAGGAGAGGTAGGCTAGAGAGAAATGGATTGTTAAGGCTTACCTGTGGGCTAATATAAGGGAATGGCAAGGTATTAATTAAATAGTGAGGGAAAGTTAATCAGCAGCCTTGAATGGCTTTGTGTACAAAGCCCACCACTTGTGTACAGAGAAAGTAGATTGGTCTTTACCCTTGGGGAAACTCCTAGGTATGGGGACAGATTCTGGAAAAGAATGATTATTTGCAATTCAGTGGAACTGGTGAGGGAATGCTAATAGGAAAATCCAAGCTCTGACTGAGGCACGCATGGTGAGATGCCAGAGAGCTTCTGCTCCCCTCTACCACCACCTTGTCCTCCCCCTTTCCCCATGGTGGCAGCATGACACAGCAAGGCCCTGTTGAGTAGGCCTTGGATGCCCACAAAGGGTCTGGACAAAGGATGTTTGGGCGTGTCTGTGTGGCTCCGAGAGAGTGTATCTTTCTAATCTACATATTTGCTAATCATGTATCTCTAAGAACAGAGTGATAATTAGATATTGCCTTTGCCTAAAATACCTGGATAATTTAAAATGAAGGATAATGGGAAGCATTTATTGAATATATATTGTGGTACAAGGCACTGTCAACCCTTTAAGTAAATGATACCGTTTAAGATAATGATAGATGTAAAGATAGATGAAGTAGGGGTGGAGAGCATTTGTGGAGGGGAAGGGGAAGCTAGCCAAAAAAGGGGTCTTTTGCAAAATTTGGAGTATTTGATAATTAAATCCATACTATATTAAATCAAAAATTTCATTACTATTTACATTAGTGAATAGCACTTTAACTTCAATTTTCTGTGTAGTCTTATTTTATGTTCTTGACTTGATTTTAATGCCACATATGCTTGCATGCATGTGTTTCTTGAATGTATTTGGTACCCTGTGTACATGTCTCTGGGTCAATGACATAGAGGTTTTAGGCCTTCTGAGTTAATATTTCATAACATTTGCTTTAGCTTTTTAAATTGCAAGATAGCTCTGCCAAACCCTCAGGGACTATTTGAGCAGTTTTTTATTCATACTCTGGTTTTAAGACAAGGGGTCAATTTGTCAAAGAGCTTTTTGTTTTTCTCAGATTCTAGCTTGCTCTCTACTGCCCTTTGCTTTTCCCCATTCAGAAGGCAATAAGGCCATCCCTATACATAAAATACATTAACAGTGATCTGTAATCCCAAACTGATGGAGTTAGGTAAAACTCTACAGGGTGTTGGGGGAGATGCTGGAGGAAATAGAGTAGATGAAGCTGAGTAAAAGTTTAAGGAAGTCATCTGCAAGAGGTGAGTTTATAGTAGGATTTAGAAGGCAAGAAGGAAAATAGAAAGCAGAAAAGTCACGGAAGGTCTTTTCACACATACCATGAGCTATTAAACCAAAGTCAGGAGGAAGTCAAGTATTTTTAAGTATAATAGGAGTTTGGGCTAGGGGAACGGGGGTTCCTCTATAGACTTGGAGTTTTTTGTTTGTTTTGTTTTGTCTTTTTGTTTTTTGAGACAGGGTCTCACTCTATTCCCCAGGCTGGAGTGCAGCGGCACAATCTCAGCCCACTGGAACCTCTGCTTCCTAGGCTCAAGTGATTCTCCCACTCAGCCTCCCAAGTAGCTGGGACTACAGGCGTGCACCACCAGGCCCAGCTAATTTTTTGTATTTTTTGTAGACGGAGTTTTGCCATGTTGCCCAGGCAGGTCTGGAACTCCTAGTCTCAAGTCATCCGCCTGCCTTAGCCTCCCAAAGTGCTGGGAATACAGGTGTGAGCCACTGAGCTCTTGAATGGAGTCCTGAAATGTGGAAAGTCTTTTTTTTAAGACAGAATCTTGCTCTGTTGCCCAGGTTGGAAGGCTCACTGCAACCTCACCCTGCTGGATTCCAGCAATTCTCGTGCCTCAGCCTCCCTAGTAGCTGGGACCACAGGCACAAACCACCATGCCTGGCTAACATTTTGTATTTTTAGTAGAGGCAGGGTTTCCCCATGTTGGACAGGCTGGTCTCAAACTCCTGGCCTCAAGTGATCCACCCACTCTGCCTCCCAAACTTCTGAGATCACAGGCATGAGCCACCACACCTGGCTGAAATGCGGAAAGTATTTTAAGGTGGAGAATGGAGAGAGTTAAGCAAGACAGGAATGAGCATAACTGTAACAGAGGATATACCACTGCTGGGAAGAATGGGCTAGATTTTGGAAGGCCTTGAAAATCAGACCCAAGATCAATTTGATGCAATAGATGGTAAATAAGTCATTCCAAGATGGGAAGTTTAGAAAATAGTAGAAATTCGGCCGGGCGCGGTGGCTCACACCTGTAATCCCAGCACTTTGGGAGGCCGAAGCAGGCAGATCACGAGGTCAGGAGATCGAGACCATCCTGGCTAACATGGTGAAACCCCGTCTCTACTAAAAAATACAAAACATTGGCCGGGCGTGGTGGTGGGCACCTGTAGTCCCAGATACTCGGGAGGCTGAGGCAGGAGAATGGTGTGAGCCCAGGAGGTGGAGCTTGCAGTGAGCCAAGATCGTGCCACTGCACTCCAGCCTGGGCGACAGAGCAAGACTCCGTCTCATTGAGAGAAAAAAAAAAAAAAAGTAGAAATTCATAATAAAGGGTTTCTGAAGCTTGTCCAAGGGAACTTGGATTCTCTCCAGAGGCAATTGGGGATGGTGAGTTTCTTTTTTTTCCTCCCCAAATTCCTTTTTACTGGTGGGATTGGAGGATATACAATTTTCTTTCTTTAATAGAAAAAAAAAAAAAAAAGAAATTCCTTTTTACCAGTATGTGGAGTATCTAAGCAAGGAAAGGCCATGGGCCACAAAGAAGTTGCTGTAGCATGAAGACTGACAAGTGGTTTCTTTCTAGGAAGCTATGAGGGACCCTGTGAGTAGCCAGTACAGTTCCTTTCTTTTCTGGAGGATGCCCATCCCAGAACTGGATCTGTCGGAGCTGGAAGGCCTGGGTCTGTCAGATACAGCCACCTACAAGGTCAAAGACAGCAGCGTTGGCAAAATGATCGGGCAAGCAACTGCAGCAGACCAGGAGAAAAACCCTGAAGGTGATGGCCTCCTTGAGTACAGCACCTTCAACTTCTGGAGAGCTCCCATTGCCAGCATCCACTCCTTCGAACTGGACTTGCTCTAAGGCCAAGACTTCTCTCTCCCATCACCTTGCCCTCATTGTCTTCCCTCTCAAGCCCCTTCCTTTCCACTCCTTTCCCATTTTAATCTTGTTCTCTCCCTACTGTGTTGGTGGTGCTGATGAATCTGCCAGAGTTGAGTTCTATGTATTTATTTATCTATCTGTCTACTCCATTTCTCTCAAAAGCCCTCAAGTCACAAAGTAAATGGTTCAAGCAATGGAGTACTGGGTCACAGGGATTCCTCCTTTCCCCCCCAAATATTAACTCCAGAAACTAGGCCTGACTGGGGACACCTGAGAGTAGTATAGTAGTGCAAAATGGAAGACTGATTTTTGACTCTATTATAATCAGCTTCAGAGATTCCTTAAACCTTCCTAATTTCCTGCTCCAGGGCAGTAAACACAAATATTTCTTCAAGGGGTGATGAAAACCTCGGAAGTTTTAATTTGAGGTTATCTGCTACGAAACAGTATTTCTAAAAGGCTAAAGTGATAAGTCTCTTGCTTTTTTTTGATCCTGCTCTTATATTC
This sequence comes from Homo sapiens, assembly GCF_000001405.40. Classification (NCBI taxonomy): domain Eukaryota; kingdom Metazoa; phylum Chordata; class Mammalia; order Primates; family Hominidae; genus Homo; species Homo sapiens. Next base: position 151,068,026 of record NC_000001.11, read on the forward strand.
TTTTTTTTCCTCAGAGAAATCAGGAGGGTAGTTAGAGGTATAAAACAGGAGGAAATATTATGGAAAATGAAAATAGGGAAAATAATTGAATCATTTTAGAAGTAGCTAATTTCTTTTCTCAAAAGAGTGTCCCTTCTTCACACCTACTCACTTTACAACTTTGCTCCTAACTGTGGGTTGAAAACTCTAGCTAAAGAAAGTTATCAAATCTTAACATGCATTCCTACTATTATGATAGTTTTTAAGGTTTCAATTCAATCTTCTGAACGGCATAAGTCCTATTTTAGCCTTACCTCCTGCATTTGCAATACGTAATACTGATCAGTGGGCACAGTTCTTCAGCTACATTGAGACCCTGAAATGAACAATTATATTCTGACTCGACATCTTGTCCCCAATCCTTCCAAAAATATTGATGGTGATTTGTGCTACCATTTACTCGTTTATTTAATAAAGACATTCAATCCCAGGACTGGAGTCTAATTTTCTCTCTTCACAAGAAAAGCCACAGAAATCTGAGAAATTAGCCTTGCTTTCACACTTAGCTTATACATCTTTTTTTTCTTTTTTATTTTTGAGACAGGGTCCCACTCTGTCACCCAGGCTGGAGTGCAGTGGCGGGGATCACCGCTCACTGCAACCTCCACCCACCAGGGTCAAGGGATCCTCCCACCTCAGGCTCCCAGGTAGCTGGGATTACAGGCGCCTGCCACCAGGCCTGGTTAATTTTTGTATTTTTCATAGAGACGGGGTTTCACCATGTTGGCCAGGCTGGTCTCTAACTCCTGACCTCAGGTGATCTGCCCGCCTTAGCCTCTCAAAGTGCTGAGATTACAGGCGTGAGCCACTGAGCCCGGCCTCATTTTATCTTTCTATAATAATATTCAACTTAGAGGAAGAATGATTTGAGTAGCATTTAGACATTAGATGGTGAACTTCGCATTGAACAGATAATGAAAGGGCAAAATCAACTTAAAATTAGAAAAGTAGTTAGGGAGACAGGTACAACCACTCTTCTGCTTGCCCACTGACTACCAACATTATATTTCAGGTAATAATTCTCCTAGGTGCCTAAGAAGATAAACGAATTCACTCAAATATGTTATCTGCTTAACTTCTGGTTTTTGTGTGCCTGCTATAGGAAAGCACTGAGCCAAACAGAATGTAAACGGGAATGAGACAAGACTCCAACTCTCAAAAGAGAAACTGTAAATACCAATATGGATAGGACAGAATTGGGCAGTGTACTATAAATAAGGATGACACTATACCCTAAATAAGGATGATCTAGAGAAGTCCCCAGGTGGGAGAAAAAAAGACAAATCCTCCCTCTAGGCCATGAAAAGCCCACATCTAAAGACGGTCCCAGTCTAACGAAGAATGGGGCCAGGAAGGATAAGTAGTGCGTCCTTTTCTATTTTTACTGAGTTTTGAAGGGCCCCTTCAGAGTCCTTCAGCCATGGCAATTGGTGGGTGGAGACAGGGATCAACTGTTTGGTAAATAAAGTGACTAAATGGATTTGCAAACTCATGCTCCATCCTCTTGCAGGCCTCCAAAAAGAAATGACTCAGGCCGGGCGCGGTGGCTCACGCCTGTAATCCCAGCACTTCGGGAGGCCGAGGCGGGCCAATCACTTGAGGTCAGGAGTTCGAGACCAGCCTGGCCAACATGGTAAAATAAAACCCCATCTCTACTAAAAATACAAAAATTAGCCCAGCGTGGTGGCGGACGCCTGTAATCCCAGCTGCTGGGGAGGCTGAGGCAGGACAATCACTTGAACCCGGGAGGCAGAGGTTGCAGCGAACCGAGGTCACGCCACTGCACTTCAGCCTGGGCGACGGACGAAGCGAGACTCCGTCTCAAAAAAAAAAGGCCGCGCGCGGTGGGTCACGCCTGTAATCCCAGCACTTTGGGAGGCCGAGGCGGGTGGATCACGATGTCAGGAGATCGAGACCATCCTAGCTAACACGGTGAAACCCCGTCTCCACTAAAAATACAAAAAAATCTCCGGGCGTGGTGGCGGGCGCCTGCAGTCCCAGCTACTCCGGAGGCTGAGGCAGGAGAATGGCGTGAGCCCGGGAGACGGAGCATGCAGCGAGCCGAGATCGAGCCACTGCACTCCAGCCTGGGCGACAGAGCGAGACTCCGTCTCAAAAAAAAAAAAGAAAGAAAGAAAAGAAATGACTCAGTTATTTGTTTCACTGTTCTCACTGACAGCTTGGCTCTGGGGTCCTTACATTCGGCCTGTAACTGGAAAAATGTGTCCATCAGGCACCAGAACCCAATGCACAAAGCCAGGAACGTCCCAAACAGCTGCAGCCGAGGTTGGGATAAGGAAACGAGGCTTTCCTGTCAAACTAAACCTGGCCGCCCCGGACCCCGAAGAAGCAGCCAAGAGTTAAGACGCAATCTGCATGACTGACGCACGCTCCGAGTCTCCCTCAGCAGTTCGCCAGGTTCTTGGCGCCAACACCAGACCTAGGATCCGTCCCCTGCTGGAACTATTCAGACGCGCAAGATACGTAACCAGCAGTCCTCCGCCCCGTTAAATAGTCCTGCCTAGCATGCCTCGGTGACGCACTTTTCCACCTCAGAAGTGCCTCAGCAGAAAGGCGATGAACCTCGGGGGTGCATCATCTTTCTGTTAGAATGGGAGCATGAGTTTTCTGATCATTTTCCCTTCACAGATTCCTCCGCCAGAAATCTTACTCGCGGCGCCTTCATTTCCGGGTCCGCCATTTTGTTGCCTCTGTTTCTCCACGAGGGGGGGTTAAAGGCCCCCAAAACATGCACACATGAAAAGGGCAAAAAGTAACCGTCCTTGACAGGGAGTCTTAACTAGAGAAGGAAACGGGACTAAACTGGCGGGCTCCGTGGAAGCGTGGCCGGCAGCGTCCCGGACGAGGAGGTGAGGAGGAAAGAAGAGATGTGTGGACTCCGGGGGGCGTCAGGGCTGGAAAGGAAAGTGCCGTGAGAAGTCACACCGCTTCCCAGCCCAGCCTCGGACTTCTGGGTGCAGACCTCGCGGCTCCCCGTCACTGAAGCGGGGGCAGCGGCGGGAGGGGGACGGGGAGGAAGGGGATGCTGTCGGGAGGAAGGGGAGGGGACTGGAAGGAGGTGAAGAAGGGGGTGGGTGTAAGACCTGGGGCTGGGGAGCTGGACCAAGGGAAGCCCAGGCCGCGGAGGTGACCACTAGGGGGCGGCGCGGAGCCGGGGCCGAGGCCTGTCGCCGAGGCTGAGTTTGGCCCCCTGCCCCAAATTGGTTCCCATCTTTCAGACAGACATTGGTGTGAGGAACTGTAGGGTTTATGATAGAGAGGGAAACGGCGACTCTCATTATCTGACCCAAATAATGACCTGAAAGATTACTAGTGAACTCGGTAATCTGAATGAGAGCAGTACGGGCCCCGCCTCTGCTTTTTTGCTCTTTTTTTTTTTTTTTTCAAAACTGAGTCTTGCTCTGTCACCCAGGCTGGAGTGCAGTGGCGCGATTTCGGCTCACTGCAACCTGCAGCTCACTGCAACCTCCGCTTCCCGGGTTCAAGCGATTCTCCTGCCTCAGCCTCCCGAGTAGCTGGGATTACAGGCGTGCGCCACCATGCATGGCTAATTTTTGTATATTTTTAATAGAGACGGGGTTTCACCATGTTAGCCAGGCTGGTCTCGAACTCCTGACCTTAGGGGATCCCCCCGCCTTGGCCTTCCAAAGTGCTGGGATTGCAGGCGTGAGCCACGGCTCCCGGCCTCGCCTCTGCTTCTTTCACAGTTGTTTGTACAGCTGGCCGCCCAGTGGGGACTTGAGCAATACTAAAAGAACCATAGATTCTTCCATTGCAATTCTTTCCGTTGGCTGTCTCCTGTTTTCACATACTTCCTTGAGCCAGAGGTCATCCCATTCCTCTCCCTTTTCCCAAAAGGGCTTTCTCTCTAGGGGGTCCCCCCCAACCCAACGTCTTTGGAAAAGGACAGTCTATGGCTTACTATCAACGATGTAACAAAATTTTGGCCATCCAAGACCATATTTTCATCTAATCACTTGGTCCACCCAATCCAGTAGAGATGTTCTTAGGCATGTATTTTCACACGTGCTTTGATGACAATAAAGAGAAAACTGCCCCATCCAGATTCTTAAATAAACAAAAGTAATTACTCTAATTATCTTGGATAATAGAGTACTTTGTTGTCAAGAGCTCAAGCACTTCATGAATTATTAAAACACACACTTATTGAAAGGTTTTGGCCGGGCGCAGTGGCTCACGCCTGTAATCCCAGCATTTTGGGAAGCTGAGGTGGGAGGATCCCTTGAGCCCTGGAGTTCTAGACCAGCCTGGGCGAAATAGGGAGACCCCTGTCGGTACAGAGAAAAAAAAATTATTTTTAATCAGCTGGGCGTGGTAGTGCCCACTGGTGGTCCCAGCTACTCGGGAAACTGAGGTGGGAGGATCGCTTGAGGTCGAGGCTGCAGTGAGCCGTGATTGCACCACTGCACTCCAGCCTGGACCACAGAGTGAGGCCCTGTCTCTTTAAAAAACAAACAGGCCGGGCGTGGTGGCTCTGGCCTGTAATCCCAGCACTTTGGGAGGCCGAGGTGGGTGGATCACCTGAGGTCAGGAGTTCGACACCAGCCTGGCTAACATGGTGAAACCCCATTTCTACTAAAAATACAAAAAATTAGCCGGGCGTGGTGGCACACACCTGTAATCCCAGCTACCCAGGAGGCTGAGGCAGGAGAATGGCTTGAACCCAGCAGGCAGAGGTTGCAGTGAGACAAGATCGCGCCATTGTACTCCAGCTTGGGCAACAGGAGCAAAACTCCATCACAAACAAACAAACAAACAAACATACTTTATCCAGTCCCCTATTGATATATATTTAGGTTCTTTTCAATCTTTTTATTTCTTTTTATTTTTAGTTTTACTTTTAGAGACAGGGTCTTGCTCAGTACTTTATCCCATCCCCTATTGACATATATTTAGGTTCTTTTCCATCTTTTTTTATTTTTTTGTTTTTAGAGACAGCGTGTTGCTCAGTCACCCAGGCTGGAGTGCAGTGATCATAGCTCATCGCATCCTTGAACTCCTGGGCTTAAGCTATCCTCCCGCCTTAGCCTCCTGAATAGCTAGGACCACAGGTATGGGCCACCACACCCTGCTAATTTTTTTATTTTTGTATTTTTGTAGAGACAGAGTCCCTCTGTGTTGTCCCGGCTGGGATCAAATTCCTGGCTTCAACTGATCCTCCTGCTTTGGCTTCCCAAAGCACTGGGATTTATTTTATTCATCTCCAAAATCCTAGAAGGCAAGTGAGACAGATTTTGTTTCCTCAGTTTATGTATAGGGAAAGTGGAGGTACAGCCAGCAAGGGAGAACATGTTAGTTGTCTGTAGTCAAGGAGTCAGAAGTGCCTAGACTGTTTTCTGATGTATCAGGCTTCATCTCTTGTCTGGTTGATGGGCCACCAGGCAGGTATTGACCACCTGCCAGAACCAGCATGGACAAGATACTGGGAGAATGGCATATAGTTCCCCTCAAAATGCTGTGTTTTTTGTTTGTTTTTTGTTGTTTTGTTTTGTTTTATTTTAAGTGAAAGCAAGTTGCTTGAGAAAGTAAAGGAAGGCCGGCGCGGTGGCTCATCCCCGTAATCCCAGCACTTTGGGAGGCTGAGGCGGGCAGATCACAAGGTCAGGAGTTCAAGACCAGCCTGGCCAACATGGTGAAACCCCGTCTCTAATAAAAATACAAAAATTAGCTGGGCATGGTGGCGTGCATCTGTAGTCCCAGCTACTTGGGAGGCTGAGGCAGGAGAATCACTTGTACCCAGGAGGCAGAGTTTGCAGTGAGCCAAGATCGCGCCACTGTACTCCAGCCTGGTGACAGAGCAAGTCTCTGGCTAAAAAAGAAAGTAAAGAAAAAAAGAATAGCTACTCCATGGGCAGTATTATTATGGTTATTTCTTTTTTTTTTTTTTTTTTTGAGAGTCTTGCTCTGTCGCCCAGGCTGGACTGCAGTGGCGCTATCTCGGCTCGCTGCAAGCTCCGCTTCCTAGTTCATGCCATTCTCCTGCCTCAGCCTCCTGAGTAGCTGGAATTACAGTCACCTGCCACGGCGCCCGGCTAATTTTTTGTATTTTTAGTAGAGACGGGGTTTCACCATGTTAGCCAAGATGGTCTCGATCTCCTGACCTCGTGATTCTCCCGCCTCAGCCTCCCAAAGTGCTAGGATTACAGGCGTGAGCCACCGCGCCCGGCTGGTTATTTCTTGATTGTATGCTAAACATGCTTCCGCTTTTTTTTTTTTTTTTTCCAGACGGAGTCTCGCTCTGTCGCCCAGGCTGGAGTGCAGTGGCGTGATCACGGCTCACTGCAAGCTCCACTTCCTGGGTTCACGCCATTATCCTGCCTCAGCCTCTCGAATAGCTGGGACTGCAGGCCCCCGCCACCATGCCCAGCTAATTTTTTTTTTTTTTTGTATTTTTAGTAGAGACGGGGTTTCACCACGTTAGCCAGGATGGTCTCGATCTCCTGACCTCATGAGCCGCCCTCCTCAGCCTCCCAAAGTGCTGGGATTACAGGCGTGAGCCACCGCACCCAGCAGCCTCCTCTTTTTAGACCATATAGGGTAACTTCCTGACATTGCCATGGCATTTGTAAGCTGCCATGGCATGGCACTGGTGGGAGTGTAGCAGAGAGAACAACCAGAGGTCACTCTTGTCCTCTTGTCGCCATCTTGCTTTTGGTGGGTTTTAGCCAGCTTCTTTACTATGGCCTGTTTTATCAGCAAAGTCTTTATGATCTGTATCTCGTGCTGACCTCCTATCTCATCCTGTAACTAAGAATGCCTTAACTGACTGGGCACAGTGGCTCACACCACTTTGGGAGGCCGAGGTGGGTGGATCACTTGAGGTCAGGAGTTCAAGACCAGCCTGGCCAACATGGTGAAACCCTGTCTCTACTAAAAATACAAAAATAAGCCAGGCAGTAGTGGCACACGCCTGTAATTCCAGCTACTCGGGAGGGTGAGGCAGGAGAATTGCTTGAGCATTAGAGGCAGAGGTTGTGGCGAGCCGAGATCGTGCCACCGCACTCCAGTCTGGGCGACAGAGTGAGACAGTCTCAAAAAACAAAACAAGGGCCAGGCGCAGTGGCTCATGCCTGTAATCCCAGCTCTTTGGGAGGCTGAGGCGGGCAGAGGTCAGGAGATCAAGACCATCCTGGCTAACACGGTGAAACTCCATCTGTACTAAAAATACAAAAAATTGGCCGGGCACGGTGGCTCATGCCTGTAATCCCAGCACTTTGGGAGGCCCAGGAGGGCAGATCACGAGGTCAGGAGATCGAGACCATCCTGGCTAACATGGTGAAACCCCATCTCTACTAAAAATACAAAAAATTAGCCGGGCATGGTGGCGGGCGCCTGTAGTCCCAGCTACTCGGGAGGCCGAGGCAGGAGAATGGCGTGAACCCAAGAGGCGGAGCTTGCAGTGAGCCGAGATTGTGCCACTGCACTCTAGCCTGGGCGACAGAGCGAGACTTTGTCTCAAAAAAAAAAAAAAAAAAAAAAAAAAATTTAGCCAGGTGGGAGACTGGGACAGGAGAATCGCTACAACCTGGGAGGCGGAAGTTGCAGCGAGCTGAGACTGCACCACTGGACTCCAGCCTAGGCAACAGAGCGAGACTTCATCTCAAAAAAACCCCCCCCAAAAAAACCCAAAAAAACACAAAACAAAACAAAAAAAGAATGCCTTAATGGGAATGCAGCCCAGTAGGTCTCAGCCTTATTTCACCCAACTCCTATGCAAGATGGAGTTGCTCTGGTTCAAACACCTCTGACATTTCTCCCATCCCTTTTATTAGAGAACCCTTAATCCTAGGGGTTACAAAGAAATAAAGATCCATCTTCTGTAACTTTTTCAGGGTGAATAGGGGCGATGATATTCCTGCCTGACTCTTAGGGTCTCTTGTATTCAGGGTTCAGAGAGGAGCTCAGTCAGAAAGCATCAGTATGGTGAGAGCTATTCATAACTCCAACAAAAGGTGATATCTGGAAGATTAAAAGGTGTTCAGTTTAAGAAAACATTCAGTAAGCTTATCCTGCATTCCTACACAAAGAGTACAACAGCAATATACTCCTCAACAGTAAAGCAAAATAAGCAAAACTATCCCAAGTAAATTAAATAAGAAGGTTTTCCATGAACTGGGCAACTGTTGGAACCAAGCTGATTTGGGGTTACTAGCTGATTCCAGTATGTGCCCAGAATTAGAATATTGATCCAGATTTTTACATTACCCATTCCTTTTGTTTCTTGTGAGCAGCAGCCAGAGATCACTGGTTGGTTCACAGGAATAAGCAGAGTTAATCTAAGTTGCAGAAAAAAACTTAAAAACAACTGATGAGACTAGAATTTTTATTTTTTTTATTTTTTGAGACAGAGTCTTATTCAGTCACCTAGGCTGGAGTGCAGTGGCACAATCTTGGTTCACTGCAAGCTCTGCCTCCTGGGTTCAAGCAATTCTCCTGCATCAGCCTCCGGAGTAGCTGGGATTACAGGCATATGCCACCACGTCCGGCTAATTTTTGTATTTTTAGTAGAAACGGGCTTTCACCATGTTGGCCAGGCTGGTCTCGAACACCTGACCTCAGGTGATCCACCCGCCTCAGCCTCCCAAAGTGCTGGGATTACAGGTGTGAGCCACTGTGCCTTGCCAGTCTCCCATTTTTACTAAAGGCAAATCATGGTAAAATAGATTGGCTTTATTAAACTTGGTCTGATTTTTTTTTTTTTTTTTGAGATGGAGTCTCACTCTGTCGCCCAGGCTGGAGTGCAGTGGCGCAATCTCGGCTCACTGCAAGCTCCACCTCCTGGGTTCATGCCATTCTCCTGCCTCAGCCTCCCGAGTAGCTGGGACTACAGGTGCCTGCCACCACACCCGGCTAATTTTTTGTATTTTTAGTAGAGACGGGGTTTCACTGTGTTAGCCAGGATGGTCTCAATCTCCTGACCTCGTGATCCGCCCTCCTGGGCCTCCCAAAGTGCTGGGATTACACTTGGTCTGATTATTTGTATAAAGTGCAGCAAGAATAATGATTTTTCACATAGGCTTTTTAAATTGGCTTTGAAAGAACTTTGTTCCGTAAAAGGAATCTCACATAAGACTTACAAAGCCAATTAAAGCCCGTTGGGAAAACTGGCCTCATACCTTGTCTAAAGTCCCTGTACAGGGTTCCTGATCTGTGGTAAGTAAAGAGTGTCACTTTCTGACTTTCTGACAGGCCCAGGAGCCCCACATTATCCTGGGACCTCAGGAGGGGAGGAATTTATCCAACTCATAGGTTTTTTTTTTTTTTTTTTTGAGATGGAGTCTCACTCTCTCACCAGGCTGGAGTGCAGTGGCGCAATCTCGGCTCACTGCAGCCTCTACCTCCCGGATTCAAGTGATTCTTCTGCCTCAGCCTCCTGAGTAGCTGGGACTACAGGCATGCAACACCACGCCCAGCTAATTTTTGTATTTTTAGTAGACACAGGGTTTCACCATGTTGGCCAGAATGGTCTTGTTCTCTTGACCTTGTGATCCGCCGCGCCCGGCCACTCATAGGTATTTGAGGGTATAAACCCATGGCTGGGCTCAGCTTTAAAAAAAAAAGAGAGGCCAGGCGCAGTGGCTCACGCCTGTAATCCCAGCACTTTGGGAAACCGAGGCAGGTGGATCACAAGGTCAGGAGTTCAAGACCAGCCTGACCAACATGGTGAAACCCTGTCTCTACTAAAAATACAAAAATTAGCCGGGCATGGTGGCACGTGCCACCTAATCCTAGCTATTCAGAAGGCTGAGACAGGAGAATCGCTTGAACCCAGGAGGCTGAGGGTGCAGTGAGCCAAGATCACACCATTGCACTCCAGCCTGGGCAACAGAGCAAGACTCAGTCTCAAAAAATAATAATTTTCTTTAGAATAATAAAAATAAAGGCCGGGCACGGTGGCTCACGCCTGTAATCCCAGCACTTTGGGAGGCTGAGGCAGGTGGATCCCCTGAAGTCAGGAGTTCAAGCCTCGCCTGACCAACATGGTGAAATCCTGTCTCTACTAAAAATACAAAATTATCCAGTTGTGGTGGCACGAGCCTGTAGTCCGAGCTACTCAGGAGGCTGAGACAGGAGAATTGCTTGAACCTGAGAGGTGGAGGCTGCAGTGAGCCGAGATCACACCACTGCACTCCAGCCTGGGTGAGACAGAGTGAGACTTCAACTCGAAAAAAAAAAAAAAAGAGTAAGAATAAAAATTCATTTTACACTGGGCGCGGTGGCTCACGCCTGTAATCCCAGCACTTTGGGAGGCCAAGGCGGGCGGATCACGAGTTCAGGAGATCGAGCCCATCCTGGCTAACACGGTGAAACCGTGCTTCTACTAAAAATCCAAAAAATTAGCCGGGCATGGTGGCGGGTGCCTGTAGTCCCAGCCACTCAGGAGGCTGAGGCAGGAGAATGGCATGAATCCGGGAGACGGAGCTTGCAGTGAGCCGAGATCGCGCCACTGCACTCTAGCCTGGGCCACAGAGCAAGACTCCGTCTCAAAAAAAAAATAGAAAAAAAAATTCATTTTACTTTTTCTTTTTTTGTTTTTGTTTGTTTGTTTGTTTGAGACAGTCTCGCTCTGTTACCCAGGCTGGAGGGCAGTGGCACAATCTTGGCTCACTGCAACCTCTGCCTCCCAGGTTCAAGTGATTCTCCTGCCTCAGCCTCCTGAGTAGCTGGGAGTACAGGCGTGCACCACCACACCTGGCTAATTTTTGTATTTTTAGTACAGGCGGGGTAGTAAAATTTTGTATTTTAGTAGGGGCGGGATTTCACCATGTTGGCCAGGCTGGTCTCCAACTCCTGCCCTCAAGTGACCCGCCTGCCTCTGCCTCCCAAAGTGCTGGGATTACAGTCGTGAGCCACTGTGCCTGGCTACATTTTACTTTTTCTTAAGATGGATGCTTCAGGTTAACTCAAAAGAGTAACTGAGGATAGGAGGAGAAAATAGCCTTGAAGAACGCATTTCTATATCTTTCTTATATTAGGAGGTAAATATAGCACCCTATTTACATTCTAATCCCAAAGTTTAATTATATCTCTATATAGTAAGAAATAGGGCTTTAAAATCATGGCTTGTTGAAAGAATGGGATGACAGATTTGGGTTGGTTGTCATTTAGTAGTATTGATATGTGACAGAAAGATGATTAAAGAAGAGTGATAGGCCAGGTGCAGTGGCTCACGCCTGTAATCCCAGCACTTTGGGAGGCTGAGGCTGGCGGGTTACTTGAGGTCAGGGGTTCAAGACCAGCCTGGCCTAACCTGGTGAAACACTGCCTCTACTAAAAATGCATAAATTAGCCAGGCGTGGTAGTAGGTGCCTGTAATCCCAGCTACTCAGGAGGCGAGGCAAGAGAATCGCTTGAATCCAGGAGGCAGAGGTTGCAGTGAGCCATGATTATGCCACTGCACTCCAGCCTGGGAAACAGAGTGAGACCCTGTCTCAGTAAATAAATATATAAATACGATAAATGTAGATATGAAAGCAGACTACAGTATAAAACACTGCTCAGAAACATTTTGCGACCGGGCGCAGTGGCTCAGGCCTGTATCCCAGCACTTTGGGAGGCCGAGGCAGCGAATCACCTGAGGTCAGGAGTTCGAGGGGCTGACCAACATGGTGAAACCCTGTCTGTACTAAGAATACAAAATTAGCTGGGCATGGTGACACATGCCTGTAATACCAGCTACTCGGGAGGCTGAGGCAGGAGAATCGCTTGAACCTAGGAGGCGGAGATTGCAGTGAGCTGAGATTGCACCATTGCACTCTAGCCTGCGTAACGAGCAAAACTCTGTCACACACACACACAAAATAATAACAATAATAATAATAAAACATTGCCGGGCACAGTGGCTCATGCCTGTAATCCCAGCACTTTGGGAGGCTGAGGCTGGTGGATCGCGAGGTCAGGAGTTCAAGACCAGCCTGGCCAAGGTGGTGAAACCCCATCTCTACTAAAAATACAAAAATTAGCCAAGCGTGGTGGCACACGCCTGTATTCCTAGCTACTTGGGAGGCTGAGGTAGGAGAATCGCTTGAACTTTGGAGGCAGAGGTTGCGGTGAGCCAAGATCATGCCATTGCACTCCAGCCTGGGCAACAAGAGCCAAACTCCATCTCAAAAAAAAAAAAAAAAAAAAAAAAAAAAACAATAATTAGCTGGGTATGGTGGTGGGCAGGCCAAGCTGGGCAAATCACCTGAGGTCAGGAGTTCAAGACCAGCCTGACAAACATGGAGAAACCCTGTCTCTACTAAAAATACAATATTAGCTGGGCATGGTGGCACATGCCTGTAATCCCAGGTACTCGGGAGGCTGAGGCAGGAGAATCGCTTCAACCCAGGAGGCAGAGGTTGCAGTGAACTGAGATCATTCCACTGCACTCCAGCCTGGGCAACAAGAGCAAAACTCCATCTCTAAATAAATAAATAAATAAATAAATAAATAAATAAATAAAATAAAAAGGGTTTAGGCCAGGTACAGTGGCTCACGCCTGTAATCCCATCACTTTGGGAGGCCAAGACAAGCAGATCACTTGAGGTCAGGAGTTCAAGACCAGCCTGGCCAAGATGGTGAAACCCCATCTCTACTAAAAATACAAGTATTAGCTGGGCATGGTGGCGTGGCACCTCTAATCCCAGCTACTCGGGAGACTGAAACACAAGAATCACTTGAACCCAGGAGGTGGAGGTTGGAGGTTGCAGTGAGCCGAGATTGCGCCACTGCACTCCAGCCTGGGTAATAGAGGAAGACTATGTCTCACAAAAAAAAAATAAAAAAGAAAGGTTTTTTTTTTGAGACGGAGTCTCGCTCTGTCCCCCAGGCTGGAGTGCAGTGGCTCAATCTCGGCTCACTGCAACCTCTGCCTCCCGGGTTCACGCCATTCTCTTGCCTCAGCCTCCCGAGTAGCTGGGACTACACGGGCCCACCACCACGCCCAGCTAATTTTTTTGTATTTTTAGTAGTGACGGGGTTTCACCATGTTAGCCAGGATGGTCTCGGTCTCCTGACTTCGTCATCCGCCCGTCTCGGCCTCCCAAAGTGCTGGGATTACAGGCATGAGCCACCACACCCGGCCAACATAAAACATTTTTATAAAAAATATATCTTCAGGCCTGGTGTGGTGGCTCATGCCTATAATCCCAGCACTTTGGGAGGCTGAGGCCAGCGGATCACTTGAGTTCAGGAGTTTGAGACCAGCCTGGACAACATGGTGAAACCCCGTCTCTACTAAACATAGAAAAATTAGCCAGGCATGGTGGTGCACACCTGTAATGCCAGCTACTTGGGAGGCTGAGGCACAAGAATCACTTAAACACTGGAGGCGGAGGTTGCAGTGAACCGAGATTGTGTCACTGCCCTCCAACCTGGGCAACAGAGCAGCGAAACCCTGTCTCAACCCCAAAAAAGAAACAAAGAAACAAACCGTATATATATATCTTCAGAGTTAAAAAATGGTGAGAACAAGAGCATTGTTTTATATATTTTTTCAACTCTCTTTAACTTCTGGCTTAATAGAAGACAGCTGCATTCTCATTATTATTTATTTTTTTTTTTTTAGATGGTGTCTCGCTCTGTCACCCATGCTGGAGTGCAGTGGCGTGACCTTGGCTCACTGCAACCACCACCTCCCAGGTTCAAGCAATTCTTCCGCCTCAGCCTCCCGAGTAGCTGAGACTGCAGACGTGCACCACCATGCCCAGCTAATTCTTTTGTATTTTTTGAAAAGACAGAGTTTCACTATGTTGGCCAGGCTGCTCTCGAACTCCTGACCTTAGGTGATCTGCCCGCCTCAGTCTCCCAAAGTGCTGGGTTTACAGGCGTGAGCCACCGCACCCAGTTGATAGCTTCATTCTTATATCTACTTCATTCTGTTACAATATGTACTTGTCGAAGGAAAGAGTATTATAATAACTTTTTCCAGTAACAGTGAGTATTCTTTGATACTGCACAAAAACTTGACAAGTGGTAATTTCTTTTTCTTTTTTTTTTTTTTTTTTGAGATGGAGTCTCACCCTGTTGCCCAGACTGGAGTGCAGTGGTGCGATCTCGGCTCACCACAACCTCTACCTCCCGGGTCCAAGCGATTCTTCTGCCTCAGCCTCCCAAGTAACTGGGACTACAGGCACATGCCACCATGCCCAGCTAATTTTTGTATTTTTAGTAGAGATGGGGTTTCACCATGTTGGCCAGGCTGGTCTCAAACTCCTGACCTCAGATGATCCACCCGCTTTGGCCTCCCAAAGTGCTAGGATTACATGCGTGAGCCACTGCGTCTGGCCAACAAGTGGTAATTTCTTTTTTTTTTTTTTTTTTTTTTTTTTTGAGACGGAGTCTTGCTCTGTCGCCCAGGCTGGAGTGTGGTAGCTCGATCTCGGCTCACTGCAGGCTCCGCCTCCTGGGTTCATGTGATTCTCTTGCCTCAGGCCTCCTGAGTAGCTGGGACTACAGGCGCCCACCACCATGCCCAGCTAATTTTTTTTTTTTTGTATTTTTAGTAGAGATGCGGTTTCACTGTGTTAACCAGGATGGTCTCAATCTCCTGACCTTGTGATCCGCCCACCTCAGCCTCCCAAAGTGCTGGGATTATAGGCATGAGCCACTGTGCCAGGCCAACAAATGGTAATTTCTTAAAAGTTAGTTTACGAAGGCAGGAGGATTGCTTGAGGCCAGGAGTTTGAGACCAGCCTGGGCAATATAACAAAACTGCACCTCTACAAAAAACTAAAAAATTAGTCAGGCATGGTTGTGTGCACCTGTAGTCCTAGCTACTCAAGAGGCTGAGGACGGAGGATTGCTTGAGCCCAGGAGTTCAAGGCTGCAGTGAGCTATGATCATACCACTGCACTCTAGCCTGGGCAACAGAAAAAGACCCTGTCTCAAAAAAAAAAAAAAGAAAAGAAAAAGTTAGTTGCAATGAGGAATTTGAAAACACATCAGTGAATTTTTCTATTCTGTAACCTTAAAACCCATTGATCTTTCACTTTGAATTGTTTCACTTGTGCATGATTTCATTACATTAAACATTGGTCATTTGGAAAGTATTGGTTCACCAAATTGTATAGGTCATCTAAATATTGATGCATTTTATTATACAATGTCAAAAAATCACATTAATATTACCACTTATTTCATCAGGAAAGTCTTTAATGTGAGTTACCAAGTTGATGGTGGTGGTTATAGATTTTCCAAAATTCTAATTTTTGCTTGAAAGCTCAAATTGTAATTGATAATTGGCAATAAATACTGTCAATTGGCTGGGCGCGGTGGCTCACGCCTGTAATCCCAGCACTTTGGGAGGCTGAGGCAGGCAGATCACCTGAGGTCAGGAGTTTGAGGACAGCCTGGCCAACATGGCGAAAACCTGTCTCTACTAAAAGTACAGAAAAATTAGCTGGACGTGGTGGCACATGCCTGTAATCCGAGCTACTCGGAAGGCTGAGGCAGAGAATTGCTTGAACCCAGGCAGCAGAGGTTGGCAGTAAGCCGTCATCTCGCCACTGCACTCCAGCCTGGGTGACAGGGCAAGACTCCGTCTCTATAGAGAGAAAAAAAAAAAATTATATATATATATATGTATATATACTGTCAGTTGTTCTCCTTGAAGTGGCAGCTCACTTTGTTCATTTTTTATTTTATTCATTTATTTGTTATTATTATTTTTTGAGATGGAGTCTTGCTGTGTCACCCAGATTGAAGTGCCTTGGTGCAATCTTGGCTCACTGCAACCTCCACCTCCCAGATTCATGCAGTTCTCTGCCTCAGCCTCCCGAGTAGCTGTCATTACAGGCACCCGCCACCATGCCCGGCTAATTTTTGTATTTTTAGTAGAGATGGGGTTTCATTATCTTGGACATGCTGGTCTTGAACTCCTGACCTCGTGATCCAGCCCCCTCAGCCTCCCAAAGTGTTGAGATTACAGGCATGAGCCACCGTGCCCATCCTTTTATTTTTATTATATATATAAAAAAATATATATATTTTTTTAATGTGGAAATGGGGCCTTACTGTGTTGCCCGGGGTAGTCGGGTAGTCTCTTACTCCTGGGCTGAAACTGCCCTCCCACTTCTGCCTCCCTAAATGCTGCAATTGCAGGCGTGAGCCACTGTGCCCAGCTGTTTTTTTTTGTTTGTTTGTTTTGTTTTTTGAGACGGAGTTTCACTCTTGTTGCTCAGGCTGGAGTGCAATGGCGGGATCTCGGCTCACCGCAACCTCCCTCCCGGTTCAAGTGATTCTCCTGCCTCAGCCTTCCTGAGTAGCTGGGATTACAGGCATGCGCCACCATGCCCGGCTAATTTTTTTTGTATTTTTAGTAGAGATGGGATTTCTCCATGTTGGTCAGGCTGGTCTCAAACTCCTGACGTCAGATGATCAGCCCGCCTTGACCTCCCAAAGTGCTGGGATTACAGTCATGAGCCACCGCGCCCGGCCCTAGCTGTTTTTTTTTTTTTTTTTTTTGAGACGGAGTCTCACTCTGTCGCCCAGGCTGGAGTGCAGTGGCGCAGTCTCGGCTCACTGCAAGCTCCGCCTCCCAGGTTCATGCCATTCTCCTGCCTCAGCCTCCCGAGTAGCTGGGATTACAGGTACCCGCCACCATGCCCAGCTAATTTTTTGTATCTTTAGTAGAGATGGGATTTCACCAGGTTAGCCAGGATGGTCTCGATCTCCTGACCTTGTGATCCGCCCGCCTCTGCCTCCCAAAGTGTTGGGATTACAGGTGTGAGCCACCGCGCCCAGCCAGCTGTTCATTTTTAAAAAACATACCTGCCATATACCTGAGCCCTTGGTCTATTCATCATTCCTTCATATAAAAGTGATGTTGCAGACTCTGTCTCTACAAAAAATTTAAAAAAAAATTAGCTGGGCATGGTGCCACTTGCCTGTAGTCTCAGCTACTTGGAAGGCTGAGATGGAATTGCTTGAGCCTAAGTGGTCAAATCTGCAGTGAGCTGTGATCACGGCACTGCACTTCAGCCTGGGTGACAGAGCAAGAACCCGTCTCAAAAATAATAAAATAAAATGGCCAGGCGCGGTGGCTCACACCTGTAATCCCAGCACTTTGGGAGGCCGAGGCAGGCAGATCATCTGAGGTCAGGAGTTCGAGACCAGCCTGACCAGCATGGCAAAACCCCTCTCTACTAAAAATAAAAAAATTAGCTGGGCATGGTGATGGGTGCCTGTAATTCCAGATACTTGGGAGGCTGAGGCAGGAGAATCGCTTGTACCTGGGAAGCAGAGGTTGCAGTGATCTGAAATCATGCCATTGCACTCCAGCCTGGGTGATGAGAGCAAAACTCTGTCTCAAAAATAAAATAATAAAATGATGTTCCATGATAAAAGCAGTTATTTATTTTATTTTTTTTTGAGACGGAGTCTCGCTCTGTTGCCCAGGCTGGAGTGCGGTGGCACAATCTCGGCTCACTGCAAGCTCCGCCTCCAGGGTTCACACCATTCTCCTGCCTCAGCCTCCTGAGTAGCTGGGACTACAGGCATCTGCCACCACACCTGGCTAATATATATATATATATTTTGTATTTTTAGTAGAGATGGAGTTTCACCGTGTTAGCCAGGATGGTCTTGATCTCCTGACCTCGTGATCTACCCGCCTGGGCCTCCCAAAGTACTGGGATTATAGGCGTGAGCCACTGCGCCTGGCCAAAAGCAGTTATTTTAGCTTGTAACTTAATCGTGTAGTGCTTTTTCTCAAGAAAACCATCATGTTTCAGTAAGCAGCAGAAGTATTTTATGTCGGATAGGCACAGTGGCTCATGCCTGTAATCCCAACACTTTGGGATTCTATTGCTATGGACAGATCATGCAGAATAGTGGGTACAATATAATTGTCATTTGGGCAAAAAGGTAGAGAAGAGGCTGGGTGTGGTGGCTCACGCCTGTAATCCCAACACTGGTGGGGCCAAGATGGGTCGATTGCTTGAGCCCAGGAGTTTGAGAACAGCCTGAACAATATTGTGAATCCCCATCTCTACAAAAAATACAAAAATTAGCTGGGCATGGTGGTGTGTGCTTGTAGTCCCAGCTACTCGGGAAGCTGAGATGGGAGGATCCCATGAGCCCAGGAGGTCAGGACTGCAGTGAGCTGTGATTGTGCCCACTGCACTCCAGCCTGGGTGACAGAGTGAAACCCTGTCTCAAAAAAAAAAAAGTGCTTTATGTATACTTCCCATTTTGTCACACATAAATTATAAACACATATATTCAGGTGTTGAGATTTAATACAATTAATAATTTTTGCTGTGTCATCCAGGACACTCCTAAGTAGAACTGGCAATTTTCCCTTGAGATTACATGGCAGTGAAGAATACAATAACCAATAGCACAGTTTGATTCATGCTAAGGCACCAGCAGTTATACCCACTGTTGGATTTGCACCGTTAGTGCTAATGTAAACATGGAAAAAGAAAAAAGGCAAATAATGTTTTTGTATTATAACAAAAATAGTTTTGACCTCATAGTTCCCTAAAAAGGCATCAGGGACCACCAGGGGTCCATAAACCATATTTGTTGAGCTACTGGCCTAACGAGATCAGTGTTTAATCAGTGAAAGCTTGTTCTTAATTTTTTTTTTTTTTTGAGTCAAGATCTGGCTCTGTTGCCCAGGCTAGAGTGCAGTGGTGCAATCTCAGCTCACTGCAACCTCCACCTCCTGAGCTCAAGTTTTCCTCCCACTTTAGCCTCCTGAGTAGCTGAGACTATAGGCACGTACCACCATGCCCAGCTAATTTTTGTATTTTTTTGTATATATATTTTTTATTTTTTCGAGATAGTGTCTCGCTCTGTCGCCCAGACTGGAGTGCAGTGGTGCGATCTCAGCTCATTGCAACATCCACCTCCCAGGTTCAAGCAATTGTCCTGCCTCAGCCTCCCAAGTAGCTGGGTCTACAGGCATGTGCCACCACGCCCGGCTAATTTTTGTATTTTTAGTAGAGACAGGGTTTCACTATGTCGGCCAGGCTGGTCTCAAACTCCTGACCTCAGGTGATCTGCCTGCCTTGGCCTCCCAAAGTGCTGGGATTACAGGCGTGAGCCACCGCGCCCAGCCAATTTTTGTATTTTTTGTGAGACGGTTTCGCCATTTTGCCTAGGCTGGTCTCAAACTCGTGAGCTCAAGTAATCCTCCTACTTTGACCTCCCAAAGTGCTGGGATTACAGTCCCAAGCCACTGCACCCCTCTTTGTCTCCTTAAATTTTAAGCATGATTATATGATTACACGATAGTCAGAAGATAAAAACTAGATTAAGATGTAGTTTGGGCCGGGCGCAGTGGCTCACGCCTGTAATCCCAACACTTTGGGAGGCTGAGGTGGGTGGATCACTTGAGGTCAGGAGTTCAAGACCAGCCTGGCCAACATGGTGAAACCCCATCTCTACTAAAAATACAAAAATTAGCCAGGCATGGTGGCGGGTGCCTGTAATCCCAGCTACTCAGGAGGCTTAGGCAGGAGAATTGCTTGAACCCGGGAGGCAGAGGTTGCACTGAGTCAAGATCACACCACTGCTCTCCAGCCTGAGCAATACAGCGAGACTTAGTCTCAAAAAAAAAGAGAGTTACAGTTTTATTTGGAAACCTTGATGTGTCCTGTTTCATTGTGCTATCCAAAGACCTACAAACCTCCAGAGAGAGCAGTTAGTTGCTAATAAGGGCTCTCATAATTTCCATCAAGCAGTAGTTTCACAGATGGGCATCCACCTTGCTCCCTTCCTGGAGATCAAAGTACATACTTTATTATTTTATATTATGTTCCTTAAAATAATATTGTACCCTTCTTCATTTCAGGGGAATGAAATGGTGTTTTATCGATTCCTTAAACTAGAAAGGTCGTAGTGTGTTGCAGATATTTCCAGAGTATTTTTCTGGGGATTGAAAGTGATAGAACTATGTATTAGGGCTTGAAACATTCCCAAATATTTTATTGTTTGTGTTAGACGAGGTAGAAAGGAAGTGACCTACCAGACAGTCAACTTGAGATGTATCTTATATACATTCAAATATAAGAAGTCTTCTAAAAAATGTATTGGCGGCTTTCCTTATGTTCGAGTTATAGCTACCTGAAAACTTTTGTTCCTATGCATAAAGATGTCTTTGGTGGACTTGGGAAAGAGGTTGCTAGAAGCAGCAAGAAAAGGCCAAGATGATGAAGTGAGAACGTTGATGGCAAATGGCGCCCCATTCACCACAGACTGGGTAAGCTTAGAGGAGAGGTCTCTTAATTATTTCCAATGTATGCTTTTACCAACATTTTTCTTAAAGGCTAACAGACTATTGGTTTTTCTTCACTCCCTTTCTACCTCATATCCCTTACAAGAGTTTTATTTTCTTTGTCTCATCTGAATATGTGGTTTTCTTTTTCTTTTAGTTTTCCAAATTGAGAGTCTCCTGTGGATATATAGGTGATAATTGTAAGGTATTATATACTTGTGATTTTCTATAATGTTTTTTAGAGTATTTTCTAAAGGTTTAACTGTCTCTGGAGTGTACTTGGGTTATAGGCTTCTGTAATTAGCTAGAAATTAAACAAAATCAATATAATAAGAATGCATTCCTAGACTAATAAATTCCTTGTTTCCTTTTCTCTAATATGCCCTGGTTAATAAGAAATTGTCTAGGCTGAGCGTGGTGGCTCACGCCTGTAATCCCAGCACTTTGGGAGTCCAAGGCGGGCGGATCACCTGAGGTCAGGAGTTCGAGACCAGCCTGCTAACATGGTGAAACCCGTTTCTACTAAAAATACAAAAAATTAGCTGGGCATGGTGGCGCACGCCTGTAATCCCAGCTACTTGAGAGGCTGAGGCAGGAGAATCGCGTGAACTCGGGAGGTGGAGGTTGCAGTGAGCGGAGATTGCACCATTGCACTACAGCTTGGAAACTCTGTTTCAAAAAAAAAAAAAGAAGTCATCTAGCTGTTTTGTTTCCTTTACCACTGTTCAAAAAACATTAAAGAGGAAGGTGTAATTTAGCCTCAACCATCTTGGAGACCAAAGACTTTCAGAAGAAACAGGTCCAAGTTATAATGTGGGCTTTCTTAGCAGTCACAGATTTTGTACACATTGCCTAATTTTAACAATTTCAATGAATGAGTGACCTCTATTCTGGACTGATTAATTGAGAGGCCAACAGATTATTAGCATTTCACAAAAAGAAAGAAAAGGAAACCCATGAAATTAGCATTTCTATAAATAGACCTGGAAAGAACAATGTGAATTAAATTCAGTCAGGCAGAGAGGCTAAATATATGAAAAAGCAAAGAATAAACTAAACAGGCTTAAAATAAAGAGCATAACAAAAAGAAGGGAATAGAGCTCTGGCCAAAGTGGATGCTGATAGATAACTCTTACAAGATTTACACTGGGATGACAGACTTACTTATTGCTGTTGATACATCATTGCTAAATTTTTATTGCGTCTTCATCTCATCATTCATTTTGCCCTGCTTTACTGTGGCAAAAAACTTTTCTTCCAGTCAGTCAAATTTGTACCTCAAATTCCACATGTAACTTTCTAGTCTCTACCCTTTTTCTTTTTTAAAATTTACTTTATTTATTTATTTTTTAATTTATTATGAGATAAGGTCTCTCTGTGTTGCCCAGGCTGGTCTTGATCTCTTGGGCTCAAGCAGTCCTCCTGCCTTGACCTCCCAAAGTGCTGGGATTGCAGGCATGAGCCACCACATCCAGCCTGATCCTTTTTTTGTTTGTTTTAACCTTCTAGACGTTGCGTAAAGTCACGTCCTTTAGGGAATCTTAACTGATAAATCCACCTGACATAAAGCCATTATACTTAGTACTTATTCAATTGGTGGTATATTTATTTGTCCATTAGCATGTTAATTTTTTTTTTTTTTTGAGACGGTGTTTCACTCTGTCGCCCAGGCTGGAGTGCAGTGGCACAATCTCAGCTCACTGCAACCTCTGCCTCCCAGGTTCAAAGCAATTCTCCCTGCCTCAGCCTCCTGAGTAGCTGGGATTACAGGTGCCCACCACCACGCCTGGCTAACTTTTTTTGTATTTTTTAGTTGAGACGGGGTTTCACCATGTTGGCCAGAAGAGTCTTGAACTCCTGACCTCAGGTGATCTGCCCACCCTGGCCTCCCAAAGTGCTAGGATTACAGGTGTGAGCCAGTGCACCTGGCCCCTGGCCTTTAATTTGTAAATTTAAGCATTTTTTCAGTTTTATCTGCCCAACCAGATTCTCTCTTGAAGGACAAGAACCATAGCTTGTTCATTTGTATCTCTCCAGTAACGATCTAGGACTCTGCACACAGTGGATATTCAATGAGCATTATTTTTCCACAGCTTGGAACATCACCCCTCCACCTTGCAGCTCAATATGGTCATTATTCCACAGCAGAAGTACTCCTTCGAGCAGGTGTTAGCAGGGATGCCCGGACTAAAGTAGACAGGACCCCCTTGCACATGGCTGCAGCCGATGGACATGCGCACATCGTGGAACTGCTTGTTCGGGTAAAGCAAGAATAGGGGCAAGGTTATGTTGTTAAAAAGGCATCCACTTTCCTGTTTTCTTACTTAAATGGGTACTAGGAAATGACTTGGGAATGATTAAGTTTAGGACAGTTATAGCATTAAGTTGCATCTCCAGGAGTCTTCATGGCAGGCCGGGTGCCTATAATCCCAGCACTTTGGGAGGCCGAGACGGGTGGATCACAAGGTCAGGAATTCGAGACCAGCCAGACCAACATGGTGAAACCCCATCGCTACTGAAAAAAAGCAAAAAAAAATTAGCAGGACGTGGTGGTGCGCGACTGTAATCGCAGCTACTCAGGAAGCTGAGGCAGGAGAATCGCTTGAACCTGGGAGGCGGAGGTTGTGGTGAGGCAAGATCACGCCACTGCACTCCAGCCTGGACAACAGAGCAAGAATCCGTCTCAAAACAAAACAAAACAAAACAAAAAAACAAAAAAACAAAAAAAAAAACCTTCATGGCTATGAGGAGTCTGTTTTCTTATTTATTTTTTGTTTGTTTGTTTGATTTTTGAGAAGGAGTCTTGCTCTTGTGGCCCAGGCTGAAGTGCAGTGGCACGATCTCTGCTCACCACAACCTCTGCCTCCTGGGTTGAAGTGATTCTCCTGCCTCAGCCTCCCGAGTAGCTGGGATTACAGGCGCCCGCCACTACACCCAGCCAATTTTTGTATTTTTAGTAGAGACGGGGTTTCACCATGTTGCCCAGGCTGGTCTCAAACTCCTGACCTCAGGTGATCCACCTGCCTTGGCCTCCCAAAGTGCTTGGATTACAGATGTGAGTCACCGCACCTGACTGTTTTCTAATTTATTAAAACAATTTTTTTTTTTTGAGATGAACTCTCAGCTGGGTGCGGTGGCTCACTCCTGTGTCTCAAAAAAAAAAAAAAAAAAAAAAAAAAAAAGATGAAGTCTCGCACTATCGCCCAGGCTCGAGTGCGGTGGCACAATCTTGGCTCATTGTAACCTTCGCCTCCTGGGTTCAAGCGATTCTCCTACCTCAGCCTCCCAAGTAGCTGTGATTACAGGCGCCCACCACCATGCTCAGCTAATTTTTTTTTGTATTTTTAGTAGAGATGGGGTTTCACTGTGTTGGCCAGGCTGGTCTCAAACTCCTGACCTTGTGATCTGCCTGCCTCGGACTCCCAAAGTGGTGGAATTATAGGTGTGAGCCACCACGCCCGGCCCTAAAACAATTTTTTAAATTTGAGACAGGGTCTCACTCTTTTGTCCTGGCTGGAGAGCAGTGGCATGATCATAGCTCACTGCAGTTTTCAACATCTGGGTTCAAGCAATCCTACTGCCTCAGCCTCCAAAGTAGCTGGGAGGACTACAGGCATGCAGCACCATGCCCAGCTAATTTATTTTTGTTTTTATTTTTTGTAGAGAATAGGGTCTCGTTGTATTGCCCAGCCCAGGCTGGCCTTGCACTCCTGGCCTCAAGCAATTCTCCTGCCTCAGCCTCCCAACACTGACAGGTGTGGGGTTACTGTGCCTAGCCAGTTTTCTAATTTTTTTTTTTTTTTTTTTTTTTTTGAGATGGAGTCTTGCTCTGTCGCCAGGCTGGAGTGCAGTGGCGCAATACTGGCTCACTGCAACCTCTGCCTCCCAGGTTCAAGCGATTCTCCTGCCTCAGCCTCCGGAGTAGCTGGGACTACAGGCGTGCTCCACCACACCCAGCTAATTTTTATATTTTTAGTAGAGATGGGGTTTAACCATGTTGGCCAGGATGGTCTACATCCCTTGACCTCGTGATCCACCCGCCTCAGCCTCCCAAAGTGCTGGGATTACAGGCGTGAGCCACCGCACCCAGCCATTTTTTTAAAATCATATTTAAAAAAAAAATACAGATGAGATCTCACTACGTTGACCAGGCTGGTCTCAGACTCCTGGCCTCAAGTGATCCTTCCATCCTCAGCCTTCCAAAGTTCTGGGATTACAGGCATGAGCCATTGCTCCCAGCCTAGTTTTCCAATTTATTATTATTATTATTAATGGTTTTTGTTTTTTTTTTTTGGAGACGGTGGTCTCACTCTGTCACCCAGGCTAGAGTGTGGTGGTGCAGCCTCCACCTCCCAGGCTCAAGAGATTCTCCTACCTCAGCCTCCCCTTTAGCTGGGACAACGGGCATGTACTACCACGCCTGGCTAATGTTTTGAATTTTTTGTAGAGGCATGTTTTTTCACCATGTTCCCCAGGTTCATCTTGAACTCCTGAGCTCAAGCTTTTCTAATTTTTTAAAGGCTAAACAGACTTACTGATTTTTCTTCTTTCCGTTCCTGAAGGTATTCTCTGCACTTATGCCTATTTATTCAGGCACTTGGCTTTCTGTTAATAAATGCAACAAAAATCTGTTCTTTCTCTCTTTGTCTTCCATCTGTTTAATTTCCCATTGATGTCCTTAGAGGACCCACTCGTTGAAAGCATTATGTCTGTCAGCATTTAGGAGAATTTGAGAAATGTTTTTCCCTTTGATATTCCTTAAATGTGATCTAGATTTGAGTACGTAATCTCTATGGAAATCCTCTGTATTTGATGATGGGATGTTGCACCTGTGCTACTATAACCGCTGTTTGTTGAAAAAAATGCTTTTCTGTGACAGAATGGTGCAGATGTGAATGCCAAGGACATGCTGAAGATGACAGCTTTGCATTGGGCCACAGAGCGCCACCATCGAGATGTCGTAGAGTTACTTATCAAATATGGAGCTGATGTCCATGCTTTCAGCAAATTTGATAAATCAGCCTTTGACATAGCTCTGGAGAAAAACAATGCTGAGATTTTGGTCATCCTCCAGGTGTGGTTCTTTTTATACTCTCCAGAATGTATGTTAATTGAAGTTAAGGATTTTTTTGTAGGAGCTGAATCAAAACTGAATTTTCCCTATTTTATTAAAGTAGCACTTCTAATATGTCTCAATCTTGTGACTCAGTGTCATTAGTATCTTTAAAATACAGCTATGTATAGAATATATATTTGTGTGTATATATGTATACGCATATATATTTTTTATATTTTTTATATATATTTTTTAATATATATATTCTATAAAGCCCTGAATTAATCATGGTGATTAAAGAACCATGTTGTGGCTAGTACCAAAAACATTTATTTGGCTTTAGAATGTCTTTTTCTCCATGAAAATTTCCCTTTCTAATTAAACTTGACTTGGGACAATATTAAAAGTTACTTGATGTTTTCTGAATATTCATCAACTGATGTGAGACAGTATACAGATGCTCCTTGACTTATGATAGGGTTACTTTGGATCCATTTATGATGAGTTTATGCAGGTGTAACCCCATCATAAGTCAGATCACTTTCACACCATGGCAAAGTTGAAAAATTGTAAGTTGAACCCTTGTAAATTGGGGACTATCTATGAAGCTCTAAAGCATATTGAGTGATAAGGAAGCCACTTCAGAATTTAAAATTAACTGTGATGATTTCGTCCTTTTTTTTTTTTTTTTTTTTTTTTTTGAGGCAGAGTCTCACTCTGTTGCCCAGGCTGGAATGCAGTGGCATGATCTCAGCTCACTGCAGCCTCCATTTCCTGGGTTTGAGGGATTCTTCCACCTTAGCCTCCCGAGCAGCTGGGACAATAGCCACACACTACCATGACCAGCTTATTTTTGTATTTTTAGTAGAGACAGGGTTTCGCCATGTTGCCCAGGCTGGTCTCGAACTCCTAACTTCAGGTGATCCACCTGCCTTGGCCTCTCAAAGTGCTGGGATTACAAGTGTCAGCCACTGTGCCGGCTGTGTCCCATTAATTTCTGTTTCCCACCCCCGACCCCGAGATAGAGTCTCACTCTGTTGCCCAGTGCAATGGCACGATCTCGGCTCACTGCTTGGATTCAAGTGATTCTTCCTCCTCAGCCTCCTGAGTAGCTGAGATTACAGGCACCTGCCATCATGCCCAGCTAATTTTTGTATTTTTGTAGAGACAGGGTTTCACCATTTTGGCCAGGCTGGTCTTGAACCCCTGACCTCAGGTGATCCGCCTGCCTCGGCCTCCCAAAGTGCTGGGATTACAGGCGTGAGCCACTGCGCCTGGCCTGCCCATTAATTTCTTAAGCCAGCACTGTACATCAGGGAACAATAGGACAGGGGATATAAAAATTAACAGGACATGGGCCAGGCGTGGTGGCTCATGCCTGTAATCCCAACACTTTGGGAGGCCGAGGCAGGTGGATCACCTGAGGTCAGGAGTTCGAGACCAGCCTGGCCAATATGGTGAAATCCCGTCTCTACTAAAAATGCAAAAAAAATTTGCTGGGCATGGTGACGTGTGCCTGTAATCCCAGCTACTCGGGAGGCTGAAGCAGGAGAATCACTTGAACCTGGGAGGCAGAGGTTGCAGTGAGCCAAGATCGCGCCACTGCACTTGAGCCTGGGTGACACAGCAGGATTCCATCTCAAAAAAAAAAAAAAATTAATAGGACATGAAGTGTTGAAAGCATGATAAAAGTAAAGACAGGCAAGAAAATATTATAATATTGCATAATAAATAGATATCTAGTAAGTGCCATGGGAGCACAAAGGAGGGAATAGTGGAATCTGAACTGAATATTGAAGTAGGCAGAGAAGTGAGAAAACTATATTCTAGCCTAGAAAAAGAGCAAATCAAAGACACAGAGGTGTGAAAGAACGTGGAATGTTCAAGAAAAAGTAGTTGAGTGATGAGAGAATGGGCAAAGGAAGTAGAGTTTGGGAGTGGCAGATGCTAAGCTTGAAAGTTAGGCTGGATTCTGAATGTAGGGATGCTTTACAGCGTGTGAAGGAGTTTGAACTATTATGTGGGCGATGCATTTGGATAGAAGTTTTTAAATAGAGGACTGATATGACTAAATTTGGTTTAAAAAGATGATTGTTTGGAATGTGGCACACAGATGAGAGAGACACTTAATGCTAAATAACTATACGGTGACTTTCATTAGGCCAGGCAAGGGCCAATGAGAACTTGAACCAAGGAAGTGCTACTATTTCGCCACGTAGCAGTACTACTCTTCCCTCCTCTGTGCTCCCATAGCACTTACTAGATGTCTGTTTATCATGTAATATTGTAATATTTTATTTCCTATCTTTAATTTTATCGTGCTGTGAACACTTCATGTCCTAGTGGAGGATAAAGGAAAAGGGCAAATTCAAGAAGGAATTTAGGCCAGGCATGGTAGCTCACGCCTGTAATCCTAGCACTTTGGGAGGCCGAGGTGGGTGAATCCCCTGAGGTCAGGACTTCAAGACCAGCCTGGCCAACATGGTGAAACCTCATCTTTACTAAAAATACAGAAATTAGCTGACTTGGTCGTGGGTGCCTGTAATCCCAGCTACTTGGGTGATGGAGGCAGGAGAATCGGTTGAACTTGGGAGGTGGAGGTTGTAGTGAGCTGAGCTGAGATCGTGCCACTGTACTCCAGCCTGGGAGACAAGAGTGAGACTCTCAAAAAAAAAAAAAAAAAGGAATTTCACAATATCCAAAGAATGGATAACCTGTTTCATTTGAAGCTCTTAGTCAAGGGGATAATTATATATGAAAAACAGTCATTTCTGGCTGGGCGTGGTGGCTCATGCCTGTAATCCTAACACTTTGGGAGGCTGAGGAGGGTGGATTGCCTGAGCTCAGGAGTTCAACGCCAGCCTGGGCAACTCGATGAAACCCTGTCTCTACTAAAATACAAAAGAAATTAGCCGGGCATGGCAGCGTGCGCCTATAGTCCCAGCTACTTGGGAGGCTGAGGCAGGAACCCTGGAGGCGGAGGTTGCAGTGAGCCGAGATCGCACCACTGCACTCCAGCCTGGGCGACAGAGTGGGACTCCGTCTCAAAAAAAAATAAAAAGAGAGAGAGAGAGACAGAGAAAGCAAGCAAGCAAGCCATTTCTGCTGCATTTTCAGTATTTTTTTTTAATTGACAGGTGGTCTATATACTGGTTAGTCCCTTGAACTTTCAATTCTTTGTTTAGAGCCCTTTCATAACTGGACTTTTTAAAGTAGTGATTATGTTTGTAGAAAATTGCTTCTGAAAGTAATAAAGATAAGCTACTTTTCACCAAAATTGAACAGATATCCCTGGAAGCAAAAGTACAGCATATGGAGCGAGACTTTAAAATCTGGCACTTATTTATTTGCTTGTTATATATTCTCTCAGGAATTTTTTCAATGGCCGAATGGAACAAGTAGTTGGACAAAACTCTAGAGAATATTGTTCTCTATAGATACTCTGCAGGGATCTCTTGCTAGCACACTGACTTGTAGATAATTAATCATAAAATGTTAGTGCTGGAAATTACTTTTTAGGCTATTCAGGTCAACTCCCTCATTTTTCTTTTTTCTTTTTTTGAGACGGAGTCTCACTCTGTCGCCCAGGCTGGAGTATAATGACACCAACTTGGCTTACCGCAATCTTGGCCTCCTGGGTTCAAGCAATTCTCCTGCCTCAGCCTCCCGAGTAGCTGGGATTACAAGCACCTGCCACCACGCCCAGCTGATATTTTTGCATTTAGTAGAGACAGGGTTTCACCATGTTGGCCAAGCTGGTCTCAAACTCCTGACCTCAAGTGGTCCACCCGCCTCAGCCTCCCAAAGTGGTAGGATTACAGGCATGAGCCACCGTGCCTGGCCTGACTCCCTCATTTTTCAAATGAAAAAAACAAGATTCATAGAGGTTGATTGAATTGTCTAGAAGTTTTTGCAAATGATACACCTTTGCTTTCCTGAAGTAGGAACAAGCTTTGGAAAGCAACCTAACAACTCTGTTGGCCTGGTCTGAAAAAAAATGGTGGTCTTAATGAGAACTCTGATCTCCCTGGGACATTGTGTACCGGAACTAGTTATAATTGATAGAGCATTGGGATGGGAGTGGAATATGCTGTTCAGTAACTGTGTAACTAAAGCTAATAAGTGTTCTTGGGCTGGGCACGGTGGCTCAAGCCTGTAATCCTACCACTTTAGGAGGCCAAGGTGGGCGATTTGCCTGAGCCCACAAGTTCTAGACCAACTTGGGCAACATGGCAAAACCCTCTACTAAAAATACAAAAAATTAGCTGGGCGTGGTGGCGTGTGCCTGTAATCCCAGCTGCTCGGGAGGGTGAGTCATGAGAATTGCCTGAACCCAGGAGGTGGAGGTTGCAATGAGCCAAGATCGTGCCACTGCACTCCAGCCTGGGTGGCAGAGTGAGACTGTCTCAAAAAAAAAAAAAAGAAAGACAGAAAAGAAAAGCTAATAAGTGTTCTGATTGAAATATCCTGCCTTGTTTGATAGGAAGCAATGCAGAATCAGGTGAATGTTAATCCAGAGAGAGCCAACCCTGTGACTGACCCTGTGAGTATGGCTGCTCCATTCATCTTCACGTCGGGTGAGGTTGTTAACCTCGCAAGCCTTATTTCTTCAACCAACACCAAAACAACCTCAGGTAATGTTCTGATAACATGAAATTTATTTTAGACTCAAAAAAGAACAGAACCCTAGATTTTCCAGGAGATGAATGGATACCCTTTCTAATACTCCTTAATTAAAATATTGCCAAAGCAGAAGATTTGTAATAGATTTTAAAGCTGAGGTACTTATTCTTTCTGGGGAAGGGAAGATCATACATAGGGATTACAAAGGAATACTTATTGTGTTAAAAGTAAAATATTCTGGCTTGGGCACAGTGGCTCATATCTGTAATCCCAATGCTTTGGGAGGCCAAGGTGGGAAGATTGCTTGAGGCCACCCTGGACTGGACAACATAGCAAGACCCCATCCTCTACTAAAAATAAATTGGATGGGCATGGTGATGCATACCTGCAGTCCCAGCTACTCAGGAGGCTGACATGGGAGGATCTCGTGAGCTCAGGAGTTGGACTTACTGTGAGTTATAATTGTGCCACTGTACTCTGGCCTGGATGACAGAGCAAGACCCTGTCTCTAAAAAAAAAAAAAAAAGGAAAATATTGTACAGATTAATCTATTGAAGGGTTATGCCTAGACCAAAAATGAAAATATGAAGGTGCCTCAACATGATACTGATAAGGGAAATAAACATTAATAGTTTAAAGCAGTAACAAAGCAGAATAAACATAAGCGGCTTTTGGAGTACTGATATAAAAGAGGTAAATGTGATTATCTGAATAAAGTATAAGAGTCTGGATTTGTTCTTAGTGCATATATAAAAAGAAAACAGCAGAGAAAACTACTTGGTGTTGATCTTTTGAAACCTGTATGTTTTTGACTTGGCGCGGTGCCTCACGCCTGTAGTCCCAGCACTTTGGGAGGCCGAAGTGGGTGGATCACCTGAAGTCAGAAGTTTAAGACCAGCCTGGTCAACATGGTGGAACCCCATCTCTACTAAATAT
Source organism: Homo sapiens (assembly GCF_000001405.40). Taxonomy (NCBI): domain Eukaryota; kingdom Metazoa; phylum Chordata; class Mammalia; order Primates; family Hominidae; genus Homo; species Homo sapiens. Next base: position 151,098,928 of record NC_000001.11, read on the forward strand.
ACAAAAATTAGCCGGCTGTGGTGGTGGGTGCCTGTAATCCCAGCTACTTGTGAGATTGAGGCAGGAGAATCGCTTGAACCTGGAAGGCGGAGGTTGCAGTGAGCCGAGATTGCGCCATTGCGCTCCAGCCTGGGCAACAAGAGTGAAACTTCATCTCAAAAAAAAAAAAAAAAAGAAAGAAAGAAACCTGCATGTTTTCAACAAAACCTTCTATCTAAATAAGAATGAATGAGTTTGTTTTTCAGCATCTCCTTTATTTTTTATTTTTTATTTTTTATTTTTTTCTCCAAGGCGGAGTCTCGCTGTGTTTCCCAGGCTGGAGTGCAGTGGCGCAATCTTGGCTCACTGCAACCTTTGCCTCCCGGGTTCAAGCGATTCTCCTGCCTCAGCCTCCTGAGTAGCTGGGACTACAGGCATGTGCCACCACGCCCAGCTAATTTTTGTATTTTTACTAGAGATGGGGTTTCACCGTGTTAGCCAGGATGGTCTTGATCTCCTGACCTCATGATCTACCCGCCTCGGCCTCCCAAAGTGCTGGGATTACAGGCATGAGCCACCGCACCTGGCCTATCAGTTAGCATCTCCTTTTATAAATATTTTTTTTACAATGAAATAACTTGTGTCCTCATTTAAATAAATTTTCCAGTTGACTATTGGTTTCTTTTTCTGTTTCTTTTATTTGAAATAACAGTATTCTTAGTTAAGTTTCTATAATGTCAAAGGAAAGATCTTGACTAAGCTATTGATATTGAGAGGTAGTGTGGTAAAAGAGAAGAAGCAATGTATGTGATATACACAGAATTTTGGAATCAGAATTGTGCTCAAATAATTATTGGTTGACTAGCTGCTTAACCCTAGGAAAACTTCATACTTTTCTATGCCTTGTTTACTTATCTGCAAAATTGGGATATAATAATACCTACTTTATGAGGTTGTTGTGAGAGTTTGAGAATTTGTATTTCAAGGTCCATTTTATAGTAGGGCTTCAATAATAGCTATTAAATGAAAACGTAGTATCTTAGCGAAGCTTGACCCCAACATGCCCACCAGGGGGCAATAGTGATCTTCATTTTATAAGCTATCAACAGTTATTTAAAATAATTTTGCATTCAGCAGGATGATACAAAAACTTTACATTAAATTTATATATACATGTAATCAGAACATTCACAATCTTTTGTATTCATATTGGTTCAGTCACACTGATTAAAACAACTTTTTTTTTTTTTTTTTTTGAGACGGAGTCTCGCTCTGTCGCCCAGGCTGGAGTGCAGTGGCCCAATCTCAGCTCACTGCAACCTCCGCCTCCTGGGTTCAAGTGATTCTCCTGCCTCAGCCTCCCGAGTAGCTGGGATTACAGGCGCCTGCCACCATGCCTGGCTAATTTTTGTATCTTTAGTAGAGACGGGGTTTCACCATGTTGGCCAGGCTGGTCTCGAACTCCTGAGCTTGTGATCCACTCGCCATGGCCTCCTAAAATGCTGGGATTACAGGCGCCTGCCACCACACCCAGCTAATTTTTTTGTAGTTTTTAGTAGAGATGGGGTTTCACCATGTTGCCCAGGCTGGTCTCAAACTCCTGGGCTCAAGCAATTCACCTGCCTTAGCCTCCCAAAGTATTGGGATTACAAGTGTGAGCCACTGTGCCTGGCCTTTTTTTTTTTTTTTTTTTTTTTTTTGAGACAGAGTTTAACTCTGTCACTCAGGCTGGAGTGCAGTGGCATGATCTTGGCTCACCGCAAACTCTGCCTCCCAGGTTCAAGCGATTCTTGTGCCTCAACCTCCTAAGTAGCTGGGATACTGGTGCCTGCCACCACGCCCAGCTAATTTTTGTATTTTTAGAAGAGACGGGGTTTCACCATGTTGGCCAGGCTGGTTTCAAACTCCTGACCTCAGGTGATCTGCCCACCTCGGCCTCCCAAAGTGCTGGGATTACAGGCATGAGCCACCGTGCCTGGCCCTGACTTCTTGAAAGAAGAAAAACTGGAAAGAATATTTAAGCATAGGTAGTGGGAAAACTTAAAAATTAAGAGTAGACTGGGTGCGATGGCTCACGCCTATAATCTCAGCACTTTGGGAGGCTGAGGCAGGTGGATAGCTTGAACTCATGAGTTCGAGAGCAGCCTGGGCAGCATGGTGAAACCTGGTCTGTACAAAAAATACAAAAAAAAAAAAATTAGCCAGGCATGGTGATGCACACCTGTAGTCCCAGCTACTTGGGAGGCTGAGGTGGGAGAACAGCTTGGGCCTGGGAGGCAGAGGCTGGAGTAAGCCAAGATTGTACCACTGCACTGCAGCCTGGGCGATAATGCCAGAGTTTGTCTTGAAAAAATAAATTAAGAGTACATTTAAAAATAAAATATATTGCTTAGTGTGCTGGCTCACGCCTATAATCCCAGCACTTTGGGAGGCCGAGGTGGGCAGATCACTTGAGGTCAGGAGTTCGAGACCAGCCTGGCTAACATGGTGAAACCCCGTCTTACTAAAAATACAAAAATTAGCTGGGCATGGTGGTGCGCGCCTGTAGTCCCAGTTACTAGGGAGGCTGAGTCAGGAGAATGGCGTGAACCTGGGAGGCAGAAGTTGCAGTGAGCTGAGATCGCGCCACTGCACTCCAGTCTGGGCAACAAGAGCAAAACTCCGTCTCAAAAAAAAAAGAAAAAGAAAAAAGAAAAGAATACAGGAATAGCCAATAGAGGGTGCAGCAGCTACTTCTACTTCTATACTAACAAAGCTTAATGTCATGCCAGCTGACAAGAAATGTTTATAGGGTCCAGCCCCAGCATCACCAGGCAGGACAAAGAAGGGTAGATTCGGAACTGAGAGGCAATAAATTTGTAACTGGCATAATAGGTATCTCTGAAATTATAGTGAAAGAAATAGAGAAATATAATTCATTTTATAAAAGTAAGATTTATACAAAACTGTTGAGTAATACTTTTTTTCCCCAACAAGGAAATATCTACAGTTAGAGTAATACTTTTGGTTCATAAAGTTAGGCATGTCTGTTGCCAGATCTAGTGCGCTTCCCTCTTACAACTTAGCTATGAGAATAGCACACAGATATAAGAGAAGAAGGTTATGAACAAAGTCTTTTTAAAAGTACATCTTGGCTGGACACAGTGGCTCATGCCTATAATCCCAGCACTTTGGGAGGCCGAAGCAGGCAGATCACCTGAAGTCAGGAGTTCAAGACCAGCCTGGGCAACATGGCGAGACCTCGTCTCTACTAAAAGTATAAAAATTAGCTGGGCGTGGTGGTGCACACCTGTAATCCCAGCTACTCAGGAGGCTGAGATAGGAGAAGCGCTTGAATCCGGGAGGCGGAGGTTGCAATGAGCTGAGACCGTGCTACTGCACTCCAGCCTGGGAGACAGAGCGAGACTCCATCTCAAAAAGTAAATAAATAAAAAATAAAAGTACATCTTGACATAACTAAAGTATTTTTAACATTTAGCGTTTTTAGTGTTAATCTATTGTACTACCCTTTGACATTCAATATATGAAACTTTTTATTTATATATTTATTTATTGAGATGGAGTCTTTCTCTGTCACCCAAGCTGAAGTGCAGTGGTGCGATCTCGGCTTACTGCAATCTCCACTTCCTAAGTTCAAGCGATTCTCTTGCCTCAGCCTCCTGAGTAGCTGGGATTATAGGTGCCCACCACCAACCCAGCTAATTTTTGTATTTTTAGTAGAGACAGGGTTTCACCTTGTTGGCCAGGCTGGTCTCGAACTCCTGATCTCAGGTGATCCATCCGCCTCGGCCTCCCAAAGTGCGAGGATTACAGGCATGAGCCACAGCATCCGGCCATGAAACTTTAGGTTTTTAACTATTCTTGTACTAGAGGTGAATCCTATTCTTCACATCTATCTAGCTGATGAAAAAAGGTAGTATGATTGGGTAAAGCCCAGAAGGGGACTATTCCCTTATCACTGCTGAGCTTGGGGTGAGGTATGCATTTTACACTTACTGCCTGCTGCCAAGGAGAGCTCTGCCCAGTCAGCTTAGGGAGTGGGTAGCACTCTTGGTCTGTTAGCTACTAATGCTCAGCACTGGCAGTGCCAAGAGAATGATTAAATGAGGGGAATGTAGTGGCCCTGTACAAAGTATACTTTTTTTTTTTTTTTTTTTTTTTGAGAAGGAGTCTCGCTCTGTCGCCCAGGCTGAAGTGCAATGGTGTGATCTCAGCTCACTGCAAGCTCTGGCTCCCGGGTTCATGCCATTCTTCTGCCTCAGCCTCCCAAGTGGCTGGGACTACAGGCGCCCACCACCACGCCCAGCTAATTTTTTGTATTTTTAGTAGAGACGGGGTTTCACCATGTTAGCCAGGATGGTCTTGAACTCCTGACCTCGTGATCCACCCGCCTCGGCCTCCCAAAGTGCTGGGATTACAGGCAGGAATGGCGCCCGGCCCTCCAAGTATATTAATTTAATCCACTTTAAAGGAAAAACTTTTTAAACCTTAAAAGAATTTTAACACTGATATAATTGGCTTATATCAGTTTGAGTTAGAGAACAAGATTGAGGACATTAGAAGGAAAAGCTGAGGTTTTGATTTAATAAGCTGTTTTTAATTTGCCTCAATTTTTTCTCTACATTGGACCTCATTTGTCTTTCTTACTGAAATAGGTGACCCCCATGCCTCAACAGTACAGTTTTCAAATTCTACCACCTCAGTGCTGGCTACCCTTGCAGCTCTTGCTGAGGCATCAGTCCCCCTCTCCAACTCACACAGAGCCACAGGTAGGTAAGGGATATGCTGCTGGGTGAATCACCACTTTTTCTTTTGTTTTTAAGTCTCCAGCAGATTTAATTTGCATGAAATATTATTAAAGAATTGCATTTAATTAGAGGCAGCTAAGGAAAAGGGATGTGGCATCATTGAACATCAGAAAGAAAAATTGCTAGGTGGTATAATCAGACAGCTGAATAATATCAGAGAATGACTGAATTATTCCTTTGTGTGTTTACAATTTGAAGTTTGTTCTCCCTGACTCTAGTTACTTCAGATTGAAATGTCTATTCTCATATTAGCAGATTTTTTTGGAGATACTCTATGTTATGTTTTGACTGATGCTATCATGGAATGATTCAAAATAGCAGCCCAGATATCTTATATTAAAGTATCAAAATACATGGGACTGGTACCTTTTTCGTTGTCATATCCTTTGTACTTCATGGCTTGCTTTTATTTTCACTGGAGATGTTATTTTGGCATTTCCAAAGGAGTTGAGCAAATATAGGCTATGTATTGCCTTTCTGATATTTAAAACAAAAAAGTTTTCAAGTCATTTAGCCAGAGCTAGTGGTCTGTGGGGGGAAGACTTAAGGCTTCATATAGGCAGGGGCATATAGTCATAGTTAGGGCTCAGTAGACATTTAGAAATCTGTCTGGAACCCTCTGGCCATCTGCTCCATCATATATGAAAGCAGAATGTTCTGATTTCTTTCTGCCATGACATTTGGGTGGTAAGAACATTCTTCCAATTCCAATCCTATTTTTCTGAATGGGTGTAATCATAAAGATCTCTACTCAGATGTATATGAGGGAACAACATAGCAAAGGGAAAAGCAGTGTATTAAACTTGTCCTTGCTATTCTTTTGCTTTGCTCTTTGATCTTGGATAAATCACTTCTCCAGGTTCTAGTTTTCTCATCTTTGGCATGATGGTTGGATTAGGTTATCTATCCAGGACCTTTCAGCTTTAATATTTAACTGTTCTTTGTTTCTAAGAGGTGTGAATCCTTTATTTCCATTGAACTACCTAGATGTGTTGCATATGGATGGTTGATACCCCACTTATTACTGCAAAGTTCTATCTGTGACTCTTTCTTTCTTTCTCTCTTTCTTTCTTTCTTTCTTTCTTTCTTTTCTTTCTTTCCTTTCTTTCTTTCTTTCTCTTCTCTCTCTTTCTTTCTTTCTTTCTCCTTCCCTCCCTCCCTCTCTCTCTCTCTCTTTCTCTCTTTCTCTCTTTCTTTCTTTCCTTCTTGAGACAGAGTCTCACTCTGTCACCCAGGCTGGGATGCAGTGGCATGATCTCAGCTTACTGCAATCTCCACCTCTGGGGTTCAAGCACAATTCTCCTGCCTCAGCCTCCCAAGTAGCTGGGATTACAGGCGCCCACCACCATGCCCAGCTAAATTTTGTATTTTTAGTAGAGATGAGGTTTTGCCATGTTGGCCAGGCTGGTCTCAAACTACTGACCTCAGTGATCCGCCCACCTCGGCCTTCCAAAGTGCTGGGATTACAGGTGTGAGCCACCGCGCCTGGCCCTGTGACACTTTAGATAGAGACATTCCATAGTGGTAGGAATTATTTCCTCTAATAGTGCTTAGTTTATTGGGATATTGACTAATCAAACTGAAAATCTCGATTCAACATAATACACATAACACTCATAGAATGGTACCTGGCACATAAGCGTTGGCTATTTTATATATATATGTGTGTATATATATGTATATATCAAATGTATATCAAATATATATACAAATATATATATCAAATATATATACAAATGTATATATATTTGATATACATTTAATATAAACATATATGTATATATATATATGTTTGGGGTTTCTTTTGATACAGACAGGATCTTATTCTGTTATTCTGTCACCCAGGCTGGAGTGCAGTGGCACAATCAGAGCTCACTGCAGCTTCAACTTCTGGGCTCAAGTGATCCTCCCACATCAGCCTCCTGAGTAGCTAGGACTAAAGGTGCATGCCACCACGCTCAATTAATTTTTCAAATTTGGGGGGATGGTCTCACTGCTCAGTCTGGTCTTCAACTCCCAGCCTCAAGCAGTCCTCCTGCCGTGGCCTCCCAAAGTGCTGGGATTATGGGCGTGAGCCACCATACCCAGCCAGCTATTATTCTTGATTTATCAGAGGAAAAAAGCCATCTAACATTTTTGTCTATCAAACTTCAATATTTTGACTACTTCACATATTATTCTGTGAATTCACTATTAAATATCCCTGTTTTCTTATAGAAATGATCTACTGTAATTTATGGTTATTTTAGATTTTTTTTTTTTTTGAGATGGAATCTCGCTCTTGTCACCCAGGCTGGAGTGCAATGGCGTGATCTTTGCTCACTGCAACCTCCGCCTCCCAGGTTCAAGCAATTCCCCTGCCTCAGCCTTCCAAGTAGCTGGGATTACAGGCGCCCACCAACACGCCCAGCTAATTTTTGTATTTTTAGTAGAGATGGGGTTTCACCATGTTGGCCAGGCTGGTCTCGAACCCCTGACCTCAGGTGATCTGCCCACCTCGGCCTCCCAAAGTGCTGGGATTACAGGCGTGAGCCACCGTGCCCAGCCATTTTAGACTTTCAAGATACTTTCTGAAAAAAAAAGGGTTCCAATATCAAATATGTTGGGGAAACAGCATATCTGGTTTTTTTGTTTGTTTTTTGAGACAGAGTCTCGCTCTGTCGCTCAGGCTGGAGTGCAGTGGCTCCATCTCGACTCACTGCAACCTCTGCCTCCCAGGCTCAAGCGATTCTCGTGCCTCAGCCTCCAAAGTAGCTGGAACTACAGGCACGTGCCACCATGCCTGACTAATTTTTGTACTTTTAGTAGAGACAGTGTTTTGCCATGTTGGCCAGGCTGGTCTCTAACTCCTGGCCTCAAGTGATTCGCCCATCTTGGCCTCCCAAAGTGCTGAGATTACAGGCGTGAGCCACTGTGCCCAGCCGAAACAGAGTATCTTATACTCTGTTGGAGAATCACACCCTGTTGGAAAATCACAATGTTTATTAGCCTATTGAAGTCTCTGATACTCCTACAAAACAAAAAAGTTTAAGCATGTTTAAACCAGAATTTTGAAAACGTATTTATACATAGAATCCATCTTTAGTGAAAGTTATTAATACCTCAGTGAACACATTTTACAAAATACTGTTCTAATGCATTCTGTTTTCTTTTCTCCTCTGACTTAGCATTGTTCACAAAACCTTTTGCGAACTGTTGAATCTCACTTTTTTTTTTCAAATGTTCCTCTCCCTGAATGTTGTCAGGTTCAAGGAGGTTGAAATTGCTATACTCCTATGTTTTTAAAAAGCTGAAATTTTAAATTTGCTTTTGTCATCTCTAGCCAATACAGAGGAAATTATAGAAGGAAATTCCGTTGACTCATCAATCCAGCAAGTAATGGGGAGTGGAGGCCAGAGGGTCATCACCATAGTGACTGATGGAGTCCCTCTGGGTAATATCCAAACTTCAATCCCTACTGGAGGCATTGGCCAGCCATTTATTGTAACTGTGCAAGATGGACAGCAAGGTGAGTTATCTCTTGTAGACAATTGTTTATTAAAAGATATTTTAGATACTCCATACTCACCTAAAAATGAGGCATTAAGACAAATAGTGGAAGTGGGAGATTGCCAGATGCAAGTTGGGGCAAAGAAGCTCTGAAAAAGAAAAAGAAACGGAACCAGACTGGCAAAAGCTAATTGCCTAATATGTATAAAATCTGTAGTAAAAACCAGTTGATCTGGTGGAAAAAATAACAAATAATATGAACCAATAGTTCACAGAAAAAAAATGTACTGATGGCTCTTTTTTTTTTTTTTTCTTCAGAAGGGATTCTCACTCTCTCACCCAGGCTGGAGTGCAGTGGTGCAATCTCAGCTCACTGCAGGCTCCGCCTCCTGGGTTCACGCACCCGGGTTCACCGCGCCCGGCCCTGATGGCTCTTAAAAATATGAAAATAGCTGGGTGAGGCGGCTCACGGCTGTAATCCCAGCACTTTGGGAGGCTGACGCAGGAGGATCACTTGAGAGCAGGAGTTCAAGACCAGCCTGGCCAAAATAGCAAAACCCCATCTCTACTAAAAATACAAAAATTAGCCAGGCATGGTGGCGCACGCCTATAGTCCCAGCTACTCAGGAGGCTGAAGTGGAGGATCACTTGAGCCCAGGAGGTTGAGGCTGTACTGAGCCGTGATTGTGCTACTGCACACCAGCCTGGATGACAGAGTGAGACTCTGTCTTTAAAAAAAAAAAGGAAAGAAAGAAAAAGAAAATATTTTCGACCTACTTCATTCATAACGAGAAGTGCAAATACTGTACTGACATACCATTATAACACTATGTTGTTAAAGGTATAGGGAAACAAGCACTCTTATAAATCACTTGTGAGAGTGCACATTAATGGATCCTCTAAAAAGGATATTGGTAATATCTGTAGGTATTAAAGATGTACATAAAGATGTACCTTTGGGTTTTTTTGTTTGCTTGTTTGTTTGAGATGGAGTTCCTCTTTGTTGCCCAGGCTGGAGCGCAGTGGCAGGATCTTGGCTCACTGCAACCTCCAGCTCCCTGGTTCAAGTAATTCTTGTGCCTCAGCCTCCTGAGTAGCTGGGACTATAGGCGCACACCAACACGCCCAGTTAATTTTTGTGTATTTTTAGTAGAGACAGGGTTTTACCATGTTAGCCAGGCTGGTCTTGAACTCCAGACCTCAAGTGATCCTCCCGCCTAAGCCTCCCAGAGTGCTGGGATTATAGGTATGAGTCATCACACCCAGTGATGTTGTGTACCTTTTGGTTAAACAGTTCTTTTTTCTTTTTTGTGTGTGTAACTGGGTCTTGTTCTGTCACCCAGGCTTGTGTGCGGTGGTGCAATCATGGGTCACTGCAGCCTCGACCTCCTGGGCTCAAGCTATCCTCCCGCCTCAGCCACCTGAGAAGCTGGGGCTACAGTTCCACGCCACCATGCCCAGCTATATTCAGACTGAGGCTATACATTAGTATACTGAGGCATTACATTAGTTGCTTCCAGGGAGGGCAATTGGGTACTAAGGATGAGTGGGAGGCTTTTCAATGTATATGCTTTTATAGTCTTGATGTTTTTAATCATTTAATGTATCAGTTATTCAAAAAAGACATAGTTAAAATTTTTTGAAAAGAGGAAGCCCATCATTACAACTCCATGCCTTAAAAATACTGGAGGTTGGCCAGGCACAATGGCTTACATATGTAATCCTGTAATCCTAGCACTTTGGGAGACCAAGGCAGGAGGATTGCTTGAGACCAAGAGTTCCAAATCAGCTGGGGCAACATAGCAAGACCCCCTCATCTCTACGCAATTTTTTTAAAAAATAGCCTGGTTGATGGCACGTGCTTATAGTCCCAACTACTCAGGAGGTTTTGGCAGGAGGATCAGTTGAGCCCAGGAGCTCAAGGTCGCAGTATGCTACCATAATCATGCCACTGCACTCCAGCCTGGGCAACAGAGCAAAACATTGTCTCTAAAAAATAAAAATGTATATTGGAGGTTGAAACGAAGGGTACTGGTATAATTTCCTTTCTTAATGTCACTAAAATTTTGACTTGGCTTAAATGATTGTGGGGATTTATATATATATATATATATACACACAAATATATATATATACACAAATATATATATATATATATATATTTTTTTTTTTGAGTCAGAATCTTGCTCTGTCACTCCAGGCTGGAGTGCAGTGGCACAATCTCGGCTCACTGCAACCTCCACCTCCTGGGTTCAAGCGATTCTCCTGCCTCAGCCTCCTGAGTAGCTGGGATTACAGGTGTGTGCCACCACGCCCGGCTAATTTTTTTGTATTTTTAGTAGAGACGGGGTTTCACTATGTTGGTCAGCCTGGTCTCGAACTCCTGACCTCGTGATCCACCCTCCTCGGCCTCCCAAAGTGCTGGAATTACAAGCGTGAGCCACCACACCCGGCCTATAGTTTTTTTTTGTTTGTTTTGTTTTTGTTTTTGAGATAGGATCTCCCTTTGTTGCCCAGGCTAGAATGCAGTGGCATGATTATGGCGCACTGCAGCCTCGACTTCCCAAGCAACCTTCTCACCTCAGCCTCCCAAGTAGCTGGGACTACAGGCATGCACCACCACACCTGGCTAATTTTTTTATTTTTTTAATTTTAGACAGGGACACAGTCTGTCACCCAGGCTGGAGTGCAGTGGCGTGATCTCGGCACACTGCAGTCTCCGCCTTCCGGGTTCAAGTGATTCTCCTGCCTCAGCCACCGGAGTAGATGGGATTACAATCATGTGCCACCATGCCCAGCTAATTTTTTTTTTTTTTTTTTTTTTTTTTTTTTTTTTTTTGCAGAGACAGGGTTTCGCCATGTTGGCCAGGCTGGTCACTAGCTCCTGAACTCAAGTGATCTGCCTGCCTTGGCCTCCCAAAGTGCTGGGATTACAGGTGTGAGTCACGACCCCTGGTCTTTTTTTATTTTTTGTACAGACTGGGTCTTACTATGTTGCCCGTGTTGGGATTTATAATTTTTTAATTATTTCAACTGATGGATCAGAAAGTATGGGAAGATAAGAATTAAACTTATTATAATCCAAACTTTGGTATCATAAATTCTAATTTATGCATTGCTGATATTTTTGTGAACATAGTTATCATTTTAAGTTTTTAGGGCTCATTGGGTAGGTGAGAGACTCTGCTTATAATGGAAATAAATAAATGAAAACTGAGTTGTTTTGGAGAAAAAGAATAGAATTGAGGTTTTACCTAAATAAACTATACTACTTTTTTATTTTTATTTTTTAAATTTATGTATTTATTTATTTAGAGGTGCAATCTCAGCTCCCTGCAACCTCAACCTCCTAGGCTCAAGCAGTCCTCCCACCTCAAGTCCCAAGTAGCTAGGACCACAGGTGCAAGCCACCACACCCAGCTAATTTTTTACTTTTTCGTAGAGACAAGGTCTTCCTATGTTACCCAGCCTGGCCTCAAACTCCTGGGCTCAAGCAGTCCTTCTACCTTGGCTTCCTAAAGTTCTAGGATTACAGGCATGAGCCACTGTGCTCAGCCTATACTACTTTTTACAAATATGTTTAAGGCCCAAAGAAGGAAAACAGATTTCATGAGTTATCTGCAGAAAAATTTAAATCCCAGACTAAACTTCCATTTCTACTCAACATATATCTAAGCTGCTTTCCACTGACATCAGTTGATGAGTTTATAAAGAAATACAAACCAATTTTTAAATCTGCCAAACCCAATGATTATGTAAATCTTCTGTTTTTTTGTTTTTGTTTTTAAATTTTTGTCCAGACATGGTAGCTCACACCTGTAATCCCAGCACTTTGGGAGGCTGAGGCGGGAGGAGCGCTTGAGGTCGGGATTTCAAGACCAGCTTGCCAACACGGTGAAACCCCATGTCTACTGAAAAAATACAAATATTAGCCAGATGTGGTGGCCCCAGCCTGGAGTGCAGTGGCACGATCATGACTTACGGCAGTCTTGATATTCAGGACCCAAGTGATCCTCCTGCTACAGCTCCCGAAATTTTTTTTTTCTTTTTTTTTTTTTGAGACGGAGTCTTGCTCTGTCACCCAGGCTAGAGTGCAGTGGCGCAATCTCGGCTCACTGCAACCTCCACCTCCTGGGTTCAAGCAATTCTCCAACCTCAGCCTCCTGAGTAGCTGGGATTACAAGGCGCCCACCACCGCCCCCCACTAATTTTTTTTTTCTTTTTTTTCTTTTTTTTTGAGACAGAGTCTCGCTCTGTCACCCAGGCTGGAGTGCAGTGGCGTGATCTCGGCTCACCGCAAGCTCCACCTCCCGGGTTGACGCCATTCTCCTGCCTCAGCCTCCTGAGTAGCTGGGACTACAGGCGCCTGCCACCACGCCCGGCTAATTTTTTTTGTATTTTTAGTAGAGATGGGGTTTCACTGTGGTCTCGATCTCCTGACCTCGTGATCCACCCGCCTCGGCCTCCCAAAGTGCTGGGATTACAGGTGTGAGCCACCGCGCCCGGCCTAATTTTTGTATTTTTAGTAGAGACAGGATTTCACCATGGTCTCGAACTCCTGACCTTGTGACCCACCTGCCTCGGCCTCCCAAAGTGCTGGGATTACAGGCATGAGCCACTGTGCCCGGCCTTTAATTTTCATATATGAAGAGCTAACATGGTTTTTAATTGGGTGCATGCCTTGGATAATCCATTCAAGAGAGATCACTTAGTCCAATTTAATGAAACCTATATCCTGTGGCTGGGCGCAGTGGCTCACACCTGTAATCCCAGCACTTTGGGAGGCCGAGGCGGGCGGATCACGAGGTCAGGAGATCGAGACCATCCTGGCTAACATGGTGAAACCCTGACTCTACTAAAAATACCAAAAATTAGCTGGGCGTGGTGGTGGGCGCCCGTAGTCCCAGCTACTCGGGAGGCTGAGGCAGGAGAATGGCATGAACCCGGGAGGTGGAGGTTGCAGTGAGCCGAAATCACGCCACTGCACTCCAGCCTGGGCGACAGAGCGAGACTCCATCTCAAAAAAAAAAAAAAAAAAAAAAAACCTATATCCTTCATGTACTGATGGAAAGGCTGACGGTATATATTGAGGCCATATTTCCGGATCAGACTGTGCTGATTTTTTCTTTTTGTTGTTGTTTTTGTTTTTGTTTTTTGAGATAGAGTCTCACTCTGTCGCCCAGGCTGGAGTGCAATGGTGTGGTCTCAGCTCACTGCAACCTCTGCCTCCCGGATTCAAGCGATTCTCCTGCCTCAGCCTCCTGAGTAGCTAGAATTATAGGCGTTTCCCACCATGCCCGGCTAATTTTTTGTATTTTTAGTAGAGACAGGGTTTCACCATGTTGGTCAGGCGGGTCTTGAACTCCTGACCTCATGATCTGCCGGCCTCGGCCTCCCAAAGCACTGGCATTACAGGTGTGAGCCACCGCACCTGGCCGACTATGCTGGTTTGAGCAGACATGACAAGAGCAAGAACCCTGGCCAAATTTTTGTGGGTGGCTCCAGTAGAGCTGCTGGTAACCCATCTTGCTCTCAAGAGTGCAACGAGGTAAAAGGAAGGAGCTCCCGAATTTTTTTTTTCTTTTTGAGACAGAGTCTCGTTCTATCACCAGGCTAGAGTGCAGTGGCATGGTCTCGGCTCACTGCAATCTCTGCCTCCCAGGTTCAAGTGATTCCCCTGCCTCAGCCTCCTGAGTAGCTGGGACTACAGGTGTGCACCACCACGCCTGGCTAATTTTTTTTTTTTTTGTATTTTAGTAGAGACAGGGTTTCACCATGTTGGCCAGGATGGTCTTGATCTCTTGACCTAGTGATGTGCCCACCTCAGCCCCTAAAGTGTTGGGATTATAAGCATGAGCTACTGCGCCTAGCCCCTCAATTTTTTTTTTTAATAGAAATGAGGTCTTGCTAAGCTTCCCAGGCTGGTCTCAGACTCCTAGACTCAAGCTTTCCTCCCACTTTGGCCTCCCAAAATGCTGTGATTGGCCGGGTGCGGTGGCTCACACCTGTAATCCCAGCACTTTGGGAGGCCGAGGTGGACAGATCATGAGGTCAGGAGATCGAGACCATCCTGGCTAACGCGGTGAAACCCTGTCTCTACTAAAAATACAAAAAAATTAGCCAGGCCTGGTGGCGTGCACCTGTAGTCCCTGCTACTCCGGAGGCTGAGTCAGGAGAATGGGGTGAACCCCGGAGGCGGAGCTTGCAGTGAGCAGAGATCGTGCCACTGCACTCCAACCTGGGCAACAGAGGGAGACTCCAACTGCAAAAAAAAAAAAAAAAAAAATGCTGTGATTACAGGCATGAGCTACCGTGTCTGGCCAAATCTTCTGTTTTAAAATAATCATAATATATCCTAAAACGTAAATATAATTTTTAACTTTTTATTTTTAGATCATTAAAGATTCAGTACAGTTCTAAGAAATAATACAGAGAAATCTATTGCTGGGATTACAGGCACATGCCACCATGCCCACCTAATTTTTTGTATTTTTGGTAGAGACAGGGTTTTGCCATGTTGGCCAAGCTGGTCTCGAACTCCTGACCTCAGGTGATCCGCCCACCTTGGCCTCCCAAAGTGCTGGGATTACAGGCATGAGCCACCGTGCCCATCCTCTACTTTGTCATTTCAATAATGTTATATAAGTGGAATCATACAGTATACATGATTTTGAGATTGGCTTTTTTCCTTTCAGCATAATTCCCTTGATACCCATCCAAGTTGTTGTTTGAATCAATATTTCATTCCTTCTTATTGCTGAGATTATTCCATGATATGGATGTACCACAGTTTGTTTAACCATTTACCCAGTGAAGGACATTTAAGCTGCTTCCAGTTTCAGCTATCTAAAAATAAAACTGGCTGGGCACAGTGGCTCATGCCTATAATCCCAGCACTTTGGGAGGACTACGCCGGCAGATAGCTTAAGCCCAGGAGTTTGAAATCAGCCTGGACGATATGACGAAACCCATCTCTAAAAAAAAATACAAAAAAAAAAATATATTAGCCAGGCGTGCTTTTGTGTGCCTGTAGTCCCAGCTACTTGGGAGGGTCACTGGAGGCCAGGAGGTTGAGGCTGCAGTGAGACATAATTCTGCCACTGCACACCAACCTGGGTAACAGAGTGAGACTCTGTCTCATAATAAATAAATAAATAAATAAATAAAGCATTATGAACACCATAATTGTTTACAGGTTCTTATGGGAAATAAAAAAATGGGAAATAGGGCCGGGCTCAGTGGCTCACACACTTTGGGAGGCCGAGGTGGACGGATCACAAGGTCAAGAGATCGAGACCATCCTGGCCAATATGGTGAAACCACATCTCTACTAAAAATACAAAAATTATCTGGGTGTGGTGGCATATGCCTATAGTCCCAGATACTCGGGAGGCTGAGGCAGGAGAATCTCTTGAACCCAGGAGGTGGAGGTTGCAGTGAGCCGAGATTGTGCCACTGTACTCCACCTGGAGACAGAGCGAGACTCTGTCTCAAAAGAAAAGAAAAGAAAACAAATGAGAAATAGGCCAGGCATGGTGGCTCAAGCCTATAATCCCAGCACTTTGGGAGGCAAAGGTGGGTGAATCACCTGAGATCAGGAGTTTGAGACCAGCCTGCCCAACATGGCAAAACCCCATCTCTACTAAAAGTACAAAAATTAGTCAGGCGTGGTGGCAGGCACCTGTAATCCCAGCTACTCGGGAGGCTGAGGTAGGAGAATCACTTGAACCTGGGAGGTGGAGGTTGCAGTGAGCCAGCATCATTGCACTGCACTCCAATCCGGCCTGGGTGGAGCCAGACTCCGTCTCAAGAAAAAAACAAGTAGGAAATAAATTTTCTATTCTCTGGGATAAATGCCCGAGAGTACAATTGCTGGGTCATAAGGTAAGTGTGTGTTTTGTTTTGTTTTTTAAGAAACTGCCAAACTTGGGCGGATCACCTGAGGTCGGGAGTTTGAGACTAGCATGACCAACATGGAGAAACCCCATCTCTACTAAAAATACAAAATTAGCCGAGTGTGGTGGCACATGCCTGTAATCCCAGCTACTCAGGAGACTGAGGCAGGAGAATCGCTTGAACTGGGGGCAGAGGTTGCGGTGAGCCGAGATCGCGCCATTGCACTCCAGCCTGAATAATAAGAATGAAACTCCGTCTCAAAAGAAGGAAGGAAAGAAAGAAAGAAACTGGCAAACTATTTTCTTTTTTTTTTTTTTTTCAAATGGAGTCTCACTCTGTCACCCAAGCTGGAGTGCAGTGGCACTATCTCAGCTAACAGCAACCTCCGCATACCAGGTTCAAGTGATTGTCCTGCCTCAGCCTCCCGAGTAGCTGGGATTACAGGCAGGTGCCACCACACCCGGCTGATTTTTGTATTTTTTGTAGAGATGGGGTTTCACCATGTTGGCCAGGCTGGTCTCAAACTCCTGAGCTCAGGCAGTCTGCCTGCCTCGACCCCCCAAAGTGCTGGGATTACAGGGCATGAGCCACTGCGCCCATCCTGCCAAACTATTTTCTAGAGCGGCTGTACCATTTTACATTCCCACCAGCAATTTATGAATAATCCAGTATGTCTACATCCTCTCCAGCATTTGGTATCATCACTTTTTAAAAAACTTTTAGCCCGGCACAGTGGCTCACACTTGTAATCCCAGTACTTTGGGAGGCCAAGGCAGGTGGAATATCTGAGGTCAGGAGTTTGAGACCAGTCTGGCTAACATGGAGAAACCTCATCTCTATTAAAAATACAAAAATTAACTGTGTGTGATGGCATGCACCTGTAGTCCCAGCTACTCAGGAGGCTGAGGCAGGAGAATTGCTTGAACCCAGGAGGTGGGGGTTGCAGTGAGCTGAGATTGTGCCACTGCACTCCAGCCTAGGTTACAGAGTGAGACTTCTCGATAAAAAAAGGCCGGGTGTGGTAGCTCACGCCTGTAATCCCAGCACTTTGGGAGGCCAAGGCAGGTGGATCACGTGAGGTCGGGAGTTTGAGACCAGACTGACCAACACGGAGAAACCCTGTCTCTACTAAAAATACAGAATTAGCCGGGTGTAGTGGGGCATGCCTGTAATCCCAGCTATTTGGGAGGCTGAGGCAGGAGATCACTTGAACCTGGGAAGCGGAGGTTGCAGTTAGCCATTGCACTCCAGAGATCACGCCATTGCACTCCAGTCTGGGCAACGAGAGCAAAATTCCATCTCAAAAAAAAAAAAAAAACAACTTTTAGCCATTCTGACAGATGTGTAGTGTGTCATGTGTGTTGTGTGTGTGTTGACTCTTCTCTCACTTATCTATGAGAAGAGAATTAATTTAGGTACAGATAATGGCTATTGGCTTTTATTAGAGGTCTCAAAAATATATAAAGACTTCAGGCCTTCTTTTGACAGATTATTTCTGCAGTTTTTTTTGTTTGTTTGTTTGTTTTAAGACAGGGTCTCATTCTGTCACCCAGGCTGGAGTGCAGTCGCGAGTTCTTGGCTCACTACGGCCTCAACTTCCCAGGCTCAGGTGATCCTCCCACTTCAGCCTCCCAAGTAGCTGGAATTACAGGCATGCTCCACCATGCCTGGCTAATTTTTTGTATTTTTTTTGCGGAGACAGTGTTTGCCATGTTGCCCAAGCTGGTCTTGAACTCCTGGGCTCAAGTGATCCTCCCACCTTAGCCTCCCAACATGCTAGAATTATAGGTGTGAGCCACCTTGCCCTGCCATTTCTGGGCGGATTGATAAGCTAATTGGCCATAGGTGACCTAGAGTCAGACACCTTCATATAAGAGCTTCAGACTTGGGACTTACTTGCATGGCTTCCAAGCCTGCAAATCTATACCCTTCCTTTTTGAGCCATTCTCAGTGCTCTATTAATCCTTTTTGTTTCTCCCTGAAGGGCCATGCCTTACCTGTTGATTCGAAAATTCAAAGAGATATTAAAAATAATATATCAAGGAATATATTTTACTTTCTCTTTCTTTGCTTTTTTGTTGAGATGGGGTCTTGCTGTGTTGTCTAGGCTAGTCTTGAACTCCTGGATTCAAGAAGTCCTCCAGTCAGCTGCCTGAGTAGCTAGGACCACAGGCACACACCACTGTACCCAACCTAGAATATATTTTAGTTTATTTTCTAATTAAAAGCAAGCAAAACCTCTTTGTTTTATTATGCATTCATCACCTCCAATTGGTGTCCTTTGACTTGTAGTTCTAACTGTACCTGCTGGTAAGGTTGCAGAGGAGACTGTAATTAAAGAGGAAGAAGAAGAGAAGTTGCCACTAACAAAGAAACCAAGGATAGGAGAGAAGACAAACAGTGTGGAGGAAAGCAAGGTAATGTTTTTAGGAGTGATGAAAAGAATTTAAAGCCTTAATTATTAAGGCCTGAACCCTTCTTCATCTTTTCTTTTTTCTTTTTGAGACGGAGTCTTGCTGTGTTGCCCAGGCTGGAGTACAGTGGCATGATCTCAGCTCACTGCAACCTCCGCCTCCCGGGCTCAAGTGATTCTCATGCCTCAGCCTCCTGAGTAGCTGGGATTACAGGCACCTGCCACCATGCCTGGCTAATTTTTGTATTTTTAGTAGAGACAGGGTTTTGCCATGTTGGCCAAGTTGGTCTCGAACTCTTGACCTCAGATAATCTGCCTACCTCTGCCTCCCAAAGTGCTTGGATTATAGGTGTGAGGCACCGCTCCTGGCCTGTCTTTTTGTCTACTGTCTGGATAATTTATGATCAGGAATTTACCTGGTGGTGACATGGCTTACTTTTACAGGAAGGCAATGAAAGAGAGCTACTACAGCAACAACTCCAGGAGGCCAATCGAAGAGCCCAGGAATACCGACACCAGCTCCTAAAGAAAGAGCAGGAAGCAGAACAGTACCGTCTTAAGCTGGAGGCCATAGCCCGACAGCAGCCCAATGGAGTTGATTTCACCATGGTTGAAGAGGTGGCTGAGGTAGATGCTGTAGTAGTCACAGAGGGGGAGTTGGAAGAGAGAGAGACAAAAGTGACTGGGTCAGCAGGGACCACAGAGCCTCACACTAGAGTTTCCATGGCAACTGTTTCATCTTAATATGCAAGGGCCACAATTTGCACTGTGTTCATATTAATCCTCTTTTAAAAAAGGAAATATACAGAAGACAAACATTGTATAAAAACTAAGAGTGTCTTTAAGAAGAAAACTATAGCAGGGTACAATGCTTGGGCTCAGGAAGTTTCTCTGTGCAACTAGAAAATTCAAAGCCATATTTAGGGAACATTTTTTCTGAGGGGCCAAAAGAATAAAGGACCAAATTTCTTAGCTCATATCATTGCTTTAAACATAGAAGTAAAAGAATACTGCATGTTGTGGGTTGATTTTTTTTTTTTAAATAACTGACTTTCTCACAAAAGATTTTAAGATAACATTTCTAATATATATGCACCAATATATATGCCTTTAATAATTATACCATCAAGTGACCTGAAAATGCCCCTTAGATTTATGATGCGTATCTGTTGGAAAAACCAATTGGAAGGGAAGTTAGACAAGCTTTGGGGAAGAGAAAAGGAATATAGTCCATTTCCAAAGGAGCAGGAACTCCCAACCTTAAGTTAATTTCACTGAAGAGAATTTTCCCTTTTTTTTTTTTTTTTTGAGACACGGTCTGACTCTGTCACCCAGGCTAGAGTACAGTGGTGCAATCTTGGCTCACTGCAACCTCCGCCTCCAGGGCGCAGCCTCCTGAGTAGCTGGGAGGACAGGCATATGCCACCACATCACTGAGAAGAAATTTTTGATTGTCTGACAGATACTTATCCATTATGTGTCTATAGTTCAGATGCTTGTGTAAGAAACTGAAATAAGCTGCGTGTGGTGGCTCACACCTGTAATCCCAACACTTTGGGACGTTGAAATGGGAGAATTGCTTGAGTCCAGGAGTTTGAGATGCGCCTGGGCAACATAGAAACCTGTGTCTACAAAAAATTTAAAAATTAGCCAAGTATGGTGACAGGCACCTATGGTTCCAGCTACTCAGGAGGCTGAGGTGGGAGGATCGCTTGTGCCTTGGAGGTCAAAACTGCAGTGAGCCATGGTTGCACCACTGCTCTCCAGGCTTGAGTGACAGAGCAAGACTGTATCTCAAAGGAAAAAGGAAACTAGGCCAGGCGTGGTGGCTCACGCCTGTAATCCCAACACTTTGGGAGGCCGAGGCGGGCGGATCACGAGGTCAGATCAAGAACATCCTGGCTAACACGGTGAAACTCCATCTCTACTAAAAATACAAAAAATTGGCCGGGCGCAGCGGCTCACGCCTGTAATCCCAGCACTTTCGGAGGCAGAGGCAGGCGGATCACAAGGTCAAGAGATTAAGATCATCCTGGCCAACATGGTGACACCCCGTCTCTACTAAAAATACAAAAATTACCCAGGCATAGTGGCACACGCCTGTAGTCCCAGTTACTTGGGAGGCTGAGGCAGGAGAATTGCTTGAACCTGGGAGGTGGAGGTTGCAGTGAGCCAAGATCGTGCCACTGCACTCCAGCCTGGCGACACAGTGAGACTCTGTCTCAAAAAAACAAAACAAACAAACAAAAATACAAAAAATTAGCCGGGCGTGGTGGCACCTGCCTGTAATCCCAGCTACTTGGGAGGCTGAGGCAGGAGAATCGCTTGAACCCGGGAGGCGGAGGTTGCAGTGAGCTGAGATCGCACCATTACACTCCAGCCTGGGCAACAGAGCCAGACTCTGTCTCAAAAAAAAAAAAAAAGGAAATTGAAATAGAGTTTTTAAAAACTGAACTGGAAAGCCGAGGCGAGCGGATCACCTGAGGCCAGGAGTTCCAGACCAGCCTGACCAACATGGAGAAACCCTGTCTCTACTAAAAATACAAAATTAGGGCCAGACCCGGCAGCTCATGCCTGTAATCCCAGCACTTTGGGAGGCTGAGGTGGGTGGATCATGAGGTCAGGAGTTCAAGACCAGCCTGGCCGAGATGGTGAAACCCTACTAAAAATACAAAAATTCACCTGGCGAGGTGGCAGGCACCTGGAATCCCAGCTACTCGGGAGGCTGAGGCGGTAGAATCACTTGAACCCAGGTGACAGAGGTTGCAGTGATCCAAGATCATGCCACTGCACTCCAGCCTGGGCGATAGAGTGAGACTCTGTCTCAAACAAACAAAACAAAACAAAATTAGCTGGGTGTGGTGGCACATGCCTGTAATCCCAGCTACTCAGGAGGCTGAGGCAGGAGAATCGCTTGAACCCGGGAGGCGGCAGTTGCAATGAGCCGAGATGGCACCATTGCACTCCAACCTGGGCAACAAGAGTGAAACTCAATTAAAAAAAAAATAGAAAAGAAAGAAAACTTGTTTATGTGGGAGGAGTATATATAAAACCAAAATCCAGGCTGTGTTTCCACAGTGCTGGGAAGTGGCCAGAAAAAGGCTTATAGGGGCTATGAAACTCTGGTCTTGACATATAAACTTTGCTCTGACTGGATTTCATAAAATTACAGTGAGGAGGGTAGTCTCTTGTCAGAAAAACTTGTTTCCAAACATTTATGTAATGTCAAGCTCAGTCTCTCTTTTTTTTTTTTTTTTTTTTGAGACGGAGTCTTGCTCTTGTTGCCCAGGCTGGAGTGCAATGGTGTGATCTCAACTCACCGCAACTTCCACCTCCCGGTTTCAAGCTATTCTCCTGCCTCAGCCTCCCGAGTAGCTGGGATTACAGGCACGCGCCACCACGCCCGGCTAATTTTGTATATTCAGTAGAGACAGGGTTTCTCTATGTTGGTCAGGCTGGTCTGGAACTCCTGGCCTCAGGTGATCCACCCGCCTTGGCCTCCCAAAATGCTGAGATTACAGGCGTGAGCCACCCCGCGCACAGCCTAGACTCTAATTTTATAAAACTTTGTTGAATTTTCTAAGTGTCATTTAGGACATATTGTGCTTTTCTGTGGAGCTTATATCTTATCCTCTTATGTGCAACAAAAAGGGGGTCGGAGGTAAATGCTGATGATGTTGTTTAGTTTTATTTCCTTTTGATCTGGCATGAGTAAATTGCTCTGTTTCCTTAAGCTTGGGTCTGTTACAGAGCTTTGTGCCTTATAGGGTGCTCAGTGTGTGTTGACAAAGGGAATAAGAACTGTCAGTGCCATAAAGAACCAAAGATTCTGGCTACTTTGTCTTCTTCCTTTCTCTCCCACTATGCCTACACTTCCTCTGCCCAGACACTTTTGGAAAGTGTTTAACTGCTGGGTTTTCTTTTTCTTTTTCTTTTTTTTTTTGAGACGGAGTTTCACTCTTGTTGCCCAGGCTGGAGTGCAATGGCGTGATCTTGGCTCACCGCAACCTCTACCTCCTGGGTTCAAGTGATTCTCCTGCCTCAGCCTCCCGAGTAGCTGGGACTACAGGCATGCGCCACAATGCCTGGCTAATTTTGTATTTTTAGTAGAGATGGGGTTTCTCCATGTTAGTCGGGCTGGTCTTGAACTCCTGACCTCAGGTGATCCACCTGTCTCGACCTCCCAAAGTGCTGGGATTATAGGCGTGAGCCACTGCGCCTGACCACCTACCTGCTGGGTTTTCTTTGTATGTCAGCATGGAGTTTTTCCCAAAGAAAGGGAATATGGATGGAGAGAGAGAGGTTATGAACAGGTTATGTTACAGAGGTTATTGCCTTTGAAACTGGGCCCTCATCATTCTAGACTTGCTTGCTTTGTTATAAATTAGAAGAAACCAGAGGGAGATGTGCCAAGTAAACATTCGAATGACTGTTTAGAATATGGTTTTCTTAATTAGCAGTCATGGGGAAAACATGCATTTTTAATTTGGAAAAAACCTGACAGTTAACATGGTTCTGTTTACCTTGATTAGTGAAGTAATTTGCTGCAGTGTTACAGAGGAGCAGAATCACTTGGGTCTCAAAATAGACTGAAAATTTAACTCCCCAAACCAAATTTAACAAACAGAATTGGTTATTAGAGATTTATAGGCAAAAATATCAGTTTGGAAATTAACCTTGGCTACTGGCCACCTTAGCTAGGTTTTCTCCACAGATCTGTTTTCTCCACAGATCTGAGTACTTAACACTTCCCAGATGATTGGAGAATATTCTGGGCTGTTGGGGATGACAGGAAAATGTGAGGGGGAGTAGCCTAGGTAAGGGTGATGATGAAATTGTTCTATCTGCTGTCAAATAATCTTTTCCTGTTTGCAATGTTTTTATTTTTTCTGAGTCCCTTTGGGAACCAGGTGCTAACAAGAAGCTGTTATGTGTGGGATTTCGGAGCCTTACTTTAACGATAGAGGAACCAAGTATCATTTTAGATATCTTTTATTTATGTTCTCGGTGCATATGTTGACTTTAATCCCTCTTCCCCCACACCTCGCCCATTAAGGGGAAGGAGGTTAACTCTGCAGATGATATTCAGGCCCAACCAGCTCACTCTCTGGGGTGGCTACTGACTAAAGGCAGAGAATGTCCATCCAACATGCCCTTCTGACTATACAGTCACCACTTTTTTGGGGGAATTCTTTAGCAGATCTTATTGTTCTTTCTGCAGAAGCTATCATTCCTACCTCCCCAACCCCCAAAATCTCTAATACAGGCCAAGTCATTTTTTATGATGGGTCTCTGAGATAGGGCAGTTTGTTAGAGGAGAGGCTAGGGTAGAGAGGGAGAGAATGGAGGTATCTGAAAATAAGTAAGAAAAAGGCATTGATTTTTATTTACTCGGAACGGTCCTCTTGGCATCCCAGATAAGGGAAATAGGATTTGATCTCCAATTGTATTGCCATGGAGAGAATGGCAGGTGAGGATGCTTTGAAGTAGTTAGAAATTAAATATTGAATACATTAATGGCAATACCATTTCATGACTTTGCATATCTTTCTGGATTAGTCATGGAAGTTGGGGAAATATTGCTTAGATCTTCTGGGTTAGAGGATTCCAACTGTTTATTGGCAAGGTTGGATTATTAAGAATCAAATAGCAGACAAAAATGGCTGGGCACGGTGGCTCACGCCTGTAATCCCAGCACTTTGAGAGGCTGAGGTGGGTAGATCACTTGAGGTGAGGAGTTCGAGACCAGCCTGGCCGACATGGCAAAACCCTGTCTCTACCAAAATACAAAAATTAGTTGGGCATGATGGCATACGCCTGTAGTCCCAGCTACTCTGGAGGCTGAAACAGGAGAATTGCTTGAACCCAAAAGGTGGAGTTTACAGTGAGCTGAGATTGTGCCACTGCACTCCAGCCTGGGCAATAGAGCGAGACTCTGTCTCAAAAAAAAAAAAAAAAGAAGGAAAGAAAGAAAAAACAGACAAATGGATCAGAATTGGTGCTTGAGCAAGAGAAACTTCGAGCTTAGGATGGTTGTCTACTTTAAAATAAAGCTGCTGGCCGGGCACAGTGGCTCACGCCTGTAACCTCAGCACTTTGGGAGGCCAAGGCAGGTGGATCACGAGGTCAGGAGATTGAGACCATCCTGGCTAACACAGTGAAACCCTGGCCCTACTAAAAATACAAAAAATTAGCCGGGCGTGGTGGTGGGTGCCTGTAGTCCCAGCTACTCGGGAGGCTGAGGCAGGAGAATGACGTGAACCCAGGAGGCAGAGCTTGCAGTGAGCTGAGATCGCCCCACTGCAACAGATCGCCTGGGCAACAGAATGAGACTCGGTCTCAAAAAATAAAATAAAATAAAATAAAATAAAATAAGTAAAGCTGCTGGCCAGACATGGTGGCTCACGCCTGTAATCCCAGCACTTTGGGAGGCCGAGATGGGAGGATCACTTGAGGCCAGGCCAGCGTGGTGAAACTCAGTCTCTACTAAAAATACAAAAATTAGCCGGGGGTGGTGGCGCATCATCATACTGGTGAGAAAAAAAAAAAAAAAAAAGAGGCCGGGCGCGGTGGCTCACAAAAAAAAAAAAAAGAAAGAAAAAGGAAAAAAAGAAATATCAGTTTGAGAAATGATTTTTTTTTCTTTTTTCTTTTCTTTTTTTTTTTTTAAACAGAGTCTCTCTCTGTCACCCAGGCTGGAGCGCAGTGGCATGATCTTGGCTCATTGCAACCTCTGTCTCCCGGGTTCAAGCGATTCTTCTGCCTCAGCCTCTGAAGTAGCTGGGATTACAGGCACGCGCTAATTTTTGTATTTTTAGTACAGACGGGATTTCACCATATTGGCCAGGCTGGTCTCGAACTCCTGACCTCGTGATCCACCCTCCTTGGCCTCCCAAAGTGCTGGGATTACAGGTGTGAGCCACCACGCCCAGCCTCTTTTTTTTTTTTTTTTTCTCACCAGTATGATGATGACCATTTTAAGAAAGCTTGTGTGGCTCTCTCCTATCATTACAGACCTCCAGAGCTGGAAAATTTGATGCATTTACTGAACTCTTCCTGAAAGTTTAATATGGAGTGGGAATCAGTTTTTGTCCTAATTTATTAGAGAAGGCTTCCTCTTCTCTACTCCTTGTGCAAACCCATCTCTGGATAGCTAGAAAAGGAACTTCAGAATGGACTATATGTGATGACCACCTGTATGCACTCTAGGCTCTTATCTGTCTCTATTTTATGTGGTGACTATATCTCAGAAGTACTACCCCTTCTGAGTAGTACTATTATTTCCTATGCCAATTTTTTTTAAGTCTCTGATGCTGCCCTTTTTAAATTTTTGTCTTATTTTTTAGCCTCTTTAGTATTAGGGGGTGAGGTGACATTCCTAGACTCTACAGTAGCAGTTTGGCATGTTAGTGACAGGAAATTGTGATTCCCTATCTCCCCCTCCTCCTACCTTTTCTGCTTTTGTGATTCCATTGTTCCTATCTCATTGAGGCTTTCCCAGGCATTCGAATTTAGTTAGTAGGTCATTTCTAATCTCTGGGCCTTGTCTTTTCTCTCTCCGTTCCCCTCCTTCCCTACCACATATTTTTTGTTTATTCTGAGGTGGTTTGTTTCTGAAAGTTAATCTAGGTCACCTTCTATATCCTGTGCTTTCTAGTTGGCTTTAGACATCTTGTTCTAGCAACAATGATGGTAGCAGCTCTCTCCCTGACCTTGCCCCATGTGCTGTCCTTCTGTCAAGGCCATTTGTGTGTGTACTGCGGCAGGTGTGTGTGTGGGGGGATGCGCCCAGACTGTTCTCACAATGTCCTCAGTTTTTCAGGTTGTCTGACAGCTTTATGTACAGCGTATTTTTAGAAAAACTTAAATATACTTCTTTATTTAGGGTTTTATTCTGATGAGCAAGTTTGTGTGTATATGTGTGTATGAGCATTTGTATGTATATATACTTATACAGATCTATATTATATATACAGTTTTTGTACTATCATTTAAAATAAAAATGTTTCTCAATAAAATGTCAAAGCCGACCATTTCAGGGTGTCATTGAATTTGTTTTCATCTCCTGGGCAAAATTTGTATCTATTCTCTTTTTTTTTTTTTTTTTTGAGACGGAGTCTCGCTCTGTCGCCCAGGCTGGAGTGCAGTGGCGGGATCTCGGCTCACTGCAAGCTCCGCCTCCCGGGTTCACGCCATTCTCCTGCGTCAGCCTCCCAAGTAGCTGGGACTACAGGCGCCCGCCACTACGTCCGGCTAATTTTTTTGTATTTTTAGTAGAGACGGGGTTTCACCGTTTTAGCCGGGATGGTCTCGATCTCCTGACCTCGTGATCCGCCCGCCTCGGCCTCCCAAAGTGCTGGGATTACAGGCGTGAGCCACCGAGCCCGGCCAAATTTGTATCTATTCTCTAATGACAGGTGAACCACAGAGCTCATTTTCCCTGTCCAACTGAGCTAACTGAAGGGGGAGGGGTATAGATCTACTAACCCATGCATGGCCATTGCCTTTTCCTTATCCACCGCTCTCAGCCTGGTATTCTTGACAGGCAGAGCAAGTTGAGGTAAGAAATGAAATGAGAATGAGGAGAGCTTTTGACCAGCTTGTTAAATGTACATTTTCCTTCTTTCTCTCATTCCCCACTCCCTTCCCTAAAAGCAAACAACCAAGGGAGGAGAAAAGTAGCTGAAGAAAATGATTATGTGCCTTGTGTGGGAGTAAAGTCAATACTGAGACGTATGGGGAAAAACATCAGACTCAGGAGTGCTTGGAAAGAGTAGATTTACTTTGCCAGCTTCTCAGCTATTCTTGGTTAATAGGGTGCTTGCTGCTATCTTAGTCCAAAATCAGCACACATTTATATTTAAAAATAGGAGGATCAGTCTGATAGTAGCACAATCCCCATTGATAGCCGGGGTGAACAGACCAATTTGACTAGCAAGATGGGTATCCTATCTAGTGTATAGAGTTCTGAAAAGCTGTTTTGTTGGCAAGAAGGATACCTTTCTTTACAAAATTAGCTTTGAGCCTGTCCAAAGCTAAGGACATATAAGCATCTGTGTTCAGCGACTGGAATCTCAAGTAAGTTCTCAAAGTCAATATTTAGGAAATTGGACACCTACCATGTACTAGGGTACATGTAGATAATTTCTTTTTGGTAAATACATATAGTCAGCAAATGCTGTGCACATATTCAAGTAATAGAAAGTAATTCTGGCAGGTACTTTATTAATATATATAGTCTTGGCTGTGCTGACAGAAAAAAAAGCAGGAACTTGTGGAGCCTTAAGAACCAAAGAACTAAAAATCTTGTTGAATTAAATCCTGGTGAGAGAAATCATCAAGATGGGAAAGTTGGAGGGAACTAGAGAGATAGGAACCTAGAGTTCTCTGATGGGTGATACTCTTTTTTTTTTTTTTTTTTTTTTGAGACAGAGTCTCACACTGTTGCCCAGGCTGGAGTGCGGTGGCATGATCTTGGCTCACTGCAGCCTCTGCCTCCCAGGTTCAAGTGATTCTCCTGCCTCAGCTTCCCTATTAGCTGGGATTACAGGCATGCACCACTACACTCAGCTAATTTTTGTATTTTTAGTAGAGACGGGGTTTCACCATGTTGGCCAGGCTGGTCTTGAACTCCTGACCTCAGGTGATCCACCCGCACTGGCCTCCCAAAGTGCTGGGCTTACAGGTGTGAGCCACCGTGCCCGGCTGGGTGATAGTCTTAAGTAATGGGAAAAATTATGAACTAGGGCAACTTTCCTAAGACTTCCTTCCTCTGTAAAAAAGAACCCTCTACTCCAAGGAGATCAATAGGTAAAAAATACAGGTGAAGGCTGAAGTGGGAGCAACCCAGTGATAACTACACCTGTGTAAGGCTTGTGCAAGACATTTGATAGGTAATTGAGTAAGTTAAGACTATGGGAGACTTCTGAACAAAAGTGTGGGGTTGCAGTCTGCTCCTATAACCAGTCCTAAAGTTTAAGGGTAGTGCTGTAAAGGAAAGGAAAGTTTGGGAAAGGGCCCAAAATTATAAATAACAATAGCCACCATGTTTTAAGCTTTTGCTACATGTCTGGCAATGTGCTAGGTACTCTGCATATACATATAAATACCCATCTTGTAAGGTGAGTATTATCCTCATCATATAGTTGTAAAAATAGGTTGACTTTGCAGAGTCACACACTTGTAAAAATTGTCCTTTTTTTTTTTTCTTTTTAAAGACAGGGTCTCACTCTTGCCCAGGCTGGAGTGCAGTGGCATGATCTTGGCTCACTGCAGCCTCGACCTTCGACCTCCAGGTCTCAAGCAATCCTCCACCTCAGCCTACTGAGAAGCTGGGACTACAGGTGCACACCACCATGCCTGGCTAATTTTTGTATTTTTGGTAGAGACAGGGTTTCACCATGTTGCCCAGGCTGGTCTTGAACTCCTGAGCTCAAGGGATCCACCTGCCTTACCTTCCCAAACTGTTGGAATTATAGGCGTGAGCCATGGCACCCTGGCTAAAATTGTTCTTTCTAAAACTACAGTTTCTACATTGAGTTAATTAGTGTACTTTCCTCTGTGATTTCCCTTTTGTCAGAATGCTATTTTATTCACTAGCCTTGGGCAGCTTAATTCATCTCAGATTTGCATTTAAGAAACTGAGGGCCGGGTGCCGTGGCCCGTAATCCCAGCACTTTGGGAGGCCAAGGCCGGCGGATCACGAGGTCAGGAAATTGAGACCATCCTGGCTAACATGGTGAAAACCTGTCTCTACTAAAAACACAAAGATTAACTGGGTGTGGTGGCAGGCGCCTGTAGTCCCAGCTACTCAGGAGGCTGAGGCAGGAGGCGGAGCTTGCAGTGAGCCGCAGTTGCACCACTGCACTCCAGCCTGGGTGAC
Source organism: Homo sapiens (assembly GCF_000001405.40). Classification (NCBI taxonomy): domain Eukaryota; kingdom Metazoa; phylum Chordata; class Mammalia; order Primates; family Hominidae; genus Homo; species Homo sapiens. The sequence continues at coordinate 151,128,395 of NC_000001.11, forward strand.
AGAGTGAGACACTATCTCGGAAAAAAAAAAAAAAAAAAAAAAGCCAAACTCGGGCAGATCACCTGAGGTTGGGAGTTCGAGACCAGCCTGGCCAACATGGTGAAACCCCATCTCTACTGAAAATACAAAAATTAGCCGGGCATGGTGGCACATCCCTGTAATCCCAGCTACTCGGGAGGCTGAGGCAGGAGGCTTGAACCCAGGAGGCAGAGATTGCAGTGAGCTGAGAGAGCCGAGATTGCACCACTGCACTCCAGCCTGGGCGACAGAGCAAGACTCTGTCTCAAAAAAAAAAAAAAGAAACTGAGAAGAAAAATATGATCCAAGCAGCATTTCCTATAAGCTCCCCAAAGTAAATTTTGCTCCAAAACTAATTTGGGGGTATCTGCATAGAGTTTCTGGCCAGCAATACTTGAGCAAGAAGAGTAAAAAATAATCTCTCTTGTGGGGAATGAATAGGGTCTTCATCTCTAGGTATGCTGGATGTTTTCTTTCTTTCCTTCCAGATTACGCTCCTCTATTCTGTAGCCTGTTCTCTGTCCTGGGAGACTGACCTATATGAACATCAATGGGCTTCCTGTGCTTTGGCCTCCAGTTGGATTCAGCCAATAGGGAGCCCTGACAGGAGACTGGGGGAAGAGAAAAGACTGAAGTCGATGTATTGACATTTGCCAGGCACAGTGGTGCACTCCTGTAATCTCAGCTACTCGGGAAGCTGAGGCACGAAAATCACTTGAACCTGGGAGGCGGAGGTTTTGGTGAGCTAAGATCACACCACTGCACTCCAGCAACTGTATCGCAAAAAAAAAAAAAAAAAAAAAAAAAAGTCACTGCTTCTCTCAAGGCACTCTCCCCCTCCAGGACCTAGAAACTAATAACTCCTTTTATCCTTTTAGGCCTAATACAGTTATTAGCCTCCAGTTACTGACCTATCCTTTGCCCATACCTTTCAAAATAGCCCTTCATTATTTTGAGAATGTTATTTCCTGTTGGGACCCTGTCTGATACACCTGGTAAAGGTAGGTGATCTTTTCGATTTACAGGCTTCATATTTTATCCATGTACTTGAACCTTACTCTCATACATATAACCTTATATTCTTATGAGCCAACAGTTCTGAAGGGTCAACTGCTGGATTAAGTAGCAGAGAGTGACGCATACCTGTGTGGTTCTCATGGATGGGACAGTGACATCAAGGAGTTAAAAACCTGAGAGACAATAATATCTCAGGCCCCTGTGACTTAGCCCCCAAAGAACCCAAGATGCTGAACAGCTTTTCAAGCTCTGTGACTGTGGAACCTTCTGTGATTCAAGTCCCCAAAGCCTTACACAAACTGATGGAATCTGTCTGCTGGGGCCCTGGTTTCTCCATAACCTCCCAGGATGCCTCTGAGAAATCAGCTTAGAAATCCCTGAGGATGATGATGCTATCCTCCCGTTGGCACATTCTGGTTTTCCTAAAGACAAAAACTGAGCTAATGGTATGATTTTTTAAAAAAGAGTATTAGCAGATTCCTTGAGGTCATATTTATCCTTCTATTGTCAGGGATAATTTACTTTAATTCATCCTCTTAATTTATTATTCACTACTCTCTATCAGGGAGAGGTATCTGTATTAATGAACTGCATACTTGGTAGAAGTCTGCTTTATTTTGGGCAAATCATTTTCCCACAAAGCACTTAATTTAAATATATATATTTATACGGTACTTTACAAATCCCTGTTGCCATATGTTCTTTCCATTCCTTACCAAAAAAACAGCCTCAAAGATGTTGGTTGAATTGCCAAGGTCACATAGAAAACAAGAGGTAGAGACCCAGGACTGTTGCTCTCACTGCAACATAGTTACTTCTGTTAGCTCTGAGAGTTCAGTTTAGATACTCTTTGGCTAAAGAAGTCACCATAGTGATAAATACTAATAAAAGAACATATTTTATAATTAAACTACAACCAGGACTTTAACCTATAAATTACTGCTGCCTGCAAAGAATTACAAGATTAAATTTCCATTGTATATATCTCTCTTTTAGGTCTATATTTAAACCTTAGGATCATTTACCCTTTTTGTTTGTGACCACCTTCAAGGCAAGAACTATATTTGAGTTTTGTCCCTCAGAGGACTGTGAAAGGCTGCAGCCTTGAAACTTTTCCTTGTCCTTCAAAATTTCGGTTTGAAGAGGATAATGAAGTCAAGTGACTGGATTCTCTACTCCTTCCTTGCTTGCTTTCCTCCAGTATCTAGGAAACTAGCACTGGCCCCGAGGCACCTTGGTTTAAGTAAGGCACCCCATACGGGAAAAACTGAGACCTAAAGGACCACTTCAACCTGGTGAAACAAGCGCCAAGCAAAAAGAGGTCAGACTCTGGAGGACAACCAAATTTGGCCAGACAAGCTTAACTGAAATGGAAATAATGTTCAGAGGGCATTAAAAAACCCTGGGGGTAAAATCTATAGGTGAAAATTATAAGGATACAAAGGGAAAGGGATTGCCTAGTGAAAGCAGATCGCAAAGTTAGGAATAGGAATAGCCTATGCGTGAGTTTGAAGGAATTACTATCTCACAAGATACCATGCCTTCGCCTTTAGAAAGCGTTTTCACATTCTGGTACTTGAGCTTCTCAACCCCATTTTTCAGATGAACAAATGGAGGCTCCGGGCGGAGTTCTGACCAGTCATGATCACAAGTAATAAAGCGCGGAACTAGGAACAAGTTCAGGCTTCCCCAAATTGTTCTCAGCAGTTTCCCGCCGAGGACATTTAGGTAGCAAACGGGAAGGGGACTGGTGAGGCTTCCTTAGCAGCAAGAGTTGGCCCGACCCCCAGGCGGAGCCAGCGGGAGAATGTGGGGCTCGAACTGGGCGGACATTGCAGCCACGCGGGGGTGAAAAACCCGATTTGTAAATTCGCACCAGCTGCCTCCTGCGTTAGGCCTTAAAGCGTTGTTAGCGAGGGTGGTGGGCGGTGCAGGTGGTCCTGTTCGTCCCTCTCATTGGTGCCGGGGATAACGGACAGGTATCCGCAGCCAGTCCCAACCGGAGCAAAGGGAGCTTCACGACAGCTACACGCTACCTGGTCCTGAGCGCGCGGAGCTTGAGCGCGGCGGCGGCTTCTTGGGGGGTGGCTAAGCGTGCGTGTGACGCCGCGCACGCTCTCGTCCCCCGTCCCGCTCCTTAAGTAAGAGCCGGGGGCAGACCCTTGCCTCCAACAGGGACGAATACTTTGCTGTTTTTTGTAGCCTACCCCTCATGCAACCCAAAATCTGCCAGACAAATTCTCCTAAGGACAAGATTTTCTGATGTGGAACTTCAAGTAACGTACACTGCAGCTTCATTTTATTTCTCAAAAAATTCCCTCCGCCGCCCCATCCCATAGACTAGGCCTTTAAGAAAGTCCCTCTTACCTCGATCTGGAAACGAGCTCCGAGGGCCTTCCCCAGCCTCAACTAAACTTTACCGGGGTCCCCCTGGCCCTGGCTCACCTCGACACCGTTAATTCGCTCGTCTCCTTTAGGAAACCTTTCCAGACTGCCCCCCGGCGGGACCGCAGCCATCCCATTACCCGGGAGAGCCCAGGGCCCAGATGAAGGCAGAGAGCGAGGGCGCCCAGAGCGAGCCGACCGACTGCCGCCCTCCCCCGCCCGAGTGAAGTCAGGCAGTGGCTGCAGACACGGCTGTATTGGGAAGCGGAGGCTCCTACACAGTAGGAGAGGCACGTCCCAGACCCAGAAGGCCCGAGGACTCTGGACACAGCGCGCGCGGCCCGCCCGGGGCACAGTCTCTGGGGGAGCCCCGAGGGGCGAGTTAAGGCAGCTTGGCTGGAAGGGAGCGGGGAGTGGGAGTCCGCCAGCTCCCCCTGAAATGCTGGCTCACTGAGGAGACGGGCTTCTCACCTCCCACTCTTCTGTCGAGGACAGGGGGAAAGACAGTCAATAAATAAACCCGAGGCGAAAAGGGGCCTCGGGAGACTCTGCGAGTCGGGAAGGCTGGAGGTGCGGGGCGAGGGGGCGGTGAAACGTCCTGAAGAGCGTCCAGCTCGTGGCCGAGAGGACTCGGGCGCTCCCCACGCTGGAGGCCGTGGGCCGCTCCCTTTAAAAGTTGAAACGGCCGCCGTTCGGGACGGCCTGGCGGGAGGAGGGCCCGACGAGGGGAGGCTTCAGGGACAACTGGGGCTTCTCGACGTCCACCCTTTTCAGGGCGCGGCCCCGGTAGCCCTCGGGCCGGCCCAGGTACAGGAGGTGCTTCCCGGGACCCCCGGAGTACCTGGAGGGACCTCCCGAGGGGACTCGAGTGAGCAGGGCAGGGGGGGCCCGGTGGCCGGAGAAAGGCAACCTCCGGCCTCCGCCGACGCCCAGCCGGGGAGCGGGGGCGGAGAGCGCGGGCCGGGCGGGGGCAGAGGCGCACCTGCCCTCGGGGGGCACGTCCAGCCTCAGCGGCGAGGCGCACTCGTGGGGCCTGGGGCTGGGGCCGCCCAAGAGGGCGGGGGCGGGCTCCGGCGGGAGCGCCCGCGAGGTTAAAGGGGCGGGGGGCTCGGCCCCCTTTCTGGGCGGCTGCGGGCCGTGCAGGTAGCGCAGCAGTTCCTCCAGGGTGGTGACTTCCACGGCCTGCCCGGGACAGCCGGGCGGCGGTGGCCTCACCAGCACGCGGGGCGCGGGCCCGCCCGCCGCGTGCCCGCCCCGTGAGCGGCCCGGACCCTCCTTGGCGTTGTTCCTGTTCTGGTTCCACTCCCAGGGGTCCCCGGCGGCGCGGAGGTGCTTGACCGGCAGCTCCGGCGTGGACTCGGGGGTGGGCAGGCAGGCCAGCTCCGGCGGGGGCACGCCCTCCGGAGGCGGCAGGAAGGTGGTGTAGAGCTGCGGCGTCTGCACCGCGTCCCCGTCCTTGGAGGGCGGCGGGGGCTCTGGGCCCCCACCGTGGAGCCGGGCCAAACTGCGGAGGGAGAGAGGGCGCGGGAGCCCCGGAGTCTCGATGTCCTTGCCCCGACGTCGGTGGGCGCGGCGACAAGCACAGGAGACCAGGAGGCCAGAGACTGAGGCGCCCAGGGCAAAAGCTGCGGCCACACTGGCCAGGAGGAGTGGGATGGGGACGGAGCGGGAGGCCGAGGCTGGGGGCAGGTCCCGGCGCACGCCTGCCGACCGAGAGGGAGGAGGGAGGCTCAGCCAAGGGGAGGCGGTGCGGGGTACCTAGGCCCAGAGGCGCCGGCAGTTCCCAGGCCTGACATCATCGTCCCTCCCGCTGCTACTCAGCCTCACTCCTACAGCCTCCACCATCCTCAGGATTCACCTCTCCTGACTCCTCAGCATACAGCCCACGCACTACCCCTCACACTCAGGCCAGAGCTTGGGCCTGGGGATTCCCCATCCCACTTCTGGCCCCTGTAGCCATGCCAAGAGCAACTGCCAAAAACTGCTCGTGCAGGAGAACTCGGGGCTGGGATGCCCAATTCTGGGGAAGGGAGGCTCCAAACAGGCGTTAGTGAGCACCAAACACCATTCAGTGAGGGGCTTAGAACGCTCCGAGAATCAGCAGCCCCACACTTCACTCCTATCTCTCCCAAGTAGCCCCCTTACCCCGAGTGTGAACTCCAAGAGTGGAAGACTGGGGCCGGGGGTGGGCATCACTGGGAGGACTGGGGGTCCCAGGGGAAGGGCCAGGACCCGGAAGCACTGGTGGCAGAGACCAGGTCAGAGCCAGTGAGGCTCTTGATCTCTACCCCTGACACCCTTCCAGGGGTCCTTCCTCCCTCCTGTGGAACCCAGGAGTCCAGAACGCCAGCCTCTAGTTTCTTCTGGGCCTGGGGAAGGGCTCATCATGCAGGACATTGATTTATTTGTTCAAAAAGTACCCTACTGTGTGCCAAGTACTGAGCTACATGCTGGGTATCTGGAGGATGCCGACCCTTTTCCGATACTCCCAGGGTATTCAGAATGCTGCTCTGCTGCTGCTACAGGACACACACTCAGGTATGTGGGCTGAGCAAGGGAAGGTGAGGTTGGGACAAGAGGACTCACCATAAGCAGAATCCCCAGGGCCAGACTGACTCCCAGTAGCTCCATCTATGAAGAAGGGACAGGGTGAAGATGGGGGGAAAGAGAAGCTTCATGAAGAACTGATGGGGTGACTGTGCCACAGAAGGAGAGAAGGACAAAAGGCCAAGCCTGGGATGGTGTCTGTGGCCATCATGGCCATGTGCAGCTTTGGCTGCAACAGCAGCTGCCTCTTCTGTTTACCTTGGCAGTCACCATGCTCCATGGATTCCTGGTTCCCAGCCTGATCCACATCAGTCCTAGGAGGAAAACGAAGTGGCTATAGAATTCTGTACGTTGTCCGTATCTCCCACTCTGGCCCTCAGCTTGTCTTATTGGTGGGGAATTTTATGCTCAGGAAACCCAAGGACCCATCACTTACCCACCAGATCCCCTGATATCCACACAGCCCCTGGAGCTATGCCATCCACAGTATGGGTCCTGAGAAGCCAAACAGCTCCTAGGGAAAACGGAGGTGTGTGAGGCTGGATCCCTTTCTACTCCAGTCACTTTCCATTCTGCTGCCTTTTCCCACCCTGGCTTACAGGAGGCTCCCAGCCTCATTCTCTCCTGTCCACCTCAGTCTCTCCACACCCTGGTTGCTGCCCACCTTCAGAATGCTTGAGGTACCTAGGCACCCCACAGCCATCCCCTGTGTTTTCCTGCCACCCCAAAGACCTGTGTTTCTGTGCTCTTGCTGGCCCGGGGAGCTTGCCCACACAGGGCCTGGCCTCAGGCCCCTCTCACCTCTGACAGGCCCCATGCCGGGCACACCGGCTGAGAGGGAGGTAGACAATACAGCCAGAAAAAGCCACAAAAAGCCTGTGACCCTCAGTGTCCAGCTCCAGCCCTATGATCCGTCGTGCTGTTTGGGCTGTCCGCTTCCCACTGCACCTAGGGTGAGGCCAGAAGGAACCAGAGATGGACAGATGAGGCTACCTTTTCCCTGAGTGAGTGGAAGAACAGAAAGCGGGGAGGCACACAAGCAACTGAGCACAACCCATGGAGCTGCCCCGCCCTACCACACTGTCCAGTCTTCTCGCCAAGCCTGTCTAGCCCAGAGCTCCCACCCTGCAAAAGCCAATGTTGATGTTTCCAACCTATTCCCGAATCTGCAGCTGCTACCTCCCATCCCCTCCCTGCTTTGCAGGGGGCCTGCCCTCCAAAGGCCTCACCGGGCAGGGCTGTAGGCATCAATCTCTTCCAGGAGGATGGGCTCAGGTCCCCCGGATCGCCCACCTGGGGTCAGCACCTTCAGCACTGTCCCATCATTGGAGCCAAGGAACATGACTGTGATGTTACTGTGGGGACCAGCCATGCCATCCACAGCTACTTGGGTCAGTAGGGCCCTGGAGGAAAGGGCCTCAGGTCAGGGAACCTGTCTAGTGGAAACCTGAGCATTTCAGGGAGAGCCCAACTGCCTTGGTAGCTGTGCCTGTGCCCTTCCCCCAGGCCCCAGGGTTGCCTTCTTAGCTCTCTCCCTTCTACTTTCACAAGTTCTTCCTCCCACCAATGCGGTTTACCTTGTTGGGTCAAAGAAAGAGGAGGGTGGCTGAGAACAGGGAGGCAGTGGTCAGTGTTTTTCAGCCCCATACCTGCTAGTGAGAGTGAGTAGAGGCTGATGGGTGACAGGTGGTACAGCGGGGTCCAGCAGCGGGTGAGCCTTGATGAAGGTCAGGACATCATCAGGGAGGTCTCGGGAAGAGGAGAACAAGGCAGCTCCCCCTACTCCTGCACAGGATCCTGGCCTGGTGGGTGAATGGGAAGGGGCTGCCTTTGGACTGGGAGCTGGAGCTTAGTTAACCTCTGTGCCCCCTACTGCTCCCAAACCTGACTGGAAAGCCTTGCTCCCCCTCCACACAGACACTCGTAGCACTGTCCCCTTCCCTGCCGCAGCTCTTCGGCCCCACTGCCACCCCACTATAGCTCCCCACCCTGAGGCCTTGGACATCTCATTACCTCCTCACAATCCCATCTTGGGGGCAGACGCTGCTTGCTTCTGCCCCCACAAAAACAACTCCATCCTGGGTACCTGGGTGAGGGAACTCTGTCCTCAGACACAGGAGTCCAGGCCCCATCCAGACTCCTCTGCTCCTTGAACTTGCCCTCAAACCCACGCTCAATCTCATCCAGGTAGAAGGCGCAGACGGCAGAGCCAGGGATGCTGGAGGAGCCAGAAAAGATGCAGGATAGGTGCTGAAAGGAACTGCACAACTTCCCCCAGGAAGAAGTGGTGGCACCCTTCATACCACATTAAGAGATAGAGACTGAGGAGGTGGGGCAGCCACTGGGTGCCACACTAGGAGAAAAAATGGCAACACAGCAAACTGGCTTTGTTCGGAGGTTCCCTTAACTGCCCCATCAGTAGGCTGTGAAAGGGGAGTTTGGAGGCTGGTGAGGCAGGGGACAGATTGGGTCACACTAGTCAGCCTAGTACCAACCTATTGGTCTGGGTGGTGAAGACCCCAAAGAGAGCAGAGCGGCCATGCAGGTTCACAGGCCCAGTCAAGGCCTGTAAAACATCAAAATAGAAAGTAGAGTCCCCAGGGACAGAGCAGTTGAGCCGAAGCTTCAGGAAGGATGTCCAGTGGCGGTCCAAGGCCCGAGGCGAGCCGCCCATGTCACGTTTACATACTCGGGCTACGCGGGAGAACTGCACCTAGGGGAGGAGAGTGGAGTAGACAATGGTGAGACAGACCCACAGGGCCAGCTGCATGCAAGGAGTGTGGTGAGTTAAGAGCAGTAAGGGGCTGGGCGCGGTGGCTCACGCCTGTAATCCCAACACTTTGGGAGGCTGAGGTGGGTGGATCACGAGGTCAGGAGATCGAGACCATCCTGGCTAACATGGTGAAACCCCATCTCTACTAAAAATACAAACAAATTAGCCGGGCATGGTGGTGGGCACCTGTAGTCCCAGCTGCTCGGGAGGCTGAGGCAGGAGAATGGCGTGAAGCCAGGAGGCGGAGCTTGCAGTGAGCCAAGATGGCGCCACTGCACTCCAGCCTGGGCGACAGAGCAAGACTCCGTCTCAAAAAAAAAAAAAAAAAGAGCACCAAGGGAGCAATGTGAGGGGCACAGTGAATGAAGGGTATGGCATGGTAGGTCAACTTGGGTCAAGGGTGAGGGACAAGCAGGATGTGGGGTCAGAGGGCTTGGGGCTATTCCAAGTTGAGGGGTGAGAGTCCAGGGGATTGCTTTGTGGAGATTATGGTCAGGAGATCTCCTCCCACTCAGACTGGCTCCTCAGGATCCAGCAGAACCCTCCAGCTACCCACCCTGATGCCCACCTCCTTACCCTCCCCAGCCGAGCATCCTCCACAGAGACCTCGCGGAAGAAGAAGTAGACATGGTCTCCATGCTCCAAGGCCTGGACAAAGTGTGGCTCTAAGATGGGGAATGACAGGAAAGGGTATAGAAGAGTATCTGTACCTGCTCAGAAGCTCCTGGCCCCACACCGCTCTCCCCATTGCATACATACACACTACCACACCATTTGCCTGCTCCCCGCCACAGTCCTCCCTCTGTGCCTCCTCCCCAATAACAGTCTCCTTTCCCCAGGCCCGCCCTGACCTCGGAGCCACTTGGAGTCATACTTGGCGGAGCGGAGTGGGGGCTGGGGCCCAAGGCTTCTGTAAACTACAGCATCACTGGCCTGGAAATCCGCAGCTGTGGCTGAGTACAGGCTGCCCTCTGGAGGGATGGGTGGAGTGGGGTCAGGGGAGGGCTCAGGGATCTGTATCCTGCCTCTTCTTGGGCCTCCTGCACCCCTACCTAGGCCTGGCCCTGGTCCCTACCTCAACCCTCCACTCAGGGGAATGGGGGAAAGACCCACTGGGAGAGGAGCTAAGGTGGGAGCTCCCTCCAGCCACATGCTTTCTTCTCACATGCCCAGTTGCACACCTGCAAAGATGGCCACGTTGGACTGGGTGGCATCAAAGGGGCATCGAGCCTGCCCACTCAGTTCCTCACCCTCCTGCTGCAGCGAAGTTATCTGAGGGCAGAGGGAGCAGATGCCTGGAACCTTTAGGGTCTTGGAGTCTGGCTCCATAGCCTATTCCCTCCTGTCCCGTTGCCTCCTCCCCAACCCCTCTGGACCCTTGCATTCTGGGCACTCCCATTCCCCAACCGCAGTCCTTGGTCCTTTCCCATCAAACCCATTGCCCATCTTGGGGTCCCCCCAACTCCCATCCTAACCCCCACCCTCTCTTTTGTACCCCATAGCTGCGGCACACAGGGCTGAATGAGTTCGTTCCACAGGCAAGGAGCGTCTGGGAGTCCCAGGGAACAAGAACACGAATATAGTTGTAGCACTCATCCTAGAGAACCCAAAATTCTAGGTCAGTGACAGAGGGTCCTGGGACTGAGAACAGGAGGTAATAGAAAGGTGGGCTTACAGGGCGGGCGTGGTGGCTCACGCCTGTAATCCTAGCACTTTGGGAGGCCAAGGTGGGCAGGTTGCCTGAGTTCAGGAGTTCAAGACCAGCCTGGGCAACACGGTGAAACCCCATTTCTACTAAAATACAAAAAATTAGCTGGGTGTAGCAGCATGTGCCTGTAATCCCAGCTACTTGGGAGGCTGAGGCAGGAGAAATGCTTGAACCACGGAGGCGGAGGTTGCAGTGAGCCAAGATCGTGCCATTGCACTCCAGTCTGGGCAACAGACTGAGACTCCGTCTCAAAAAAAAAAAAAAAAAAAGAAAAGAAAAGAAAGAAAGGTGGGCTACTCCTCTGGAGCCCAACAGAGCAATGTGAGATAAAGTCCCAAATAAGCTGTTTGCTGGCCCTCTGGCCTTCTGCAAATCCTTTGGCCTCTCTGAGCCTCACTTTTCTTTTTTGTGAGGCATGTAAGAGAAACTGAAAATCAGGAATTCTCTTTCCTTCTCATTTTCCCCTGTGGCCTGGGATGGAAAAAGTGTGAAGGAAATTGGGCATAGTAGAGGACCAGTTGGACAGAGACTGGGGGCAGAGTAATCCTCTCCTTCCCTCCACATTCTCGTCTCACTCCTTACCGTCAGCTTTCCCCGTACAGCACAGTTCTCCACATCTTGGCTTCTCCATGTTAGATACTGAAGGGATAAGTTGAAGAGGGAAAATCATGGGCAACTGGGTTCCCTCCTCACATTATGGCTCCTTTTAGATTCTTCTTCCCACCCACCTGACCCACATTAGACCTTTCCCAGCCTCATCTCCACGTCTGCACCTCTTCCCACACAGCCCCTCACCTTGTTGGGCACCAGCCCCTCCCCTTCTTCTTCGGCTTGAAGATCGAAGGAGAAAACGTGATCCCTGAGGGGGTAGGTAAGGAGGGGTCAGAGCCTAGTCAAGGCACCCCACTTTACCCACAGTCAGCTGTTCAGGGACAAACAGTGCAGACCTTCTGGCCCTCCCCTTCCCCCTTCCTCCATGCCTTGGCATTTGTGCTCTGGGTCCAAGCATGTCCACACCCCGTGGCTTGTGCACCTGCATGTGTCCCCTGCAAGATGCTACAGTGGCCATACAGGTCCCAAGTCTGCCCAGGAGCATGCATGTCTGCCCCACAACTGTGCCACGGCCAGTTTACCGGGCAGCCACTAGCAAGGTCCGGTTCAAGGTCAGGAATCTCTGAAAGTCCAGCCCAAGTTCTGCAGCCACAGCATCATCCTCCAGGCCCCGAAACCAGGATAATGGGGAAGTACCTTGAGGACACAGAGAGATAGGATTCTGAGGATACCACAAACTTCCCCAACACCCTCTCCAACCAGATGAAACCCAGCAGTGGACACAGTGGATGTGTGAGGTTAGAGTGCCCAAAAGCTATTCTTAATACCAATAACACTGAGTACTTAATCTCTGCCAAACACAGTGTTAGCACTTTACACGCATTGTCTCATTTAATACATGGTCCTATGAGGTAGCTTTGGCCCCATTTTACAGATGAGGAGCCTGAGACTAGAAGCCATTTAGGAATTTGCTCATTTAGCTGGGAAGTGGCAGGTATCAGGATTCAGATCCAGGTCTGTCTGCCTCTGGAGTTGAGCCTAGTCCCTTCTTGGAACTGCCTTAGGGCTAGCAATTTCCTTTCACTCCCACCTTGTGCACTGTCCCACTGGAGCATTTATTCACTCCGTTTCTCCCAGCCCTCTGCACCCTCCCCTCAAGGCTCTTCACAGGCCACCTCAGCCCTCCAAGGTTTCTGCCTCCTCTGACCACCTCACCTCCAGCATCCACCTGGCCTGATCGTGGTGGAAACCACAGTCATCAGTGGTCAAAGGATAGCCAGAGTTCAGGGATAAATGATTTAACATTTATAATGTGCTCAGCTGGGAGCGGTGGCTCACGCCTGTAATCCCAGCACTTTGGGAGGCCGAGGCGGGCGGATCACAAGGTCAGGAGATCGAGACCATCCTGGCTAACATGGTGAAACCCCATCTCTACTAAAAATACAAAAACAAAATTAGCCAGGCGTGGTGGCGGGCGCCTGTAGTCCCAGCTACTCGGGAGGCTGAGGCAGGAGAATGGCGTGAACCCAGGAGGCGGAGCTTGCAGTGAGCCGAGATCACGCCACTGCACTCTAGCCTGGGCAACAGTGCAAGACTCCGTCTCGAAAAAAAAAAAAATTCATAATGTGCTTGGAGCTGCTTCTAGCACATAGGAGTGTTTGCTATTCTTATATATCCCTCAACAATTACTCTCAGTAACCCAACTGCAGCTCCTCTATCCTTAAAATTACTCTAAATCCTACAAATATAACCGGAACTGCAAATAGATAAAGGTTCTTCTCAGAAAAAGTGGGTTTATGCTTTCTATCATGGTGGGCTTATTGGTGGGTGGTACCAGTGGTAGAGAGGCGAGTAAGAGGTGTTGGGAACCACTGAACTAGTATTAGACCTTCTCTATGTAGCTAAGAATAACAGGAAACACATATAAAGCATTTACTTTGTGCCATACAGTCTTCTCAGCACTTTACATGTATAACCTCATTTAATCCCTAAATAATTCCATGAGGTAGAAGACTTTTGTTTTTTGTTTTTTGAGACGGAGCTTCACTCTTGTTGCCCATGCTAGAGTGAAATGGCGCGATCTCGGCTCACTGCAACCTCCGCCTCCTGGGTTCAAGCAATTCTCCTGCCTCAGCCACCCAAGTAGCTGGGGTTACAGGCACACGCCACCAAGCCTGGCTAATTTTTTGTATTTTTAGTAGAAACGGGGTTCCACCATGTTAGCCAGGCAGGTCTCGAACTCCTGACCTCAGGTGATCCGCCTACCTTGGCCTCCCAAAGTGCTGGGATTACAGGTGTAAAGCCACCGTGCCCAGCTGACTTTTTTTTTTTAATCGGCTTTTTTTTTTTTTTTAAAGAGATGGGATGGGGGTTGGGGGGTGGGATGACTCTGGCTGTGTTGCCCAGGCTGGACTGCAGTGGCTATTCACAGGCGCCATCACAGAGCACTACATCCTGGGCTCAAGTGATCTTCCTGCCTCAGCCTCCTGAGTACCCACCACTGGCTCAGAATACTATTATATTCATTTTACAGCTGAGGAGACTGAGACAAAGAAAGGTTAAGTAACTTAACCAAGGTCACACAGCTAGTGAGCAGCTTGGCAGGGATTCAAACCTGCTAAGGTTTGGTCTAGCTGAGAGTCCATGTTCTTTTTTTTTTTTTTTTGAGACGGAGTCTCGCTCTGTTGCCCAGGCTGGAGTGCAGCGATATCCGCTCACTGCAAGCTCCGCCTTCCGGGTTCATGCCATTCTCCCGCCTCAGCCTCCCGAGTAGCTGGGACTACAGGCGCCCGCCACAATGTCCGGCTATTTTTTTTTGTATTTTTAGTAGAGATGGGGTTTCACCGTGTTAGCCAGGATGGTCTCAATCTCCTGGAGAGCCCATGCTCTTAACCTCCACACGATGCTGCCTCTAAGTGAAGAAACCAGGCCCAGGGATGAGAAGCAGCTGGCAGGAGGTGTCAGCTCACTCTACCTGTTTCCTTCTTTTTGCTGGTCTGGCTGTTAGCTTCCTGAGGCTGGGAGCCTTCCTGCACCTTGCCTCCCACACAGGGGGTCTCAGTCTCTAATTGTTCACAGAGATGGGGCAAGGTAGGTACTGGGCACTCACCTTGAAGGTCAGAGATCAACAGAGGGAGGGGGTCCTGGGGAAAGGCGGCCTGAGTATGGGGAAGTGAGAGCAGCAGCAGCAGTAGCAGCAAGGGCATGAAGTGGGGGGCACGGGGCATCCTGTGCGGGGCAGCTCAGGCCCCAGGGGGTGCCCCCTCACCCATAAGCCGGCCCTGAAAGGGGAGACAGGGAAAAGTGGGGGAGGAGCGAAGTTCCCTCTCCCCTGAAGCAAGCCAGCAGGCTCCTCTCCTGGTGTATCCCCAGAAGACCCTGTGGGGTGGGGGAAAAGAACCCTCTCTCCAGCACTGCCCCAGTTCCAGCCAGCTGTCATTGTCACTCAAGGCCCTTCCCTCTGCAACTGGCCCAAACTGGCTGGTGTGAGGCCTGCCTGCATGACCCCAGGTAAGGACAGGACACACCCACCCCCATCTCAGCTTTTCCTCTTCTCTCCTGACTGGGTCTGGGACATTCAGTAGGTGACACCTCCTGGCCCCCCTCTTGCTAACCCCTTCTCAGCTATAATTAGAGACTGAAGCCTTAAAATTATAAATAGTGACTCCTTGGCACTGGGAGGAGGAAAAGGGCACCATGTCTGACTCCCCCTCCCTCCCAGACCCCCACGGCACCCTGGGAGCAATGCAGGCACTGCGCCTAGGCGGGGGCAGCCGTGTGGCTGACACTGTCCTTTCTAGAGTTGAGGAAGACACAGTTGGGGGAGGCAGCCTAGAGGTCACTGTGCTGGTCTAAGCTCATGCTTCAGGGGCCCTTCCCACCGCTAGGGAAGAACTGAGTAGGGAGGAGAGTTGGTGGGGGGGACTGTCTTCGCCAAAAATGAATCTGCATCAAAGCCAGATCAGAGGCTAAATTTAGCTCTGGCTGCAGCTGTCTGCCCGACCACTGTGCCACCCCCTCCAGGCTCTCTAGCCCCCTGCTCCTTCCCTGGCTCCTAAGAACCAGTGCATGTACTTGAGGGGGGAAGAGCAGACCCACCCCCTATGAGAAGCCAGGGGTACAAGGGACTAGTGAAGCAAAATGGCTAAACGTGCGCCTCTCTCCCTTCCTTCCCTCATCTGCTGCCTCTGAAATTAAAATATAAATTATTCAGTGACAGGCAGGTAATTGTAGCCCAAAGTCCAGGAAAAGATGGATATGGTGGAAGAGATGGTGAGACAGGTCTCCTTCCACCATCAGCCTCCCTCAGCCAAATGACCCTGGCTGGGGCCCACAGCAGGAGGTATACACCAGCTTCCTGCCTTCCCCTAAAATTGAAGTGAGGGACTTGGTCGGCTCCAAAAATCAGGTCAAGAAGGGTGAGACTCCTTTCTTTTGTGAACAGATAACTATCCTTCACCAATCCTTAGTTGCCCATCCCACCGTGTCCCCTAAAACAGACCCTAAGCTTCCAGGCCAAGCCCCCTTCCATCTCCCCAGTAATTCTACTCTCCCAGCCAGGACCCAAGTGTCCCCCCACCCCCAATCCAGCATCACTGGTGGGGAGGCTGACGTCAGGTGGGGCCTCAAGAGAGCTGAAGAAAGGAAAAGAGTAGGAACACCTAATGATGACCCCCCTTCCCCAGGGCAGAGTAGCAGCTAGCTAACGACCCTCTGGTGTTGAAAGGCTGGGCCTTCCTCCCTCCCCCGACATGTTTCCGGATACTGTTGTTCCCAGGGGAAGAGAAAGGGACGTAGCTTGTCTCTCATCCTCCCCAACCTGCTCTCCCCACCACCCCCCTGCCTCCAAGTTGCCCTGAGCAACTGGTATCTTCACCCTGGAAACAACTTTGGTCTCTGGCAAGTGAGGAGAAGAGCCAGCCCCTCTTTCTGCTCCCTGCTCATGCCTGCTTCCACCCCCTGCCCTCAGGAGCTGCTGCCCTTTCCTTACCTGGGTTGGTGACTCCTGTGGGGGCTTGAGGGGGATAGGAAACCTCTGACCTGATGGAAGACAGGACAAAGGAGAGAAGAGACTGCATTATGCTCCCCTTACCACATCCCTTACAAGTAAATGTAAAAATTCAAGAAAAGTCTGCTGACGCTTGGGTAGGGGAGATGCTGCCTTGAAAATGGGAGGGGGCTGATGACACTTCTTAATAGTTTGGTTACAAAGGTGCTGGTGGCTTTATGCCCAGAGATGCAGGGGAAGGGGATGGCCCCTTTCTAGAAACTGCTAGAACTACAGGGCTAGCCTTGGCAAAGGGGGTCACTGGGAGAGTTTGTGGGGCATGGCGACCACTCCCATGTTAAGGCCCTCAGAATCCAACAGCCTTCTTAGCAAAAGCGCCTTAGCTAGGGACAATAGAGGCTAATTTGCATCTCATTTACATGCTCTTCATTTCCAGGCAAAATGATCTGATAGCAAGCACCCTCAACCCTTTCCTTCCTCCCTGAGAGAGCAGGCTGTGCCTCCCTTCCACTCAGTCTACACACACACACACTCACACCCCACTTTAGGCTGGATTAGTCCAGCCTCTACAAACACTTGGCTGGCCTTTGCATTGGCCTTCTAGACTCAACTATGATACACCTTTAAGAGGGCTTCTTGTAGCTGTTTCTGGGAAGCAGCATCTGGTCAGCTCCTCAACTCCTGGCCTGGAGAAAAGATCACTCTGCCCTGGAAGAATCCGAGCTGCTTCACACACCCCATCTGAAGCACATGGGAGAGACCTGGCCGACTCTCCCCTTTCCAGATCCTCCCGTTGCTGGGAAGAGGAAACAGCCCTTCTCTCTCCTGGCCCCGAAGCCACCTCTGGGGAATGGCTGGGGTCACAGCCAGAGTCTAGGAGAGCTGTGGAAGGGATGGAGAAGGGGAGACTGGGCTGGGGACAATAGCAGGAAGCCTTTGGGCTGGTCGCCCGCCCCAGTCCACCTTCCTCAGAGGGAGCAGGGTCGCGCCAAGGAGCCTGTGGAACCGGAGCTTTCCTTTCTCCAAGCCATTTCCCCCACTCTTAGCTCTTAGCCCCACACTCAGCACCTACCCTCCTTCCCACCCAACCCCCAACCAGGACAATCCAGGTGTCTAAAGCCTCGAAAAGAGGTGGGCCTAGGGCCAGGGGCTCGACCTGTCTCCCCCTCACCGGATCCGGGGCTCCGAGGAGGGGCCGGTAGCAGAGTCTGGGCCGGGACCGGGTCCCAGAGCCACGTTAGCGAGAGGAGGGGCTGGAGGGGCCTGCAGGCGCAGACGAAGAGGGGATAGGAGCGGGGGTTGGGGAGCGGAGGCGGGTCTCCCAGGCCAGGGAAACAGGGCCAGAGGCTGAGAACCGACGAGGGCGGGCCTGAGGCCGGCGCTCAGTGGGGACCGTGGGCTCAGGAGGCAGTTGCCAGCTCGGATGTCCTCCTTGGGAGACCTCAGTCTAACAAAGCCCCGGGCCGAGCGGGCTGAAGGAAGGAGATAGGCGCTGGGACCGATGTTGCTCGAGGGCCCCATTCGCCGCCTCTTTGCACGAGCCAACCCTTCAGAGGGTGCTCAGATTCCGGCTTGCACAAGGACAGAGGAGCACCCGTGACACAAAGTCCGGAACGATGCGTCCCTCTTCCCATCCCTTCAGGGGCGTCAGGAGGGTCTAGTTCTCCGTGGGTCTCGGAGCCCTAGTTTCCTTGCTGGGAAAGCAAGGGGCCAGGTTTTCCACGCTCTCTACGGAGCGCGCCTCAAATAATCCCTTTTCGCGCTTCCCAGTCCAGCGGGATGCGACTCGACGAAAGCCCAATTGAACGAGGTGCCCAGACTCTGCTCTCACCAGTACAGTTACGGGGCTCGGCCACTGTCCCTCCTTCCTCCCTGCACCCCAATTTCGTTGACCCTCTCCGTCAGCCAGGCACACCGGGCGCCGACACCTCCCTGGTCCCCTAGCGCTTCAGAAGCTTGCCCCCCGCCGGCCGCGCCCTCCTGCTCCCTCCCCGCCTCCCCGCAGCCCCTTCCCTGCCCGGGGTACTTGCTCCAGGATTCGGGTCAGCGGGATCGAGATCGCCGCGGGCGGCCAGCGGCCACGCGCTGCGCTGAGTTCGCAATCCGTGGTTGTGCTCAGGCGAGATGCGATGAGCGTCCGAATTGGATGGTGCTTGAATTTGGGTTCCAGGGCGCTGTCGGGAGAGCCCTGGGTCCAAGTCCAGCCGCGGATCCGCGGAGGAAAACAATGCGACCGCCCGGGGCTCTGGGCTCGGCCCCAGTGGCCCCGCCCGCCTCCCAGCCGGGCCCACCTCCTGCCCGCCTTTGGGTCGCCGCGACTAATCCCGCCCTCGGAGGGCGGCTAGACACCGCCTTCTCGTCACCTCTCCGCCAATAGTGCTGCCCGGGGAGGGGCGCCAGGAGCACCGTCCACCCAGAGGGCCAGGCCGGGAGGCTGAACTGGAGACCAGAGACAGACGCGAGATGGAGAGACCCACGGACAGTCGCCGACACCGGGCAGAGGAAGAAATACATACAGAAGCAGAGACAGGCTGGCACAGGAGAGGCTCTGGGGAGAAATTTCCCAAGAGAGGAAGAGGAGCTGGGAGGAGAAACAGACAGGAAACCTGGGAGCCTCGCGGGGCTGGGCTGGGCTGTCAGAGCCTGCGCGATCCGTCCTCCCTTCCCCTCCTATACGGCTTGGGCGACCTTGCTCCCGAGGGCGCATCCCGCATCTCCCTGACTCTGCCCCCAACTCTCTGTTGCTCCTCTCTATGCGTTGTCCCTCTGTCTCCTTATTTCTCCCCGTAGGCCTCCTCTGGTTCGTCCTGACCCGGATAAGGAGGCCTAGCATGCGCGTGGGGGCTGGAGGCCTGGGAAAGGAAAGGAAGGTGTCAGCAGGAGGTTTCCCTTGTTTCCATGATCTCCTCCCCTCCCACCTCTACAAAGCAGCATGAGTTTGGGCCACTATGGCAAGAACTAGCTAGCAGTCAGGCTGTTGGGTAATGGAAGAGGGCAGGTGAGAGAGGCTGAAGCCAAAACAGATGTGGAAATCAAGACTAACTGACTCAGAGAAAGGCACAAAGAGTAGCAACGCTAAGACTTGATAAAGTAACCCACACAGCCTTCCTGCCCCACAGACATACGTCCCACCTTTCCTCAGAGGACCGTGACATCCCTCCAAACAGCAAAACTGCCCCTTCTCCCTCCCCACCCTTCATAAAGCCCCTGGGAATGTCAGTGAGGAGGAAGAATAAACTACTACAGACAGGATTGCTTGGTACCTTGGTATTGCCTGGTAGGATTCTTCTCTATGTGGGGCTGGGACAAAAGACATTCTCAAAATTCTCCAGGAAAGTGGGTGGCCTGGGAGACACTGGCATTCTCAGATAGTTTTATCTGACTGAACACTTCTACCCACATCTTGGACTCTGGACTAGAGGAAAGGAGGGGGAAGGGGTTTGCCACTTTAGGCCAGCCTTAACTGGACTGTGATCAGGGAGGGGAGTATCAACAACTAGGCTAAGCCCCACAGCGAGTACACAAGAGACCTAAACATACACACACATGTGCACACGCACATACAGAGAAAGAGAGAGACAGAGAGACAGATTTAAGGCCAGGTGAACCAGTAAGATGAACAGTAACTCAGTAAAGTCAGATCTAAAAAAAATAGAAGAAGATAAACAGGGACAATATCTACACAGAATTAACGGCCGAGGGATCTTGGGTCCAAGGCAATTCAACAAACTGTCAGACAGTTGGGGTTGTTTTAAAGGCTGGAAAGAAATTTTCAGAGAAAGACACCTCAAAATACAGAGGCACTGAGAGGTTAAAAGAAATCTCCTCAGCTCCTAGCACAGGGTTTAGGTACTCAGATACATGCTTATGGAATAGATTAGTGAGTGGGGATTAAGGTGTAATTCATTTAAAGTTTTAGGACCCAGCTCAAATCTCAGTTCAATCCAGTAAGTATTAAACACTTACTTGAGACACAATCTACTACACAATCCACTGTGGGTTGTGGTTCCAGACTTTAAGAAAATGATAATATATTTGAATTAAAATAAGATTTGCACATACTAAACTATTAAAAAGTCTAAACTATTAAAAAGACAGTACTAAATATTAAATATTTAATAGTACTAAACTATTAAAAAGACAACACCAAGTCTCAAAAGAAAAGCTACATTGAACATAAATTTCCAAATGTGCAAAGAAGACAATAAATATTCTCCGAAGACTGCACAGAAAGATGCTGGATACATTTTATCATGAAGGACAGGAAAACTTTGGTGGGAGTTGGCTTGGTGCAAAAGAAGAAAATGTTCCCGAGGGACACAGCTTCAGCAAAAGCTTTTACTTGGTTAGCAAGGAGCCTGCAGCATGGATAAAAAAAAGGTCCTGTGAGGCTGGTGTGTGGGAAAGGCACTAGTTAGGAGCAAGGGGAGGGAAAAGGGGAAGACAAATTACAGAAGGCCTGGAATGACTAGGTGAGCTGGTTAAAATCATCTGACAGGAGTAGGACGTCATTTTAAATTCTTGAAAAAGGGTGCAACTTGTATTTTTTTATTTTTTTAAGCAAGAAGACAGAGACCTACTAGCAAGTAAACAAGGTTTAAAGGTGAGGGGAGAGGGACAATCAGACAAGGGTGATGGGAACAGATTTAGAAAGAAATACATGAATCTGAGAGCTATTTTGAAGGACAAATCAAAATGACTCTCTTGGCTGGGCGAGGTGGCTCACCCCTGTAATCCCAGCACTTTGGGAGGCCGAAGTGGGCAGATCACCTGAGGTCAGGAGTTCTGAGACCAGCCTGGCCAACATGGAGAAACTCCAGCTCTGCTAAAAATACAAAAAAAAATTAGCCGGGTGTGGTGATGGGCACCTGCAATCCCAGCTACTCAGGAGGCTGAGGCAGGGGAATTGCTTGAACTCAGGTGACAGGAGATTGCAGTGAGCCAAGATCGTGCCACTGCACTCCAGCCTGGGTGACACAGAGGGAGACTCTTAAAAAAATAAAAATAAAAATAAAAAACCTCTCTTCCTACTCCCTTAGTGTTTTGAAGAAAATCACACAGTCCTGGCCGGGCGCAGTGACTCAGGCCTGTAATCCTAGCACTTTGGGAGGCTGAGGCGGGTGGATTGCCTGAGCTCAGGAGTTCGAGACCAGCCTGGGCAACAACAGTGAAACCCCGTCTCTACTAAAATAAAAAGAATTAGCCGGGCGTGGCGGTGTGCGCCTGTAGTCCCAACTACTGGGGAGGCTGAGGCAGGAGAATTGCTTGAACCCAGGAGGCGGAGCTTGCAGTGAGCCGAGATCGCACCACTGCACTCCAGCCTGGGCAACAGAGCGAGACTCCATCTCAAAAAAAGGAAATCACACAGTCCCACAGATTGGATTGGAAAAGCACTCTCTTCCAATCCCCAGGGAGATATTTCAAACTTCCTCCTTTTTTTGCAAGTTCCTTTCCTTACCATTTCCTTGTTCATCTCAGGAAAACCCTCATCCGTCTTCAGAGAAAACAGAGATAATAAAGTGAGAATTCCACCAACTTTTTGCTCCCTACAGATATACTTACCTGCATCATGTCTCTCTCATCCTAGTGAATGCCATCCGTATCACCTGTCGAAGGTTCACCTATGACTTTACTGTAAGTTGTATGCAGTCCCTGGTTGTCTATCTTGCTCAACACTGTATCCTTTCCTTGTAGCATAGTGCCTGCACACAGAAAGTATTAACTTAAAAAAAAAATAGAGGCAGAGTCTCATTGTGTTGCCCAGGCTGGTCTTGAACTCCTAGGCTCAAGTGATTCTCCTGCCTCGGCCTCTCGAACTGCTGGGATTACCGGCGTCAGCCACCATTCCCAGTCTTAACCTGTCCTTTTCTACTGATATTTTCCCCTTAGCATATACACATGCTCAAGTAATTCCCATGATTAAAAGGAAAACATTCCAAACTTTCTCTTGATCCTTGTCTGCACCCAGTCATCACTCGATTTCTCTTCCCTTCATAACTAAGCTTCTAGAGTTACCTATACTTGCTATATCCATTTTCATGATTCTCATTCTCAATCATTTTAGTTTTTGTCCCCATCAGTCCACTGAGATTGCTCTCATTAAGGCCACCAACGACCTCCTGGTCACATTCAATGAACAACTCTTCAGTCTTTATCCTTTTGCCCTCTCTGTGCCATTTGACCTGTTGACTCCCCCCTCCTTGAAATGCTTTCTTCTTTTGGCTCCTGAGGTCCCTCTTTCTCTTAACAAAGACTAGGGGCTTAATAAATATGTATTTTTAATGAATGGATAGTTTCACTTCTATTAATATGGCTTTTCTTTTCTTTTCTTTTCTTTTTTTTTTTTTTTTGAGACAGAGACTCACTCTGTCGCCCCAGGCTGGAGTGCAGTAGCATAATCTTGGCTCACTCACTGCAACCTCCACCTCCTGGGTTCAAGCGCTTCTCCATCTCAGCCTCCCGAGTAGCTGGGATTACAGGCGCCCACCACCACGCCCAGCTAATTTTTATATTTTTAGTAGAGACAGGGTTTCGCCATGTTGGCCAGGCTGGTCTCGAACTCCTGACCTCAAGCGATCTGCCCACCTCAGCCTCCAAAGTGTTGGGATTACAGGTGTGAGCCACCACACCCAGCCTAATATGACCTTTCTTAGCCTTCTCTGACCTCTCTAAATGCTGGTGTTCCCTATGGTCATGTCCTTAGCCACCTCTTTCTTCTCTACCCATTCTCATTGGTCAAGATAATCCGACAATGAGAACAGTTACAAAACCAACAGTTACAATAAACTGTTTTGTTTTGTTTTGTTTTGAGATGAGTCTCCCTCTGTCACCTAGGCTAGAGTGCAGTGGCTCACTCGGCTCACTGCAAGTTCCGCCTCCCGGGTTCACACCATTCTCCTGCCTCAGCCTCCAGAGTAGCTGGGACTACAGGCACCTGCCACCATGCCCAGCTAATTTTTTTTTTTTTTTTGTATTTTCAGTAGACACAGGGTTTCACCGTGTTAGCCAGGATGGTCTCGATCTTCTGACCTCATGATCCGCCCGCCTGGGCCTCCCAAAGTGCTGGGATTACAGGTGTGAGCCACTGCGCCCGGCCACAATAAACTGTTTATATGTTGCTTACCATAAAATCTAGGTGTTCAACTCAGGTCTTTCTCCTGAGTTCTAGACTCATGTATACAATTGCTTATTGGATACTTCCATTTGGATTTTTCATGTTTACCACTTAGTCTAAAGACAGGAAGTAGCCAGGCGCAGTGGCTCACACCTATAATCCCAGCACTTTGGGAGGCTAAGGTGGGCAGATCACCTAAGGTTGGGAGTTCAAGACCAGCCTGACCGACATAGAGAAACCCCGTCTCTACTAAAAATACAAAATTAGCCGGGCATGGTGGCGGGCGCCTGTAGTCCCAGCTACTCAGGAGGCTGAGGCAGGAGAATCACTTGAACCCGGGAGGTGGAGGTTGCCATGAGGCAAGATCGCGCCATTGCACTCTGGCCTGAGCAACAAGAGCGAAACTCCATCTTAAAAAAAAAAAAAAAAAGACAGGAAGCTTGTCTTTTATCTTTTTATCCCCAGCACTTAATTGTAATGCCTGGCATACAGTAAGTAGAGGAAGAAATAAATGCATCAAAGATTAAAAACAAACAAACATCCTATGGCTCAGAGGAAAAACAACAACAACAACAAAAAACAAAAACAAAAAAAAAACAAGCCAGGTATGGTGGCTCATTTCTGTAATCCCAGCATTTTGGGAGGCCAAGGCAGGCGAATCATGAGGTCAGGAGATCGAGACCATCCTGGCTAACATGGTGAAACCCCGTGTCGATTAAAAATACAAAAAATTAGCTGGGCGTGGTAGCGCGCGCCTGTAATCCCAGCTACTCAGGAGGCTGAGGCAGGAGAATAGCTTGAACCTGGGAGGCAGAGGTTGCAGTGAGCCGAGATCGTGCCACTGCACTCCAGCCTGGGCGACAGAGTGAGACTCCATCTCAAAAAAGTAAATAAATAAAAATAGGACAGGCACGGTGGTTCACACCTGTAATCCCAGCACTTCGGGAGGCCGAGCTGGGCGAATCATGAGGTCAGGAGTTCAAGACCAGCCTGGCCAACATAGTGAAACCCCGTCTCTACTAAAAATACAAAAATTAGCCGGGCGTGGGGGTGCGCGCCTGTAATCCCAGCTACTTGGGAGGCTGAGGCAGGAGAATCACTTGAACCCAGGAGGCAGAGGTTGCAGTGAGCCGAGATCATGCCACTGCACTCCAGCCTGGGCGACAGTGTGAGACTCGATCTCATAAATAAATAAATAAATACCCCAAACAAAAAAAGAGTAAAAGCTGTGAACTATCTCCAGCTATGTCAGGCTGACTTACTTGACTGCTTTAAATCACACTAAACTTACTCTTTCTGAACTGATATGAGAGTATTGATCTTAACCATGGTAAAACCTCACCTAAAACAAACATCGGACTGTTCCATCCTGAATACTTTTCCAAATAACTGAAGTTTATCCAATTAAGTGCAAAATATCTTCATTTTGCTTCAAAGTAGAAATTGCTCAAAAAAGTACTATTCACTTCCTGTAGATTATACAGTGGAAAGAGCACCATTGAAAGTCATTGAGACTTAGCTAGATTCATCTCTGGAGTATGGCTTTGGATAAACTACTTATCTCTAAGTCTGATTCTGTCTTCTGTAAGTGGACATACTACCTTCCTGCCTACTTCTTAGGATCAAATAAGATCCTGTAGGTGAAACATTTTGCAAATTCAAAAGTGTTTTGCACATTTAAGATACCGTCATTTGGCCAGGGTACACAGTGACTCACTCCTGTAATCTCAGCACTTTGGGAGATTGAGGCAGGAGGTCTGTTTGAGTCCAGGAGTCCAAGGCTGCAGTGAGCAGTGTGAGCCACTGTACTCCAGCCTGGGCAAGATAGCAAGACCCTATCTCTAAAAAAAATTTGTGGCCAGGCGCAGTGGCTCACGCCTGTAATCCCAGCACTTTGGGAGGTCGAGGTGGGTGGATCACAAGGTCAGGAGTTCGAGACCAGCCTGGCCAATATGGTGAAACCCCATCTCTACTTAAAATACAAAAAAATTAGCTGGGCATGGTGGCACATGCCTGTAATCCCAGCTACTCGGGAGGCTAAGGCAGGAGAATTGCTTGAATCCGGGAGGTGGAGGTTGCAGTGAGCCGAGATCACGCCGCTGCACTCCAGCCTGGGTGACAGAGCGAGACTCCATCTCGAAAAAAAAATTGTTCTTGGCCAGGTGTGGTGGCTCATGCCTGTAATCCCAGCACTTTGGGAGGCTGAGGTGGGTGGATCACGATGTCAGGAGTTCAAGACCAGCCTGGCCAAGATGGTAGAAACCCCGTCTCTACTAAAAATACAAAAATTAGCCAGGCATGGCAGTGGGTGCTTGAAATCCCAGCTACTCAGGAGGCTGAGGCAGAGAATCAGTTGAACCCGGGAGGCAGAGGTTGCAGTGAGCCGAGATTGCACCACTGCACTCCACCCTGGGCGACAGAGTGAGACTCTGTCTCAATTGAAGAAAAAAAAAAAAATGAGAGAGAAAATAAAAGACTTCCCCATGAATGAAGTAAATGAACATTATAACATGTGACTCCTATGTTACTACCATTTTCCCCTCATATCCTGGTTCTTGGATATGTTTTGACTTTATTCTTTCAGCACATATTTATTGACCACAGTATGTGCCAAGCACTGTGTAGACACTAAAAGATAATCTGAGCTTAGTGGGTAGACAGTTAATAAAATCACAAATTACAGACGGGCGCTATGGCTCATGCCTGTAATCCCAGCACTTTGGGAGGCCAAGATGGGCAGATAGCCTGAGGCCAGGAGTTCGAGACCAGCCTGGCCAACATGGCGAAACCCTGTCTCTACTAAAAATTCAAAAATTAGTCAGGTGTGGTGGCAGTGTAATCCCAGCTGCTCAGGAGGCTGAGGCAGGAGAATCACTTGAACCTGGGAGGCAGAGGTTGCAGTGAGCTGAAATCGCATCACTGCACTCCAGCCTGGGTGACAGGGACAGAGCAAGACTCTGTCAAAAAAAAAAAGAAAGAAAGAGAGAGAGAGAGGAAGGAAGGGAGGGAGGGAGGGGAGTCTGAAGCTGGAGAGGAAAACAGGTAAAGACTAGGTAGCAGAATTCTGAATCCAGAAGTTATTATTGTATTTGCATCTTCTTATATTTTTATTCCCTTTATTCTTTTTCTTTTTTCTTTTCTTTTTTTGGAGACCGAGTCTCACTCTATCACCAGGCTGGAGGGCAGAGGCGCGATCTCGGCTCACTACAACCTCTGCCTCCCTGGTTCAAGCGAATCTCCTGCCTCAGCTTCCCGAGTAGCTGGGACTACAGGCATGTGCCATCATGCCCAGCTAATTTTTGTATTTTTAGTAGAGATGGGGTTTCACCATGTTAGCCAGGATGGTCTTGATCTCCTAACCTCGTGATCCGCCCACCTCGGTGTCCCAAAGTGCTGGGATTACAGGTGTGAGCCACCATGCCCAGCCGAGACAGGGTTTCACCACGTTGGCCAGGCTGGTCTCAAACTTCTGACCTCAGGTGATCCACCCACCTTGGCTTCCCAAAGTGCTGGGATTACAGTCATGAGCCACCGCGCCCGGCCTGGGGCAACTTTTTTAAAGTTTGCCATGATCTGATCTTTTTCCTTCTTCACTTATCTCTCAAACAACTTACATTCCAGACATAAATCACCACTTCCTGAGAACGTCCTGTATTTTGTTTTTTTCCTGCATGTGCTTATGCCGTCCCCATCATCTGGGACTTCTTCCCCATCTCTGGCTATTAAGTAGTTGAATCTATCTTTCCAAGTCTACCTCTTCAGCCCTATCATAATTAAGCTTCTTTACTCTCAAAATTATTTAAATCTCCATTAAAGTTAATGGCATTGTTTGACTAGTATTACTGTTCTTTATGTTTAAGCTTATTTCCCTCGCCAGATTCCCCATAAGATTCTTGATAGCAAGTGTTTTTGTCTCATTCAACAACTGTGACTTCCAGGATGGGTGCAGTGGCTCACGCCTGTAATCCCAACACTTTGGGAGACTAAGGTAGGAGGATTGCTTGAGCTTAGAAGTTCAGCCTGGGCAACATAGTTAGACCCTCCTCTCTACAAAAAAAAGGAAGGCTTGTGAGCCTCTGGTCCCAGCTACTTGGGAGGCTGAAGTAGGAAGAGCTCTTGAGCCCAGGAGGTCAAGGCTGCAGTCAGCTGTGATGATGCCACTGCACTGTGGCCTGGGCGACAGAGTGAGACCCTATCTCAAAAACAAAACAACAAACAAACAAACAAAACCCAATTGTGGCTTCCCCTCATTTTGTATCCCTTTAGCAGCTACAAAGTAGCTACTACAGTAGCCTACTCAGTAGGCCCTGCGGGGTGCGTTGGCTCACACCTGTAATCCCAGCACTCTGGAAGGCCAAGGTGGATCACCTGAGGTCAGGAGTTCAAGACGATCCTGGCCAACATGGTGAAACCGTCTCTACTAAAAATACAAAATAAGCCAGGCATGGTGGCACAGGCCTGTAATTTCAGCTACTTGGGAGGTTGAGGCAGGAGAATCACTTGAACCCGGGAGGCAGAGGTTGCAGTGAGCCGAGATCACCCCATTGCACTCCAGCCTGGGCAACAAGAGCAAAACTCTGTCTCAAAAAAAAAAAAAAAAAAAAAAAAAAAGGCAACTCAGTAGGCTTGTTCCTCTACGCTAGTGATTCAGTGCTGTGCTGGCACCTGCTGGTCACCTGTGGTGCAGCAGCCCTGGTCCCAGCACCTTCCTCCCTTCAGTATTAAGGGTTGTGACAGTCTGTGCTCTTACCTGGCAATCACTGGAATAATATATTAAATACTTGCCCCACAGCACCACCTTTCAATCTTCAGAACTTTTCCCACTGACCTCCTACCCCAGAAATTTGGGCTTTACATCCTTCCCAGTACTGTAGAAATGTAAGGACAGGATCTTCAGGAACTGGGCAGCAAGAAAAGAAAGAAGCAATTTGAGAGTGGAGGATGCAAATCCCTTTCCCCCCTTCAAAGAATTGAGACTATTTCCAACAGAATTCCACTCTTTTTGACCTTTGTCTTATTTCTAGGTTGCTCTTGGGCCATAGGCCTTCTTGGTGACAGAAGTGATGAACCGGAGGTTAAGCAGAGAGTAGGTAGGCGGGGCTCAAGGGGTGGGGCCAAGCCAAAGGGCTCTCACACTAAGTGAAGCTTCTCCATTCTGTAAGCTTTCCGGGAACATCCAAGGCAAGACTGGCACCCAGCACAGCAGGTGAGGGACCGGCAGTGACAGAATGGTAGACTTTAGGGGTAATGGTGGCAGAGGAATCTCTAGCTCTTTCAGTCTTAGCTTTTCATATTGTGAAACTCTCGCTTGTACAATTCTTGGGTCCTTTGTAGAGCTTAGCTTAGTTTTTCTGGTGGCAAGGCAGCCTCTGAAAGACCTGGTTTTGGATGCGGTGGGGGCAGGGCTGAGGGATGCAGGTGGATCCACATCCATATGGATGTGTGCGAAATGCAAGGAAATCTTAGGAAACAAGGAGATAGATGGGTAAGGGCCAGAGGGAGAGTATGGCCAGGCCAGAGGATCATAGGGAGGACCCAGACAAGAGAAAAAGGGAGACTGAAACAGGGAGAGAGGGAGAAGACAGCGGAATAAATGTGAGACGGCAATGGGGGCAATGGAGAGCTGGGTAACAGGAAGGCCAAGGAGGAAGGAAGGCTCACATGGAGCAATCTCCTCTTCCGGCTGGGGAGCATGGTCCAGAAAGCCCCAAGGCAAGCTGGGAGCAAAGCAAGGTTCAGGTTTCCACTGGAAGGATTCAGCTGGGGAAAAAAACCCCCACAGTCTCCACCTCCTCTGCCTCTTCAGACTCCCATTTTGGTTTGGGGGAGAGGGCGAGGCTGCTCCTCACTGCGGTCACAGCCACATCCTGCAGAGCAGAGGAGGGGGAAGTAAGAAGCAAAACAACCAGAAGAACCACAGGCGAAGACCATGGGGAGAGAACCCTGGACACATGGAGCTGATATGCCACCAAGAGGGTCCTGAGTTCAGTGTAGCAGAAGGCTCAGACCTTCAGGACTGCCTGCCCTTCTTGAGGTGTTGGCTTCTCGTGCTTCCTCAGTGTGCTTTAACCACACTGGGAGCATTCCGGGGAAGGAGGTTTCTCTGGATTATTTGGTTTGAAGCCCATCTTTATAATTTACTAGTGACTTTGGCCAAATTGCTATATTTCTCTTCGCTTCAGTTTTCTCATTGCAAAATGGGGATACCTACCCTAACCTTACACAGGATTGGGAAGGCTAAGATGACTGACGTAAAGCACTTGCATATAGTAGGTTCTCAGTAAATGTTAGTTATTACTCCTATTAGGATTCCTGGGATGCTTATGCTTCTTACTTTAAAGGAAGTATAGTGCACTAGCTGCCACTGGCTTTGGGGGCCAAAAAATGAGTTGCGTTTGATCTTGGGTAAATTACTTAATGTAAGTATCATTTGCTTAGCTGTAAAACAAGGATGGTAATATCTATGCCACACAGACATATGGCACAGAGTCAGTGTCCAAAAATGGTAGCTGTAAGAATTCTGTCAGGCTGGGCGTGGTGGCTCACGCCTGTATTCCCGGCACTTTGGGAGGCCGAGGTGGGCAGATCATGAGGTCAGGAGTTCGAGACCAGTCTGGCCAACATGGTGAAACGCTGTCTCTACTAAAAATACAAAAATTAGCCGGGCGTGGTGGTGGGTGCCTGTAATCCCAACTACTTGGGAAGCTGAGGCAGGAGAATAGCTTGAACCCGGGAGGTGGAGGTTGCAGTGAACAGAGATCACACCACTGCACTCCAGCCTGGGTGACAAAGCAAGACTCCGTCTCAAAAAAAAAAAAAAAAAGAATTATCTGTCAGGTAAGCCCTGTCTTCACTGCAGCAGCAACAGCCTACTTCCCCTTGAGATGTAACTTGTGCTAGGCTAGCCTCCCGTGTGCCCACATTCCTCCAGCCGGGGCTATCGCCACTCCCGTGGGCTGTTTTGGAGTCAAGATTTGCTACAGCACTAAGGGGAAAAAGCAGGCAGGAGCAAGGCATAGAGGACTGAGGGGCCCCAGGGGGCGGAGAGGATGACAAACAAAGATGATGATGACATGGAAACTAAAGAAGCAACAGAAAAGGGAAAAGCCATTTCTCTCTTTCTAAGGAAGCCTGTGGCCTTTCTTCTAGTGACTGACCACATACCCCACTCTCCAGGACCCATGGAGTCCTTCAGCTCAAAGAGCCTGGCACTGCAAGCAGAGAAGAAGCTACTGAGTAAGATGGCGGGTCGCTCTGTGGCTCATCTCTTCATAGATGAGACAAGCAGTGAGGTGCTAGATGAGCTCTACCGTGTGTCCAAGGAGTACACGCACAGCCGGCCCCAGGCCCAGCGCGTGATCAAGGACCTGATCAAAGTGGCCATCAAGGTGGCTGTGCTGCACCGCAATGGCTCCTTTGGCCCCAGTGAGCTGGCCCTGGCTACCCGCTTTCGCCAGAAGCTGCGGCAGGGTGCCATGACGGCACTTAGCTTTGGTGAGGTAGACTTCACCTTCGAGGCTGCTGTTCTGGCTGGCCTGCTGACCGAGTGCCGGGATGTGCTGCTAGAGTTGGTGGAACACCACCTCACGCCCAAGTCACATGGCCGCATCCGCCACGTGTTTGATCACTTCTCTGACCCAGGTCTGCTCACGGCCCTCTATGGGCCTGACTTCACTCAGCACCTTGGCAAGATCTGTGACGGACTCAGGAAGCTGCTAGACGAAGGGAAGCTCTGAGAGCCCTGAGCCTAGCACATTCCACCTTGACAAAATGGTTGACTGAGAAAACACAGATAATGGGCTTCCTAACCCTGCTCACCTGGCACTAACACTTTTCAATCTTCAGGCTTCATTCCTTCCCAAGAGTGCTTTTGACTCTGAGACCAGCCCACCCCCAAACAGCTAGTGGAGAAGGAGCAATGCTGAGGGGTGAGGCCTCTCTCCCACTCCAGCCCCAGGACAGGAAACAGAACTGCCTGAAAAAGGTGAAGTGAAACTTGGATCTCTATTTCTCCCATAAGGGACTTCTGAAACAGGGAAGCCCCCTCCCATGTGAACCAAGGAAAGGAGGCACAGCCCAGAGAACCCCTTTGGGGATACTAAAGACAGAAGAGGGGAAGGTGGCCCTTAGAGACAGAGCTTGGACAGATGCCAGAGGCTCTGTTCCAGAGTGCAGGAAGAAGGGGCTAGGGCAGGGGAGATTCTCATAGGGGAAATAAAACTACTAAAATATGCACAGGGCTCAATGTTTAATCTGTCCAGCTTCGTATACCTTATAATCATCACAGAAGAAAGGAGGTATATAAACATTACTTATCTCACCTCTCATCATTTCCAAACAGGAGACTGAGGCAGATTTCCATTATTACTGAGGTTCCCTTACCTACTTCTGTTTAAGAAACAAAACAACTGTACCATAGATCAGTGCTACAAATCGCAAATAAATATGCAGTGAGGAGGAAGGCATAGAGAGAGAGGGTCTGGAGGGGAGGGGGTGTAACAAAGAGACTCCCACAACTGGCTTCCTCTTCAAACCCCAAGGAAAGCCTTCTTCCATCTGTTCCCCTCACCACAGGCTGAGCAGAACAGGTCAGAAGGGTGAACTGGTAGAATGGAGAGTTCAGGTCCCTACAGTGCTGCTTTTTCTCAGAGTCAAGAATTGTGAAAAAGTTACAGGGAATTGGTTTGTCAAGACTGAGCCCATTCAACAGGAATGGGGTACCAAAAAAAAAAAAAAAAAGAATCAGCCCAAATCTGTCACTTTGAGATTGGAGAAAAGGCCAACAGTCATCCATTCTCTGTGGTGGGCTATATCACCGATTGCCTCATCCTCAATAACATGTTTGGCTAACAAGGTGGGGAAAGTGGAGAACCAGCAGTCACTGGCTCACTGTTCCCGGGTTCTCCTCACCCCAGGGCTATAGAAATTCCATTTTTCAGCTAAGAGTGGGAAGAAATAAAATATAGCAAATAAATATTACTTCAATATTAGCACCAAATAAATTATGTCACATAGTTGGAGATGAGGAAGAAGCTGAGGGGGAGTCTCTGCTTCCCTGTTCTAAGGCCAGGGAAAGGTAAAAAGGATAGGAAAGGCAACAAGGATATAAAAAGAGCCTTTTGAGTCTAAAGGACTCAACTCTAGATTCAGCCCAAGAACTGGGAAAGGTCCAGTTCCCATTCCCTAATCTTGCCAATAAAACTGCCCCAGGCCAAGGAATTTTTGGCAGACAAGGAGGCTGGGGAGGATGGCTGGAGTGGAGGGAGGCAGGCTCATAAGCCATGTTCTTGAGCCTCACCTCAGGCTCCTCTCCCCCTGAAGTTTCTCTTTCAACATCTTGCTTCTCTCAGTCAGTTCTGGGGACATCAGAGTTTGAAGATTTCATCCTCCTGGTCCCGTAGTGTCCGGGTCCGAGAGGTACGGGTCAGCGGCACAGGACCTAGGACTGCTCGTTGCTGCATCCAAGGGGAGCTCAGGTGGAGACCTGCATCCTCCCCAGGTACCCTGCAATTGAGGAAAGGGGGGAAAGAGTGACAGATCAAGGGAAGAACCTGACAATGGGCCAAGTGAGAGGTACATGGAAAGCTATCTTCTAATACATAAGCTGGTTGCTTCAAGACAGTCTCAGTACCCTCTAGATAAATCCTAACCCTAATGCTCCTTCATGGATGATCAGAGCAGTAAAAACAGTTAACTGTCAGCTGGCCGCTGTGGCTCACGCCTGTAATTCCAGCACTTTGGGAGGCCGAGGCTGGCGGATCACGAGGTCAGGAGATTGAGATCATCCTGGCTAACATGGTGAAACCCCGCCTCTACTAAAAATACAAAATATTAGCCGGGCGTGGTGGCGGGCGCCTGTAGTCCCAGCTACTCGGGAGGCTGAGGCAGGAGAATGGCGTGAACCTGGGAGGCGGAGCTTGCAGTGAGCCAAGATCGCGCCACTGCACTCCAGCCTGGGCAACAGAGCAAGACCCCGTCTCAAAAAAAAAAAAAAATAGTTAACTGTCTGACTCCAATAAGAACACAGAACCCAGTTTTCCACTGCCTCTACCCAGGCCAGCAGCCATCACCTCTGCTCATTATCTTGGGGCCACATGGGGGAAAGGTATCACCTTGCCTCTGTTGGCACTGTCCTTACTTACTTGTGTTTGTGGTTAGGTAAGACAGGAATGATGGAGGAGTCTAGGGAGGAACTTATAAGGAACCATTCAAGACTCACCCATTTTCCCCTTTTTTCAGCTTCTGAGCAGCAGCCTTCTTGGACAGGCTGATCTGTGAATCAAGCTTCTTAAGGAAATCAGAGGCAGAGAGGTCATGGATGGGCGTGGGGGTTTCCTGGCCAGGTGTGGGGAGGACTTCACCATTGGCACGTCCTGCTCCTGTCTCTTGTTTCTTCCTCTCAGTTGAGTGTGGCCAAACTTCACTGTTACTTGGGTGTACTTTTTCCTCTCCATCTTTCTCTTCCTCAGAGTCCAAACCATTGAACAGGTCTCTGGGCTCTGTCAGGATGGGGATGTAGAGGGTTTTCTTCAGGAAGATGGAGTCATTAGTATAAAGGCGGTTTGCACGTTTAATCTGTTCCATCTTAAAAAAAAAAGTCACCAAAATTAAGGACAGTAATAATGATCAATCTTACATCTTGAGCTTTTTAAAGTGACTGTACAGAGTCTTCTTTGATTCCATAACAACCAAGCTAAAGTACAAAGGGCTGACATTATTTCTATTCTATAGATGAGTGGTTTTCACACTTTTTGGTCTTAGGGCCCCCTTACATTTTAAAAAATTATTGTGCAAGCCAGGCGCAATGTCTGATGCCTATAATTCCAGCTACTCAGGAGGCTGAGGAGGGAGGATAGCTTGAGCCCGGGAATTAGAGTCCAGCCTGAGTAATATAGTGAGACGCCATTTCTAAAAATTAAAAAATTAAAAATAAATGAATAAATAAATTAATGAATAAATAAAAATGAAGGAACTGAGGCTCAGAGAGGTTAAGCTACTTTCCTAAAATTATCTATCAAGTTAATGACAGAGCTAGAATGACAATCCTGGGTCTTTTCACTGCTTCTGAGAATGCTTTTCACACTATACTATTAACAATGTCATTAATAAATATTTATTTTGACCTATTTATTCATCACTGGACATAGTGACTGGCATCACCATCTATCTGCCTGGCCTCCCAAGGTAGAAACATCAATGTCATCCTTAACTAATACTTGCCTTTCATCACCATACCAAGTGGTCAACAAAACTGCTTCAAAAATCTCTCTCACATCTGGTCTCACCTTCCTACTGCCAAAGATTTAAAATAGACCCTCAGTATTTCTCATCTGGGGTTATTGCAACAGTTTAACTGGCCTTCCTCGCTCTATTTCTACTCATCCTCCTCTTGGCATCTATCTTTCTAAAAAAATAAATCTGATTAACCCACTACCCACCTATGGCTCCGCACTGGCTAAAAGATAAAAACCAAATTAGCATTCAAGGGCTTTCTCAATCCAGCTCCCAAAGGAAATGTCTAGATTAATCTCCCTCTGCCACCTCTACATTTTGCTATCCTGAACTTTTTATTTTTCTTTGAACATTCCATGATCTTTTTCACACTTTATTCATGCTGTTACTTCTGCCTGAAATGCTCCCACCCCCCTACTATCCCATTCTCTGCTTGGAAAACTTGTATTCATCAACTATCACTCCCTTTGTGCTACCTTCTTCAGGGCTCCCAATGCATACTGTAAATATTGCTATAATAATACATAACCCTACTATAATATTATTCACCTCTTTAAATATCTGCTTTGCCTAAACCCTATAAGTCCTTTAAGGGCAAGGATTGTGACTTGCTGTCTCTGTATCCCCAGGAAGTCATTAGCATCCTACAGACCTTGACACATAGCAGGGGCTCATTAATGCTTTATTTAAAAACTATTACTTATAATTATGTAATTATTATCATAATTAGATAATGAAATATAGAAACTACAGATATAGTGTATTCGTATTTTCTTTCTTTCTTTCTTTCTTTTTTTGGAGACAAGGTCTCACTCTGTCGCCCAGCCTGGAGTGTAGTGGCGCGATCTCGGCTCACTGAAACCTCCGCTTCCCCAGCTCAAGTGATCCTCTGCCTCAGCCTCCCCAGTAGGTGGGATTACAGGCACATGCCACCATGCCCGGCTAATTTTTGTATTTGTTGTAGAGATGGGGTTTCACCACATTGCCCAGAATGGTCCTGTACTCCCGAGCTCAAGCAATCCACCCACCTCAGCCTCCCAAAGTGCTGGGATTACAGGCATGAGCCACCACGCCTGGCCCACCACAGCCCCTTTCCAACTGAAATTTAATCTTTTCTGATTTCCTATCTTTGTGTGTGTGTGTGTGTGTGTGTGTGTGTGTGTGTCTCACTCTGTTGCCCAGGCTGGAGTGCTGGAGTGCAGTGGTGCGATCTCAGCTCATCGCAACCTCCCCCTCCTGGGTTCAAGCGATTCTCCCGCCTCAGCCTCCTGAGTAGCTGGGATTACAGGTGAGCACCACCACGCCCGGCTAATTTTTGTATTTTTAGTAGAGACAGGGTTTCACCATGTTGGCCAGACTGGTCTCGTACTCGTAACCTTAGGTGATCCACTTGCCTCTGCCTCCCAAAGTGCTGGGATTACAGGGGTGAGCCACCATGCCTGACCCCTATTCGTTGTTAATACCTTTACAAACTCACCACATTCTGTCACTTGTAATCATTATTTGTGTCCCTGTTCATTTCTCATTAGGCCATAAATTACATGAGGACAGCAACCATATAGTTTAAGTTTCTATCTCCCAGAAAAGTTATCACAGTGCTTTAAATACAGCAAGCATAAAAATGTTGGCTAAATTCAACATTTGTTTGAGTGAGATGGAACAAGAAAACAGGGGCAGGGATAGGGGGAGTAACCCCATCAACTTCAATGCTGTACATTTTTACATCTATCCAATTTCCCCCATGCATGACCTGAAATACTTGGTGTAGAGTACCTGTTTTGCACAAAGGAGGCCACCTTACTGGAAAGAAGGCAGAGCATTGAGGAGGAACCAAGAGCAAGGAGAGGTGGGCACTTTAGGAACTGAGAACTAAAAATCAGCTCTCCATTAGTTGCTGTAAACGTTTAATCACTCTCAACATAAAATTTTCTGTGTGGTTAATAGAGTCAGACAGACCTGTTTGAATCCCAAATCTGACGCTCATTATTTGACCTTAGCCAAACTGGTTAACCAATCCAAGTCTCAGTTTCTTCATCTGCCAAAAGGGAACGATAAATGTATACTTGATACAGATGTGAGGGTGAAATGAGCTAACGTATGTGAAGCCCTCAGCACAGTGTCTGGCATAATAAAATAGGAGCTGTTCCTCTCCGTTGGAATAGTAGGGCAGGACTTGTGCAACACTGTGATGGGAAAACAAAGATAAAGGCAGAACAGAGTGCAACACATTAGGAACATTTCAGGGGAGGTTACCTAGAAGGGCCACTACATTCTTCTCAGGACTAAATCCCTCCTGACTGTTGTCTTCACCCCAATCCTGGAAAACTCACCGTCACCCCATATTTGAGTGCTAGTCCAGCCAGGGTGTCTCCGGGCTCCAACTGATGCTCCAGGCGTCTTTCCCTCACTGGGGAGCAGGCCGATTGCACCAGGCTTCCATATGAACGAGCCCGGCTCCCTTGAAGCAGTCCTGACCCCCCTGGCGGGGGCTGTCTAGACGGGGAAGCCATCTCTTCACCCTGCCAACAGCTAAGGTTGCAACTAGGGGAGGTACGACCGAGACTGCGACTGACAGGCCTGAAGTCTGGGAATGAATATTCAGGGGATTCCTTTCCCCCTCTCTCTTCCCCTGTGTCCCCGCCTCCCCAGCACTACGCCATCTGCCCCCTCCCGGTTTCTCCTCCCTCCAAGCTACTTATCCACAAATCTGTCCCTTGAGTATTCAGTCCCTCCCTAATTCTCCCCTAAGCACCCCTCCGACTTTGGACTCCCCCACAACTCCTCGCTACATTGACCTCTGACCTTTGAACTCTAGAAATAATCCTCAACACTCTTTCCTCAGTTTGCCCCCAAGTAGCCTGGCCTCAGGGCGCTCCAACATCCCAGCTCTCCCCGGTCCCGGGGTTTGTTTGCTAGAGTCAGGAACAAATCAGGCCCACCCCAGGTGAACTGTCGCCGCAGACGAAGAGCGTGAGGATTGCAAGAATTTGTAGTACACCTTCCACTCAGAGATCCTCAAAGGTCCGCTCCGCATAAGATAGGTCACACCCTCAAATTTCGGCTCCACATCTAGGTTGTTGTCCCTCCAAACGCCTCAGATCCGCCAAGATGCAAGGGCCTGGATCCAGTTGAGCGGCAAGGTCTTTGAGAAAAGACTTCATTTCCCAAAAGGCTCCGCGTCTGCGGAGTCGCAGGGCACCATAGGAAATGCAGTTCCCTCCGAGCACCAGAGAGTGGATTTCCGGATCGCGCAATGCATGCGTGGAAGTGCGTCCCCGGAAGTACGGAGGCCGACAGGAAGAGAAGGAAAAAAGAGAAGGCGCTGTCCCGCTCTTGCTACGGTGGCCTGGAGGAGTGGCGAAACCGGAACAGAGAATTTATCACTTCTGGGACTCACAGTCGTGATGTCTTTCAAGAGGGAAGGAGACGATTGGAGTCAACTCAATGTGCTCAAAGTAAGCGTGAGCGGAGAGGATCTGGAGCCGCTTCAGTCGCTCCCTGAAGGTTGGGAAGGAGCTTTGTTTCATTGCTCTGGCAACAACTCGGGGGTGCAGGAGAGAACCAGGCGACTTAGAGCTGTGTAGTGACTCCTTTTTCGGTCTATGATCGCTGTTCTCCCCAGGGTCCTTATTCCATTTCACTCCTCATTTCTATAATTTCACTTCCACCCCTCTCTCCTATCCCGCTGATCCCGTCCGGATTTCTTCCCCTACTCCCTGCAGAAAAGAAGAGTCGGGGACCTCCTAGCCAGTTACATTCCAGAGGATGAGGCGCTGATGCTTCGGGATGGACGGTAAGAGCAAGGAGTGGCTCAAGCCTGAGGGTTCTGCGGTTAGAGGCTCAATAGACTTTTTTTTTTTTTTCCTTTGAGACGGAGGTCTCGCGGTGCTGCCCAGGCTGCCCTCGAACTCTAGGGCTCAAGTGATCCTGCCTCCTCAGCGTCGCGATTAGCTGGGTTTACAAGCGCATGCCACCACGCCTGGCTTCAACAAACTTTTGTTATTAATTAGGACAGCAGGAGTACCTAGGATTCTTTGGCGGCCAGTGAGGACTGGAAGAAGTGGAGATTGGGTCACCAGGGAGTTGGGTTTTGCAAAGACTGCTAGGACAGGGTGGGACCTATGGCAGGGACGGGCCCAACCCTCTTCCCCTGGACCACTTATCCTCTTCTCTACCCCTGCTCAGCTTTGCTTGTGCCATCTGCCCCCATCGACCGGTACTGGACACCCTGGCCATGCTGACTGCCCACCGTGCAGGCAAGAAACATCTGTCCAGTAAGTTAGGGGGAAGACGGGATGGGGAATAAACCCTCGAAATCTCTGCACACCACTCTTGGTGCTATGCTTTTAATTCTGTTTCCCTTTCTCCTCAGGCTTGCAGCTTTTCTATGGCAAGAAGCAGCCGGGAAAGGAAAGAAAGCAGAATCCAAAACATCAGAATGAATTGAGAAGGGAAGAAACCAAAGCTGAGGTAATCAGAGAGTGGAGAGTGTGTTCTAGGCAAGACCCTGCTGCACACACCAGGCTGGAAGGGCGGAGGGCTGAAGGCTCTGACTCTGTCTCCCATCTCCTTACCAGGCTCCTCTGCTAACTCAGACACGACTTATCACCCAGAGTGCTCTGCACAGAGCTCCCCACTATAACAGTTGCTGCCGCCGGAAGTACAGGTATGGGACGGGAAAGCCAGAGGTAGGAAGGCTCAGAAGGAGACAGATGGCTCTAAAAGAGTTTTCCAGTGTGTATTCTGAGGAATACTAGTGTTCTGGAGATGTTACTTAGTGTTTCAAGAAAAGGAGAATTTTGGCTGGGCGCGGTGACTCACGCCTGTAATCCCAGCACTTTTGGAGGCTGAGGTGGGTGGATCACTTGAGGTCAGGAGTTCAAGACCAGCCTGGCCAACATGGTGAAATCCTGTCTCTACCAAAAATGTAAAAAATTAGCTGGGTGTGTGGTGTGTGCCTGTAATCCCAGCTACTCAAGAGGCTGAGGCAGGAGAATTGCTTGAATCCGGGAGACAGAGGTTGCAGTGAGCCACGGTCACACCACTTCACTCCAGCCTGGGTGACAGAGTGAGACTCCATCTCAAAAAAAAAAGAAAAGAAAGAAAAAGAAAAGGAGAATTTTGTGATTTTTAAATAAAGTTTGGGAAATGGCACTTTGTAATTCTACTTGAAGAATAACAGTTTTAAAAACTATACAAAGTCTTAAGATTAAAAAAAACTTGTAAAATTTTAAGCTAGCCTTTCCCAAATTCATGATTCTGAAATCCTTTGTATGCAGAACTTATTAATATCTTGAGAAATATAGTTTAAGAAGCACTGTTTTAAGAGGTTGGGAGTCATAGGAGAGTTGGCCCTTTCCCTTACTGCTTTTACAGACTATTCTTCTCTACCTAGACCAGAAGCCCCTGGTCCCTCTGTCTCCCTTTCCCCTATGCCACCCTCAGAGGTCAAACTCCAAAGTGGGAAGATCAGTAGGGAACCTGAACCTGCGGCTGGCCCACAGGCCGAGGAGTCAGCAACTGTCTCAGCCCCTGCACCCATGAGCCCCACAAGAAGACGAGCCCTGGACCATTATCTCACCCTTCGAAGGTGAGTATGCCTAATCAGTTTCCTCAGATTTTCTTTTCTCTCTGACACCCTTGTTTCAAAGCTATTGTTTTTCCTTTTTTTTTTTTTGAGATGGAGTTTCACTCTTGTTGCCCCAGCTGGAGTGCAATGGCACGCTCTCGGCTCACTGTAACCTCCACCTCCTGGGTTCAAGCGATTCTCCTGCCTCAGGCTCCCGAGTAGCTGGGATTACAGGCATGTGCCATCACGCCCGGCTAATTTTGTATTTTTAGTAGAGACGGGGTTTCTCCATGTTGGTCAGGCTGGCCTCGAACTCCTGACCTCAGGTGATCCACCTGCCTCAGTTTCCTAAAGTGTTGGGATTACAGGTGTGAGCCACCGCACCCGGACTCCCATTGTTGTTTTCCATCTTTGGTTTCGTTTTGTTTTAGCCACCCAACTTACATGGCTCTCAATTTTTTCTCACTGCTAACTTTTTTTTTTTTTTTTTTTTTTTTTTTGGTAGAGACAGGGTTTCACTATGTTGGTCAGGCTGGTCTCGAACTCCTGACCTCAAGTGATCCACCTGCCTCGGCCTCCCAGAGTGCTGGGATTACTGGTGTGAGCTCACCACTAACTTCTTAATAAGCCTCTTTCCTGATCGATGCTATTTTCTCTGATGTTTCCAGCTCTGGATGGATCCCAGATGGACGAGGTCGATGGGTAAAAGATGAAAATGTTGAGTTTGACTCTGATGAGGAGGAACCACCTGATCTCCCCTTGGACTGATACCCTTTTCCCATTCATTCACAAATAAATTACAATGGGTGCTGAGAACTTAACTTTCCTTAAGTCTGGTTCCTTGTTGGATCTCAGGATTTCAGATCTGTTCATTCTCATTCCAACTACTCCTTGCCTGCAAGGTACACAGCTCTCCACACTCCTTTTTTTTTTTTTTTTTTTTTTGAGGCAGAGTCTCGCTCTATCGCCCAGGCTGGAGTGCAGTGGCACGATCTCGGCTCACTGCAAGCTCTGCCTCCCAGGTTCACGCCTTTCTCCTGCCTCAGCCTCCTGAGTAGCTGGGACTACAGGCGCCCGCCACCATGCCCAGCTAATTTTTTGTATTTTTAGTAGAGACGGGGTTTCACTGTGTTAGCCAGGATGGTCTCGATCTCCTGACCTCGTGATCCGCCCACCTCG
This sequence comes from Homo sapiens, assembly GCF_000001405.40. Classification (NCBI taxonomy): domain Eukaryota; kingdom Metazoa; phylum Chordata; class Mammalia; order Primates; family Hominidae; genus Homo; species Homo sapiens. The sequence goes on from NC_000001.11 coordinate 151,169,497, forward strand.
GCCTCCCAAAGTGCTGGGATTACAGGCATGAGCCACCGCACCCAGCCACGGCTATCCATACTTCTAACCCCTCCCCCACCTCCTACCAAAGCCATGCCAAGCGTCAGCTGCATCAGCCTGGTGCCCTATTAATAAGACTGTCAAAAAGAGGTCTTTGCCCTTCATGTTGTCTGCCTGCTTCTCCACTACCACTCAAAGTCCTTTCCCCCTTCAAATCACATAAGGACTGCAGGTAGGCACTAGGGGGACCTGGCCACATCTGGAAACAGGGCTGTGGCTAAGTTCCCTGTGAAAGTAGAAGAGTCAAAAGGCATTGGCAGGGTTATGGGGAACACCAAGGGAGGGAACACCCCCACCTCCTCCTAGTAACCTGAACCTCCCTGCCTGCTGATCCCCAGAGTATAAATAATCCCCTGGTGAACTGGCAGTAACCCTTGGGGGTTAGCGCCAAGATTCTCACCCCAAAGCCCAAGGAAGGAGGCAGGCAAAATGGATAGAAGGGCTTTTATTTACAGGAAAGGAGGACAGATGAGGATTTAAGTGTCCAGTGCTCCCAGCGCTAGTTGGTAAAGGGAAATGCAGTGTTATCTCTTCTTTTGCTGGCGACCTGTAAAGGAGCAATATTAAACATAAGTGTTTGTTCCAGCTCCTGCTTTCTGCAAAGGCACTCTTCTCCTTTCCAGTCCCTTAGCCAAACTCATAAATTGGTAGTGTCTTAGGCCACCTTACAGGCCCATCCCACATTAACAAAACAAAACAAGAAACCACACCACAAATAAAATTACGATACCTCTAAACAAGTATGATTATCTCTGGCATCCTTTCTACCTCTCTACTGGTCCATATTTGGGGCAGGGGGAGTTTTCTGTTTACTTTCTGATCACTCTTGGGATTTGAAATTCTCATATGAATAGCTCTTTGGTAGCACCCTGGGCTGTTAGTCATTAGGTCTGCTTTCAGGAGGATCCACCAATTTCTGCACTTCCCTGACCACTCCACACATCATGTCTGCAGTTACTCACGTAGTTCATTGTTTCGGGTCATGGCCTGGGCTGCCCGAGCTCGTGGCCCCTGCTGTGTAAAGTGGTAGCCAAAGCGGACAATAGAGGGACACTGCTCTAGCACGGTGGCCATCTCCATCTCCACTGCATCACCAGGCCACTGGCGCTGGGGGAGGGAGAGGCAAAAGCTGACAGTCACCCTCTCTGGGCTGTTTACCATCCCACATCACAGACCCCTTTGGGAGGTCAAAGAAGCTTGTTTCTCCACAGTGGGTGAAGAGAGATGCTGACTTGGCTTCCCTCACAGAGACAATGAAGAGGAGAATTCAAGCAAGATTAAGTAAGATAGCTGCCCCACTGGCTGGCTCAGGGAGGAGACTCAATGAGACTGAATGCTAACATCAGGGGAAGGGAATGCTGACCTGATTGTCTACACGGAGCTCAGTGAGTGTGGCATTTTCCCGAACTGCCTTCAGCACAGCCATGAGTCCTGTGCTGCTAATGAAGTTGGATTCGATGTTTAGGCTCTGGAGGCTACGATTCTCACGCAACATGTCAGCCACTGCCTGGGTAGTAGGGACTTGGGTTAGGATTAGGGAACAGTTTCACAGATGACTGAGGAAAGAAAGAACAGGAGCAAGAGGGAAACACAGCTCTTTGAGAAGAGTCTTTCAGGTGCTGTAAATGGAGCTAGAGGGATACAGAAAGCAGGGCGGATAGCAGGGGAAAGCAGGGAGATGAATGTGCAGTGGGACTAGGGGTGTTAGAGAGAGTAGAGAGTTATGAGCCATAGCACTGAAGGTAGGAGTCTCCATGAGGGCTGCCCTAAGAAGGCATGATGAGAATAGCACTCCCTAGCAAAACCCTTTATGACAGCCATGCAACAGGTGCATGTAAGATGTGGGGAGAGGGCTGGGGATGTCAACTAGCCTTACATTGGCAATGGGGTCACCACTCCTCGTGGCTACCAGACTGAAGCTCCGCACATAGGTATTTGCCTTCATTGCCTCACACAGCTCACTTAGCATGGGTATTGGGATGTCCTATCGGAGGGGAATAGGAGATGGTGGGCTAAGGGACTCTCGGATGTCAGTGGTTATCCGGTGTTATGGTTTGGAGGATGCAAGTCAAATACCTGTATATTATTCAAGTTCACCTCCTCCAGCTCCTTGTCATTGCTTCGGACCCTCTTTAGTATCTCCTCAATGTTTGTGGGATTTGGGGGTTCATCCGGCACTGGCTTATACTTGTCAGGCTGTACCACACCTGGTGAATGAGGGCAGGAAGGGAACCCCAACATGTTCCCCATAATCTCCTCCCCATTGGTTTTCTTTTCTTTTCTTTTTTTTTTTTTTTGAGATGGAGTCTCGCTCTATCCACCTAGGCTGGAATGCAGTGGCACAATCTCAACTCACAGCAGCCTTGACCTCCCGGGTTCAAGAAATTCTTGTGCCTCTGCTTCCCAAGTATAATATCTGGGATTACAGGCATGCAACCAGCTAATTTTTGTAGTTTTAGTAGAGACAAGGTTTCACTATGTTGGCCAGGCTGGTCTTGAACTCCTGACCTCAGGTGATCCACCTGCCTCGGCCTCCCTAAATGCTGGGATTACAGGCATGAGCCACCTCACCTGGCACTCCACAGGTTTTCTTATCACTCATGCAGCATGTCCTCTCCCAGAATCATCAATTTCACCCTTTTCTACCTTCTCCCAGACACTAGGACTGCCTGCCCAGAGCCCTGGGGACCATGCTCCCCAAACACACTCACTGCTAATGCCTTCAGTGTTGCAGATTTCTCCACTGCAGAGGGCATCATAGTATTGCTTGTTACTCATCAGTGTGTACATGTCCAGAATTGCTGGAGAGGGTAAGAAGAGGAGTCACAGGGAATGAGAAGGAACCTGTTCCAAGCCTCCCTCCTACCTATTTCTGAATCTGTTGCATTTGTAAAGCCTGACCACTTACACTTTGCCAAAGAAGTTTCCCACCCTCTTTCAGCCCCAGGGGTCCTTTCCATAAACTTCTTAAGGCAGTAGTTTCTAAAACATTGAGAAAGGGCTAAGGGAAGGTCCCTTATGAGCCACTAGAGGATAAAGGAGTCTGTAGAGACTCTCCTCTTTCAGCCAGAATGGTTCCACTTTTTTTCCCCCCGAGACGGAGTCTCACTCTGTCCCCCAGGCTGGAGTGCAGTGGTGCGATCTTGGCTCACTGCCACCTCCACCTCCCGGGTTCAAGCAATTCTTCTGCCTCAGCCTCCCAAGTAACTGGGATTACAGGTGCATGCTGCCATGCCTGGCTAATTTTTTTTGTTGTTGTTTTTGTTTTTGTTTTTTGTTTTTTGAGACGGAGTCTCGCTCTGTTGCCCAGGCTGGAGTGCAGTGGCACTATCTTGGCTCACTGCAAGCTCGGCCTCCTGGGTTCACACCATTCTCCTGCCTCAGCCTCCCGAGTAGCTGGGACTACAGGCGCCCACCACCACACCCAGCTAATTTTTTGTATTTTTAGTAGTGACGGGGTTTCACCGTGTTAGCCAGGATGTTCTCGATCTCCTGACCTCGTGATCCACCCGCCTCGGCCTCCCAAAGTGTTGGGATTACAGGTGTGAGCCACCGCACCCGGCCAGTTTTTTGTATTTTAGTAGAGACGGGGTTTCACTATGTTGCCCAGGCTGGTCTTGAACTCCCGAGCTCAGGCAATCCTGAGTGCTCCCAAGTGCACTCAGGCCTCCCAAGTGCTGAGGTTACAGGTGTGAGTCATGGTGCCTGGCCCAATGATTCCACTTTTATTTGCTCTTACAATCCCTGTAAAATTGCTCTTGAGGTGTTATTAAATTTAAAAATGAATAAATATATAAACAAACAAGAAAAGCTTGAAACTACTGCTTGACGCTTTCTTAGACATCCACATTCTGGTTGAGGGCCTTCCTCACTAGTCCCATGTCATGGCTAGAATCCACCTGCCCCTGATCCTCTCACCCTCAACTTCCCACAGCTACCCACCTGCAATGTCACACATTTCAGCATCTGTGGCATGTGCCAGTGCCTCCTCCAGCTCAGGCTCCAGGGTGATCTGCTCCTCTGCTGGGATTTCCCTCTTGGGCTGAATATAGGGTTTCCCTGATGGGGAGATGAAGGATGGCTCAGGTAGAGGTAATTTCTCCCAAGATCCTGGCCTCCAGGTTTCCTTCCTCCTCCAGGAGGTAGAATGCTGCGTCACGAAGGGACACTGGAAAGCCTGAGTCCTCTACAAACTCAAGAGTCCTTAGCCCCCTGATCTCTCAAGAACTGAAGAGTGCGGGGCTGGGCGCTGTGGCTCACGCCTGTAATCCCAGCACTTGGGGAGGCCGAGGCGGGTGGATCATGAGGTCAGGAGATCGAGACCATCCTGGCTAACATGGTGAAACCCCATCTCTACTAAAAATACAAAAAATTAGCGGCCGGGCACGGTGGCTCATGCCTGTAATCCCAGCACTTTGGGAGGCTAAGGCGGGCAGATCACGAGGTCAGGAGATCGAGACCATCCTGGCTAACACAGTGAAACCCCATCTCTACTAAAAATACTAAAAAATTAGCCGGGCGTGGTGGTGGGCGCCTGTAGTCCCAGCTACTCGGGGGGCTGAGGCAGGAGAATGGCGTGAACCCGGGAGGTGGAGCTTGCAGTGAGCCGAGACTGCACCACTGCACTCCAGCCTGGGCAACAGAGTGAGACTCCGTCTCAAACAAAAAGAAAAAAAAAAGAACTGAAGAGTGCAAGCTCGCATTTAAGTGTCAGGGCATCTGAGTCCCTAGGCAACTAGGAGCTGGAAGGTGAGAGGGAAACTGGAGTGGGGACGAGTGAGAGACAGCACAGCCACTTGGGTTCTACGAGGCATGGATGTCAGGGTCCCCATACCCTTCTTCTCGCCTGTGAAGGGCACCAAGTCATCACGCTCTTTGACTTCTAGTGCCTGTTGCTCCAAGTACTGCAAAAGGGCCTCTCGGTCCAGTGGCCCCGTTGGGCTCTTCTTTGTCTGGTCACGTTGTCTTAGTCCAGCTGGCAGGAGCATGTTCTTAGGGATGAGTTTTGGGGAGCAAGTCAGACCTCCCCTCTGACCTAGGTACTGCTAGGGCTCCCTAAAACATCACCGGACACCTTTCCCCTGGCCTTCTTAGGACCCTAGGTCCTGTAGCAAACCCTATTCTCAGCCACCCAGAGCCCAACACCCTTCCCAAATGCCTGGGACTGCCTCTGGTTCCCTGTGCTGGAGCCCCTACCTCAGGATCCATCTCCTGTAGTTCGCAGTCCAGCTGCTCTAGCTCCTCGGGGCTCAAGGTCCTTAGGATCTCATCTTCATCTATGTCTCTGTATTTCTCCAGTTCCTTCTGATATGATGACATGGTGGCCCCCACCCCCTCCCCACTGTGTGGTACTCACAGAGCCTGGGCAACATGGGACAAAAGGATGGACAATGGTAAGATGGACAGGGACACAGCAGGGACACAAAGAGACCAGCCAGGGGGGCAGAACATTGGATTGGATTTCTTGGAGATTAGAAGTCTAGTTGAGGATGGGAAGTGGGGAAGATTAGGTTGTTTAGAGTTAGAACTAGAGTCTCCTTTCTGCTTCCCCAGCTTCCAGCCACTCTGGATGGGGATCCCAGACATCTAAGCTGGGTTTGTCTTCCCACGGTATGACAGAGAAATCCTGGCAGCACCCCTCCCCTATAACCTCACTTGTCAGTGCCTTCGCCCTAACACAGCTGCTGGAAGCCCTGCCAACACAGCTGGTCCTATGCCCAGTTCCTATTGAAAGGGGATGAGGGGTGGGGGAATAGAGAGCTTCAGGGAAATTCCTCCTCTCCTCCTCATAATCCAGGCTTTTTCCTAAACCGGATAAAAAAACCAAGGACAATGAGGTGTAAGGGGAAGAGAGAGTCTCTTACCCCATCCTCATTTCCCTTTTATTGTGGGGGATCAAGATTTCACTTTCTGTGTTTGCTAAAATTTGAAGTCTTAAGGGAAAGCAAGGGCTCGGAGCAGTTGGGGGACTTCCAGGTTGGGGGAAGGGTAGTAAGGCCTCTGTGAGTCCCCATAATCTGTCCCTTGCTTTGGACAGGAAGGTGACACCAGACCAATGGGTGTAAATAGGGTAAAGTTTCTTTAAAAACAGTGGGAATATTAAACTCGCACAATTTTGTACAATATAAGATACGCATAAGGAGCTATGCATACACACCATGCTGAATATGAAAGATCCAGAAAGTATGTGAGACACATCGACAATGTAAACTATACACAGTTAAGGGGTAGGACGGCACAGTGGCAGAAATATACACTGAGTGACAGAGACAGGGACACACTCCACATCATTCCCCATAGGAGCCACTCTTCTCCTCCCATCTCCCACCGGGCTCTCATCCATAAGCCCCCTGTCTTCCCCACCTACCAGTCCTGGTGGTCACCTCCCTTCTCACCTCCCCTGTGTCAGTAGGTCTGTCTGTTCTACTAGAGCACTGTCCCAGCAGCAGGAGGAGCCCGGTGCCGGGGGAGAGGGTGGGGGAACAGTGAGCTCAGCATTTTATTATTTTAGCTCTGGCCAGGTGGGGGGTAGTGGGAGATCACATATACACAGCCCCCATACCCTGCCCAGCCCTGAGAGCCTCTAGTGGTCATTAACAGCCATGGCATCTCTTCCACTTCCCTTCATACAAGCCCCAGTCTGAGACATATGAGTTCGACTAGAATCAGCCAGTTCCTCCTTATTTGGTGCCTGCTGTATTCAAAACAGTGAGTGTAAAGTGATAGGAAGGTCAATACAAGGATGTGTTTTGGTGTGCAATTTTCAGATGTTTATAATTTAGTTGGAGGAATGAATACAATTTAGAAAGGACAGCTCATAATAAATGCTATCGAATAAAGACCCAAATATATGCAGGTATTCAAATACTTCTTGCTCCCAACCCTAGACTGGACACCAGACAAAAGGGATCTTTCTATTTTATTAGATTAAAAAACACAACGAAACCTGTAAGAACTAGGGGAAAAGGAAAAAGAAACAGATTAGGCAAAGATCAGAGATGACAAAGGGGAGAAGCAGGGAGAAGAAACGGAACAGCAAGAGCCCCAATCAGGGCAGGAAAGAAGTTTCTGAGGACTAGACATCTCTTCATTTAATGACAATTTTCTGGCGCAAGGCTCGGGGCCCAGAGCCAGGGAGGGGCTCAGGAGGTGGCGGGCCGGGGCCCAGGGCTGAGGCAGTGGGCGGCAGTCCATGGGCAGTAATGTACTTCTTGTAAGCCTCACGAATGATCTTGAAGGCTCGAGCAGTGGCATAGGGTATGTCTGTAACAGGGTCCCGGTATAGGGCTGGACGATGGGTCACTGGACAGACCTCACGAACAGGGACTTTTGGGGGCCGCCCTTGGGGGAACCATTCCTCGAAAGTTGCATCATCACTAAAAGTGATGAAGGTACGTGAGCAGCGAGCAGGGGGGTTGACGGGTCCAGTCCCAGCATGAGGAGTCAATGCAGACACCGAGGGAGCAGGATCAAGTCTGAGGACAAAAGACAAGGAAAAACACAAAGAGCTGAGGAGAGAAGACAACAGATACAGAAAGAAGGAAATCAGGCTGGGTGCAGTGGCTCACACCTGTAATTCCAGCACTTTGGGAGGCTGAGGCAGGCAGATGACGAGGTCAGGAGTTCGAGACCAGCCTGACTAACAAGGTGAAACCCTGTCTCTACTAAAAATACAAAAATTAGCCGGGCGTGGTGGCGGATGCCTGTAATCACAGCTACTCAGGAGGTTGAGGCAGGAGAATCACTTGAAGCCAGGAGGCGGAGGTTGCATGGAACCAAGATCGTGCCATTACACTCCAGCCTGGGTGACAGAGCAGCGAGACTCCATCTCAAAAAAAAAAAAAAAAGAAAAGAAAGAAAGAAGGAAATCAGAGAGATGAGGAAAGAGAAAAAGGAGGCAGGGTGTTGGGAACATTCTGAGGAACGTACTAAGTGACTGATGGGAAAAGAAAGCTAGGCTAGAAGGAAAAACAGGAAAGAGAAGAACAGAGAAGCTAAAAGAAAAAGGAATAAGAAAGAAATAAGCTGGGCTGGGCGCGGTGGCTCACACCTGTAATCCCAGTATTTTAGGAAGATGAAGCGGGACGATTACTTTAACCCAGGAGTCTGGGCAACACAGCGAAACCGTCTCTACAAAAAATACAAAAATTAGCATGTGTGGCTGTACTCCCAGCTACTTGGGAGGCTAAGGTGGGAGGATCGCCTGAGCACAGGAGGTGGAGGTTGCAGTGAGCCGAGACTGCACCACTGCATTCCAGCCTAGGTGACAGAGCAGCATCATGTCTCAAAAAAAAAAAAAGAAAAAGAAATTGAGCTGAAGGGAGTTAGGAATCTGAAAGAAATCTCCAAGTGTTAAGGAGAGCTGTGTGAGAAAAGCAAGCAAAATGGGGCCAAGAGAACATGAGCTGAACACACAATCTCTTTTCCTCTTGAGATTCACTCACCCTTCTATGTCAACGTTCTCTTCCTTGGGGCCTGGCTCCCCAACAAGTGGCACTGTCACTGAATGATAGGTGATTATGGGCCCGGGGCACTTCCGCTTCTTATGAACCTGCTTCTTTTTATCAGCCTCGAGCCGCTCATATGTCTCTTTAGGGTCAAAGGAAGAAATGAGGGGATGATCAGAATGTCCCTTTTTCCCATATCCCAGTACTGTCCCACGATCTCTCAATTATCTTCCTGGCTATCTAGTCACTGCCAACTACCAGAGACAACTATGGAAGTCCCCTAAGGCCGTCTGGCACCTCCCATTTTGTAAGTTTTCTGCTTATAAGTTTTTTCTTGACATCCTCTCTGCTCATTTCTCAAGTACACCTGGGCCCTCTATAGTACCTCAGAGTTGGAAGGTACCCTTTGATGAGGAGCTTATTTGCTTTCCCAGATACCAAAATCTCCTCTACAAATGCCCTGTCAATTCACTCCTACAGCTGGGTGTGCTGGCACACGCCTGTAATCCCAGCTACTTGGGAAGCTGAGGTGGAAGGATCGCTTGAGCCAGGGAGGTGGAGGTTGCAGTGAGCTGAGATGGCACCACATTGCACTCCAGCCTAGGCAGCAGAGTGAGATCATATCTCCAAAAAAAAAATTAGTAAGGTAGGAAATTATATTTAAATATAGAGATTTCTGGTCGCTCTTAAACAACAAGAAAATCTCGCAACCCTGGGTCTGCATTCTTACAGGGGAACAATTAGCTGAGCTGAGTAACTGTTCCTCCTTTCAGGCACTCCTCTCCAGTTCACCACCATCCCTCTGGCTGGCTGCACACTTCATGTTACCTGCCTGGTCTCCGTGATACTGCTCCATGGCGATGCACTATTGGTATATATGTCTCCTCCTTAAGGGCAGTGACTATAACTCATATTGCCTAAATATTATCAGGGTGATACAGCATTTTCCACATTACAGGCACTCATTAAATATTTGTTAATGAATAAATGAATCAAGGCTGGGCACAGTGGCTCATGCCTGTAATCCCAGCACTTTGGGAGGCCGAGGTGGGTGGATCACCTAAGGAAAGGAGTTCAAGACCAGCCTGACCAACATGGTGAAACCCCGTCTCTACTAAAAATACAAAAACTATCCGGGCGTGGTAGCACATGACTATAATCCCAGCTACTTGGGAGGCTGAGACAGAAGAATTGCTTGAACCTGGGAGGCAGAGGTTGAAGTGAGATTGCATTATTGCACTCCAACGCGGGCAATAAGAGCGAAACTCTGTCTCAAAAAAATAAATAATTTTAAAAATTTAAAAAAAAGGGCTGGGCTTTTTTTGGTGGCTCACACCTGTAACCCCAGCACTTTGGGAGGCCAAGGTGTGCGGATCATGAGGTCAGGAGATCAAGACCATCTTGGCCAACATAGAGAAACCCTGTCTCTACTAAAAATACAAAAAATTAGCTGGACGTGGTGGTGAGCACCTGTAGTCCCAGCTACTCGGGAGGCTGGGGCAGGAGAATGGCGTGAACCCAGGAGGCAGAGCTTGCAGTGAGCTGAGATCGCGCCACTGCACTCCAGCCTGGGCAAAAGAGTGAGACTCCGTCTCAAAAAAAAGAATCACCATGCACGGTGGCTCACGCCTGTAATCCCAGCACTTTGGGAGGCTGAGGTGGGCAGAGCACCTGAGGTCGGGAGTTTGAGACCAGCCTGACCAACTTGGAGAAACCCCGTCTCTACTAAAAATACCAAATGAGCCAGATGTGGTGGTGTATGCCTATAATCCCAGCTACCGGGAGGCTGAGGCAGGAGAATTGCTTGAACCTGGGAGGCGGAGGTTGCGGTGCGCCAAGATCATACCATCGCACTGTAGCCTGGGAAACAAGAGTGAAACTCCATCTCCAAAGACAAAACAAACATACGAAAAAAAATGAATCAAAATATTCCTCGTCCCCTTCCTCTGAATGAACTCCAGATTTCTGTGTCCTTAAATATGGTTATGATGAACACAATTCCCTAAAGTCTGACCATAAAAGAGTACTCTGGAGGCCAGGTGCGGTGGCTCATGCCTGTAATTACAGCACTTTGGGAGGCCTAGGCGGGTGGATCACCTGAGGTCAGGAGTTTGAGACAGACCTGGTCAACATGGTGAGACCCTGTCTCTACTAATAATACAAAAATTAGCTGGGCGTGGTGGCTTGCACCTGTAATCTCAGCTACTCGGGAGGCTGAGGCAGGACAATCACTTGAACCTGGGAGGCGGAGGTTGCAGTGAGCTGAGATTGTGCCATCGCACTCCAGCCTGGGTGACAGAGCAAGACTCCGTCTCAAAAAAAAAAAAAGAGTACTCTGGAAACCCTTCCAATGATTGAACCTCTCTTGCACTTGAACTGTTTGATAATACTGCTTTCTCTCCTTTGAGCCAGTCTTCCAACGCCTCAACCCCTTTACTTTCTTTTTCTTTTTTGAGACAGAGTCTTGCTCTGTCGCCAGGTTGGAGTACAGTGGCACAATCTCGGCTCCCTGCAACCTCCCCCTCCCAGGTTCAAGCAATTCTCCTGCCTCAGCCTCCTGAGTAGCAGGGACTATAGGCACGTGCCACCATGCCCAGCTAATATTTGTATTTTTAGTAGAGACGGGGTTTCACCATGTTGACCAGGATGGTCTGGAACTCCTGACCTCGTGATCCGCCCACCTCAGCCTCCCAAAGTGCTGGGATTACAGGCGTGAGCCACCACGCCTGGCCCAACCCCTCTACTTTCAAACACTTGCCTACACCCTCTGGAACTCGTGCTCTGTAATCTGCCAACTCATCTATATCCTCAAGCTCCTCACTCAGCATTCCTTCCATGACTTGCCTTAACAGAAACCTGGTCATTCACTGAGGCCACCACTCCTCTCTGCAGACCTCTGGTGGAGGTTGCTCATTCTCTTACATCCCTACAGGATATACCTATGTCCTACTGGGCCCCACCCTGTAGCTTTCAGAGCACTGCTTTTCTGCCTACCAGCAAACTCCCTTCTCTTTTGAGACCTGTGCCAAGAGTCTAGATTAACTTCTCTCCTTCCTAGTCATGGTCACTCCTTCATTCACTGAAGACTTTGGCAGTGGTTTCCACTCTTCGTCTCTACCCCAATTCCCATCATCTTAGGGTCACCCTGGTGACTTCGAAGTGCACATGGGTAGCCCCTTCAACACTGCATGGCCACAGTTTATCACCTCATCTCTAACAACCTTCTTTTCCATGTCACTTTACTTTTTTTTTTTTTTTGAGTCTCACTCTGTTGCCCAGGCTGGAGTGTAGCGACACGATCTCCACTCACTGCAACCTCCGCCTCCCGGGTTCAAGTGATTCTCCTCAGTGATTCTCAGCCCCCCGAGTAGCCAGGACTACAGGCACGCACCACCATGCCTGGCTAATTTTTTGTATGTTTAGTAGAGACGGGGTTTCACCATGTTGGCCAGGCTGGTCTCGAACTCCTTACCTTGTGATCCGCCTGCCTCGGCCTCCCAAAGTGCTGGGATTACAGATGTGAGCCACCGCGCCCAGTCACATTTTCCTTTTTAAATCATGCTTAGGTTGCTCACTGTATCATTTCAATCACTTCAGTCACTCTCCTGTCAATAATTCCCTTGCCCTGATCTGGACTGCTGAGTGCTACTGGAGAAAAATAACAGCACAGACTGGAACCACCATAAATTCATGGTCCTAGCCTTCAGCAGGTCCCTCAATACTGCTCAATATCCCACATCAATAACTATTTAAATGCTCCTCAGTCTCCTCAAGCTTCCAGCTGTATCCTTAATGTTTGACAGATGGTGCTGCATAATGAAAAAGACATCAGGTGAGAACCTCCGCCATGCCCTCCCTCTGGATTACAAACCTACAACTGTAAGCCACATTTTTAAACAGAGACAGGGTCTCACTATGTTGCCCAGGCTGGTCTTGAACTCCTGGGCTCAAGCGATCCTCCTTCCTTGGCCTCCCAAAGTGCTGGGATTACAGGCATGAGCCACTGCACTCAGCTAAGCCACACTTTCTTTCTTTTTTTTTGAGACAGAGTTTCACTCTTGTTACCCAGGCTGGAGTGCAATGGCACGATCTCGGCTCACCGCAACCCCCGCCTCCCGGGTTCAAGTGATTCTCCTGCCTCAGCCTCCCAAGTAGCTGGGATTACAGGCATGTGCCACCACACTCAGCTAATATTTTGTATTTTTAGTAGAGACAGGGTTTCTCCATGTTGGTCAGGCTGGTCTCGAACTCCTGACCTCAGATGATCCACCCGCCGCAGCCTTCCAAAGTGCTGGGATTACAGGTGTGAGCCACGGCGCCCGGCCACCACACTTTCTTTCTCCCTTCCCCCATCTGAAGCCAATTCCTCCACCATGCTGCTCTGGTTCCCAGCCTTGCCTCCCATCTCCAAAAACCTACACTATTAATAACCGTTTTTTCTTCTCTTTCTTTAAACTCAGTTCTTTCTCATGAAAGACATAATTTCTAATATCTTCGAATAAAATAAAAACAACTTTACCTTAATCTCACACCCCTCTGTAGCTTCCATTCCCTCTTCTACCCTTCATGGCCAAGCTTGAAAAGTTTTGCTCCCCAATATACTTTGATTCGACTTGGTCCCCAAAAAGTGCTAAGGTAATGTCTGACCTCTATCTCACCAAAACCAATGGGCACTTCTCAGTTCTACTAATCATCGTCTCAGCAGCAATTACTCTCTTGAGACATTCTCTTTCCTGGCATTTTTAACACAAACTCTCCTGGGTTTCTCCAACTCGTTGGTCACTTCCAGGCTCTTTTCAAAGCTCCTCCTCTTGTATGAAACTATCACATTTTAGTGTCTGCAGGACTCTATCAGGCCTCTGTTTTCTCACTCTGAGCTTTCTCCCTACATGCTCAGATGCACTCCAATATTGTCAATTACCACCCATATTCTAAAGACTTCCAAATTTGTATTTTCAGCCCAGATCTCTTATTGGAACACCAGATTTGCATATTTAACTGACCTCTCATCACTGCATGAATTGCTCACAAACTCCTTAAATTCAACATGTTCAAAAATAAATTTGTTTTTTCCCCACTGAACTTGCTCCTCCTTCAGGGTCTCCTAAGCCAGTTACTGATGTTGAAAACCTGGGAATTGCCGCGGGGTGGCCCAAGCCTGTAATCCCAGCACTTTGGGAGGGTGAGGCGGGTGGATCACCTGAGGTCAGGAGTTCAAGACCAGCCTGGCCAACATGGTGAAACCCCATCTCAACTAAAAATACAAAAAAATTAGCTGGGCATGGTGGCGGGCACCTGTAATCCCAGCTACTTGGGAGGCTGAGGCAAGAGAATCTCCAGCTCAGGAGGCGGAGCTTGCAGTGAGCCGAGATCATACCACTGCACTCCAGCCTGGGCGACAGAGTAAGACTCTGTCTCAAAAAAAAAAAAAAAAAAAAAAAGAAAGGAAAACCTGGGAGTCACTCTCCTTACAGTGGTCCAAACCAATCGCTCTGTAGCCCTGGCTGGAGTGCAGTGGTGTGATCTCGGCTCATTGCAACTTCCACCTCCCAGGTTCAAATGATTCTCTTGCCTCAGCCTCCCAAGTACCTGGGATTACAGACATGCGCCACCATGCCCAGCTAATTTTTGTATTTTTGGTAGAGACAGGGTTTCACCATGTTGGCCAGGCTGGTCTGGAACTCCCAACTGCAAGTGATCCACCCACCTTGGCCTCCCAAAGTGCCGGGATTACAGGTATGAGCCACTGCGCTTGGCCCAAACTGAAGAGATTTTTAAAGCAATACCATAAAATGAAGAGATTTTTAAAGCAATTTATCTCATGAAGGACTAATCTGCTGACTTCACGTTCTCATGATTATCATTAAAGTCAACATTATCACCCCCTGCTTTTTTTTTTTTTAAGAGATGGGGTTTCACTATGTTGTCCAGGCTGGTTATGAACTCCTGGCCTCAAGTGATCCTCCTGCCTAAATTTCCTGAGTCATTAGGTATATACCCCATTTTATAAACAAGAAAAGCAAAATGTGAATAAGTAATTTACCTACAGACTTAAAGCAAATGAATAGCAGAACGAGGATTTGACCTCAGTTCTATACAACTCTTATTTTACACCAAAGTACCTTAGCTTGTTCTTCAGAGTGCTCATAACTGCCTAGACTCTTGCACCTAATTACCTACTCTCCGCCATTTCTTCCTTCTGATTCCATCATCCCAAATTTCCATCTCTCCAGTTCTTTGGTCCTCCAGGTCTCATGGTTTTTCTCATGCCCCTCAGCCCCTCTACTCACTTTTTCTGAAACCACAGACTTACCCAGTGACCGTAAATTAAGCTCTTCTGTGATCTTGGCCTCCCGGAGCAGTTCCTCCTGGGTTAGTGGCCGCTCACAGTGGGGCCCCTTTCGCCGTCTTGACTGGCCCTGCCTCTCCTGTACCCGAAGGAACGTTTGTCGTGTATGCTCAGCTGTAGACTGACGCATAGACTTCCGACCTGGAAGAGAGTGAGATAAGAAGAAATCTTTGAATTCATGTCCACATATTTTATTTATTTATTTTGAAATGTTGTACTTGGAAATAATTTTTTTTTCTTTTTTTTTTTTTGAGATGGAATCTCGCTCTGTCGCCCAGGCTGGAGTACAGTGGCACGATCTCGGCTCACTCCAACCTCTGCTTCCTGGGTTCAAACAATTCTCCTGCCTCAGACTCCCGAGTAGCTGGGAGTACAGGTGCATGCCACCACATCCAGCTAATTTTTTGTATTTTTAGTAGAGATGGGGTTTCATCATGTTAGCCAGGATGGTCTTGAACTACTGACCTCGTGATCTGCCTGCCTCGGCCTCCCAAAATGCTGGGATTACAGGCATGAGCAACCGTGCCTGGCCTGAAATAATTTCAAACCTACGAAGTTGCAAGAATAGTACAAGGAATACTCATGTATCTTTTACCCCATCACCTATTGGTAATATTTTGGCCCTTTTGCATTTTGTTATGTGTGGTTTTTTTCTGAATGATCTAAATTAGGTAACTAAAGTTGTACACATCATGGCCTTTATCCCTAAATATTTCAGTGTGTATTTCCTAAGAATGAGGATTTTCCTACCCATAGTAAGTTATCAACATCAGTAAATTTTTTCTTCTTTTTATTACTTTTTTCTGGTGACAGAGTTTTGCTCTTGTTGCCCAGGCTGGAGTGCAATGGTGTAACCTCCACCTCCCAGGTTCAAGCAATTCTCCTGCCTCAGCCTCCCAAGTAGCTGGGATTACAGGGGCCCACCACCACACCTGGTTAATTTTTGTATTTTTAGTAGAGACGGAATTTCACCATGTTGGCCAGGCTGGTATCGAACTCCTGACCTCAGGTGATCTACCCGCCTAGGCCTCCCAAAGTGCTGGGATTCTAGGAGTGAGCCACCGCACCCAGCAACATCAGTAAATTTAACACTGATATGATACTTTATTATTATATTCCAATTTTGCCAATTGACCCTAACATCCCTACTCACTGTCAGAGCCGTCATCTTGTAGTTCTAATGGCAGTAGTGCCTTCTCTTCTCGCGCCTTCTGAGAGCTACCAGCCGGGGTGTTGACCTTTCGAGGCCTTAAGCTCTTGAGAGGTTCCTGAGGACAGATTGGAATCAGATACTGGGGAACAGAAGAAGTCAGGAGAAATATGAGGATCTCAATGAGAGAAAACTAGCATTGCCAGAAATGGAAGTGGCATAGGGAGTACTGGGACCTGATGAAAGAGAGAATAGGAATTGAGGAAATCCAAGACAACTAGGACTCCCCCTGTACCTTATAGGCCTTGGTGACTACTCGGCGCTTCCTTCTTGGCTCTTCTGCTTCTCCATCACTGGATGGTTCATCCCCTTCATCAATGTCAAAGTCAGAGTCCACTTCGTCCTCTGTGTCTGACTGGTCCCCTTGATACTCATCATCTCCGGATTCCTAAGGACACAGGGAGATAAGGGTTGGCTGGCAATGGAAGCCTTAATGCCCCTTCAGGAGGAACAGAATCTCTCGACTTTCTTGATAAGGGCTGCCCTACTCTCCTTCCTAATCCAGCCCTTCATTTTCCTCAGGCAAGAAAACTTTCTAGCTAATGGCCTTTGGCTCCAGTACCACCTCCTTCCAACATTAATTGATAGCCCTTTACCTGCAACACACTGTTAAGTACTGGGGAACAAAAGGATATGGTTTGGTCTCTACCTTCAGGGGCTTACAGTAAAGGGGAGGACATAATCTTACTTTTTTTTTTTTGAGATGTGGATCTCGAACAGGCTTGGTGGCTCACGCCTGTAATCCCAGCACTTTGGGAGGCCGAGGTGGGCAGATCACTTGAGGCCAGGAGTTCGAGACCAGCCTGGCCAACATGGTGAAACTCTGTCTCTACTAAAAATACAAAAATTAGCTGGGCATGGTGACGCACACCTGTAGTCCCAGCTACTTGGGAGGTTGAGGCAGGAGAACTGCTTGAACCCAGGAGGCATAGGTTGCAGTGAGCTGAGATAGTGCCACTGCACTCCAGCCTGGGCGACAGGGCGAGACACAGTCTCAAAAAGAAAAAAAAAAAAAAGGATGAAGAGGACTTAAACTATGATTGAAAACACTGTTAGTATTTAGACAGCCAAGAGGGAGGAAGGAATCATGGGCAGATGAAATAGCAGAAACAAAGGCACAGAAATGGTAATGTGTATAGCATGTTTATGGAATAAGGATTTAGATCTAAGTAAAACTTTTCTCTGTCAAGAAACCTTGTTAGCCAACTGCATTTGGCTCCAGCACTGCCTCCTTCCAACACTGATTGCACTGTAGGACTGTATGATTTGAAAAGAAGGTTGCATTCCATTTATGGAGAAACTTAAATGTCACACTAATAAACACGCTTTTAACCTGCAGGCCAGTGATTCTCAATCCCCTCCATCTCCTTATTTTCCCTACCATTGATAATCATTGTTGAGGTAAACTAAAGTTACTGAGAGAAATATGTGTCATTCCTCAGGCGTGTTGGGACAGAAAAACAGCTGAGTACTGCTACTATGGATAATGGAGGGCCACTGAAGATTTAGGGGAGGGGTAATGGTATGTACAATGGGTATTTCAGAAAGCTCTGGGGGCAGTTAGATGGCCTGGAGTAGAGAACGTGAAGTACAGCCTAGACCTCAGGTGAACTGGTTAGGGCTAGAATGGCAGCCATATTATAAAGAAAAGGGAAAAAAGCCACTTGAGGGAGAGGGAGTCAACTGGGCTGGCTGACACCTCACATATGTGGTTCTCTCTTCAATCAGTGATGCAGACTAATGGGCTAATCTTGGTACACATGATGCCAAAGCAAGCAAATAACACAGATGGCTGACACTCCAAGCCAGCCAGAGTTCAATTTTGCACTGATGACCATCATTTCCTCCTAACTGATGTTTGTAAAAGACAGCCTGGGAACACATTAATCCCCTCAGCTTTAATCTGGTATTAAGCCATATCACCAGAGGGTAGTAGATCAACCACACATTAGCTTAGTGCCCAATCAACATACTTGCACTAAATTAAGGATTTACTACCATTCCTTCGGCTTTTATTGAGAGTCATTAAGAGACATCACTAGAAAAGAGAATGTTTGTATATCATCTATGAAAACCATTACTTTTTATAATATAAGGATATAATGATAAATGCTCCCTAGGATTTAAGGCTGAAAAAGTTTGTGTCTCTTGAAGAACTTGTATGCTTCTTTCTTACTAAAAAAAGAAATACAAGGTTTGGCTACCAGGAAGCTCACAACTAAATTTAATATCAATTGCTATTACCATTTTAGCAGAGGTTCCTGGTACAATTACTTCTGATCTGTCTCTATTTTTACTGTTCCTACTTTTTGTTTATATTGTAAGCCTCCTTAAATCCTTTTTGGAAGCATGAAGGGTACATATTAAATAACAAGTCGTAAAATGACAGAAATAGGAAAATGGCCTTAGAGGAGGGATGAGAAAGTTCTATTTTAAACTAGTTGGTTAGGGCTGTGTCAGTAATGACTCTGTCAGTGATGTGGGTTTTTTTTTTTTTTGAGACAGAGTCTCACTCTGTCGCCCAGGCTGGAGGGCAGTGGCGCAATCCACTGCAACCTCTGCCTCCTGGGTTCAAGTGATTCTCCTGCCTCAGCCTCCTAAGTAGCTGGAATTACAGGCACACGCCACCACAACCAGCTAATTTTTTGCATTTTTAGTAGTGACAGGGTTTCACCATGTTGGTCAGGCTGGTCTCGAACTCCTGACCTCGTGATCCACCCGCCTCAGCCTCCCAAAGTGCTGGAATTACAGGCGTGAGCCACCACACCCAGCCCCTAAGTCCTGTGGGTTCTATTCCTTAATTTCTCTTGAATCTTTCTGTTTCTCTACTGCCATGCCCCCTTCAAGCCATTCTCATTACAGAGTAAGTAACCTTCCTAAAGTACAAATTTCATCGTGGAATTCTGATGACTCTTCTCAGTCCTCTGGATGAAGAGCAAAATTCCTTAACATAGCTCACAAGGCCCTAAAGGATCTGGCCCATGCCTACTCCCTGCAGGCTTATCAATCTTTAGTCTCCTTCATGCTCTGGAGAATGAAAGTAGACTTGCAGGTCCTAGACCAGGATCTCAATGTCTTTACATACTCAGCCCATCCTGCTCTGTGGACTAACCTTTCTCCTTCTCCTGCTTTTCATCAAGCTAAGGTCTACTTTTCAAACTGTCCTCAGCTTAAACATCATCCCTCCAGGGATGCCTATCCTGATCAACAACTTTGGTTCAGATGTATTACCTTAACACTCTTACACCTTGTTTTAGTCCTTATCACACATTTTTTGTTTGTTTTTGAGACGGAGTCCTGCTCTGTCGCCCAGGCTGGAGTGCAGTGGTACGATCTCGGCTCACTGCAACCTCCTCCTCCCAGGTTCAAGCGATTCTCTGCCTCAGCCTCCTGAGTAGCTGGGACTATAGGCGCACACCACCACGCTTGGCTAATTTTTGTATTTTAATAGAGACAGGGGGTTTTACCATGTTGGCCAGGATGGTCTCGATTTCCTGACCTTGTGATCCACCCGCCTCGGCCTTCCAAAGTGCTGGGATTACAGGCGTGAGCCACTGTGCCCGGCCAAAGCCACTGTGCTCGGCCTATCACACAGTATTTTAACTGTTAACCCAGGCAGTTACCCCACTGGGGCATGGAGTATGTAAGGACAGAGCACTGTTTTTAATATTCTGTTTCCCTAGAGCCTAAAACAACCTATTACCGATGGCATGCTCTGGGTACTCAACACATTTAATAAACGGGTAGATTCAACTAATAAAAATTTAGCAAGTGGCAGCCCAGTCCGGACACCTCACACATAATGTTGAACAAAACAGACCATCTCTAACTTTATACAGTTTACAATGCAATAGAAAAGCATAAGCAAGTAAGCAAACCAAATCTAATTGCAAATTGAAATATGTTCTGTGGAAGAAATAAATGGGGACACTTGTTAGGATAGTCAAGGAAGGGTTATCTTCCTGAGAAAACATTTACACTGAGACCTGAAAGCTGAAAAAGAAGTGGGCTAAGCTCCTCTACTTTTGGAGCGGTTCCTTTCCATGTCTCAGGTGAATAATCCAGCAGTGGGCCAACGAGTATACATCGAGCAACTGTCTACTACTATGTGTGTGCCTCGTGTATGCTGGACGTCAGAAGTACAGTGAAAGATGCAACCACGCAAGTATACGGTAGGTTTCTGCCGTTCTCTGTTCTCTGGAGTGCCTCCGGAGAGCTTCTCCGTCTCAGGCCCCTTTGACCCCATCCAGAGCTCTCCCTTCTAGGACTCCACACTATCCGTTCCCCCGCCTCGCCCCCCGGCTCCGATTCACCCACCCAACTCGAGTATCAGCTCCCAGAGCTCCTCTCTATTCCCCGCCCTCTTCTTCTTTGTCCGGGGTTTCTCCCTTCAGGGCTCCTCTTTGCCTCCTCCCCTCCCTTTTCCCAGGCCCGGATCTTGCCTCTGTGAAACCCCCATAAGTCGTCTGGTAGAACTCATCTTCCTCCTCTGCCTCCAAAAGCCCAGAAAGCCGGTTCCCAGCGGTCTTCCGGGGTGCCCGGCCCCCAGCCAAACTCATACCGCCTACCGAGACTGCGCCGCCACCTGCAGCCCCTCACCAGCTCGGTTTTGGGAGCTCGACGCTCGACATCACTACCTGCGGGTGGCCACCAGCGGCGGAAGTCGGGCGTTTACAGGCAGAAGTAACAGAGTGTCGAGAGACTCCCAGTCCCACCCTCTAAACCCTCTTTACTCTTCAGCCTCTCCTACTCCTGCGCGGATGCTCTAGGCCGCTTGCTCTAGTACCCAGCGATCTCCCTTGCTCAATGAGTCCACTTGGTGGTACGAAGACCCCCATAACCCTAAGTCAACACATTTTATTTTATTTATTTTTATTTTATATATATATATGGTTTTTTTTTTCCGTAGGGACGGAGTCTCGCCTCGCTCTGTCGCCAGACTGGAGTGCAGTGGCACGATCTCGGCTCACTGCAACCTCCGTCCCCCGGGCTGAAGCGATTCTCCTGCCTCAGTCCCCCGAGTAGCTGGGATTACAGGCGCCCGCCACCATGCCCAACTAATTTTTGTATTTTTAGTAGAGACAGCTTTCACCGTGTTGGCCAGGCTGGTCTCGAACTCCTGACCTCAGGTGATCCGCCCGCTTCGGCCTCCCAAAGTGCTGGGATTACAGGCATAAGCCTGCGCCCCCAGCTCACATTTTCTTTTAGAAGAGGTCATTCTCTCCGCTCCAGTCCATTTTCTACACTGCTGCTAGTAGGAAACTTTCTAAAAACCCACGTTTTGCCACTCCTGTCCTCAAACATTTTTAATGGCTCCACATCATCTACAAGATAAAGTCAAAAATCCTTGAGGAAGGAAGCATAGTATTGTGGTTAAAAACACAGCCATAGACATTTATCCAAAGGAAAGGACATAATTCAACCTGAGGAAGCCAATTTAGGAGGAAAAAAAAAAAGGAAATCAGTATATCCAAGAGACGTCTGCACTCCATATTTATGCACCCCCATATTTATTGCAGCACTACTTAGAGTAGCCAAAATAGGAAATCAATCTCTGTGTCCAACAACAGATGAATAAAGGAAATAGGGTGTATATACACAATGGAATACTTTTCAGCCATTAAAAAGAAGAAAATCCTGTCATTTGCAGCAACATGGATGGAACTGGAGGACATGTTAACTGACTTAAGCCACGAACAGAAAGTTAAAACACTGCATGTTCTCACTCATATGTGACGCTTTTAAAAAGTTGATTTCATAGAAGTGAAAGAACAGAGGATACTGGAGGCTGGGAAGAGCAGGGGGAAGGAAGGGACAGGGAAAGATTTGTTAAAAGACACAAAATTGTGGCTCACACCTGTAATCCCAGCACTTTGGGAGGCCGAAGGGGGTGGATCATGAGGTCAGGAGTTCACGACCAGCCTGGCCAAGATGGCGAAACCCCATCTCTACTAAAAATACAAAAATTAGCTGGTCGTGGTGGTGGGCGCCTGTTATCCCAGATACTCGAGAGGCTGAGGCAGAGAATTGCTTGAACTCGGGAGGCGGAGGTTGCAGTGAGCCGAGATCGCGCCATTTGCTCTCCAGCCTGGGAAACAGAGCAAGACTCCGTCTCAGAAAAAAAAAAAAGACAAAATTGGGCCTGGCACAGTGGCTCACACCTGTAATCCCAGCACTTTGGGAGGCTGAAGCGGGCAGATCCCGAGGTCAAGAGATTGTGACCATCCTGGCCAACATGGTGAAACCCCGTATCTACTACAAATACAAAAATTAGCTGGGTGTGGTGGCGCGCACCTGTAGTCCCAGCTACTAGGGAGGCTGAGGCAGGAGAATCGCTTGAACCCGGGAGGCAGAGGTTGCAGTGAGCTGAGATTGTGCCACTGCACTCCAGCCTGGCAACAGAGCAAGACTCCATCTCAAAAGAAAAAAAAAAAAGACACAAAATTACAATTTTTTTTGAGACAGGGTCTCTATTGCCCAGGCTGGAGTGCAGCAGCAGGATCATGGCTCACTGCCTCCTTGACCTCCTGGGCTCAAGCTGTCCTCCCACCTTGGCTTCCAAAAGTGCTAGGATTACAGCTGTGAGCCACCACACTGGCCCCCAATTACATTTGTTTGTTCGTTTGTTTGTTTGTTTGAGATAGGATCTCACTTTGTCACCCAGGCTGGAATACAGTGATGCAATCACTGCTCACTGCAGTCTCGACCTCCTGGGTTCAAGTGATCATCGCACCTCAGCCTCGTGGGTAGCTGGAACTACAGGCTCGTGTCACCACGCCTGGCTAATTTTTTGTACTTTTTGTGGAGATGAGATTTCATCATGTTGCCCACGGTGATCACCTGAGCTCAAGTGATCCCCACTCCTCAGCCTCTCAATGTGCTGGGATTACAGGTGTGAGCCACCTCGCTTGGCCCCAAATTACATTTAGATAGGAGGAATAAATTCTAGTGTTCTTGGCCGGGTGTGGTGGCTCACACCTGTAATCCCAAAACTTTGGGAGGCTGAAGTGGGCAGATCACCTTAGATCAGGAGTTTGAGACTAGCCTGGCCAACATGGCGAAACCCCATCTCTACTAAAAATACAAAAATTAGCCGAGCACGTTGGCGGGTGCCTGTAATCCCACCTACTAGGAGGCAGAGGCAGGAGAATCACTTGAACCCCGGAGGCGGAGGTTGCAGTGAACCAAGATCGCACCATTGCACTCTAGCCTGGGCAACAAGAGTGAGACTCCATCTCAAAAAAAAAAAAAAAAATTCTAGTGTTCTATATCACTGGGGGATAACTATGATTAACAATAATATTTTCAAATAGCTAGAAGAAGGATATTGAATGTTTGTGCTGGAGACAAATAAATTATATATTTGTGAGGCCAGGCACGGTGGCTCACGCCTGTAATCCCAGCACTTTGGGAGGTTAAGGTGGGCAGATTATTTGAGGTCGGTAGTTCAAGACAAGCCTGACTGACATGGTGAAACCTTGTCTTTACTAAAAAGTACGCAAATTGGCCAGGAGTGGTGGCAGGTGCCTGTAGTTCCAGCTACTTAGGAGGCTGAGACATGAGAATCACTTGAAACCGGGAGGTGGAGGTTGTAGTGAGCCAACGTCGTGCCACTGCACTCCAGCTTGGATGACAGAGCGAGACACCATCTCAAAATAAATAAATAAATAAATGATACATTTTTTAGATGACAGATATACTAATTATCCTGATCTGATCACTAAACATTTTATGTATTGAAACATCACTATGTGCCCCATAAATATGTACAATTATGTGCCAATTAAAAATTAAAATAAAATAAAACAACAACAAAAAGAGAACACAGCTTTAGAGCCAGCCAGACCTGAATTTGAGTGTGAACTTTAAGGTCTTTTAGCTGTATGACTTTGGACAAGTTGCTTTACTTCTCTGAATCTCAGTTTTCTCATCTGCAAAGTGGGACTGATAATAATACCTATCTTTTAAGGTCGTAGAAGATTAAGAGATATAATTATTGGCCAGGTGCCATGGCTCACGCCTATAATCCCAGTACTTTGGGAGGCCGAGGCGGGTAGATCACAAGGTCAGTAGTTCGAGACCAGCGTGGCCAGTATGGTGAAACCCCATCTCTACTGAAAATATAAAAATTACCCAGGCATGGTGGCGGGTGCCTGTAGTCCCAGCTAGTCGAGAGGCTGAGGCAGGAGAATAGCTTGAACCCAGGAGACGGAGGTTGCAGTGAGCCAAGATAGCACCACTGCACTCCAGCCCGGGCGACAGAGCCACATTCTGTCTCAAAAAAAAAAAAAAAAAAAAAAAAAGACAGAGAGAGATAATTCTTGTCAACTGCTTAGCACAGTGTTTAGTAAGTGCATAGTAAATGTGTAGTAGGTGGTAACTACTACATGGCATTCAGTATTCAGATCCTTCATAATTTAGCCTCTCCCTGTCCTTCTAGTCACACCTCCTGCGACATCACTACTCCAGCATCTCTCCCCTAACACCCAATTCTCTGTCATGCCTCTATGCCTTTCTTTCTCCTTAGAATCCCTTTCCTTTCTTTTCTAATTTTATGGGAGAGTGGAGTCTTCCTGAACACCCATTCCTCTCTTTCCAGGCACAATTCATATAACTATGGAGATGATGTCTTCTGTAGTCTCTGGAATAGTTCCAATCTCAAATATTGTCTGTTGTAAAGACTGTTCTCATTTTTTATTCTGAAAATATGGTTATCAAACCATAGCACTTACACAAACTTTATGATGGCACCTATTACATTGTATTCTAATGATTCACATGTCTGTTCCCCTCATTAGTCTGTGATCTTTTTGAGGGCAGGGGCTTAATCTTTTCCTTTTTTTAATTAAAAAAAATTGTTTTGGAGACATGGTTTTGCTCTGTCGCCCAGGCTGGAGAGTAGTGGTGCAATTTTAGCTTACTGCAGCCTTGACCTCCTGGGCTCAAGTGATCCACCCATCTCAGTTTCCTTAGTAGCTGTGACTACAGGTGCGCACCACCACGCTCAGCGAATTTTTGTATTTTTTGTAGAGATAGGATTTTTGCCATGTTGCCCAGGCTAGTCTTGAACCCCTGGGCTCAAGCAATCTGCCTGCCTCAGCTCCCAAAGTGTTGGGATTACAGGAGTGAGCCATCCTGCCTGATGATGGGCTTAATGGTCATCTGTGTATTCCAGGAACTCTAATAGTGCCTGGGACGTAGCTTGGGCTAAATAATGTTAATTGAGTGAATTAATTAATGAATGATTAATTGAATAAATAGCCCATCCTCTTATTGTAGAATCCTTTCCTTGCTCTTGCCAGTCCCCATCACTTCATTCTAATCTTAGAAACTTTTCTGGCCGGGCGCAGTAGCTCATACCTGTAATCCCAGCACTTAGGGAGGCCGAGGCAGGCAGATCACGAGGTCAAGAGATCGAGACCATCCTGGCTAACACAGTGAAACCCTGTCTCTACTAAAGATACAAAAAATTAGCCGGACGTGGTGGTTTGTGCCTGTAATCCCAGCTACTTGGGAGGCTGATGCAGGAGAATCGCTTGAACCCGGGAGGCGGAAGTTGCAGCGAGCCAAGATCGCGCCACTGCACTCTAGCCTGGGCGACAGAGGGAGACTCTGTCTCAAAAAAAAAACAATAATAAAATAAATAAATAAATAAAATAAAGAAACTGTTCTAAGATATGAATGACACTTTAATAAAGGTGTGGGTGTGTACTCACATGTACTGAAGTCTGTACCTGTGGCCCTACTTTGAGGTCATCAGATTGTACCCCCTTTCCCAAAGTATGTATTGGTGAACTCCCTTTTCTGTTTCCTTGGGGCACTAAGCCAACATGTCCTGCTCTGCCCCTGTTTCCACACCCTGCCACGTCACCACAGTTCTACTATGCCAGGAATGTTACCGGGGAGGAGTGGTTCCATGACTCAGAGGACACCCCAGGTACTGAGTGGGAGTGGGGGCGCCCCAGGGACTGAGTGGGAGTTGGTGAAATTAAAAATAAAAATAGTACTTGATGAAAATAAAAATTAAAAATATAAAAAATTAGCTGGGCGTGGTGGTGCATGCCTGTAGTCCCAGCTACTCGGGAGGCTGAGGCAGGAGAATCGCTTGAACCCGGGAGGTGGAGGTTGCAGTAAGCCAAGCGCCACTGCACTCCAGCCTGGGTGACAGAGCCAGACTCTGTCTCAAAAATAAAATAAAATGGAATTCACAGATTAGCTCACAGGGAGAAGATTCCTCTGTTTGACTGCGTTGGTCATTCTGGGATTTATTAGTCTGTTTCCAATTTTAAAATCAGAAACAGCTTTACATCAACACCAGCCGATTTTTTTTTTTTTTTTTTTTTTTTTTTTGAGACGGAGTCTCGCTCTGTCGCCCAGGCTGCAGTGCAGTGGCACGATCTCGGCTCAGTGCAAGCTCCGCCTCCCAGGTTCATGCCATTCTCCTGCCTCAGCCTCCCGAGTAGCTGGGGCTACTACAGGCGCCGGCCAACTCACCCGGCTAATTTTTTGTATTTTTAGTAAAGACGGGGTTTCACTGTGTTAGCCAGGATGGTCTCGATCTCCTGACCTCGTGATCCGCCCGCCTCGGCCTCCCAAAGTGCTGGGATTACAGGCGTGAGCCACCGCGTCCGGCTACACTATCCGATTTCTAAAGTAACTCAGGAAATGGTAGCAATCCTATGCCTTTTCGGAAAACAAGGATAATTTATTCAACAAATATTTATTTATTGAATACCTATGAGCCAAATCCTGTGCTCAGTGTGCCCCTCACTAGTTCCTGTCCTGTTTAGTTGAGTGGAGGGTATAGGTACAGGGAATTATAAAATACTTCAACACAACAAAATTCCACTGCTGTGGAATTACAAACAAGATTTTGTCTACTTTCGGTGCCCAAAGGAAGACGAATAATCCAGCAGGTGGCAGCAGGGAAACAATTATCTTAGATCTTCATAAGGGAGGAGTAGAAGGCTGCAGTAAATGCATGGGGATTTTTTTTTTTTTTTTTTTTTGAGTTGGAGTTTCGCTCTTGTTGCCCAGGCTGGAGTGCAAAGGCGCCATCTCGGCTCACCGAAACGTCTGCCTCCCAGGTTCAATCAATTCTCCTGCCTCAGCCTCCGGCGTAGCGAGTAGCTGGGATTACAGGAATGCTCCACTACGCCTGGGTAATTTTGTATTTTTAGTAGAGACGGCGTTTCTCCATGTTGGTCAGGCTGGTCTTGAACTCCCGACCTCAGGTGATCCGCCCGCCTCGGCCTCCCAAAGTGCTGGGCTTACAGGCGTGAGCCACTGCGCCCGGCCTTTTTTTTTTTTTTTTTGAGACTGAGTTTCGCTCTCGTTGCCCAGGCTGGAGTGCAATGGCGCGATCTTGGCTCACTGCAACCTCTGCCTCCTGGGTTCAAGCGATTCTCCTGCCTCAGCCTCCCGAGTAGCAGGGATTACAGGCACCCGCCACCACGCCCAGCTAATTTTTTGTATTTTTAGTAGAGACGCGGTTTCACTATGTTGGCCAGGCTTGTCTCGTACTCCTGAGCTCAGATGATCCACCTACCTCGGCCTCCCAAAGTGCTGGAATTTCAGGCGTGAGCCACGGCGCCCGGCCTGCATGGGGATATTCTATGGATGTTCGGGTCCTAGGTTACTTTATGAGGACCCACAAGACATCTGGAAAGAGGATAACCAGGTCATTCTGGGGGTTACAAAACCTGTTTTTTTTGTTTGTTTGTTTTGTTTTGTTTTGAGACAGTTTCGCTCTGTCGTCCAGGCTAGAGTGCAGTGGCGCGATCTCCGCTCACTGCAAGCTCCGCCTCCCAGGTTCATGCCATTCTCCTGCCCCAGGCTCCCGAGTAGCCTGGGACTACAGGCGCCCGCCACCACGCCCGGCTAATTTTTTGTATTTTTAGTAGAGACGGGGTTTCACCGTGTTAGCCAGGATGGTCTCGATCTCCTGGCCTCGTGATCCACCCGCCTCGGCCTCCCAGAGTGCTGGGATTACAGGCGTGAGCCACCGCGCCCGGCCACAAAACCTGTTTTAATGGAGTTATTTCATGGGCCATGAGTTTGAGAGGATCTATCTGACCGACTCTTACCCCGAATGTTTTACCATTCCTCTTTATTTATTCATTCCACAGATAATTATGGAGCCCCTACTATGTACGAAGTCACTGGAGGAGCTGGAGATACAAGAGTGAACCAAACACAGTCCTTGCTCCCCAGAAGTTTTACAGTCTGCTCAGAGAGACTGGTCTTCCCACCAGGGTTCATAGCCTACGGGGTACTTTGTTAAAAACGAGCAGTTACTACGAAGACTACAATGGGAGAAATTTTTCTGTGTATCTCCATGCCCTTTGGAGCACAGATAATTGACAGTTGGAGGCTAAAGGGGTTGGGTCGCGGGAAGGTTGTGATAAGTCCCTGATAGCCTCCCGTGCCCTTTTTTGACAGGTCTTCACTGATTCATGCATCAAATATTTACTGAACTCCGTCACTGTGCAGTGCCTAACTTTGTGCTTGAGGCAAACAAAACACAGATCTATTTCGAATGCCATTCCGAGGAAGGTAAGACATGCACGCACGTTTAATCAAATAGTAAACAAGAGTAGTAAAACAGGAAAAAGACTAAGAAGAGTTCTTGGTGGTATTAAATGTTTTGTGATATTCGACACCTTAACGTCTCTGACTTGACACCAGTACTCCCGCAGAGAGTTCTTTCCTGGGTTAGGAATTTCAGAGGACTTGGCGGACCGACTCTTGTCCCGAGTTCAGATCACTCGACCCAGTCCTAGCAAAGAACTGAACCTAAGAGGACCTGCCGAGCCACCGTAGGGACTGTCGGCCAACCCGCGCGCGCACATCTTCCACCCGTGGACTCGTCAGGGCGTGAGGACCCACCTCACGTGACCATTAGCAGCCTCCCGATTGGTTTTGCTCCTTTTTTCTCCCCAATGAGTGGGCTGATGCCCCGAGAAGGTCGGGCGCATGCGCAGTGCTCGGATTTTTTGCTTGGCTACCCGGAGTGAAGCGGCCGGGTTGGGCGATTAACAGGCCGTGGTTAGGAAGGACGGAGAAGGGGCGTTCGCTCCTTTGGGACTTTTCATGCCTCGTTTTTTTTTCAGATGTGGCTTGGTCTGGGCGCAAGGTCCCAGCAGCCAGCTTAAGCTTACTCTTCTGTGAAAGGGGAAAGTATCCCCTGTGGAAAGCGGTTAAACTTGTGGAGGGGGTGCGGGACGTGAGTTCTTCCCCATGCCAGGCGAATGGTGTGGCCTTGAGCTGGTCCAGGAGCCGGCTCGACGTGTCTGAGGGAGGCCCCGGAGGGGGCGGGGAGGTGGCCCACAGAACGCGGGTTCTGTAAAGAGACGTTGGGAAGATTCGATTCCGAGAAGAGGAAGAACCGGATTGAAAGAGAGCCAGGCCGCTGAGGGGGAGGGGGCTGCTAAGATGGCGTCGGCCTCCTCCGGGCCGTCGTCTTCGGTCGGTTTTTCATCCTTTGATCCCGCGGTCCCTTCCTGTACCTTGTCCTCAGGTAAGCCCGGCAGGGCGTGGGTAGGGAGCTGGTGAGGAATATGCGATGGGAGGAAGAGCGAGACCTAAGAGGGTACCTGTAGCTGGGAATGTCCTACGTGTTACCGGTAAGTGGGCGCGAGCTGGGCTTTCAAATAGGGATTTATGAGCGGGCAGGAGTTTGAGGAAAGGATAAGTTTGATTAAGAAGTTGTCGAAAACTTTGGTTGTCTTTGAGGAGGACGGATGGAGATTGAAGGTGGGGGTAGGGTGGCCCGGCGCGGTGGCTCACGCCTGTAATCTCAGCACTTTGGGAGGCCTTGGCGGGCGGATCATTTGAGGTCAGAAGTTCGAGACGAGCCTGGCCAACATAGAGAAATCTCGTCCCTACTAAAAATACAAAAATTATCCGGACAGTAGTGGCGTGCATCTGTAATCCCAGCTACTTGGGAGGCTGAGGCAGGATAATCCCTTGAGCCTGGGAGGCAGAGCTTGCGGTGAGCCGAGATTGGGCCACTGCTCTCCAGTCTGGGCGAGAGAGTGAGACCCTGTCTCAAAAAAAAAAAAAAAGAAGTTGCGGTAGGAAACAAGAGAAACGGAAGGGAGTAGAGAAACTAAGAAAGTAAATGGAGGCCTAAGAAGTAGAGAGAACTACTTAGTGTGAGAGGCAGGTGGAATCTAAGTTGATTGTGGGCTAATTGGATGAAAATGTTGAAGAGAAGCCATGGGACTTAAAAGATATCGAAAAGTTATTGGACGCTTTCGATTTCTGGAGAGGTAGGGAATCGTGAATTTTGTTGGGTGGGCGGGAGTTGTTGAAGCCATCTTTTCCCTCAGATACTCCCCCCTAATGTGTCACCCCTTCTCACTTCGCACCCCCACCCTTAGGGCCGCACAGGCACACAGACACACATACATACTTTCTCAGACTAATTCCTTTGGTGATTCCCAACTCTAAACTGCCCAACTTTGGGAAGGAATGGAAATTTTGAAGAGAGTCTAAGGAATGTAGGAAATTAAGGTCAAAGACCTTAAAAACAGATGGGAAAGATGGAATGGAGTCTTGAATTGCAGTAGAGACTGCGAGAAGTGATGTTTTGGAAATTAGGCCTGAGAAGAAGAAAGATGGGTGGGGGGGTGACTGTAAGTGTTGTGGGGGAGTATTGCATAATAGAAAAATGGACTGGAAGAATGCTTACGCTGTATCAGGAGATTGGAATTTGGAGAATGGAGCCAGGTTAATGTAGAGAGCTCAGCGTATTAATAGTTAAAAACGAATGAAGATTGAGGGAGGGCTGAGGAGGCTCACAAGAAAAGCAGTAGATTGTGTGTAGGGGAGAAAGTGTGTGTATGTGTGTCGGGTGGGGGGGCGGGAGGTGAGTCAGAAACTGAGCGCTTCCATCAGAAGTGTCTGGTGTTTCACAGTAACTGCTGCTTCTACACTGGAATAGACGCTGCCAGATGTTGGATGCTTTGCTTGAGATTTTGGTATTTCCTCAGGCCTGGTGTTGCGTTTTTGCTGTTTAGAATTTGCTGAATAGGGTTCCTTCCACCTTTCACATTCCAGCTCAGATGCTGAAATATCTAGTCACACATATCTTCTTAATAAGCTGCAGTTTTATTTATTTTTAATAAATCTCTATTTTTAGTTTGTTGAGAGGGGATTTTTTACCTTTCCTATAAAAGTATTAGGGGACCAGAACAACTCATGCTGCATTATAAGCATGAAATAGGATAAAGTAAAAGTGACAGGGTATTTATTTATTTATTTATTTATTTATTTATTTTTGAGACGGAGTCTCGCTCTGTCGCCCAGGCTGGAGTGCAGTGGGGCCATCTCGGCTCACTGCAAGCTCTGCCTCCCGGGTTCACGCCATTCTTTTGCCTCAGCCTCCCGAGTAGCTGGGACTACAGGCGCCCACCACCACGCCTGGCTAATTTTGTTTTTTGTATTTTTAGTAGAGACGGGGTTTCACCGTGTTAGCCAGGATGGTCTCGATCTCCTGACCCTGTGATCCGCCCGCCTTGGCTTCCCAAAGTGCTGGGATTATAGGCGTGAGCCACCGTGCCCCACCTGGGTTTTTATTTTTAATAGAGTAGCTCCTTAATTTGAAACCTGCTTCCCCTCTAATCCCCAACCCAGAAAGAAGAAGGGTTGTGTATGGTCCATAAACAAACTTCTCAACTATTAAGTCAGGTGTTTGCTTTGTACTCTTTGGTATTTTTGTAGGTCTTTATGTTTTCTGTCAGATCCTCTCACTAACAGTTAATAATACAGATTGTATAAATGTTTTTGTGGTTTTTTTTTTGAGACAGAGTATCATTCTGTCACCCAGGCTGGAGTGCAGTGGTGCCATCTTGGCTTACTGCAACCTCTGCCTCCCAGCTTCGAATGAGTCTCCTGACTCAGTCTCCCAAGTAGCTGGGAATACAGGCATGTGCCATCATGCCTGGCTATTTTATTTTTTTGTGTTTTTAGTAGTGATGGGGTTTCATCATGTCAGCCAGACTAGTCTTGAACTCCTGACCTCAAGTAATCCGCCCACTTCGGCCTCCAAAAATGCTGGGATTACAGGCATATCGCAAGGTCAGGAGTTCGAGACCAGCCTGGCCAACATGGTGAAACCCCATCTCTACTAAAAAATACAAAAAAATTAGCCAGGCATGTTGGCGCAGGCCTGTAATCCCAGCTACTTAGGAGGCTGAGTCAGGAGAATTGCTTGAACCCGGGAGGCAGAGGTTGCAGTGAGCCGAGATCACACCACTGCACTCCAGTCTGGGTGACAGAGCAAGACTCTGTCTCAAAACAAAAAAAAGGGGGCAAAAAGTGGCTAAATTTCAAGCTCTTGATGGACTATGGAAAGATTATAATGGCCTCCACCAAATCCAAACATGGTAATTGCTCCAATAGCAAAAGTAGTTAAACATCTCTTAGAGCTTATGGTTTGCTTTACTCTGTGTATTTCACTTGTCAACAGTGTAAAAGCTGACAGCTTAATGGTGAAACTATCTTTAATATTGGCAGGGAACAAACTCTCCTAAATAACCTCTCCTTCCCAATTTAAATGCCAGAAGATTGGGAGTGCCTAGAAGTTGTGAGTGGCTTATCAAAAACTGTCAATATGTCCTTGGCTATGACATTTTTGTTTTATATCCATTTTCAGCATTGTCAGAGAACATTGTCCTTTAGGATTTCAGAGTTTCACCAAAACTTAAGTGGAGTTCAGCTAAACAGCTAAGAACAGTAAATGGTTTTAGGGTGGTTGACACGCACACTTCTTGAATTTCTACAGGGCCAGCCTTCTAGCCTTTAACAATTCAGGAAATCATAAACCATCACTTGTTCCTGCCAACTTCCTAATTCCTCTGGTACCATGCAGACAAAGAAACACTCTCTTCCAAT
This sequence comes from Homo sapiens, assembly GCF_000001405.40. Classification (NCBI taxonomy): domain Eukaryota; kingdom Metazoa; phylum Chordata; class Mammalia; order Primates; family Hominidae; genus Homo; species Homo sapiens. The sequence goes on from NC_000001.11 coordinate 151,202,462, forward strand.
CGCAAATAAAATCTTTTTTCTCTTTTTTTAGGTGGACTCTTGCTCTTGTCACCCAGGCTGGAGTGCAGTGGGGTGATCTTGGCTCATTGCAGCCTCAGCCTCCCGGGTTCAAGCGAGTTGCCTGCTCAGCCTCCCAAGTAACAGATTACAGGCACCTGCCACCACATCTGACTAATTTTTGTATTTTAGTAGAGACAGGGTTTCACCATGTTGGCCAGGCTGGTCTCAAACTCCTGACCTCAGGTGATCCACCCATCTCGGGCTCCCATAGTGCTGGGATTACAGGCGTGAGCCACCATGCCCTGCCAGTAAAGTCTTTTTTTTTTTTTGAGAGGGAGTCTCTCTCTGTCGCCCAGGCTGGAGTGCGGTGGAGCAATCTTGGCTCACTGCAGCCTCAGCCTCTAGAGTTCAAGCGATTCTCCTGCTTCAGCTTCCCAAGTAACTGAGATTACAGGCACCTGCCACGTCTGGCTAATTTTTGTATTTTAGTAGAGATCAGATTTCACCATGTTAGTCAGGCTGGTCTCAAACTCCTGACCTCAGGTGATCCTCTCGCCTCAGCCTTGCAAAGTGCTGAGGTACATACAGGCTTTAGCCGCCGCCGCTGGCCTTACTTTATGCCCTTTTTACCACCATGAGGAGAGTAAAGAATTTCTGTCTTGGAGGCTTGATTTGAAGTTAGTGGTTGGGTTAGAAGGGATAGGATACTAAGGTGTACACTGCTCCTATGAAATAAGAGTTGTGGAGTAAAATCATGTGTGACTTCCTCAAGGAAAAGCACTTGAGGCTGGGTACAATGGCTCACACCTATATTCTCAGCACTTTGGGAGGCCAAGGCAGGCGGATCACCTGAGGTCAGGAGTTTGAGACCAGCCTGGCCAACATGGTGAAACCCTGTCTCTGCTAAAAATACAAAAATTAGCCGGGTGTGGTGGCAGGCACCTGTAATCCCAGCTACTCAGGAGGCTGAGGCAGGAGAATTGCTTGAACCCGGGGGACAGAGGTTGCAATGAGTCAAGATCACACCATTGCATTCCAGCCTGGGGGACAAGAGTGAAACTCCATCTCAAAAAAAAAAAAAAGGCCAGGAGCAGTAGCTCACGCCTGTAATCCCAGCACTTTGGGAGGCCGAGGTGGGCGGATCACAAGCTCAAGAGATGGAGACCATCCTAACCAACGTGGTGAAACCCCGTCTCTACTAAAAATACAAAAATTAGCTAGTCATGGTGGCACACTCCTGTAGTCCCAGCTACTCGGAAGGCTGAGGCAGGAGAATTGCTGGAACCCAGGAGGCGCGGGTTGCAGTGAGCTGAGATCACGCCACTGTACTCCATCCTGGAGACAGAGTGAGACTCTGTCTCAAAAAAAAAAAAAAGAAAAAAGAAAAGCACTTAAACCCTAGATAATCATGAGCTGTGTAGTTCCTTTTGCTTCAGACTAGAACATTTTTAAAATGGTCATCGCTCACCTATATGATTTTATCATGTGCACAAATGATTTAGACATAACTTTACAGCTGCTTACCTGACTTTTTCTCCCCCTTAACGGCTCAGGGAGATCCAGAGGATACAGTATTGGAGCATTTTTGCTTGGGACTTTTATAGTAGGGACAGCTTCATCAGTCTGTGATTCTGATTGCTTTGTTCTTCCCAGCAGAGCCCTACCTGTAACCTGCAGTAATCTGTTAACTCCAGTAGTAGGGATTATTGTTGATATATATATATATTTTTTTGAGATGGAGTTTCGCTCTTGTTGCCCTGGTTGGAGTGCAATGGCGCGATCTCGGCTCACTGTAACCTCTGCCTCTGGGGTTTGAGTGATTCTCCTGCCTCTGCCTCCTGAGTAGGTGGGATTACAGGCACCCGCCAACACGCCCGGCTAATTTTTGTATTTTTAGTAGAGACGGGGTTTCGCCATGTTGGCCAGGCTAGTCTCAAACTCCTGATCTCAGGTGATCTGCCCACTTCAGCCTCCCAAAGTGCTGGTATTACAGGCGTGAGCCGCCACGCCCGGCCTGTGGATGTTTTTTTGATCTGTGTTCTGTTGTGTACAGTGTAAGCCATTTGTAGGCTGATTTCTTTCCTAGTTCTTCCTCTTAGTGAAAAGTAAAGCAGTTTAGATCATGTTGAATGATAAACTGAAATTTAGAAATGCAAACATAGAATACAATGTCAGAATATCACCAGGTGCCATTTTGGTTGATATTTTATAAATAGGGAGATATTTTTCTGTTTACTCTCCATAGGGATTTTGACACTTTCCACCCACCCCTTTTTCCTTTTGTCACCTTGGTATATTCTGCCAGAAAACTGACATCAGAATGTCATTGCTTCTGATCGATTTATTTCTGCCATGACACTCAAGCCCATTGTCAGTTATAATTAACTAGTCTAATAGGTATCCAGTTTCTGATATTAATTGATAATGTGTACTTACACGTTAGCGTTGAATATCAAAATAGTACGTTTTGCTTATTAATGTCTGTGGGCTTTTTTAGGTTAATTTAAAACTCTTCTGATTAATACCTTTGCTCAAATATGTGCTACCTAATAGCTATTAAATATTTTATTAGCCTGTTTTTCTTGGATAATAAAGTGGAAACTATAGCCTGTGAAGTGAACAACAGAGATAATACCAGGCCAGCTAGCAAACTGGGGAGAGGGAAGGTGGTAATTTTATCCTTTAAATTGTTCTCTCCTAGAATGTTATTTATTATTTTTTTGAGACAGAGTCTTGCTCTGTCGCCCAGGCTACAGACCAGTGTAGTGCAGTGGTGCGATCTTGGCTCACTGCAGCCCTTGCCTCCCAGGTTCAAGCGATTCTCCTGCCTCAGCCTCCTAGGTCACTAGGATCACAGGCGTGCGCCACCACGCCCAGATAATTTTTGTATTTTTAGTAGAGGCGGGGTTTCCCCATGTTGGCCAGGCTGGCCTTGAACTCCTGGCCTCAAGCGATCCTCCTGCCTTGGCTTCCCAAAGTTCTGAGATTACAGGCGTGAGCTACTGCCCGGCCTCTCTCCTAGAATTTTGGAGCATTCTTACTTGACGTAAAGAAGGGAACAAGAGCCGGGCATGGTGACTCACGCCTGTAATGCCAGCACTTTGGGAGGCCAAGGCAGGTGGATCACCTGAGGTCAGGAGTTCCAGACCAGCCTGGCGAAACCCTGTCTCTACAAAAAATACAAAAATTAGTCAGACGTGGTGGCGTGCTCGTGTAATCCCAGCTGCTAGGGAGGCTGAGTCAAGAGAATCACTTGAACCCAGGAGGCGGAGGTTGCAGTGAGCTTAGAGTGCACTACTGCACTCCAGCCAGGGCAACAGAGCAAGACTCCGTCTCAAAAAAAAGAAAAGGGAACAAGAAAACTTATCAGTTTATTTTTCTTTCTTCTTTTTACTGGGTTTCCTTGATCAAGGACAAAAGTGTACTTCAAGAATATACTCTTTCCTGATGGCCAGGTAGAGAGGGAATCTTTGTTTTTCTGTGCTCCATACCCAGCCCAGAGAGACTGAATGAAACACCGATGGTGTTTCCTAGAGGAAACCCTAAGAAGCCCGTTTCCCCTATTGCACCTCACTTCTCTGCCCTTTCCCATCTAAACAGAGAATTTAATTTCGACATATGTTTATCCTGTTTTGTTCATATCTCCTACAAGCTTTTATTCTTTTACTGTTTTCTATTTGAAGTGAACTTTTTTCCCTCAACCCCTCCATCTTTTTAAACTGTCTCCATTTTTCTTTATTCTCCTGTGAAATTTCAGTCTGTTTATTTGTAATGGTTGTATTCAGTATGTATTAATTTACAAATATCTAATTCCTGGAAAATCTCTCTTGTTGGAATCTGAGGAAGACATTGGCAAAAAGAGAGGAAGGTAGGTCTGTTGTAGGGAGTTCAGCATATTCTTATTATTTACCTTGTATACTTAACTGAGCAATATGGAAGTAATCCAGAATAAGCTGTCCAAAAAGATTAGAGATATTGGTTGGGGGTGGGCAAAGGGGAGGTGAGCAAAGGAAGTTGGCGAGAGGGAATGAGAAGAGGGTTTTTTGTTCTTGTTTGTTTGTTTTTAGGATATTTAATTAGAGTATATTAATACTTTTTTTGTTTTGTTTTGTTTTGTTTTTTGAGGCGGAGTTTCACTCTTTTGCCCAGGCTGGAGTGCAGTGGTGGGATCTCAGCTCTCTGCAACCTCCACCTCCCGGGTTGAAGCGATTCACCAGCCTCAGCCTCCCAAGAAGCTGGGACTACAGGCACGTGCCACCACATCCGGCTAATTTTTGTACTTTCAGTAGAGACAGGGTTTCACCATGCTGGCCAGGCTGGTCTCTAACCCCTGACCTCAGGTGATCTGCCCACCTCAGCCTCCCAAAGTGCTGGGATTATAGGCGTGAGCCACCTTCCCGGCTATTTTTGTATTTTTAGTAGAGACGGGGTTTCGCCATGTTCGCCAGGCTGGTCTCGAACTTCTGACCTCAGGCGACCCTCACTGCAACCTTCGCCTGCTGGGTTCAAGCGATTCTCCTGTCTTAGCCTCCCTAGTAGCTGGGATTACAGGTACACACCAACATGCCTAGCTAATTTTTGTATTTTTAGTAGAGATGAGGTTTCACCATGTTGGCCAGGCTGATCTTGAACTCCTGACCTCAAGTGATCTGCCCGCCTTGGCCTCCCAAAGTGCTGGGATTACAGGCGTGAGCCACCGCGCCTGGTCTGAAATATGTTCATTTTAATCCAGCAGAATTCATTGCTGTTTCAAGATAGAACCAGATTTGGAAATAAAATTGGAAGGTGGCTATCTGCCAAAAATTTCAAGTGCCTCTTGGCCATGGGTAGCTTATTCAGGAAACCCAAGTCTTTTAAGGAAGGACTTGGATTTTTTTCTTAATTTCAAAGAACGTTTTTGTGCCAAGGGATACATATTTGAGGTCTGAGAACCATGAAACTTGTTTGTAGGATTAGAAGCAAAAGTTGACTAGAGGGAAATGTAGAGTTATTTTAATTTAACTCCCTCATTTTCCAAATTAGGAAACTGAGGTAAAGATGTTGCATAAAGGCTGTATGTTACCAAGATTAATCTTTTTTTTTTTTTTTGAGATGGAGTCTCGCTCTGTCCCTCAGGCTGGAGTGCAGTGGCGTGATCTCGGCTCACTGTGACCTCTGTCTTCCAGGTTCAAGTGATTCTGCTTCCTCAGCCTCCCAAGTAGCTGGGATTACAGGCGCACGCCACCACGCCTGGCTAATTTTTGTATTTTTAGCAGAGTCAGGGTTTCACCATGCTGGCCAGGCTGGTCTTGAACTCCTGACCTCGTGATCTGCCTGCATCGGCCTCCCAAAGTGCTGGGATGATTACGGGCATGAGGCACCACACCTGGCCATCAAGATTAATCTTAATAAATATGTTGCTCCTTCTTTTTTTTTTTTTTGAGACAGAGTTTCGCTCTTGCTGCCCAGTCTGGAGTGCAGTGGTGCGATCTTGGCTCACTGCATCCTCCTCCTCCTGAGTTCAAGTGATTCCCCTGCTTCCCTAGTAGCTGGGATTACAGGCACATGCCACCACGCCTGGCTAATTTTTGTATTTTTAGTAGAAATGGGGTTTCTCCATGTTGGGTCAGGCTGTTCTCGAACTCCTAACTTCAGCTGATCCACCTGCCTTGGCCTCCCAAAGTGCTGGGATTACAGGTGTGAGCCACCGGGCCCAGCTGGCTCATTCTTTGATATACTGCTTTTAATTGGCTATTAGCTGAGGTGACCCCAGGACTGGTAGATCAAATTGCTTTCAAGCTTTTGTTTCTAGGGACATCCTTGCACTTCTGACTGTTTCCTAGAAGAGCGTTAGGAAAAATTTACACCAGCTAAGAAACAAAATTTAGCTTTTCTCTGAAATGTGGCTTGGTTTTCTTTTCTTTTTTTTTTTTTTTTGGAGATGGAGTCTCACTCTGTCGCCTAGGCTGGAGTGCAGTGGTGCAATCTTGGGTCACTGCAAGCTCCACTTCCCGCTTTCAAGCGATTCCCCTGCCTCAGCCTCCTGAGTATCTGGGATTACAGGCGCACACCACCACGCCCAGCTAATTTTTGTATTTTTAGTAGAGACGGGGTTTCACCATGTTGGTCAGGCTGGTCTCGAACTCCTGACTTTGGCATCCACCTGCCTCAGCCTCCCAAAGTGCTGGGATTACAAGTGTGAGCCACTGCGTCCGGCCGTGGCTTGGTTTTCTTAATTTGCTTGATCCAGTCATTATTAAGGATGTTGTAATGGTACGCTTTTTTTTTTTTTTTTTTTTTTTTTTTTTTGGAGACGGAGTCTTGCTCTGTTGCCCAGGCTGGGGTGCACTGGTGCAATCTCGGCTGACTGCAAGCTCCGCCTCCTGGGTTCACGCCATTCTCTTGCCTCAGCCTCCCGAGTAGCTGGGACTACAGGCGCCTGCTACCACGCCCGGCTAACTTTTTGTATTTTTTTTGGTGGGGGTGTTTCACCGTGTTAGCCAGGATGGTCTCGATCTTCTGACCTGGTGATCTGCCTGCCTCGGCCTCCCAAGGTGCTGGGATTACAGGCGTGAGCCACTGCGCCTGGCCGCTTTTTTTTTTTTTGAACACACTTCCTTAGAGCTATGTGTTCAGCAGTACTTCTCAGGAGGCAGGTTGACATTTCAAGAGTATTTTCAGTTGAAGAACAATTTGTGTCTCCCACCTGCAGGCGTATAGAGTGTCTTTCAGTATTCCAAGTTAACTAGGACCAGAGAGATTGCCTCAGATAATCCAGCAAATAACTGGGTAGATTTTGTTTTTGTTCTATTATATTGTAAGGGATCTTGCTTTTTTTCTTTCCCCCGCCCAAGACAGAGTCTTGCTCTGTCGCCCAGGCTGGAGTGCAGTGGCACGATGCCATCTCACTGCAACCTCCGCCTCCTGGGTTCAAGCAATTCTGCCTTAGCCTCTCTAGTAGCTGGGATTACAGGCGCGTGCCACCATGCCTGGCTAATTTTTTTTTTTTTTTTTTTGAGATGGAGTTTTGCTCTTGTCGCCCAGGCTGGAGTGCAATGGCATGATCTCTGCTCACCGCAACCTCTGCCTCCCAGGTTCAAGCAATTCTCCTGTCTCAGCCTCCTGAGTAGCTGGGATTACAGGTATGCGCCACCATACCTGGCTAATTTTGTATTTTTGGTAGAGATGGGGTTTCTCCATGTTGGTCAGGCTGGTCTTGAACTCCTGACCTCAGGTGATCCGCCCACCTCAGCCTCCCAAAGTGCTGGGATTACAGGTGTGAGCCACCGTGCCCCGCCTGTATTGTTAGTAGAGACGGGGTTTCACCATGTTGGCCAGGCTGGTCTTGAACTCCTAATCCTAACCTCGTGATCTGCCCACCTCAGCCTTCCAAAATGCTGGAGTTACAGGCGTGAGTCACCACGACTAGCCTGCATTTTTTTTTCTTTCTTTTTTCTGAGATGGAGTCTTGCTCTGTTGCCCAGGCTGATTGATGTGCAGTGGTGCAATCTTAGCTCACTGCAATCTCTGCCTCCTGGGTTCAAGAGATTCTTGTGCCTCTGCCTCTCGAGTAGCTGGGATTATAGGTGCCCGCCACCGTGTCTGGCTAATTTTTGTATTTTCAGTAGAGACGGGGTTTTGCCATGTTAGCCAGGTTGGTCTCGAACTCCTGACCTCAGGTGATCTGCCTGCTTCCGCCTCCCAAAGTGCTGGGATTACAGGTGTGAGCCACTGCGCCCGCCCTCCCCGGCCCCCCCACTTTTTTTTTTCCTCGAGACTGGATCTCACTCTGTCATCCAGGGTGGTGTGCAATGGCATGATGATAGCTCACTGTAGCCTCAAACTCCTGGGCTGAAGTGATCCTCCCACCTCAGCCTACTCAGGATTACAGGCATGGGCCACCACACTGCTGTTTTTTTTTTTTTCTTAAGTAGAGACAGTCTCATCATATTGCTCAGTCGATCTCAAACTCCTGGCCTAAAGCGATCCTCCTGTCTCAGCCTCTCAAAGTGCTGGAATTACAGGCATGAGCCACCCTGCTTGGTGTGGCGCTCCATCTTTATCAACCAAAAGTCCACTGAGAGTTAGCATTTTAATTCCAAAAAAGCTGCTTATCTCTTTGTGCTCTATGTAGGAACTATTGACATACATATATATTTTTTGAGATGGAGTCTCGCTCTGTTGCCCAGGCTGGAGTGTAGTGGCATGATCTGGGCTCACTGCAGCCTCCCGTCTCCTGGGTTCAAGTGATTCTCCTGCCTCAGCCTCCCGAGTAGTCGGGATTACAGGTGTGCGCCACCATGCCCGGCTAATTTTTTTGTATTTTTAGTAGAGACGGGTTTTGCCATGTTGACCAGGCTGGTTTTGATCTCCTGACCTCAGGTGATCTACCTGCCTCAGCCTCCCAAAGTGCTGGGATTACAGTCATGAGCCATTGTGCCCGGGCTTATTGACATATTTATGTAGTAGTGTTGGTAGGCAATTAAATTGGACCTCAGGGATTGTTTCCCTATGACCTGTTTGGGCAAAACTCCAGTTGTCTGAGGAATGCATATCTGGCTAGCCTTTAGTGTCCCCAAATTATATGTTTATTTCAAACATTAGAGTCAGTCACACACTGCTTCTTGGTTTCTCATCAGTAGATGATGTCATTGCATCTCTGACAGAAATGCTTCTGCTCTGAAAGTGCAGGGAGAGGCTGTGCTATTAAGGCCAACTCTGTTTTGTTCCACACACTAGAGTGAGGAGAACTCATTTCAGAATTATTTGGGCACAGTGGTTTCCACCTGTAGTCCCAGCACTTTGGGGGGCTGAGGCAGGCAGATTGCTTGAGCTCAGGAGTTTGAAACCAGCCTGGGTAACATAGTGAAACCCTGTCTCTACAAAAAATATAAAAATTAGCTGGGCATGGCGATGTGTGCCTGTAGTCCCAGCTACTCTGGAGTCTGAGGGGAGAATCACTTGAACCTGAGAGGTTGAGGCTGCAGTAAGCTGTGTTCCTGCCACTGCCCTCCAGCCTGGGTGACAGAGTGAGACCTTGTCTCAAGACCAAAAAACTTAAAAGATATTTTGTTGGCCAGGCGTGGTGGCTCATGCCTGTAATCCCAGCACTTTGGGAGGCTGAGGCGGGCAGATCACAAGGTCAGGAGATCGAGACCATCCTGGCTAACATGGTGAAACCCCGTCTCTACTAAAAATACAAAAAATTAGCCGGGCGTTGTGGCGGGCGCGTGTAGTCCCAGCTACTCCCAGCTGCTCGGGAGGCTGAGGCGGGAGAATGGCATGAACCCGGGAGGCGGAGCTTGCAGTGAGCCAAGATCGTGCCACTGCACTCCAGCCTGGGCGACAGAGCAAGAGTCTGTCTCAAAAAAGAAAAAAAAAGGCCGGGTGCGGTGGCTCACGCCTGTAATTCCAGCACTTTGGGAGAACGAGGCGGGCGGATCACGAGGTCAGGAGATCGAGACCATCCTGGCTAACGTGGTGAAACCCCGTCTCTACTAAAAACAAAAAATAAAAAAAAAATTAGCTGGGTGTGGTGGCAGGTGCCTGTAGTCCTAGCTATTCGGGAGGCTGAGGTAGGAGAATGGCGTGAATCCGCAAGGCAGAGCTTGCAGTGAGCCAAGATCACGACGCTGCACTCCATCCTGGGTGACAGTGTGAGACTCCGTCTCAAAAAAAAAAAAAGATTTTGTTTACATTATCTCTTCAAGTTATCTCTTAAACATCTTTGTGGCTGGTGCGGTAGCTTAACGCCTGTAATCCCAGCACTTCGGGAGGCCAAAGTGGGTGGATCAGTTGAAGCCAGGAGTTCAAAACCATCTTAAAGTTCAGCTCATTTCTCATTCTGAAGTTTCCTTTTTTCACACTTCTCAGATTATACTGATGGATTTTCACTTCCTTTACATTTTCTCCTTCCTCTCAATAGTGAATATTAGTCTCCAGTGGCTGGGTAGTAGCAAGTAAATTTATGAAGAATCATAGTTGTGTTTGCCAAGTGACTGGAAATCAGCTTCCCCAGTACCTCTTCACCACAAACACAATTAAAGGTGGGGCCGAGGATCAAAATGGAATGCTTCCTTAGGACTGGTACAGAGTTACTCAGAAAAATTTTCTGTGACATGGTGTGATGATTCGACTTTGCCTTTTTTTTTTTGAGACGGAGTCTCGCTCTGTCGCCAGGCTGGAGTACAGTGGCATGATCTCTGCTTACTGCAATCTCTGCCTCCCAGGTTCAAGCCATTCTCCTGCCTCAGCTTCTCGAGTAGCTGGGACTACAGGCGCACGCCACCACGCCTAGCCAATTTCTGTATTTTTAGTAGAGACGGGGTTTTACCATGTTGGCCAGGATGGTCTTGATCTCTTGACCTCGTGATCTGCCTGCCTCGGCCTCACAAAGTGCTGGGATTATACGCGTGAGCCACCGTGCCTGGCTGACTTTGCCTTTTTTTTTTTTTTTTTTCTTTTTTTTGAGACAGAGTCTCGCTCTGTCGCCCAGGCTGGAGTGCAGTGGCGTGATCTCGGCTCACTGCAAAGTTCGCCTCCTGGGTTCATGCCATTCTCCTGCCTCAGCCTCTGGAGTAGCTGGAACTACAGGCGCCCGCCACCACGCCCGGCTATTTTATTTTTTATTTTTAGTAGAGACGGGGTTTCACTGTGTTAGCCAGGATGGTCTCGATCTGACCTTGTGATTCCCCCGCCTTGGCCTCCCAAAGTGCTGGGATTACAGGTGTGAGCAACCGCGCCCGGCCTGCCTTTTTTTAAAAAATAAAATTTGTATTTTTTTGGGGTACTGCTCCTTGTGGAGCAGGGCTACCTTATAGGCAGTGTGTCCAGAGTAGGCTTGACATTGTATTTAGCAAAAATTGACTGGGTTGTTTTCACTTTGGCATTTGACTTGACTGGTTCTGCTGTTCTGGAATTATTTTAGTAACATTAATGATTTCCTAGCTTATTTTCATAATTTAGAAGCTAGTTCTTTAATATTTTTGAAGTCTTGGCATCCAGGAATTATGCTGAAATTGGGTATCCCTGTTTTATAGGAGAGTGTTGATTTCTGAGGGGTATGGTTCCCTTTTTAAGAGAGAATCTCTTATATGTGCTGATACAGGTATGTTTCAGGTTTTATAGTCATCTGAAAGTAATATGTAGTTGAGAAAGAGGGTATGAGAACGTAAGACTTATACTTATTTTTAGCTTAGGATCATCAGCAGCATTTCTGGCATTTTCTTTTCATATTTTTTCTTGTTCCTTATCTTTGCAATAGCATAACGTGGTTGTAATGAGCTTGAGTTAATGTGTGTGTGGGGAGTGTGGTGGTTTGTATGTGTGGGACTGTTGAGTAGTGGTTTACTGGGAAAAATGGGTTATTAAGCAAAGAAAATGACAGTAAAGCCATTCCTTTAATTGTTAAATTATGTAACATACACATTAAAATATTTGTATAGTTTATATAGGTAAGGAAAAATAGAAATTTAAAGTTACAAAATAAGCCTACTCCCACTATCAGGAAATGGTCATCTTTTAACATTTTGGTATATAATCTTGTGCACCTTTTCTATGTGTATAAGTTCATGTGAATTTATAGATAAAGTTTTTATAAAAAATTGTATTATATAATTTTTTGACCTTTTTCCACTCAATATATTGACATCCATAAATATACATAAAAATAATGGTTATATAGTGTTTGATTTTATGACTGCGCCATGATGTATATTATCAGTTCCCTATTGTTCACTTAGATTCTTTCCAATAATGGGATCTATGCAATTATAGTTATATATACACTGCTGTAATCCTTGTATATCCTTGTAATGTATAACCTTGTATATACATCTTTGTTTGCTTCACTAAGATAACTTAGTACTTCTTGGTCAGATTGTACATAATGATTTTTAAGGCTTTTTGCTTTGTTTTTTTCTGTTTTTTTGTTTTTGTTTTTGTTTTTGTTTTTGTTTTGAGATAGAGTTTCGCTCTGTTGCCCAGGCTGGATTTCAGTGACCCCATCTCGGCTCACTGCTGCCTCTGCCACCCATTATCAAGCGATTCTCGTGCCTCAGCATCCCTAGTAGCTGGGATTACAGGTGATCGCCACCATGTCCAGCTAATTTTTGTGTTTTTAGTAGAGATGGGGTTTTGCCATGTTGGTCAGGCTGGTCTCGAACTCCTGACCTCAAGTGATCCGCTTGCCTCAGCCTCCCAAAGGGCTGGGATTACAGGCGTGAGCCACAGCACCTGGCCGGCTTTTTGCAAGTTAGTACCAAATTGCCCTCAAGGAGCGGAAGAGCCTCAAACAAAATCTACCTTGTGACTGTCGCCCAGGTTGGAGCGCAATGGTGTGATCTTGGCTCACTGCAACCTCTGCCTCTTGGGCTCAGGTCATCCTCCCACCTCAGCCTTCTGAGTAGCTGGGACTACAGGCTTGCGCCACCACACCTGGCTAAATTTTTGTATTTTTAGTGGAGACCAGTTTTCACCATGTTGCCCAGGCTGGTCTCGAACTCCTGGCCTCAAGTGATCCACCTGATTTAGCCTCCCAAAGTGCTGGGATTACAGGCATGAGCCACCATGCCCAGCCTGTGCATTCTTTTTTTTTTTTTTTTTTTTTGAGATGGAGTTTTGCTCTCGTTGCCCAGGCTGGAGTGCAATGGCGCGATCTCAGCTCACTGTATCCTCCGCCTCCCGGGTTCAAGCGATTCTCCTGCCTCAGCCTCCCGAGTAGCTGGGATTACAGGCAGGTGCCACCATGCCATGCTAATTGGTTTTTTTTGTATTTTTAGTAAAGACGGGGTTTCTCCATGTTGGTCATGTTGGTCTCGAGCTCTCGACCTCAGGTGATCCTCCCGCCTTGGCCTCCCAAAGTGTTGGGATTACAGGCGTGAGCCACCGCACCCGGCCTTTTTTTTTTTTTGAAAAGGAGTCTCATTGTGTCATCCAGCCTGGAGTGCAAAGGCAATCTTGGCTCACTTCCAGCTCTGCCTCCTGGGTTCAAGCGATTCTCCTGCCTCAGCCTCCTGAGAAGCTGGGATTACAGGTGCCTGCCACTGCGCCGGCTAATTTTTGTATTTTTAGTAGAGACGGGTTTTCACCATGTTGGCCAGGAGGCTGGTCTTGTGAACTCTTGACCTCAGGTGATCACGCCTCCCAAAGTGCTGGGATTACAAGTTTGAGCCTCTGCGCCCGGCATTCTTTTTTAAAAGATAAAAAAGTCTGGCTGCAGAGGAACCTTATACCTGAAATGTTTTGCTGTCTGAATTCACTCCAGAGTGAAATGACTTGAAGTACAAGTTTTGTGACTGCTCCGAGAATTTTTGTGTCAGAGGCTTCTCCTTCTGCCATTTTTTGAACATTTACCTAGAATTACAAAAAAATCATTCCACATTTCACAGTATGGTGCTAGGAATCTGACCAGGTCCAGTTCATAATTTTAAACTTTAGAGTTTTAAAAACATGTATGCTTATCATGCTGTAAGCAAATGGGACCCCAGGAGTAAGGGGTAACTTTCTGTTTTTCCTCATTAGGTTTCAACTTTCTGTGCTGTGGGGTCAGTGGTAAGAGAGGTAGATCTGATGTGTATCTGTGCTAAAGAAGCATGAGCTCCTTACAGTAACTAGCAGCCAATTCCTCTTCCCCATAACAGTTGCAGACTTCTAATCCCAGCACCTTGGGAGGCCGAGGCGGGCGGATCACGAGGTCAGGAGATCGAGACCATCCTGGCTAACACAGTGAAACCCCGTCTCTACTAAAAATACAAAAAAATTAGCTGGGCATGGTGGCGGGTGCCTGTAGTCCCAGCTACTCGGGAGGCTGAGACAGGAGAATGGCGTGAACCCGGGAGGCAGAGCTTGCAGTGAGCCGAGATCGTGCCACTGCACTCCAGCCTGGGCAACAGAGCAAGACTCCGTCTCAAAAAAAAAAAAAAAAAACAGTTGCAGACTTCTTGGAGTGGTAGTTCATGGTCTTCTTCTAAGAAGGCTGTGGATGCCTTAAAAGCATTATTTGACGCTGGCTCCCATATCTCACTGCCCTCTCCAAAAAATGTGTTACCCTAACATAGAAGTATCTTTTCTCAGAATTCTTCAGTATATTATGAATCAGTGACTACCTTTTCTCTCCCTTGAAATTTTCCTGTAACTTAATGTTCATTTCCTTTTGTTTCAGTAAACCAGTCTCAACTCTTTTCCTTTTCTCTTTCTGTTGTACCTCTCATTTCCCCGACCCTTCCTGTCCTGTAGATGGCATTTCATAATTCACATTGATAATAATTGCTAGAATTTATAGGCATTTATTGTAGATTAAGTAGAGCATTTATTATAGATTAAGCCTATACGTAACTTGTTGAATTCTCATAACAACCTTAGGAAGTACATGTTGTTACTTCCACATTTTATAGATAAGGTAGCCAGTCTGCTCTAGAGAAATTTTAACCAACCTACCCAAGGTTACCTACTTAGTAAATGTTTTTTTTTTTTTTTTTTTTTTTTTTTTTTGAGACGGAGTCTCGCTCTGTCGCCCAGGCTAGAGTGCAGTGCTGTGATCTCAGCTTACTGCAACCTCTGCCTCCTGGGTTCAAGCAATTCTCGTGCCTTAGCCTCCAGAGTAGCTGTGACTACAGGTGCGTGCCACTACACCCAGCTAATTTTTGTATTTTTAGTAGAGACAGGGTTTTTCCACGTTGGCCAGGCTGGTCTTGAACTCTTGGCCTCAAGTGACCCACCCACTAGGCCTCCCAAAGTGCTGGGATTACAGGCTTGAGCCATTGTGCCTAGCTGTAAATGTTAAATCTAGTATTCAAACCTAGCAAACCTAGGTGTTCTGATTTCTTTTTCTGTTTTTGGTTTTGTTTTCCCTGGGATATAGATTTTCAGGTGTTCTGATTTCAGAACCTGCATTCCTACCCACTGCTGCTGCTCCCCTCACTAATTTGAAATTCTGTGTGTGAACTAACTTTACTTAAAACCGGGTTAAATGTTTGTTACTGTCTGAACCAAGAGTCCTTGGGGTGAAGGAGAGAGTAGTACAGAAGGAAACTTCTCCTTCTGACTTTAGCCTTCCTAAATCAACAAAATTCTGAGCTCCTTTATGTACAGTAGGTGGAATTGTTCATTTTTTCAGAAGCATTTTAATTTTATTAATGTATTAATTTATTTATGTATTTTGAGACAGGGTCTTGTTCTGTCACCCAAGCTGGAGTGCAGTGGCATGATCATAGCTCACTGCAGCACTGACCTCCCAGGCCCAGGCCATCTTCCCACCTCAGCCTCACAAGTAGCTGGGACTACAGACACCACCATGTCTGGCTAATTGTTTTTTCTTTCTCTTTTTCTTTTCATTTTTTTTTTAAATTTTTTATTTTTGAGATGGAGTCTTGCTCTGTTGCCCAGGCTGGAGTGCAGTGTTACGATCTTAGCTCACTGCAACCTCCACCTCCTGGGTTCAAGCGATTCTCCTGCCTCAGACTCGCAAGTAGCTGGATTACAGGCACATGCCACCATGTCCGGCTAATTTTTGTATTTATAGAGATGAGGTTTCACCATGTTGGCCAGGCTGGTCTTGAATTCCTGGCCTCAGGTGATCCACTGCCCACCTTGGCCTCCCCCAAGTGGTGGGATTGCAGGCGTGAGCCACTGTGCCTGGCAGTGTTAAAATTGTTAATGTCTTGTTACAAAGACAAAAAGGTATTTTCTATGCTAGTGAGGACCTTAACGTCTGTAAAACTGTGAAACTGCGCTTTCAAGTATCAGACTTGAAAGTTTCTGCTCCTCTAGAATACTGGCATTGCCTAATTCAGAACAAAGGTAATCTCCCTAAAAGAAAGGTACTTTCATATTCTTTTTGCAAATGATGTTGATGAATGTTGCTAGAGGAACAGTGTTGTTAATTTCCTTGAGAGGACCTGAAGGAGGACAACTGTACTCTTAATCCTATCAGTGAAAATGAAACATTTCCTTGTCTCAAGGAAAAAGGGGGTACCTTGAGGGAAGAATATATGTCTTCATATTGTCCATTAGCAAATCTGAGATTTATTTAGTTTGTTAGAGCATTCTAGTTCCATTGGTGCTTTCTTGTTCCAGCTGCTTTCTAGGTGGCCAGGAAATTAAAAACCAAAGATGAGGCCGGGCTCAGTGGCTCACGCCTGTAATCCCAGCACTTTGGGAGGCCAAGGCAGTGGATCACAAGATCAAGAGATCGAGACCATCCTGGCCAACATGGTGAAACCCCGTCTTGACTGAAAATACAAAAATTAGCTGGGTGTGGTGGCGTGCACCTGTAGTCCCAGCTGCTTGAAGGCTGAGGCAGGAGAATCGCTTGAACCTGGGAGATGGAGGTTGCAGTGAGCTGAGATCACACTACTGCACTCCAGCCTGGCAACAGAGTGAGACTCTGTCTCAAAAAAAAAAAAAAAAAAAAAAGGCCAGAGATTATTCAGAAGAAAGTATTGAATTAGGGATCATGAATTGAATGTGGGCTCTAGTTTTGCCTGTCACTGCCTATGCTTTGATTTTGAGCCCATTCCTTAACCTCTTCTTCTGTGTTCTTATAATAAAAGGGATTAGACTAAAAATTAGACTAAAAATCTCTTTCTGAATGATTTTGTTCTAATATAAGTGGTTTATTGATTTGTAATAAGTGGTTTTAGCTTGAAAATTGGAAAGTAGGCTGGGCACAATGGCTCACGCCTATAATCCCAGCACTTTGGAAGGATGAGGTGGGCAGATCACTTGAGGTCAGGAGTTCCAGACCAGGCTGGCCAACATGGCGAAACCCTGTCTGTACTAAAAATACAAAAATTAGCCAGGTGTGGTGGTGCACACCCGTAATCCTGGCTACTCGGGAGGCTGAGACAGGAGAATCAGTTGAGCCCAGGAGGCAGAGGTTGCAGTGAGCCGACATCGTGCCACTGCACTCCAGCCTGGGCAACAGAGCAAGACTCTCGTCTCAAAAAAAAAAAAAAAAAAGAAGAGGGCTGGCCCGGTGGCTCATGCCTATAATCCCAGCACTTTGGGAGGCTGAGGCGGGCGGGTCATCTGCAGTCAGGAGTTCGAGACCAGCCTGACCAACATGGTGAAACCCCATCTCTACAAAAAATTTAAAAAAAAAAAATTAGCTGGGTGTTGTGGTGCGTGCCTGTAATCCCAGCTACTCGGGAGGCTGAGGCAGGAGAATCTCTTGAACCCGGGAGGTGGAGGTTGCGGTGATCCGAGATTGTACCATTGCCCTCCAGTCTGGGCGACAAGAGTGAAACTCCATCTAAAAAAAAAGAAACAAAACTGGAAAGTAGGCCTTGTGCGGTGGCTCATGCTTCTAATCCCCGTACTTTGGGAGGCTGAGGTGGAAGGATCGCTTGAGCCCAGGCATTCAAGACCAGCTTGGGGAACATGGCTAAACCCTGTCCTTACATATTCTTTCCTTTTTTTTTTTTTTTTTTTTGCCGAGATGGGGTCTCCCTATGTTGCTCGAGCTGGTCTCGAACTCCTGGGCTCAATTAATCTTCCCATCTTGGCCTCCCAAAGTACTGGGATTATAGATGTGAGCCACTGTGCTCAATGCCTGTCTCTGTTTCTATTTATTTATTTATTTTTGAGACAGAGTGTTGCTCTGTTGCCCAGGCTGGAGTGCAGTGGCGCGATCTCAGCTCACTGCAATCTCTGTCTCCCAGGTTCAAGAGATTCTCCTGCCTCAGTCTCCCGAGTAGCTGGGATTACAGGTGGTGTCATCATGCTTGGCTACTTTTTTGTATTTTTAGTAGAGACGGGGTTTCACCTTGCTAGCCAGGATGATCTCGATCTCCTGACCCTGTGATATGCCCACCTTGGCCTCCCCAAGTGCTGGGATTACAGGCATGAGCCACCGCACCCGGCTTGCCTGTCTCTATTTTAAAAAAGCCAACTCAGATCAAGAATTTTGATTATCCAGACTTGCTTTATTTTCTTCTGTGGTATTTTTTTCCTTTACTTACATTATAAAATTCCTCAGATGCATGTGAAGTAGAGAGAATAGTATAATGAACCTCCATATACTTACCACCTAGCTTTTTTTTTTTTAAGACAGGATTTCACTCTTTCGCCCAGGCAGGAGTGCGATGGTGCGATCTCAGCTTACTGCAACCTCTGCTCCCCGGGTTCAACCGATTCTCCTGCCTCAGCCTCCAAGTATTTGGGATTACAGGCGCCCACCACCTTGCCCAGCTAATTTTTGTGTTTTTAGTAGAGATGGGGTTTCGCCATGTTGGCAAGGCTGGTCTCGAACTCCTGACCTCACGTGATCCACCTGCCTTGGCCTTCCAAAGTGCTGGGATTACAGGCGTGAGCCACTTTACCTGGCCTATCACCTAGCTTTGATAACAGCATTTTGCCAATCTTGCATCTATACTTCTCCATTTTTCTACCTCTACCTCCCTGGAATATTTTAAAGCAAGCCCAGTCCTCATGGGATTTCACTCCTAAATACTTAAGAACGTATTAATACACTCAGGGAATCTTTTAGAGGTGAGGATGGGAGAGTATAATATAACTACAGTGGTATTGTCACATCTATAAAATTAATAATTGTTTAACTTTGCTTCTCAAGGCTCTTTTCTCAGAAATGTCTTTTTATGGTTTCTTTTTTTCTAATCAACACCCAAACAGGTTTCACATATTCCATTTGGTTATTTCTCTCTTAAATCCTTAATTAAAATAGTTTCCAAACCCTGTAGTATTTTTTGAGGGCCAAATGAGATATATTTGTAGGCTTCCAAAGTGTTTATACAAACATAAGTTGTTTGGTCATAGGAGAGAAATAACCTTTCTAAAAATATATCAGCATTGCAGTTTAGTGTTAATAACATTAAAGAGAAATGAGAGAATGTAGAGATGCCTGAGTGATGGAGAAAAAAGCAGGAATAATTTGGCATTAAACTAAGGCTGAGATGTATTAAAATTGAGCCAGTGTGGAGAAGCTGGCCTAGGACCTTCTCTGTAGCATTTATAGCCAAGCAATTAACCTATATACCCACCCTTGGGTAATAGGTTCTCCTCTCTTATAGTACGTGCCACACTTCCAAGTGTAGACTGATGATAATGAAGACATTGGAATAATGCCCTTTGAGAGTTTTGCCTTAGATTGGGAAATGCAGGTCTCAAGATTCTCAGACAAAATATTTTCTTCTAGGGAAGAGTACATTTTAATGTTGTTTCCCTGCCCAAAAAGATAATGATATATATAAATCATGGGTATGGATTACAAAACGATAATGTATTCCTACAGTATTTTTCACAAAGACACTAGAAAACATTTTCTGTTGAACAGTATTCTGGTTTTATCCATAGGGATGAATCTCATTCTCTTTAAAAATTGTCTGGCTAACAGCCAGGTGCAGTGGTGCAGTCTGATAGTCCCAGTGACTCAGGAGGCTGAGGTGGGAGGATCACTTGAATCCAGGAGTTTGAGACCAGCCTGGGCAACATAGTGAGACCTCATATCTACAAAAAAGAATAATAGCAAAAAAAGCAAAATCAGCTGGGCATGGTGGTACACACCTGTAGTCCCAACTACTCAGGTGGCTGAGGTGGGAGCATCATTTGAGCCTGGGAGGAAGGGGCTGCAGTGAGCAGAGATTGCACCACTGCACTCCAGCCAGGGTGACATTGTGAGACCATGTCTCAAAGGGAAAAAAAATTACATATATTTTTTCCTTTTTTTGATATAGATACGATATTTTTCTCTTCTGTTCATTGGTAGGTTGGATCTCTGATGTGTGCCATAGGGGCAAAACTTTAGGCAAGGAAGAGAGAAGGTTTTGTGTCCTGATTCTGCTCCTCTCTTTGTCACTTGGTCTGAGTGTTATTACTTAGACCCTAATAGCATCATCACCCTGCGTGCTCTTGGAATTAGTCCCAGTTTTGCAGTCACAGATAGCTAAGCAGTTGGCACCAAAATTCCATGGAGCGACATCGTCTCATCTTTATTCTAGGTATTTTGCAAGAGTGTAGCAGCCCTAGAGCTACATGTTTGTGTGATAAAACTAGGAAAGGTAGCAAGGTAGAACTTTTTAGGGAGTAGAAAGTTTCAGAGCCACTCTGCATTGAAATTACTTACCTGCTTTTTTTCTCTTGTTTAACTTTATTCAGTGACTTTTTGCATACAGAGGAGCTTACTTTCTAGGTGGTAACTACCAGACTAGAAGCAGATGCTGGCTTTTGGTTCTGCCTGGTCTCTTCTAAACCGTTTCCTCTGGGTAAAAGAGGAGAGGATAGGCCAGGCACTGACCAAAGAGTCTAGAATCAGCATTTTTATTTTCAACTGAAAGCATACAGAGTACCTCATTGAGAATCAGATTCCATAGTTGCTAGTGTTGCACAAGCATGTGGGTATGTTGGGGGATGGGGCAGCTGAGGGTTTTGACAGGAACCGTGTTCTTTGAGATGGTAATTTGAATTTCATGAAGGTCTAGGTAAATTGAAAATTAAACCTTGCTGTGAGCCTAACTTTGCTCTTGCGTCACACGTAATGGCCAGGCATGGTGGCTCATGCCTGTAATCCCATCACTTTGGGAGGCCAAGGCAGGTGGATCACGAGGTCAGGAGTTAAGACCAGCCCAGCCAAGATGGTGAAACCCTCTCTCTTCTAAAAAAAATACAAAAATTAGCCAGGCGCAGTGGCTCACCCCTGTGATCCCAGCACTTTGGGAGGCCGCGGTGGGTGGATCACCTGAGGTCAGGAATTCAAGACCACCCTGGCCGACATGATGAAACCCCATCTCTGCTAAAAATACAAAAATCAGCCAGGCATGGTGGCGGGCACCTGTAATCCCAGCTACTCGGGAGGTTGAGGCAGGAGAATCTCTTGAACTGGGAGAAGGACGTTGCAGGGAGCCAAGATGGCGCTGTTGCACTCCAGCCTCGGTGACCAGCAAAACTCCGTCTCAAAAAAAAAAAAAAAGGCCGGGTGTGGTGGCTCACGCCTGTAATCCCAGCACTTTGGGAGGCCGAGGCAGGCGGATCATGAGGTCAGGAGATTGAGACCATCCTGGCTAACACGGTGAAACCCTGTCTCTACTAAAAATACAAAAAATTAGCCAGGCGTGATGGCACACACCTGTAATCCCAGCTACTCGGGAGGCTGAGGCAGGAGAATTGCTTGAACCCAGGAGGTGGAGGTTGCAGTGAGCCGAGATCGTGCCATTGCACTCCAACCTGGGCAACAGAGCGAGACTCTGTCTCAAAAAAAAAAAAAAAGCGACAGAGCGAGACTCCATCTAAAAAATAAAAATTAAAAAAAAAGGGACAGGTGCGGTGGCTCTTGCTTGTAATCCTAGCACTTTGGGAGGCTTGAGGTGGATGGATCATTTGAGGTCAGGAGTTCAAGACCAGCCCAGCCATCATGGTGAAATCCCGCCTCCACTAAAAACACAAAAATTAGCTGAATGTGGTAGGAGGCGCCTGTAATCCCTGCTACTCAGGAGGCTGAGCAGGAGAATCACTTGCAGTGAGCTGAGGTCATGCCACTGCACTCCAGCCTGGGCGATAGAGTGAGACTCCATCTCAAAAAAAAAGAAAAAGTTATATTTCCCAGAGAAAATATGGATATTTGAATAAGAAAGGGGTCTAGAATAAAAATGGAATATGCACGAGGCCTATGTGAGTATGGAGAAGGAGAGAGGGACATACACAGTTGCTATCCAAAAGGATCTGGTATTACTGAGCAAGAGGCAGGAGTTTATACTTATGTTTAGTTTGACTCAAACTCTGATGGTTTCAGTATGCTTGACAGAGATGTGAGTGTGTGATACACTCTTATGATTGTTTTTTTTTCCCCCCTAGCAGCATCTGGAATCAAGAGACCCATGGCATCTGAGGTGAGTTTCATACTGATACAATGGTTACTAAAACCTTAATTCTGGGATAGAAGGAACCTGTTTATGACATTTTTATTTTTTCTCTACTTAGGTCTTGGAAGCTAGACAGGATTCTTACATCTCATTGGTAGGCTAGAAATTATGCAACTCATCTTTTATTGTAGTTTATTTTAAATATTAACAATATCTCACATTTATTGAGCATTTTTAATGTACCAAATGCAATATATACCAAAAAGTAAATACTGTACCTAAGTGCCCTTTAAGATATTCTTATTTAATCCTTCAAACAACTACAGTGAGGCAAATACTGTTATCTGTTTTACAGATGAAGAAAGTGAGGATTGCATAGTTACTAAGTGGGATTAGTAAAGCTGGGATTCAAATTCAAACCCAGGCAGTCTGACACTAAAGCTCACTTTCTTTGTTTTGCTGTTATGGCCTCCTGATTGCATACCTTCGATGAATATGAAGAACTTTTAGCCATGCAGAAGCTGTTAGTTTCACAAGTTTCTCTTTTTTGTCCAGAATATCGCCATTTTGCTCAACTTTCTTCCCATGGTGTATTTCCTAACCCTCTTCTCACTTCTTGCCTCTCCCCTGGGTTTTGTGAAAGGGGCCTCAGAATGCAGGCCCTTTTGACCTGGGACTTCAAACTTTCTCTCAGAACATCTTCCAGCATCTGTCAGGTGATATACTGAGAGTTTTCTGGTACTAAGGGCCTTGGCTAAAAGAATAGAACTTGAATATCAGGTCTTAAGATTGGGACATCCAGCCAGTCACGGTTGCTCATGCTTGTAATCCTAACACTTTGGGAGGCCAAGGTGAGAGGATTGCTTGAGGCCAGGAGATCGAGACAGGCCTGTGCAACATAGTGAGACCCTGGTTCTACAAAAAAATAAAACATTAGCCAGGTGCACACCATAGTCCCAGCTACTCGGGATTGCTTGAGCCCAGGAGGTTGAGGCTGCAGTGAGCCATTATCACACCACTGCCCTCTAGCCTGGGTGACAGAGACACCCTGTCTCAAAAAAAAACTGTGATACCCTGTTTCCACTAGTCTCTCAGCCTTCTGGCTTATAAACTTAATGAGTATTGATGTTATGAAGAGTAACTTCATGTCTGTTGCTCTGGCATTTTGGCTCTTGGGGATAACTTTCTAGACTGCTATACTGGTTTACTCCTCCCTTCTTGCCTTTTTTTTTTTTGAGATGAAGTCTTGCTCTGTTGCCCAGTATGGAGTACAGTGGCTCGATCTTGGCTCACTATGTCCTCTGCCTCCCAGGTTCAGGCAGTTCTCCTGCCTCAGCCTCCCAAGCAGCTGGGATTACAGGTGCACGCCACCATGCCCGCCTAATTTTTGTATTTTTAGTAGAGGCAGGGTTTCACCCTGTTGACCAGACTGGTTTTGAACTCCTGACCTCAGGTGATCCACCCGCCTTGGCCTCCCAATGTGCTGGGATTACAGGTGTGAGCCACTGCGCCTGGCCTCTTTTCTTTTTTCTTTTTTTTTTTGAGACAGAGTCACGCTCTGTCGCCCAGGCTGGAGTGCAGTGGCATGATCTTGGCTCACTGCAACCTCTGCCTCCTGGATTCAAGTGATTCTCCCGCCTCAGCCTCCTGAGTAGCTGGGATTAGAGATGCACGCCACCACGCCAGGCAAATTTTTTGTATTTTTAGTTGGAGATGGAGATTTGCCATGTTGCCCAGTCTGGTCTCAAACTCCTAGGCTCAAGTGATCTTCCCCACTTGGCCTTCTGAGTAGCTGAGATTACAGGTGCATGCCACACCACCCAGCTATGTTTCTTTTCTTTTTTTTTTTTTTTGAGACAGAGTCTTGCTCTGTCACCCAGGCTGGAGTGCAGTGGTGCGATCTCGGCTCACTGCAACCTCCACCTCCCAGTTTCAAGCAATTCTCTGCCTCAGCCTCCCGAGTAGCTGGGATTACAGGTGCCTACTACCACGCCTGGGTAATTTTTGTGTTTTTAGTAGAGACAGGGTTTCAACATCTTGGCCAGGCTGGTCTTGAACTCCTGACCTCGTGATCCACTTGCCTCCACCTCCCAAAGTGCTAGTATTACAGGTGTGAGCCACCGCACCCGGCCATCGCCGAGCTGTGTTTCTACTACTGTTTAAAAATACTCACCTTTGGTTGGGTGCAGTGCCTCACACCTATAATCCCAGCACTTTGGGAGGCCAAGGCGAGTGGATCACCTGAGGTCAGGAGTTCGAGACTAGCCTGGTCAACATGTTGAAACCCCATCTCTACTAATAATACAAAAAATTAGCTGGGTGTGGTGGTGCATTCCTGTAATCTCAGCTACTCGGGAGGCTGAGGCTGGAGAATCGCTTGAACCCGGGAGGTGGAGGTTGCAGTGAGCCGAGATCGTGGCATTGCACTCCAGCCCAGGCGACACAAGCGAAACTCTGTCTCAAAAAAAAAAAAAAAAGTACTCTTATTTTCTGGCCGGGCATGGTGGCTCACACCTGTAATCCCAGCACTTTGGGAGGCTGAGGCAGGTGGATCACTTGAGGTCAGCAATTTGAGATCAGCCTGGCCAACATGGTGAAACCTCATCTCTACTAAAAATACAAAAATTAGTCAGGTGTGGTGGTGTGCACCTATAATCCCAGCTGCTCGGGAGGCTGAGGCGAGAGAATTGCTTGAACCGAGGAGGTGGAGGTTGCAGTGAGCTGAGATTGTGCCACCGCACTCCAGCCTGGGCAACAAGAGCGAGACTCTGTTTCAAAAAAATAAAGAGTAAAAATACTCACTTTTATTTTCTGTGTCTTCTTTCTGAGGACCAAAGGGAAAATATGTGTCCCTTGGAGTTTTCTTCTGTGATCTTTTAGCCACTTAATTCATTGGGAACCAACATTATAGCTGTATATTTGCATGGGATAGATCTGAAGATTTTGTAAAATGTTTTTAATCTAGAAAGAATATGTTGTTTCAGTTTATTTTGTTTTGATGTACCATTGTGGTAGCTATTTGGTGTCTTACATGGGAATTGTATTATAATCTTGACTCTTCTTCTAGGTGCCTTATGCCTCTGGCATGCCCATCAAGAAAATAGGCCATAGAAGTGTTGATTCCTCAGGAGAGACAACATATAAAAAGGTGTGTCTGGATGAAACCGTCTCATCTTACTCCAGGAGCTCAGCAGCTTACTCTGGGAACTCAGTCTCCTTGAAATTACTCTCCATGTACTGTCCTGTTTCTTGATCTCCTAAGCTTTTGCACATAATACAGCTTAGACTTTAGATTTATTTCTCAAAGGGTAAATTGTCTCCTTTTTGTATATGAATGTTTAAATGAGATTTTTTTTGGCTGGGCACAGTGCCCCAGGCCTGTAATCCCAGCACTTTGGGAAGCCGAGGCAGGCAGATCATTTTAGGCCAGGAGTTCAAGACCAACCTGGCCAACATGATGAAACTCTGTCTCTACTAAAAATACAAAAATTAGCTGGGTGGCACACGCTTGTGGTCCCAGCTACTCGGGATGTTGAGGCACGAGAATCGCTTGAACCTGAGAGGTGGAGGTTGCAGTGAGGTCAAATTGTGCCACTTGGTGGCACTAGCCTTGGTGACAGAACAAGACTCCATCTCAAAAGAAAAAAAAATTAGTGAACAAATCTGGCATTGGTTGCTATTTTACTGAGCTGAAGAAACTGGGTTTCCCTGTTAGGTATAAATATGTAACAAGGCCATGAAAGCCATTCTTATCTTACCACAGGGAACCATGTCTCTCGCAGTCTTTCTGTCTTTTTGTCCATTGCTGGGTATATATCAATAGAGGGCCAGGTCCCAGCCCAGCCTGTTGATACAAATATACACAATAGGTCAGACTTTTTTTTCTCTTCCATTTTTTTTTTAGAGCCAGGGTGTCAATCTGTCACCCAGGCTGGATTGCAGTGGCATGATCATTGGCCGGTAGCAGGAGGCTATTGTAACCTCCGACTCCTGGGCTCAAGTGATCTTCCTGCCTCAACCTCCTGAGTAGCTGGGACTACAGGTGCACACCACCACACATGGATAATAATAAATTAGTTTTATGACATGATCTCGCTGTGTCGCACAGGCTGGTCTCAAACTCCTGCCCTCAAGCATTCCTCCTACCTAAACCTTCCAAAGTGCTGGAGTTACAGGGGTGATTGACCGTGTCTCACCCCCTTTTCCTCCACAAAGACAGTCATTTAGCTGGCGAATAGTACCTAGGACATCTGCTTTTTTGAGCTCTGAATATCAAATGGACTGGAAAGGAGCAGTAATAGTGAAAAAGTGGAAATTGGGCTGGTGAAGGGAAAACAGAAGCATCCTGGATCCTTGAGGGATCCAAATTCTTGAGTTCTGGACTGGTTTTCAGATGGTTTAGGCTTCCTGAGGGACAGTGTTCAGTCTCCCATTTAGCATCTGTGGTTTGTCTAATATGGGATGTGAAGATTTCTTGGAGTTCTAGGTTTCTGGCCTATGTAAATTTTGTGTTCATTCTCTATTTCATTGTCCCAAGTAGCAGAGGTGGACTGACTCATTCTCAGTCAAGGACCTGACAGTCCCCAGAATGGACTCTGTGGCTCATGTCAATTACTTTTACTGAGCTCTTCATTTTTAAATTTTTTTTTTTTAAGAAATGGGATCTTGCATTTGGGAAGCTGAGGCGGGTGGATCACCTGAGGTCAGGAGTCGGAGACCAACCTGACCAACATGGCAAAGCCCCATCTCTACTAAAAATACAAAAATTAGCTGGGCGCGGTGGTGGGCATCTGTAATCCCAGCTACTCAGGAGGCTGAGACATGAGAATAGCTTGAACCTGGGAGGCGAAGGTTGCAGTGAGCCGAGGTCGCGCCATTGCACTCCAGCCTGGGCAACAGAGCGAGACCCCGTCTCAAAAAAAAAAAAAAAAAAAAAAAAAACAGGAAAGAAAGAAATAGGATCTTGCTCTGTTGCCCAGACTGGAATGCAGTGGGTGCGTTGATGGCACACTGCAGCCTTGAACTCCTGGGCTCAAGCCATCCTCCTACCTCAGCCTCCAAAGTAACTGGGACTACAGGCCTCAGCCACCACACCTGGCTTATTTAGCTTTTTTTTTTTTTTTTTCCTGAGGGAGTTTTACTCTTGTTGCCCAGGCTGGAGTGCAATGGCGTGATCTCCACTCACCAAAACCTCTGCCTTGCGGGTTCAAGCGATTCTCCTGCCTCAGTCTCCCAAGTAGCTGGGATTACAGGCATGCACCACCATGCCTGGATAATTTTGTATTTTTAGTAGAGATAGGGTTTCTCCATGTTGGTCAGGCTGGTCTTGAACTCCTGACCTCAGGTAATCTGCCTGTCTCGGCCTCCCAAAGTGCTGGGATTACAGGCATGAGCCACAGCACCCGGCCATTTAGCTCTTTTTATATGTTGAACATTAAGATAAAAAGATGAGTTTCTATTATAACTGGGGAGGCAGGTACTTAAAAAAAAAAAGAAACTAATAATTTATTTTCCTTTGACCTATTTGTACATGAAAAAAACTAGTTGTAGGCTGGGCATGGTGGCTCATGCCTGTAATCCCAGCACTTTGGGAGGCCGAGGCAGGTGGATAACGAGGTCAGGAGATCGAGATCATCCTGGCTAACACGGTGAAACCCCATCTCTACTAAAAAAAAAATACAAAAAATTAGTCGGGTGTGGTGGCTTGCGCCTGTAGTCCCAGCTACTCAGGAGGCTGAGGCAGGAGAATGGTGTCAACCAGGGAGGCGGAGCTTGCAGTGAGCCAAGATCACGCCACTGCACTCCAGCCTGGGCGACAGAGCGAGACTCCGTCTCAAGAAAAAAAAAACAAAAAACTAGTTGTAATTTATTGCCCATTGAGGACCAAGTAGAAATATAAGTAATGCCTGGCCGAGGTTGGGGATGAGGCAAATGGAGCAAAGCTATCTAATCAAAGTTTCTGCAGTGATTGAAATGTGCTGTATCTGTGCTATCCAATATGGTAGCTAGTAGCCACACTTGAACTGTAAGTAGTAAGACTGAGAAAATGAAGTTTTAAATTTGAGTTAACTTAAATTTAAATAGCCATGTGTACCTAGTGGCTACTGTTATCAGACAGCAAAGATCTAGATGATGCGATACTTTCCCACGGGCTTGGAATCCTGGATTGTAAGAGTGGGGCTCTTGTATTTGTGTTTTGACCAAGTTTGATAATTCTAAGTCTGAATACTGCTCTCAGAAATAATTTGAGTCTTTCATGCTTTCTTCTTCAGTTAGGAGCTCTTTTACCACACTGTTGCCCTTTTTTTTGAGACAGTCTGGCTGTGTTACCCAGGCTGGAATGCAGTGGTGTGATCTTGGCTCACTGCAGCCTCCGCCTCCCAGCTTCAAGCAATTCTCCTGTCTCAGCCTTCTGAGTAGCTGGGACTACAGGTGCACACCACCTCATCCAGCTAATTTTTGTGTTTTTAGTAGAGACGGTTTCACCACATTGGCCAGGCTGGTCTCGAACTCTTGGCCTAAAGTGGTCTGCCCACCTCAGTCTCCCAAAGTGCTTGGATTAGAGGCGTGAGCCTCCGCCCGCGCCCACCCCACCCTGTTGGCCTTGAGACACACTAGTCAGGCCCTTCCTTAGAGGACTGAAGTTTCTGCCGCCAGGCAGTCAGATCAGAATATTGGTTAATTTTAGGGCTGGGCATGGTGGCTCATGCCCGTAATCCCAGAGCTTTGGGAGTTCTGAGGTTAGGAGCTTGAGACCAGCCTGACCAACATAGTGAAACCCCATCTGTACTAAAAATATAAAGAATAAGCAAGGTGTCGTGGTGCATGCCTGTAATCTCAGCTACTCGGGAGGCTGAGGCATGAGAATCGCTTGAACCGGGGAGGCAAAGTTT
This sequence comes from Homo sapiens, assembly GCF_000001405.40. Taxonomy (NCBI): domain Eukaryota; kingdom Metazoa; phylum Chordata; class Mammalia; order Primates; family Hominidae; genus Homo; species Homo sapiens. The sequence goes on from NC_000001.11 coordinate 151,231,146, forward strand.
GCAGTGAGCCGAGATCATGCTGCTGTACTCCATTCCAGCCTGGGTGACAGAGTGAGACTTAGTCTCAAAAAAAAAAAAAAAAAAAAGGAATATTGGTTAATTTTAGTTACATTCGATATCAGATGAAGGAAATGTTTAGAGGGCTCCAGATACACTCTGGGGGCAGAAACCTTAGGAGTGAGAACTAAGAACGTTGTGTCAATACAATGTATCTTCCAAATACAAATATGGAACTCTTGTTTAGGCAGGCCAACAGGAGGGAGCACCTTGCCTAGCTGAGGCTGGCTCAGAGAGTCCCAGCTTTGCTACTCTGTATCCTCACTGTCCTTCCAATCTTTACTAAGCTTAATTGCAGAGTACAGCATAGGGATGGGGAAACTGGATTGTCCCAGTTTTATCTGAACTATTGCTCAGACTAAAGGATGTTTGTTTTAAAGTGTTCCTTCTAGCTTCCCCTTTCTGAATTTTTATTGTTATGATCCTACTTATACTAGGAATTTTCTTCTCATTTCTCTTGTTTCTCAGACAACCTCATCAGCCTTGAAAGGTGCCATCCAGTTAGGCATTACCCACACTGTGGGGAGCCTGAGTACCAAACCAGAGCGTGATGTCCTCATGCAAGATTTCTACGTGGTTGAGAGTATCTTCTTTCCCAGGTACAGAGTTTAATGTTCAGGAGCATGTCCTGGAAATGTGGCCTTTTCAAATCAGCCCAGGGCAGTTTTAGGGGTTCAGGTCGGACAATTTAGACATGTGTCCATTTCTTAACCTGGTTACAATCAGGGCGATGTGGGACTAGAGAGTTCGGAGAGCAGATACTGTCCTCTAGATGCTTCCATTAGCCTCTGTCCTATGGATTGACCCGTAAAAAACAACCTAATGCATTGGATAGGAGGCAGTGTGATTTCTTCTTCTTCTTATGTCTTGCTGTCCATGCTGTGCCATTGTCTCACTAACTCATCTAAGAAGGGCTGTGATTATCTTAGGAGGAATGTATTCCCCCACTCCCCCCACCATGAGGTGACTCTGAGTGTCTTCGCAAGGTAGATTCTCTGGATGATAGGGACTGGCAAGTTATGGCTACCTCTGTTTAACCCCACAGTGAAGGGAGCAACCTGACCCCTGCTCATCACTACAATGACTTTCGTTTCAAGACCTATGCACCTGTTGCCTTCCGCTACTTCCGGGAGCTATTTGGTATCCGGCCCGATGATTACTTGGTAAGCATCTGGATATCAGGACACTGTGACTCCAGTATCAGAGGGATATTCCCAAAGGAAGGCCCCTTTTCTCCACAGTCTCGCTCTGGTTTTTATTTAGAAAAGAATTGCATCTGTAGTTGATTTTTGTGTTGGGCAAGGCCCTGATGTGTCTAAATCTCTTAGTTCTTCTCTGTTTGCCCCAGTATTCCCTCTGCAGTGAGCCGCTGATTGAACTCTGTAGCTCTGGAGCTAGTGGTTCCCTATTCTATGTGTCCAGCGACGATGAGTTCATTATTAAGACAGTCCAACATAAAGAGGCGGAATTTCTGCAGAAGCTGCTTCCAGGATACTACATGGTAAGGGAGAGAGAAGCACTGTCCACCTGTGCTGCTCACTTCTGGGCAAGGCTGGGGAGGCTGTCTTCAGCAGGGTAAAACAGTGTCAGCACTTCTATCTTAAGAGTGTAGTTCAGGCCAGGCACGGTGGCTCATGCCTGTAATCCCAGGACTTTGGGAGGCCGAGGCAAGAGGATCACAAGATCAGGAGATCAAGACCATCCTGGCCAACATGGTGAAACCTCGTCTTTACTAAAAATACAAAAAATTAGCCAGGCGTGGTAGCGGGCGCCTGTAGTCCCAGCTACTCAGGAGGCTGAGACAGGAGAATGGCGTGAATCTGGGAGGCGAAGTTTGCAGTGAGCCGAGATCCTGCCACTGCACTCCAGCCTGGGTAACAGAGCAAGACTCCGTCTCAAAAAAAAAAAAAAAAAAATGTTGTTCAGTTTTGTGCTTTTCACCCCATTTCTTTTGCCTCTCTATGGTAAAAGGGGTTTTGTTTATCTGTTCTGTTTTAAGTGTTGTTGATCTCCCAGGCTCAAGTGATCCTCCCACCTCAGCCTCTCACGTAGTTGGGACTAAAGGCACGCACCACCACACCTGGCTAATTTTTATAAACTTATTTTCTTTTATTTTTTCGTGACGGAGTCTCGCTTTGTTGTCCAAGCTGGAGTACAGTTGCACAATCTCGGCTCACTGCAACCTCCGCCTCCCAGGTTCAAGCAATTCTCCTGCCTCAGCCTCCTGAGTAGCTGGGATTACAGGCATGCGCCACCATGCCAAGCTAATTTTTTATTTTTTAGTAGAGATGGAGTTTCACCATGTTGGTCAGGCTGGTCTTGAACTCCTGACCTCATGATCCGCCTGCCTTGGCCTCCCAAAGTGCTGGGATTACAGGCGTGAGCCACCGTGCCCGGCCTAATTTTTATAAATTTTTAGTAGAGATGAGGTCTTGCTATGTTACCCAGGCTGGTCTCAAATTCCTGAGCTCAAGTGATCCTCCTGTTTGGCCTCCCAAAGTGCTGGGGTTACAGGCATGAGCCACTGCACCTGGCTATTTTCGTCTTCTGTTCTTAGTTCAGCTTCTAGTTTGGGGAATGAGGTAGGTTATTTCCCTTGGTAATACTCTCTGCAGCCTTACTCTGATTGCTATTGGAGGTTCTGGAGAAGTTAGGTAACTCTCCTTACCTGCCTTACCATCCCCAAGAATATACTATACCCAGGGCAGAGAGTGTCGTCTTCTCTTAAATCTCTCTGAAGAAATATATCCATCTTATATTGGTATCCTGGCTGATTTCTGTATTGGAGAGTCTGTGGCACAGCTTGATGGTGAACTTACCATTGAAATAGATGCATAGGGAAATGTAAAGCATATATGATGTAGGTTTATGGACACATTGTGTCTAAATCTCATATAGGAGATAAAGGGAGGATGGGTGGTAACTTTTACTGGTGAGTTTCACTGAAAATCAGCTAAGTTGTTCTCCTACTTCTGTTTCCTTTTGTGTTCTCAGAACCTCAACCAGAACCCTCGGACTTTGCTGCCTAAATTCTATGGACTGTACTGTGTGCAGGCAGGTGGCAAGAACATTCGGATTGTGGTGATGAACAATCTTTTACCAAGATCGGTAAAAATGCATATCAAATATGACCTCAAAGGCTCAACCTACAAACGGCGGGCTTCCCAGAAAGAGCGAGAGAAGCCTCTTCCCACATTTAAAGACCTAGACTTCTTACAAGACATCCCTGATGGTCTTTTTTTGGATGCTGACATGTACAACGCTCTCTGTAAGACCCTGCAGCGTGACTGTTTGGTGAGTTTGTTACTTAGACATCAAAAATCTCAGTTACTAAAACAGCTTGATTGTTCTTAGGCATTAAGTTTGTGGGAGATGGAACTCTGTTCCTTAGCACTGTATGTCCTGGGCTGTATTTAAAATAAGTCTTAATTAGTTCATTGCCATTCCTTTACATTTTTACTTTCTCCCCGTTTATCCTCCCACAATGGGATTTATTTCCTTCTCTAGCTAGCCTGGGCCTCACAGTCAAATGTTCTGCTTATTTTCATACCAACATCATCCTTCCTCAGATTTTGGTCCTGGCTGCCAAATCCAAATTTATATTTTGGAAGCTGAGTGCTGCTGAAGAATATTACACAACCGTGTATACTGGCATCTACAGAATTATGATATCCAACCCCACTTGGGCTTTCAATATCGATCTTCAGTCCATTTGCTGTTGCTCTCAATAGGGATTTCAGATGTTTGGCATTCTAATCAAACCATTTTCTGACTCTCATCTCCCTAGCTTTGTTTCTCAACAAGCTACCTTAACTTTTTATCCTATTTCATCCTCTCATGCTGCCCCTGTCACCAATGGATAAATGTATCTACATTTTACTTTATTTTTTATTTTTTGAGATGGAGTTTCACTCTTGTCACCCAGGCTGGAGTGCAATGGCACGATCTCGGCTCACTGCAATTTCCACCTCCCAGATTCAAGCGATTCTCCTGCCTCAGCCTCCCAAGTAGCTGGGATTACAGGCGCCCATCACCACGCCTGGGTCGTTTTTGTATTTTTAGTAGTGACAGGGTTTCACCACGTTGGTCCCGCTGGTTTCAAACTCCTGACCTCAAATGATCTGCCTGCCTTGGCCTCCCAAAGTGCTAGGATTACAGGTGTGAGCCACCGCACCCGGCCTAGATATCACTCTTGACCTCTGTACTCTTCTGTCATGTGAACACTTCCCACTGTTGCACATATTAAACTGTATTGTGTTTATTTTACATTTGTATCCCTTTCTAAATGTATAATGTCCTTGAAGACAGAAACTCTCTCTTTAATATCTTTATATCTCTGTAAGGAGGCACAGTGCCTACATGGTGGAGATTCAGTAAATGTTTAACTGAATTGAAGCTAGTCATACAAGGTCCTACCACAGATCTGTTCTGTCACAAAGTGTACTTTACCAGAACCTCATTGTGGAATCTTCACAGCACAAATATGTATTCCTTGTTCTTTTGAGAAGGTAGTGTTCTCTTCATGGAGACATACATGGAAAGAACAAAGATGGTCTTGTGGGCTAGGCAGTGGGACTTGGAAAAATTATATTAACTCAAATGAGAGAAAGCTAAGGGTATGTAAATAAAGACTAACCAGGCCGGGCGTGGTGGCTCACGCCTGTAATCCCAGCACTTTGGGAGGCTGAGGCAGGCAGATCACCAGGTCAGGCGTTCGAGACCAGCCTGGCCAACATGGTGAAACCCCAACTCTACTAAAAATACAAAAATTAGCTGGGTGTGGTGGCACGTGCCTGTAATCCCAGCTACTTGGGAGGCTGAGGCAGGAAAATCGCTTGAACCAGGGAGTTGGAGGTTGCAGTGAGCCAAGATCGCGCCACTGTACTCCAGCCTGGCGACAAAGCAAGACTCCGTCTCAAAAAAAAAAAAAAAAAAATTTAGCCTTACAGGTTCACTGTAAGGCTAAATTAAATAATTACATCATGAAAGCTGTCAAGCCAGGCGTGGTGGCTCATACCAATAGTCCCAGCACTTTGGAAGACTGAGATAGGCAGATCCCTTGAGCCCAGAAATTAGAGACCAGCTGGGCAGCATGGTGAAACCGTCTCTATGAAAAATAAAAAATTAGGCAGGTGTAGTGGTGTGTGCCTGTAGTCCCAGCTACTTGGGAGGCTGAAGTAGGTGGATATTTTGAGCCTGGGAGGTTGCAGCTACAGTGAGCCGAGATCACACCACTGCACTCTAGCCTGGGTTACAGATTGATACCCTTTCTCAAAAAAACAAAAAAATTGTGAGATCCTGAAAAATATTTTTATTTCTTCCAAGGCTCAGATCATGTTTTTTTCCTTCCATTAGGTGCTGCAGAGCTTCAAGATAATGGATTACAGCCTCTTGATGTCAATCCATAATATAGATCATGCACAACGAGAGCCCTTAAGCAGTGAAACACAGTACTCAGTTGATACTCGAAGACCGGCCCCCCAAAAGGCTCTGTATTCCACAGCCATGGAATCCATCCAGGGAGAGGCTCGACGGGGTGGTACCATGGAGACTGATGACCAGTAAGTGGGCTCAGGGCCACTAGGGGGGAGAACATAGGCCCACAGCACTTTTCTTTTCTTTTTTTTTTTTTTTTTTTTTTAGTTTCACTCTTGTTGCCCAGGCTGATGTGCTGATGTGCAATGGCACGATCTCAGCCTACTACTACCTCCACCTCCTGGGTTCAAGCGATTCTCCTGCTTCAGCCTCCTGAGTAGCTGTGACTACAGGCACCTGCCACCACACCCAGCTAATTTTTTGTATTTTTAGTAGAGAAGGGGTTTCATCATGTTGGGCAAACTAGTCTACGAACTCCTGACCTCAGGTGATCCACCCGCCTTGGCCTCCCGTAGTGCAGGGATTACAGGCGTGAGCCACCGTGCCCGGCCACAGCACTTTTTCTTTAGGAAGGGACCCAGCTTCTGGAAAGGAGTAGCCTTGACTCAGCAGTTGGATCAGTAACATTATTGTTGACAGAAGTATAGAATGAGCTTGAACGAGCTTTCTTAATACAAAATGAAAAGAAGATTAATTTCGGGTTTATAGTATATGTGGGAAGGAGAGCTGTTCAAGAGTTAAAGACTTAAAAAATTATAGTCTTAAATGCATGTCTGCAAATTATATTAGAACTTTATTAGGGCTGGGCACAGTGGCTCATGCCAGTAATCCCAACACTTTGGAAGGCTGAGGCAGGCGGATCACTTGAGTCCAGGAGTTTGAGATCAGCCTGAGCATCATGATGAGACCTCATCACTACAAAAACTCAAAAATTACCTGAGTGTGATGGTGAGCACCTGTGGTCCCAGCTACTCAGGAGGCTGATGAGGCAGAATTGCTTGAGCCCAGGAGGTCAAGGCTGCAGTGAGCCACTGTACATGCCACTGCACTCCAGCTTGGGCAAAAAGAATGGGACCCTGTGTCAAAAAAAAAAAAATTGTTATAGACTTCTTTGTGGAAGGCATCCTTCTTCATCATGCCTAGTAAGTGTAATTACTGAAGTGTCACAAATATCTTAGATTGTTTCATTTTTTTAAGGTATCCTGTAATATGACTCTCAAGAAGAGTGTCTTAGTGGGCATAAATTAAGATAGCAAAAGTACTGAAGAAGTTGAGTTAATTAGGAGAGCATTCCCAAAATTGCTGAGTAGTGGCAATTTTAGATTCTCTTTGGTGGAATCAGAGTGGAAGAGGTAGGCAAGAAGATTTGGAGAAAACTAGATTATAATACATACTGTAGAGAGTTCCTGGGGTTAGAGGAAGGATCTCATTTTCTCCTGTTTTTTTAATGTATTTTTTTCTCTTTTTGTTTTCTTGATCACTTATTATCTGACCTTCTGGTTTATGGAGGATGAGGCAGTTATGTGTAGGTTTCACTTCCCCATCCTGATCTGACTAAACTAGCCAACAGATTTTCTCACCCTTTCCTTTTTGCCTTTTCCAGTATGGGTGGCATCCCTGCCCGGAATAGTAAAGGGGAAAGGCTTCTGCTTTATATTGGCATCATTGACATTCTACAGTCTTACAGGTGAGGAGCATATGGATCCCAAATTAAGAGAGGGTGGATACAGATAACCAGTCACGTTTCTCTTTTAGATAGGTTTGTTACCAAGTTCTTCCGGAAGCAAGAACAGTGAGTTGCAGTCTGGCTACTTACTTCATTAGTTTTCAGATGGTTTATTTCCTTGATTTTGCCTCTTTCCCCGGCCTTTATAACCCTTCCTCCCCCATCTCCCCAGACATAATGTATACCTTCTGTGGAAAGCTGAGTCAGTCCTTGGAAGCACCAGGGTAGAATATGCCATCTGTCTGGCTCTTTGCAAAAACCTATGAGATGAGTCATGTTCCACATGGGGATACAACTGGAAACGTTACCCTTTTCCAAGGAGGAAAAACAGGAGGGTCACTGTGTTCTGTAAAATGTATTAGACTGTGGAACTAAGAGGCAATGGAGTGATCATCAGGGAGGAGCTGGAATTGTTAGACCCCAGTTTTGTTCCTGTAAGGTTTTAAATACTAATGAGGACTGGACGGTACTTGATTTGTTGGTTCAGTATTATCATCCAGTTTTAACTACCCTTTCCAGTCTTGCCCATCTGTTCCTTCAGCTCTCCTTTTATAATAAATATTCATGTTCCTGATTTGTCAGGGACATAAATTGCCCTTTTCCCATGGGGGGAATAATTGACTTACCTAGAAACAACATTGGTCTCTGTGATGAACCAGCACTGCCATGCCTGTTCTTGGGAAAACCAGTGTACCAGTAGATGTGCTTTCTCAGCTTCTGTCTTTTCAAGATTTTCTATTACCCCTTTAACCCCCTAAAATATAAAGTTATTAAGGTCATTTATTTAAAAATGACGTGAGTAGGTGATGTACATTTTTCTTGCAGGTTTGTTAAGAAGTTGGAGCACTCTTGGAAAGCCCTGGTACATGACGGAGTAAGTAGTAATACTAGAGGCTCTCTTACCGTACACTTCTGCCTCCATCACTTCTGATTGGCCTCAGTTTCTTGCAATTTTTTCTTTTTTCTTTTTTCTTTTTTTTTTTTTTGAGACAGGGTCTCACTCTGTCACCCAGGCTGGAGTGCAGTGGCGTGATCTCGGCTCGCTGCAACCTCCGTCTCGCAGTTTCAAGTGATTCTCCTGCCTCAGCTTCCCGAGTAGGTGGGACCACAGGCGCGTGCCACCACGCCCAGCTAATTTTTGTATTTTTAGTAGAGATGGGTTTCACCATGTTGGCCAGGCTGGTCTCAAACTCCTGACCTCAAAGTGATCCGCCTACCTTGGCCTCCCAAAGTGCTGAGTTGAGATGGAGTCTCGCTCTGTCACTCAGGCTGGAGTACAGTGGCACAATCTCAGCTCACTTCAACCTCCATCTCCCAGGTTCAAGCAATTCTCATGCCTCAGCCTCCCATGTAGCTGGGATTACAGGTGCCCACCACCATGCATGGCTAAGTTTTGTATTTTTAGTAGAGATGAGGTTTTGCCATGTTGAACAGGCTGGTGTCGAACTCCTGACCTCAGGTGATCCGCCCACCTCAGCTTCCCAAAATGCTAGGATTACAGGTGTGAGCCACTACGTCTGGCCCCTTCCGTTTATTTCATCTGTAGGTTTTACCCTTCTGCTAGGGGCTCAGTCTGGGGGAAGATGGCCCTTGGACTAGAGTTCCTCTTGCCGGGCCTCCTAACTCTATAGCATTTCTTCTGCTCTGCAGGACACTGTCTCAGTGCATCGCCCAGGCTTCTACGCTGAACGGTTCCAGCGCTTCATGTGCAACACAGTATTTAAGAAGATTCCCTGTAAGTGGTTTCTACCAATTGACTGCCTACTCCTGCCCAGTGGCTCCCTTACCCCAAGAGAACAGAGGGCAGGACACCTCTGGTAGGGAGCTGCCAATGCCAGAGGCCTCTCCTTCCACCTACATCCCATGAGAGCCATTTCTTGTCCTTTGTGTTAGTCTGTCATAGTCATTTCCAAGTTGCTGTTTCCCCCTTGGCTCTTCCTGCATATGTCAATGAGGTGAGGACCATTTCTGGGGAATTGGGATTTGCAAAAAAATAAATAAATAAATAATGTGTAGTTGTGGATGTAGGATCCATGCCACAGAGATAGGCAGAGCCTATGTACAGAGATACGCAGTGAGGTTAATGGTGTTCTGTTTTGTCTTCTAGACTATCTCAGGTGGTTACAGAAGCATTTACTGATTTCTGCTTAGCACATGTTTTTAGTCTCTTTTCTCAACTTTCTTGTTTAGGAAGTGCCAATATTTTTTTGCAAATCTTCCATGCTGCTGCCATAGCAAATTCTAGCTTCTCTTTCCCTTCTTCTCATATTAGGCATCATTATTCCCATAGCGAGGGAGAGGGGACCTAGGCATGCCAGTCTTAAGGGATATGGAAAAACCAGGCTGGGTGCAGTATCTCACACCTATAATCCCAGCACTTTGGGAGACCAAGGCAGGAGGATCGGTTAAGCCCGATAGTTTGGAACCAGCCTGGGCAACATCATGAGACCTTGTCTCTACAACAAATTTTAAAAAGATAAAAAAATCTTTACAAAGTGATAAAAATTACAAGTATCAATTATTTAGTGCTGGGCACATACATGCTAAGAAAATGTAGAGTGAAAGAGTTATCTTTCTTGGCCCGGCACGGTGGCTCACACCTGTAATCCCAGCACTTTGGGAGGCCAAAGCAGGTGGATCACCTGAGGTCAGGAGTTCGAGACCAGTCTAACCAACGTGTTGAAACCCTGTCTCTACTAAAAATACTAAAATTAGCCGGGTGGTGGTGAGCACCTGTAATCTCAGCTACTCAGGAGGCTGAGGCAGGAGAATCACTTGAACACGGTAGGCAGAGGTTGCAGTGAACTGAGATAGTGCCATTGCACTCCAGCCTGGGTGACAAGAGAGGAAACTTCATCTCAAAAAAAGTTATCTTTCTCAGGTTTTACTATAGGATACTATTAAAGAAAAAGGGGGGCCAAGCGCAGTGTCTCACACCAGTAATCCCAGCATTTTAGGAGGCCGAGGAGGGCAGATCACAAGGTCCGGAGATTGAGACCATCCTGGCTAACACGGTGAAACCCCGTCTCTACTAAAAATACAAAAAAAAATTAGCCGGGCATGGTGGTGGGCTCCTGTAGTCCCAGCTACTTGGGAGGCTGAGGCAGGAGAATGGCATGAACCCGGGAGGCGGAGCTTGCAGTGAGCCAAGATGGCACCACTGCACTCCAGCCTGGGCGACAGAGCAAGACTCTCGTCAAAGAAAAAGAAAAAGGGGGCAGGGCAGTGGCTCATACGTATAATCCCAGCACTTTGGGAGGCCTAGGTGGGCGGACCACCTGAGGTCAAGAGTTCGAGACCAGCCTGACCAACATGGTGAAACCCCGTCTCTACTAAAAATATAAAATTAGCTGGGTGTAGTGGCGCATGCCTGTAATCCTAGCTACCCAGGAGGCTGAGGCATGGGAATCACTTGAACTCTGGAGGTGGAGGTTGCAGTGAGCCAAGATCGCGCCATTGCACTTCAGCCTGGGCAACAAGAGCGAAACTCCATCTCAAAAAAAAAAAAAAAAAGGAATTATGCAATAGGGTACATTTCATCTGATGGAAGTAAAGCAGTCATCAAGGCTCCATGTTGGGGGGTTAGGTGTGGATATGTTTCCTTTCTTCTAGGTTTTCATGCCTCTTGGAAAGTGAAGTGAGCTAACACCTTGTTCTCTGAATAGTAATTCATAGGCCTGTCTTTGTTGACATTAGCCTTTTCACTTTTCAGACCAACTTTGGGTGTGTGTTGGGGATACTAGCAATTATTTGTATCTATGTCTTGGTAATAGTTGCTAAGGTAGTTGCTAAGTAGGCTCTCTCTTTCCCTTTTGAAGTGAAGCCTTCTCCTTCCAAAAAGTTTCGGTCTGGCTCATCTTTCTCTCGGCGAGCAGGCTCCAGTGGCAACTCCTGCATTACTTACCAGCCATCGGTCTCTGGGGAACACAAGGCACAAGTGACAACAAAGGCAGAAGTGGAGCCAGGTCAGCGCTAGGGCTGGGGTCCCCATGTGATTGGGTACTCCCTCCCTTCCTTCTGAGCCTTTATCTTGTCTGGCCAGGACCTCTGCTCCCATTTCTATCCAGGAAGCCTAGCTGCTACATATTTTTCCTTGTATTTACTGTACCCCATCTTCTCTATCTTTTTTCCAGGCGTTCACCTTGGTCGTCCTGATGTTTTACCTCAGACTCCACCTTTGGAGGAAATCAGTGAGGGCTCGCCTATTCCTGACCCCAGTTTCTCACCTCTAGTTGGAGAGACTTTGCAAATGCTAACTACAAGGTTGGTTTATTGGCCCCTTTCTCCATATAATCTTATCTCTCTTTTCAAGTCCTTGGAAACCTCTATAATTTGATTGCATCATAATAAATTACCCCAAAGATTAGTGGCTTAAAATAACAAACATATATCATACTTTCTGTGGGTCAGGAATCCAGGCCCAGCTTAGCTGGGTCCTCTGGCTCAAGATTTCTCATGAGGTGGCATTTAAGCTGTTGGCCAGGGCTGGGGTCTCATCTGAAGGCTCAAACAGGAAGATCTGCTTTTAAGCTTATTTATGTGGTTACTGGTAGGATTCTGTTCCTTGTGGGTTGCTGAACTGAGGGCCTTAGTTCCTTGCTGGCTGTTGTCTGGGGGCTTCCCTCAGTTCTTTGCTACATGGACTTCTCCATAGGACAGCTCAGAACATGGCACCTGGGCTATCTGACAAGTGAACAAGAGAGCATGTGCCTATGCAGAAACCATGGCCTCTTATAACTTAATCTCAGAATTGACATTCTACTTGTGCTACATTCTGTTCACTAAATGCAGCCCACACTCAAGAGGAAGGAATTACCCATGGGTGTGAATACCAGGAGGTGCAGGGATCATTGTGAGCCATCTTAGAAACTGCCTGTCATAGTCTGCTCTCTGGTCTCCAGTAATTTACATACCTCCATGTCGAAAATACACTGACCCCCTCCCAGGGTCTCATCCCATTGTAGCGTTAGCTCAGAGTCCAGAGTTTTATTACCTAAATTAGGTCCGGTTGGATGAGCCCCCCAGGTATAGTTCCTTAAGCACAGCTCCTCAAGTACAGTTCTTCTCAATCTGTGAACTTGTGGAACCAAAGAGACAAGTTATCCTTTCCCCATGTACCTAGCATACAATGGTGAGACAGGCATTAGATAACCAATATACACATTTCTGTACATAAAAGGGGAGAATGGGAGGCACAAAAAGGAGTCATTGATTTTATTTGCTGTTCCAAAATCCAGGAAATGTTGGAGTTTCTTTTATCAGGCCTCAAAGCAGAAGAATAATTCTCCGTGGTTCTTGGCTCTACCCTCTAGACTCTTGGTTTTGTCTTCTGAGTCTTCCTTTTTCATCAAAGCTAGAGTGTGTTTTTACCTGAGTTCTTTTCTCAGGCTGCTTCTTTCCAGTAGAATTTTAGGGGAACTAGTGGTCTCTATTTTGTACTGTTTCTGTCCTTTTTGATCCAAGATGGCAGTGTTTCTACTGATACAGAAGATTTTGTGGGCCTCCTGTGATTCTCCTTGGGATTTACTCCATTAGACAAAAGCCACACTCATAAATATCTTCTTTATGAGACCTAAGCTTCTTACAGACTCTGTTTTTCGGTTGAAAGGATCTGTGAAACATAATCTTCTGAACAGCCTTTTGTATGACTGAATAGCACAATCAGCCCTCCGTATCCACAGGTTCCACATCCCAGATTCAACCAACTGTGGACTGAAAATACTTGAGAGCCTGGTGTGGTGGCTCATGCCTGTAATCCCACCACTTTGGGAGGCTGAGGTGGGAGGATTGCTTGAGGCAGTTTGAGACCAGCCTGGTCAATATAACGAGACCCCATCCCTTTGAAAAAAAAAAAGAAAGAAACGAAAAAATACTGAAAAAAAAAAAAAAAGTCGTGAAAATGTTATGTTGTTGCTGATATGTACTGTACAGTTAGGCCTGTACTTAACATGTACAGACTTTTCTTGTCATTATTCCCTGAACAATATAGTATAACAACTATTTACATAGCATTTACATTGTATTAGTTATCATAAATAATCTAGGAATGATTTAAAGTATATGGAGGGCCAGGCGTGATGGCTCACGCCTGTAATCCCAACACTTGTGAGAGGTAGAGGCGGCCAGATTACTTGAGCCTAGGAGTTTAAGATCAGCCTGAGCAACATGGCGAAACCCCATCTCTACCAAAAATACAAAAAAATTAGCCAGGCGTGGTGGTATGTTCCTGTAGTCCAAGTTACTCAGGAGGCTGAGGCAGGAGGATCGCTCGAACCCCGGAGGCAGTGGTTGCAGTGAGCCGAAATCGCGCCACTGGACTCTAGCCTGGGTGACAGAGCGAGACCCTGTCTCAAAAGAAAAATAAATAAAAATAAAGTATATGGAGGATGTGTGTGAGTTATATGCAAATACCATAGCATTGTATATAAGGGACTTGTGCATTGTGGATTTTGATATTCAAGGAGGGGTCCTGGAACCAGTCCCCCACAGATATTGAGGGATGACTATACTCTGAACCAATACCTTTTGTTTTTCTGAGGTCTTAATAAGATGTTTCACAGTCATATGTTTGCCTTCATCTTTAGACCACATTTTCTTGGCAGTGCTCTGGAGCTTATCCTTGCTCAAAAGCCTTTTTTTTTTTTTTTTTGGTAGAGATGTCTCATTGTGTTAACCAGGCTGGTCTTAAACAATCCTCCTCCCTCTGCCTCCTGAAGTGAGCCACCGTATGTGGCCTGCCATTTCTTAATTTTAGCATCGTTTGCTCTCTGGAGAGGCTTAGAATTTTCAAAACTTATCAAGTTCTGGCATTTTTGTTTAATAGTCCTTCCCATAATTTCTTTATCTTCTCCTATATTTTATTATAAGCATCAAGAGAAAACCAGGTGGCACCTTCAGGACTTTGCTTGGAAATCTCCGTAGCTAGATTGTCCAATTCATTAGGCACATATTCTACTTCTCACATAATCACAAATCACATTGTTGCTAAACTTTGTGCTGCTGCCTTACTAGGATCTCCTTTCCTTCAAGTTCCAATAAAATTTTTCTCACTTTAAGCCCTCACTGGTAACCCCCTTTAAGTCCAAAATTCTATAAACAGCATATTCAGGACACTACCTTTTCACTAAAATGCTCCTCCAAGCCACCCCCAATGTTTTGTTTTGTTTTGATTTTGTTTTTCGAGATGGAGTCTCACTCTGTTGCCCAGGCTGGAGTACAGTGGCACGATCTTGGTTCACTGCAGTCTCTGCCAACAGGGTCTCCCTCTGTCACCCAGGCTAGAATGTAGTGGCACTATCTTGGTTCATTGCAACTTCCGCCTCCCAGGTTCAAGCGATTCTCCTACCTCAGCCTCCCGAGGAGCTGGGATTACAAGCGTGCACCATCATGCCTGGCTAATTTTTGTATTTTTGGTAGAGACGTGGTTTTGCCATGTTGCTGAGGCTGGTCTTGAACTCCTGGCTTCAGATGATCTGCCTGCCTCAGGCTCCCAAAGTGCTGGGATTATAGGCATGAGCCACTGCACCAGGCCACCACCCCCAAATTTTAGATTTTTGTTATAGCAGCACCTCAATTCCAGGTACAAAAGTCTGTATTATCTATTATTGTGTAACAAATTACCCCCAAACTTAGCTGTTGAAAACAAACATTTGTTATCTCAGTCTGGGTGTGGTGGCTCACACCTATAATCCTGGCACTTTGGGAGGCCGAGGAGGGCGGATCACCTGAGGCCAGAAGTTCGAGACCAGCCTGGCCAACATGATGAAACCCCATCTGTACTAAAAATAGAAAAATTAGCCAGGTGTGGTGATTTGTGCCTATAATCCCAGGTACTCAGGAGGCCGAGGCGAGAGAATTGCTTGAACCCGGGAGGCAGAGGTTGCAGTGAGCCAAGATAGTGCCACTGCACTTCAGCCTGGGCGACAGAGCGAGATCTGTCTCAAAAAGAAAACAAAAATTTGTTATCCCAGTTTCTGTACCTTAGCTGGATGCCTTTGGCTCGGGTTCTCTCGAGATTACAGTCAAGCTATTAGTCCAAAAGCTTATCTGAGGGAAGATCAGCTTCTCAGCTCACTTATATGGTTGTTGGCAGTATTCGGTTCCTTGTCACATCGCCCTATCCATAGCCAGCTCATAGCATAGGAGCTGGCTTTCCTCAGAGCAGGCAAGCAGGGGCTAGAGCATGAGTCCAAGAAGAAGATACAGTATTTTTGTAATCTAATCTCAGAATGGACATTCCATCTCCTGTGCTGCATTCTGTTCATGAGAAGAGAATCACTAAATGCAGCCCACACTTGAGAGAGAATTACACAATGGCATGGATCTCAGGAGGCAGGGATTATTGGGGGCAATCTTAGAGGGTACCTACGACACCTGGAGATTGAAACAGAAGAGGGCAGGGTACTGGGAAATATTTTATAGTATTCAAGAAGCTAAATATGGTTAATTAAAACAGTGTGCTTCTAAATCTAGTAGCTTCTCAGCCTCTTCTTTCCAAATTCTAAATTGATTCCAAAGTGAAAATTAGAGAAGCAGTATGAGATTTAAAAGGAGAGTCCTTTGTTGTTGTCTTCTAATTCTTTTTCTCTCTGCTTCCATTTTTTTTCTCCTGTTAGTACAACCTTGGAAAAGCTTGAAGTTGCAGAGTCAGAGTTCACCCATGTGAGTATCTGGGATGTGTGGGAGGTGAACGTTTTGCAAGGTATAAAGAGGATCACTGATGGCCTGGAGCAGGAAGTTAATTGTCAAGATTAGAGGATCTGGGTACCTCCTAAATCTTGTTTTTTATTTTTTATTATTTTTTTATTTTGTACTTATTTATTTATTTATTTATTTATTTTTGAGATGGCGTCTCACTCTGTTGCCCAGGCTGGAGTGCAGTGGTGCAATCTCAGCTCACCTGCAACCTCTGCCTCCTGGGTTCAAGCAGTTCTCCTGTCTCAGCCTCTGGAGTAGCTGGGACTACAGGTGCGTGCCACCACGCCCGGCTAATTTTTTATTTTTTAGTAGGCGCAGGGTTTCATCATATTGGACAGGCTGGTCTTGAACTCCTGACGTCGTGATCTGCCCACCTTGGCCTCTCAAAGTGCTGGGATTACAGCCGTGAGCCATTGCACCCAGCCATCGTGTTTGTGTTTTTGAGACGGAGTCTTGCTCTGTCACCCAGGCTGGAGTGCAGTGGCGCGATCTCGGCTCACTGCAAGCTACGCCTCCCAGGTTCACGCCATTCTGCTGCCTCAGCCCCTTGAGTAGTTGGGACTACAGGCGCCCACCACCATGCCCGGCTAATTTTTTGTATTTTTAGTAGAGCAGGGTTTCACCGTGTTAGCCAGGATGGCCTCGATCTCCTGACCTCGTGATCCACCTGCCTGGGCCTCCCAAAGTGCTGGGATTACAGGTGTGAGCCACCATGCGCGGCCGCCATCTTGTTTTTTAAAAAATATTTTTGGTACCTCATACTTGGAGGCTGAGGCTGAAATAGAAATTTCTTAACGCTTGAATTCCATTTCTGCTTAATCTCATACTCCACATCCTTAACTTTACACTCTCCCTTTTCAGTAAGCGCAAAGCCTCAGAAGACCTGGAACAAGATTCTGCCATCTCTGTGATCCCAAGATGTCAGCCCTTGCCCCAGCAATGCTGAATTTTCTTCTACTTGGTCATCAAAAAAGGAGTGTAATAGAAGTGAGGGGAGCTGCTCCTCCATCTTCTTCCTGAAGAAGAACCTTCTCTCCTTCCTCTTCCTCATGAATGGGCCTTAGTGCCTCAGAGAGTTGAGGACCGCAGCATCCCCTCCACTCCAGAGTTGGGTGGTATGGATTTTCAACTGGCCAACCCTTTGCCTCCACTATTGAATTTTTTTCAGACCCCCATTCTTCATGCTGGAAATGGGATTGCTGGACTTGGCAGCTTTCTTTCCCCTCGTCTTTGACTAGGAACCGGACTCTTAATTTCCTCAGGACAGACTAGCTGGCACATTATCCCTACCTTAGTTCTTTCTCTCTGACTCCTGGAAGAATACTCCTGTAATCTCTGTAAAGGTTTTTGGGGGATAAGGGTGTTTAACCACCTCCCAGCTTTCTTCTTCTTTTTTTTTTTCTGAAAAAAGGAAAAAGCACACAGCACACAATTTCAAGCCATTTTCAGATCAGAACTCCAGAAGTGTTGACAAGATGCCTATTCGTAGAGTTCCCTCAGAAGAGCCATGGTGTTTATGAAGAGAAGAGTAGTGATTGCTCTGCCAGAAGCAGCTCCTCTTTAAACTCCTCCTCTCTTGATGAATTTCTTAAGGCTGAAGGAATGAAGAGAGTGGGACATGGGGTAATCTTTATCCCTTTTGTTAAAACAGGAGGCAGCCATGGGCTGGGAGATCATAGCCCTTCCTAGGCAGAATCCTGTTCACTGCCAGGCTATAGTAATTATTACTATTTTGCAATTTGAAATATATTCTGGTTGTTTTTCTAAATGTGAAGACTTACCAAATGAATTTTAGATCATTCTCCAGAGGAGATTTTTTTTGCTCTTCTCATCTTTTCCAACAGTGTTCTCCTGTTTGTGGAGCTAAGGTAAAGAGGGGACACTTCTGTCTGTTTAACAGACAGTCCATATCTGTGAGGCCAGCAAATATTTTCTTAAACTCATGGGGAGACAGCAGATTCTTGCCTTGGTGAGGTCATTGCTGTGCCATATGTCCTACCCCCCTGTCTTCATGCAGGGAAGTTGGAAATGGGGGCTACATATGCCCTCTCCTCCCCGTCTACAAGAGTTGTGGTTTTCCATCTGATCCTTCCACTCTTGTCAGGGGAAGAAGGGGGCCTGGTATCTCAGGCAGATTGTTGAATTCCTGTTCTATCCCTTCTCTATCCCACCCTGCCTTGATAATATGTTAGCCCATACCCCAAATAACTGTCTATATTAGACACCCCCAGCCAGTTTCTGGCTGCCTGTCTTTGCTGCCATGTTTTTTACAAGAAGGAAAGAATTCTTGCTATTTTTTTTTCATAATTTACTATTTATGATGTATTTAAGTGTTTTATTAAGGACAGAGTTCTGTTAGGGGTGGGAGGGAATATTTGAGGGAGGGCTGGGTCTTAGGGAAAGGAATGGGGAAGCAACATTTTTATTAAGTGTTACTATTTGCCTCTACTTTGTATTGTTCAGAAATGGCAAATACAATATAAAAGTGATATATGGTTTTAATGTAATAAACTTTAATGAGTTATTTAGACCTCTTATTTTTTCTGATTCTTTTTCATATACCATCTGCTCACCCTCCTACTCCACCACCCAGGCTCAGTTTTGTTCATGTTGCCCTAAACAAAGGCTGCATACTTTCCAGCTTGCAACACTCCAGCTTCACTCTTAAGGCTTTATGTCCTTATATCCTCTTCCTCAGCAACCCCATTATCTTCACGAGGAAAAGCAGTGAATGAATATGAGGGGAGTTACTGTAGGTCTCTTGCCTAGGTTGCAACCCAATTTAACAGGGATTTGAGGTTCAAAACTCACTTTACTCAGTTAAGTGAGGAAAGGAGAGGGACAGTGGGAAAAGTAAGTTTGAGGTTAGCTGGCCCTAGTGATTCCCTCCCTTTCGTTCTCTTGACCTGGCCCTAGGGCGTCACTCTTAGAAGATCATAGAGATTGCTTTCTTTAGCTGTTTTCTTTTGTGAGGTTGAGCTAAGGCTCCTTTGATAGGAAACTAGACAAAAAAGTAGGGGCGGGCCAGGCGCGGTGGCTCACACCTGTAATCCCAGCACTTTGGGAGGTGGAGGCAGGTGGATCACCTGAGGTCAGGAGTTCGAGACCAGCCCAGCCAACATGGCAAAACCCCGTTTATTGAAAATTAGCAGGGGATGGTGGCATGCGCCTGTAGTCCCAGCTACTTTGGAGGTCAAGGCTGGAGAATTGCTTGAACCTGGGAAGCAGAGGTTGCAGTGAGCGAAGATTGCGCCAGTGCACTCCAGCCTAGGCGACTGAGACTGTCTAAAAAAAAAAAAAAAAAAAAGGAGCGGTGAGGTTCATTCTGAGGCATGAAGATAGGGAACCTTTGGAGAGAAGCAGTTAAGCAAACAGCTGCTTTTCATACCACTATTCCCTATCTTGTTAAGGGCACTCCAAATATTTATATAGCAGCTAATGAGCAATGCATGGAGTAGATGGAGATCAAAGAAATAATTGTCCTTCAAAAGTTTCTAGTTTCCAGGAGGAACACAAATCACAAAAACAATATGTTATATGTGAGACAGCTACTTAAGCTCTCTGAAGGTGGCACAGAACATAAAAGGGGGAAAAATTAGCAGTTACGTGCGAAAGAAGTGTTAAGAGAATGTTTCACTTCAGCACAAGGACCTAGATGCATGAGAATGGTCTGTTTTTGAGAACAAGGAAGAGATCATGATGAGAATATTGGAATAAGTATAGTTAGAGGCAATATTGGGAACCCTGAAATATTTTTTGCCCCAATAGGATGTGATACAAAATAATTGAGAGACTAACAAAGTTCCATCAGAATTAAACAGAGGATTGGCCAAGTCCAGTGGCTCACACCTGTAATCCCAGCACTTTGGGAGGCCAAGATGGGTGGATCACTTGAGGCCAGGAGTTCAAGAGCAGCCTGGCCAACAATGCGAAACACCATCTCTACTAAAAATACAAAAATTAGGCCAGGCGCGGTGGCTCACGCTCGTAATCCCGGCACTTTGGGATGACGAGGCGAGCAGATCATCTGAGGTTGGGAGTTCGACCAACAGGGAGAACCAGCATGACCAACATGGAGAAAACCCATCTTTACTAAAAATACAAAAAATTAGCTGGGCGTGGTGGGTGCACGCCTGTAATCCCAGCTACTTGGGATGCTGAGGCAAGACAATCGCTTGAACCTGAGAGGCAGAGGTTGCGGTGAGCCAAGATCGAGCCCTTGCACTCCAGCCTGGGCAGCAAGAGTGAAACTCCTTCTCAAAAAAAAAAAAAAAAAAAAAAAATTAACCGGGCATGGTGGCGGGCGCCTGTAATCCCAGCTACTCGGGAGGCTGAGACAGGAGAATCGCTTGAACCCAGGAGGCAGAGGTTGCAGTGAGCTGAGATTGCACCATTCATTGCACTCCACCCTGGCAACAGAGTGACACTCCATCTCAAAAAAAAAAAAAAAAAAAAAAAGAAGAAAGAAAAAGCAAGTACTTGGATTGGAAGAGGAATGGGGGATTCTCAAAGTTTCTTTTCATTTTTCTTTTCTTTTTCTTTCTTTCTTTCTTTTTTTTTTTTTTTTTTTTGAGACAGATTTCACCATGTTGGCCAGGCTGGTCTCAAACTCCTAGCCTCAAGTGATCCGCTCACCTCGGCCTCCCAAAGTGCTGGGATTACAGGCGTGAGCCACTGCATTCGGCCCAGATTCTCAAAGTTTTGAATTTGATTTTCCCACAGCCCCAGCCAGTCCTCCTTTTGTCTGGATAAGGAGAAAACTTTTTTCCCTAATAGGAATTGGAGGTTAACATGTTTTAGGCATAAATGTTCTGCATCCCTGACCTTGTCACTCAGAGTGTACTCAAAACTACTGAATGGGTGGTGTAGATAATCCTCTTATGATCAGAGGGTCCCTCTAGCGGTGAGCAGCGACTAGTGCTTATTCTCTAGCTATATGCTCTAATTTATATTCAGATACAAGTAGGGTCTATTAGTGTAAAACTTCTAACTAAAAGAGAAATTAAAATCATAGGATAATAAAGTTGGAAATCGTCATCTGGTCTGATATTTTACCCTTAAGCATGTCAATCTCAGCTATTCTGAGATGTATTCAGAGATGAAGTCTCATTCTTTATTAGTTTTGTTTTTCTTTTTTTGAGACGGAGTTTCACTCTTGTCGCGCAGGTTGGAGTACAATAGCACGATCTCGGCTCACTGCAACCTTTTCCTCCCGGATTCAAGTGATTCTCCTGCCTCAGCCTCCAGAGTAGCTGGGACTATAGGCACCCACCACAATGCCCGGCTAATTTTTGTATCTTTAGTAGGATGGGATTTCACCATGTTGGCCAAGATGTTCTCGATCTCCTGAACTTATGATCCGTCCGCCTCGGCCTCCCAAAGTGCTGAGATTTCCCAGCCTTGGTTTTCTTTTTTAGTCTTGCTCTGTTACCCAGAGCAATCTCAGCTCACTCTAGCCTTGACTTTCTGGGCTCAGGCGACTTTCCTACCTCAGTCTCTCAAGTAGCTGGGACTACAGGCTGGCACCATCACAATCAGCTAATTTTTGTATTTTTTTGTAGCGACGGGGGTATCCAGGCTGGTCTCGGACTCCCAACCTCAAGTGATCTGCCCACCTCGGCCTCTCAGTGCTGGGATTACAGGCGTGAGCCACCGTGCCCAGCTGGCCTTCTTTTTTTCATTATGGGAATTTCCAAACCAAAAGTAGAGTAGTATGGTGAACCACTATGTACACATAACCCAGCCTCAATAATTATCAACATAAATAAGACCAGCGTGGCCGGGTGCAGTGGCTCAAGCCTGTAATCCCAGTTTTCGGAGGCTGAGATGGGAGGCCAGGAGTTAGAGGTTGCAGTGAGCTATGTATGATTGCACCACTGCTGCACTCCAGCCCAGTGAGACCTTGTCTCTTTTGTTTTACTTTGAGACCCTGTCTCAAAAAACAAAACTATTTGTTTCTTCCAGAGGATTAAGTTAAATCCCAAACTTCATATACTTTTTTTATCTATGAATACAACATATAACCCTTAATAAAGCCTACTTTTATAAGGGTGATAACTTTAACACTATTATCATGCCTAAAAAAATTGCTTAATATCAAATATCCAGCTGATGTGATGGCTCACGCCTGTAATCCCAACACTTTGAGACTTTTTTTTTTTCAGAGATGGGGTCTGGCTATGTTGCCTACGCTGGTCTCGAACTCATGCGCTCAAGCCATCCTCCCACATCAAAAAATTAAAAACAAATTAGCTGGGCTTGGTGGCATGCACCTATAGCCCCAGCTACTCAGGAGGCTGAGGCAGGAGGATGGCTTGAACCCGGGAGGTGGAGATTGCAGTGAGCCGAGATCAGGCCACTGCACTCCAATCTGGGCAACAGAGCGACACCCTGTCTCAAACAATAAAACTTTGTAGAGACGGAGTCTGGCTGTGTTGTCCAGGCTGGTCTCAGACTCCTAGCCTGAGTTGATCCTCCTGCCTGGGCCTCCCAAAACGCTGGGATTATAAAACCTAAGCCATTGCATCAGGCCTTGAATGTAATTTTTGATTAACCAAAACGGTTTAGTGGTTTGTTCTTTGGCAGATTAGTTAATATAATTGAGTTGTCAAATCTTTTCCGGGCTCTGTACTGGGCTTAGGGAATTGTAAAGATTAAGACACGTTGCCGGCCAGGTGTGGTGGCTCACGCCTGTAATCCCAGCACTTTGGGAAGCTGAGGTGGGTGGATCATCTGAGGTCAGGAAATCGAGACCAGCCTGGCCAACATGGTGAAACCTCGTCTCTACTAAAAATACAAAATTAGCCGGGCATGGTGGAATGCCCCTGTAGTCCCAGCTACCTGGGAGGCTGAGGCAGGAGAATCCCTGGAACCCAGGAGGTGGAGGTTGCAGTGAGCCGAGATCGAGCCACTGCACTCTAGCCTGGGTGAAAGAGCGAGACTCCTCCGTCTCAAAAAAAAAAAAAAAAAAAAAAAAAAAAAAAAAAAAAAAGGCACGTTGCCCACCCTTAGTTAAACGAGGGAGGAGATAAATATACAAATAAATTCAATTGAAGGGTATAAGGGCTTGTTGAATTAAAATTCTACAGGGAACTGAGGGCTGTAGAAAGTCATTAGCGATCCCGACACTTTTTTTTTTCTTTTTTTGAGACGGAGTCTCACTCTGTCCCCCAGGCTGGAGTGCAGTGGCGCGATCTCGGCTCACTGCAATCTCTGCCTCCCGGGTTCAAGTAATTCTCCTGCCTCAGCCTCCCGAGTAGCGGGGATTACAGGCGTGCGCCACCATGCCCGGCTAATTTTTTGTATTTTTAGTAGAGACAGGGTTTCACCATGCTGGCCAGGCTGGTCTCGAACTCCTGACCTCGTGATCCGCCCGCCTTGGCCTCCCAAAGTGCTGGGCTAACAGGCGTGAGCCACCGCGCTCGGCCGATCCCGACACTTTTTTAAAATGCCGAAGCCGGAATCGACACAGCACTTTCAAAGGTTCCTCCATAGCTCCCCTGAGATCCGGCCAGCGGGAAACCCCAACTGAGAACTGCAATGGCAGGGAAAGTGGAGGCTAGATCCTGTTTTTTGTGTTACCGCGATTCCCTTCAACTACCCTCAAGACGCCTACAAATTTGTTTGGCGGCACCTACAACTCCCAGAACGCAACGTGGGGGACGGAGGCGGAAGCAGCTGGCCAAGCCGAGGTCTGTGATTGGTGAAGAGCGACGGGCCAATTGGAGGAGTTGTTGTTAGGCCGTCCCGGAGACCCGGTCGGGAGGGAGGAAGGTGGCAAGATGGTGTTGGAAAGCACTATGGTGTGGTGAGGAGCTACTTCGGGGCAGGAGGGGCAGAGCTGGGTTCCGGGCGCGTGTAGCGCCAAGGCAGGGAGGGCCTGGGGTGGGGGCCAGGGGCTCATGGGCGAGAGGCGGCCCTGGCCCCGGAGGTAAGGAGCCCGCTGGACTCCCTGAGTCATCCCGGGGCCCTGGAGTGGCGGATAGTCCCGGGTTACCACTGTTACCCCCAGGGGGACGGTCATTGACTGGTCATTCCTGCTTCCTTTCTCTGTTCTAGCGCCGTCTTCTCTAGAGCAGCCCGGGTCTGTCTTTAGCTACAGTTCTGCTTTTCGGACTCATCGTAATAGTTTTCTGCCCTCCTTTCTTTGCAAAATAACGTCTATTAGGAAAATAGATTATTAATCCCTTCCTCTCCCCATTCCCTCGTCTCTAACTTCATTACCTTTCCCTGTATCATCTTCAAAGGTACCATTTACAGATTGCTTTTTATGTATCAGTCATTTTGTTTATCTCACTTATACCTCACAACCAC
The DNA here is from genome assembly GCF_000001405.40 of Homo sapiens. Taxonomy (NCBI): domain Eukaryota; kingdom Metazoa; phylum Chordata; class Mammalia; order Primates; family Hominidae; genus Homo; species Homo sapiens. The sequence goes on from NC_000001.11 coordinate 151,255,315, forward strand.
ACCTTAAGGTAAATTATCTCTCCATTTTACGGTTCAGGATACCGAGTCTCAGCGATTTTAAGTGATTTGTCCAAAATCATACAGCTAGTTAAGTGGTGGAGTCAAGATTTAAACCCACGGCTGTCTGACACAAAGGCTTTATCCGGTGAGGTAGCTCTCTTTGTCAGTTTCAGGCTTGGGCTGAGTACCTATTACGAGTCACATTAGAAGAGGAGGACATAAATTTTTGCAGGGTTTCAAGAGTTCCTTCTAAGTGTAATCACTGAATGTAATACAGAATAGTTGACGAACACAAATCACCGATTGGGTGAAACAGGCACCTATGAGATTTCTTCTTTTTATTTTCTCGGGGGAGCATAGCATTGCCAGATAACATACAGGATGCCCAGTGAAATTTGAGTTTCAGATAAACGATGAATAATTTTTTTTTGAGACGGTCTCGCTCTGTCTCCCGGACTGGAGTGCAGTGGCCCAGTCTGGCTCACTGCAGCCTCCGCCTCCCTGGTTCAAGTGATTCCCAGTGATTGAACTAATTTACACTTGCACCAACGATAGAACAGTGTTCTCTTTTCTCGCAACCTTGCCAGCATCTGTTATTTTTTTAGTTTTTAGTAATAGCCATTCTGACTGGTGTTAGGTGGTATCTCGTTGTGGTTTTGATTTATTTGCATTTCTCTAATGATCAGTGATATTGAGGTTTTTTTAATAGGCTTGTTGGCTGTATGTATATCGTCTTTTGAAAAGTGTCTGGCTGGGGCGTGGCTCAGGCCTGTAATCCCAGCACTTTGGAAGGCTGAAGTGGGTGTATCACCTGAGGTCAGGAGTTACTGACCAGCCTGGCCAACATGGTGAAACCCCATCTCTACTAAAAATACAAAAATTAGCCAGGCGTGGTGGTGGACGCCTGTAGTCCCAGCTACTCCAGAGGCTGAGGTGGGAGAATCGTTTGAACCCCGGAGGTGGAGGTTGCAGTGAGCCGAGATGGCGCCACTGCACTCTAGCCTGGGCGACAGAGTGAGACTCCCTCTCAAAAAAAAAAAAATAATAATAAAATAAATAAATAAATAAATAAATAAATAAAAATAAAGTGTCTGATGTCTGTTCATGTCCTTTGCCCACTTTTTTTTTTTTTTTTCTCTTTGAGAAGGAGTTTTGCTCTTGTTGCCCAGGTTGGAGTACAGTGGCGCCATCTCAGCTCACTGCAACCTCCGCCTCCCTGGTTCAAGTGATTCTCCTGCCTCAGCCTCCTGAGTAACTGGGATTACAGGTGCCCGCCACCACGCCCAGCTTTTTTGTATTTTTGGTAGAGACGGGGTTTCATCATGTTGGCCAGGCTAGTCTCAAACTGCTGAGCTCAGGTGATCCACCCGCCTCAGCCTCCCAAAGTGCAGGGATTACAGGCGTTGAGCCACTGTGCCCGGCTCCTTTGCCCACTTTTTTTTTTTTTCGCTCTTATTGCCCAGGCTGGAGTGCAATGACACAATCTCAGCTCCCCGCAACCTTCGGCTCACCGCAACCTCCGCCTCCCGTGTTCAAGCGATTCTCCTGCCTCAGCCTCCTTAGTAGCTGGGATTACAGGCATGCGCCACCACGCCCAGCTAATTTTGTGTTTTTAGTAGAGACCAGGTTTCTCCATGTTGGTCAGGCTGGTCTCGAACTCCCACCCTCAGGTGATCCGCCCGCCTCAGCCTCCCAAAGTGCTGGCATTATAGGCGTGAGCCACTGTGCCCGGCCGGTCTTCCAGGATTTTTATAGTTTTGGGTTTTACCTTGTCTTTAATCCATCTTCAGTTAATTTTTGTGTATGGTATAAGAAAGGAGTCCAGCTTCAATCTTCTGCATATGGCTAGCCTAGCCAGTATCCCCAGTTATTGAATAGGGACTCTTTTTCCTCACTGCTTGTTTTGTCAGCTTTGTCAAAGAATAGATGGTCATAGGTGTGCGGCTTTATTTCTAGACTCTCTATTCTGTCCCATTGGTCTCTGTGCCTGTTTTTGTACCAGTGCCATGCGGTTTTGGTTATTGTAGCCCTAAGTAATAGTTTGAAGTTGGGTAAAGTTGCCTCCAGCTTTGTTCTTTTAGCTTAGGATTGCCTTGGCTTTTCTGGCTCTTTGTTGGTTCCATATGAATTTTCAAATAGTTTTTTCTAGTTCTTTGAAGAATGTTTTTGGTAGTTTGATAGGAGTAGCATTGAATCTGTAAATTGCTGTGGGAAGAATGGCCAATTTTAATTAATTAATTAATTAATTTATGAGACAGAGTCTTGCTCTGTCTCCCAGGCTGGAGTGCAGTGGTGTGATCTCGGCTCATTGCAACCTCCGCCTCTCAGGTTCAAGTGATTATTGTGCCTCAGCCTTCTGAGTAGCTGGGATTCCAGGCACCCGCCACCATACCTGGCTTTCTTTTTTTTTTTTTTTTTTTTTTGTATTTTTAGTAAAGATGGGGTTTGGCCATGTGGCCAGGCTGGTCTTGAACTCCTGGCCTCAAGTGATCTGCCCACCTCAGCCTCCCAAAGTGCTGGAATTACAGGTGTGAGCCACCATGCTCGGCAGTATGGCCATTTTAATGATATTGATTCTTCCTATTCATGAGCATGAGATGTTTTTCCACTTGTTTATATCTTCTTTGATTTATTTGAGCGGTATTTTGTAATTCTCATTGTAGAGCTCTTTCATCTCCCTGGTTAGTTGTATTCCTAGGTTTGTTTGTCTATTTGTTTGTTTTTTTGAGATGGAGTCTCGCTTTTGTTGCCCAGGCTGGAGTGCAGTGGCGCCATCTCGGCTCACTGCAACCTCCACCTCCCGGGTTCAAATGATTCTCCTGTCTCAGCCTCCCGAGTAGCTGGGATTACAGGTGCGTGCCACCATGCCCGGGTAATTTTTTTCTGTATTTTTAGTAGAGATGAGGTTTCATCATATTGGTCAGGCTGGTCTCGAACACTTGACCTCAGGTGATCCACCAGCCTCAGCCTCCCAAAGTGCTGAGATTACAGGCATGAGCCACAACACCCAGCCAAGGTATTTTATTCTTTTTGTGGCAGTATGCACATAGTTCTTGGCCCCATGTAGTGCATCATGGGGAACCTGCTGTTGATGTGACTGCCTTGCACATGTGCCATTGTATTACCCTTTTCGAGTGTTTTTTTTTTTTTTTTTTTTTTTGGGGGAGACAGGGTCTCATTCTGTCACCCAGGCTGGAGTGCAGTAGTGTGATCTTGGCTCACTGCAGCCTCGACCTCCGGGGCTCAAGTGATCCTCCTGCCTCAGCCTCCTGAATAGCTGGGACTACAGGCACTTACCACCATGCCCAGCTATTTTTTGTATTTTTTGTAGAGATGGGGTTTTGTCATATTGATTAGGCTGGTCTCGAACTCTTGGGCTCAAGAGAGCCTCCCTCCTTGGACTCCCTAAGTGCTGGGATTACAGGCATGAACCATCACACCCAGCCTGTATTCTCTTTTAAAATAAAGGTTTTGGCGGTAATCCCAGCTACTTAGGAGGCTGAGGCAGGAGAAGGGGTTAAGCCCAGGAGTTTGAGGTTACAGTGAGCTATGATTTCACCACTGGCCTCCAGCCTGGGTGACAGAGCAAGATCCTGTCTCAAAAAAATATGTGAAATGGCCAGGTGCGGTGGCTTACACCTGTAATCCCAGCACTTTGAGAGGTTGAGGTGGGCGGATCATCAGAGGTCAGGAGCTCAAGACCAACCTGGCCAACATAGTGAAACCCCGTCTCTACTAAAAATACAAAAATTAGCTGGCATGGTGGTGCACGCCTGTGGTCCCAGCTACCCGGGAAGCTGAAGTGGGAAGATCTATTGAGCCTGGGAGGTTGAGGCTACAGTGAGCTGTGACTGCGCTTGAACCTGTGCCTGCGCTTGAACCTGTGCCTGAATACTACCCTAGACAGGTTGAGTATTCCCTATCTGAAATGGCTAGGACCATAAGTGTTTCAGATTTTGGATTTTTGTCAGATTTTAGAATATGTACATTATACTTAACCAGCGGAGTATCCCTAATCTGGAAGTCTGAAGTGCTCCAGTGATAATTTCCTTTGAACATCATGTCAGCACTCAAAACTCAAAAACTTTCTGATTTGGGGCATTTCGGATCTCAAGAGTTTCTGATTAAGTGTACTTAACCTATATATTCCCTTTTCTGTTAATACTTGTTTTCCAGTACCTTCTTAATTACTTCTCTTTACCATTTTTGGTTTATTGCCAAACAAAGCATACTAAAGAAAAAAAAATTGCCCCAGGCTCACATTTTGCTTGCCAATAGAAATGAGATGTCTTGGCTAGGTGCCGTGGCTCACACCTGTAATCCCAGCACTTTGAGAGGCCAAGGCAGGAGGACTACATGAGTCTAGGAGTTTGTGACTAGCCTGGGCAACAAAGTGAGACTCCATCTCTATAAAATAAAAAATAAATAAAAAATGTGGTTTTTTTTGGTAGAGACTGGGTCTTCCTGTGTTGCCCAGGCTGTTCTCCAACTCCTGGGCTCAAGCGATTCTCCCTTCTCGGCCTCCCAAAGTGCTGGGATTACAGACGTGAGCCACCATGCCCAGCCTAAAAAATAGATAAAATTCTAAAAAGAAGAAATGAGGGCCAAGTGTGGTGGCTCATGCCTGTAATCCCAGCACTTTGGTAGATTGAGGTGGGTGGATCACCTGAGGTTGGGAGTTTGAGACCAACCTGACCAACATGGAGGAACCCCGTCTCTACTAAAAATACAAAATTAGCCGGGTATGGTGGTTGCATGCCTGTTATCCCAGCTACTTAGGAGGCTGAGGGAGGAGAATTGCTTGAACCTGGTAGGCGGAGGTTGCGGTGAGCCGAGATCGAGCCATTGCACTCCAGCCTGGGCAACAAGAGCGAAACTCTGTCTCAAAAAAAAAAAAAAGAAAGAAATGAGGTATCTCATCTAAGGCACTGCTTCCGTCCATTAGCACAGGTAGAACCTTAACTATTAGAGCTCTCAGGGACCTCAGAGGTCATCAAGAATTGATCCTTACAGGAGCTTATATAACTGCATCACTTACCTGCCTTCTTCTGGTCTTTGGGAAACTCGAGATTATATTTCACATTAGCTGGATACTTTTAGATCATGAAAAGTTGCAGGGATCTAAGAGGTGAGACTTCAGATCCACAAAACCTCATTTTTACCGTTCAGTTCAGCTGTCAAAGCTGTTAAGCATTTAATGAGATGATTGCATTGTACTTTTCTGCACTCAGTGCTGCCAAGTGTGTGTTATTTTATAGACCTCTTTTTTTTGAGGCAGTGGCACGATCTTGGCTCAATGCAGCCTCCACCTCTCAGGTTCAGGTGATTCTCCTGCCTCAGCCACCCGAATAGCTGGGATTACAGGTGCCTGCCACCACGCCCGGCTAACTTTTATATTTTTTAGTAGAGATAGGGTTTCACCATGTTTGCCAGGCTGGTCTCAAACTCCTGAGCTCAAGAGATCTGCCCACCTCGGCCCCCCAAAGTGCTGGGATTACAGTTGTGAGCCACCATGCCTGGCCCTATTTTATAGATTTTTTTTTTTTTTTTTGATGGAGTCTCACTCTGTCACCCAGGCTGGAGTGCAGTGGCGTGATCTTGACTCACTGCAACCTCGGCCTCCCGGGTTCAAGCAATTCTCCTGCCTCAACCTCCTGAGTAGCTAGGACTACAAGTGTGCGCCACCATACCTGGCTAATTATTGTATTTTTAGTAGAGACGGGGTTTCACAATGTTAGCCAACACTGGTCTCTAACTCCTGACTTCAGGTGATACACCCGCCTCCACCTCCCAAAGTGCTGGGATGCACTTGGGAGGCATAAGTCACTGTGCCCAGCCTATTTTATAGATTTTTTTTTTCTTTTTCTTTTTTTTTTTTTTTTTTTGAGACGAAGTTTTGCTCTTGTTGCCCAGGCTGGAGTACAATGGTGTGATCACCACAACCTCCGTCTCCTGGGTTCAGGCGATTCTTCTGCCTCAGCCTCCCGAGTAGCTGGGATTACAGGCATGTGCCACCACGCCCAGCTAATTTTCTACTTTTAGTAGAGACAGGGTTTCTCCATGTTGGTCAGGCTGGTCTTGAACTCCTGACCTCAGGTGATCCACCTGCCTCGGCCTCCCAAAGTGCTGGGATTACAGACATGAGCCACCGCGCCCAGCTATAGATATTTTTAAGTTACCTTCTTCATTTCCTATATTTGGATTACTGCCATTTAATGGCAGACTTAGAGTATTTATCCATGACAAAGCTTAGTAGCACTTAAGTGCAGCTTGTAAGAAATTGCTGTGGTTCATCAGTAGATCACCACCTTTGGTGCTCATCAGAATCATTTTGTAAGGATTTAAAAATTTTTTCGGCTGGGCACCAGGTGGCTCACACCTGTTATCCCAGCACTTGGGGAGGTGGAGGCAGGAGGATCTCTTGAGCTCAGAAGTTCAAGACCAGCTTGGGCAACATAGCTAGATCCCTGTCTCTACAAAAAAAATTTAAAAGGTAGCTGCGTGGTGGCTTGCACCTATAGTCCCAGCTACTTGGGAGGCTGAGGTGAGAGGATCACTTGAGCCCAGGAGGTGGAAGCTGCAGTGAGCCATTAGTGCACCACTCTACTCCAGCCTGAGTGACAGAGCAAGACCCTATCTCAAAAAAAAAAAAAAAAAAATTCCTCATTGGTTATTCTGAGTCAATAAATGTGGGCTAAGGCTTGATCATCTGTATATTTAAAAAAGAAAAAAAGCTACAGGTGATGCTATGAAGACTGCTGCTATAGGGGGCCTCTGGAACTGGAGAGAAGGTTTTGGAAAACTTCTACATTTCTTCTCTCTTGTCCTTCAACCCTAATCTGACAGTGTGGACAACAGTGAGTATATGCGGAATGGAGACTTCTTACCCACCAGGCTGCAGGCCCAGCAGGATGCTGTCAACATAGTTTGTCATTCAAAGACCCGCAGCAACCCTGAGAACAACGTGGGCCTTATCACACTGGCTAAGTATGGGGGACAGAGGAGGAGGGGACTCAGTAGGTGGGTGGTTGTTACATGCTACTCTTCTTTAGATTCCATGAAGCTGCTTTTGCCCATCACCTTCCTAGACTGCCTTCTGCACTATTTAGTGTAAATGTCAATAGCAACTTGTTTTTTGTATTAACCTGTATTTAATGTAGTACGGAAGCTAAATCTCCTGGGGTGAAATTTCTGTTTCTTTTTATTGTTTGTTGGGCAGGGCTAGGGTAGGGGGTGAAATTTCATAATATATTTTAAAGTCAGTGAAAAGTGATTTTGGGCTGGGCACAGTGGCTCATGTCTGTAATCCCAAGAGTTTGAGACCAGCCTGGGCAACAGGACAAAACCCTGTCTCTACTAAAAATACAAAAATTAGCCAGGCATGGTGGTGGCTACCTGTAATACCAGCTACTCAGGAGGCTGAGGCAGGAGAATCGCTTGAACTCGGGAGGCGGAGGTTGCAGTGAGCCAAGATCACACCACTGCACACCAGCTTGGGCGACAGAATGAGACTCCATTTCAAAAAAAAAGAAAAAAGTAATTTTTGGATCAGAGCCCCTGGGCATATATCACTCATCCTTTTACCCTGAAAGTGTTTTGTTTTAGGAACTGATAATTCTTAAATGAGTAGCCTCCCACTCCAGTGTACATACTGTTAGCTAGGAGAATGGGTCTGGAGGTGGAGAGGACAGGAGAGATACAAATTAGCATCGTTATTTTGGTGGATTCTCAGGGCCCTGTGAGCCTTTAAAAGGAGTTAGGGGAAAATATTTGGAAGTAGAGGGCAGCTTTCTTACAAAGCCAGCCACTTAATTATTTCTGTGCTTGGTTTCCATTAAATACTAGATGTTTGATTGAGAAGAATAGAGGCCAAGCACAGTGGCTCACGCCTGTAATCCCTGCATTCTGGGAGGCCAAGGCAGACGGATCACTTGAGGTCAGGATTTCGAGACCAGCCTGACCAACATGGCAAAACCCCGTCTCTACTAAAAATACAAAAATTAGCCGGGCGTGGTGGTGTAGATCTGTAATCCCAGCTACTCAGGAGGCTGATGCACGAGAATTACTTGAACCCGGGAGGCGGAGGTTGCAGTGAGCTGAGATTCGCCACTGCACGCCAGCCTGGGTGACAGAGCGAGACTCTGTCTCAAAAAATAAAAAAGAAGAATAGAGATTACAATTAGAATAGAAATAATGGTTATTATCCAGGTCTTTAAAGAAAAGTCAGACACAGGCCAGGTGCGGTGGCTCACGCCTGTAATCCCAGCACTTTGGAAGGCCAAGGTGGGCGGATTACGAGGTCAGGAGATCGAGACCATCCTGGCTAACACAGTGAAACCCCGTCTCTACTAAAAAAAATACAAAAAATTAGCCAGGCGTGGTAGTGGGTGCCCGTAGTCCCAGCTACTTGGGAGTCTGAGGCAGGAGAATGGCGTGAACCCGGGAGGCGGAGCTTGCAGTGACCCGAGATCACGCCACGCACTCCAGCCTGGGTGACAGAGTGAGACTCCGTCTAAAAAATAAATAAATAAAAGTTAGACACAGTTTAGAGGTACTTGTGCTGACCTGAATTCACTGAAATGCTTTTCCTACATCCCAGTGACTGTGAAGTGCTGACCACACTCACCCCAGACACTGGCCGTATCCTGTCCAAGCTACATACTGTCCAACCCAAGGGCAAGATCACCTTCTGCACGGGCATCCGCGTGGCCCATGTGAGTCCTACTGGGTTCCCTGGACCTTTCCTCCCTGCTCTGAGGTCCTGCCTCCATCATACTCATTTCTCCCCTGGAATCCTGAGCTAGGACCAGAGCAAGAGAAAGCTAACTTGGAGTAGAAAGGATATGGGGGATGAATCCCAGGGTAGTTGAGGGTTGTGAAGGGAAAAATCCCTAGAATTGAGAATTAAGGCTGGGCGTGGTAGTTCATGCCTGTAATCCCATCACTTTGGGAGGCCAGGGGAGGAGGATTGCTGAAGGCTAGCAGTTCAAGACCAGCCTGGGCACATAGGGAGACCCTGTTTCTCTAAAAAAAAAAAAAAAAAGGCCGGGCGCGGTGGCTCACACCTGTAATCCCAGCACTTTGGGAGGCTAACACGGGCAGATCACCTGACGTCACGAGTTCGAGACCAATCTGGCCAACGTGGTGAAACCCCATCTCTACTGAAAATATAAAAATTAGCCAGTACTAGGAAGGCTGAGGCAGGATAATCGCTGGAACCCGGGAGGTGGAGGTTGCAGTGAACTGAGATCACGCCACTGCACTCCAGACTGGGCGACAGAGCGAGACTCCATCTCAAAAAAAAAAAAAGAGAGAAAGAGAATTAACCTCCCTTCTTTATGCACAGAGAGTCATAGCAAAAAGGGAGGAGGTGGGGGTGTTAAATCTTGTGTGAACGTGATGGTAGATGGTGTACTTCAGGTACAAAGAAACTGTAAGAAAAAGGGAACCGAGTGACAGAGGAAAGAGCTGAGTGATTCCTCTGGTTAACTCTGAGAACTTCCTCTCCCTTTACAAGCTGGCTCTGAAGCACCGACAAGGCAAGAATCACAAGATGCGCATCATTGCCTTTGTGGGAAGCCCAGTGGAGGACAATGAGAAGGATGTGAGTCCAAGTGGCAGCTGGGGAATGTGGGGAGCCCATGTTTGGGACTGAGGTCTTCCAGCCCTCAGGAGAACCTGGCAGAGGCATCAGGCTCATCACTTTGGGGAAAGGTGAATGTGGAGAATTCAGTGATTCTGTTGGAGGACCTTGGGGAGGTCAATAGATTTCTGTATGCTTTTATGCGGCGGGTCCTTTCCCCCCCTCGAGTATGGAACAGATTTCTTGATTTTTCTCCCCTTCTTCCCAGCTGGTGAAACTGGCTAAACGCCTCAAGAAGGAGAAAGTAAATGTTGACATTATCAATTTTGGGGAAGAGGTGAGTAGGGACTGATTGGAGGGCATTGACTTAATTTGGTCATAAACAGAATGGTCCTTAACCCTGAGGAGTGCGGGTACTGTGGCAGAGTAGTGCAGAAATGGGAAAGAACAGGGAGCAAGGCCTGAAGAAGGGCATCATGTGTTCTTTCCTCCCCAGGAGGTGAACACAGAAAAGCTGACAGCCTTTGTAAACACGTTGAATGGCAAAGATGGAACCGGTTCTCATCTGGTGACAGTGCCTCCTGGGCCCAGTTTGGCTGATGCTCTCATCAGTTCTCCGATTTTGGCTGGTGAAGGTGGTGCCATGCTGGGTCTTGGTGCCAGTGACTTTGAATTTGGAGTAGATCCCAGTGCTGATCCTGAGCTGGCCTTGGTGAGCAAATGTTGACCCCAGGTAGAGTCCAAAGGTCCCTCTTTGTTCTCTTCTGGCACACACATCACAGAGCTTCTATCAGGCTGGATAGTCCTAGACACTACCAATCACTCATTTTCCAAGACCTCCTTTTGCCGCCTCTTCCCTATAATGCTGTCTGATCTCTAGGGGCACCAGTGTCAGATGCTTTCTTGTTCACTTCTGATGAAAACCGAGGCTTCTCCCAAGTCCTTACTTTTTAATCCCGTACCACTGCTTATCCCTCCAGCTTCTTCTCTGTGTGATAAACCAGAAGCTGCCCCTTTATGTTCCTTTCCCACACCCCAACTGACTTTCCCAGCTCCCTGTAGGAGTGAGGGCAGGGGAGCCCTGATTATGCCCTGCCCTTCACCAGGCCCTTCGTGTATCTATGGAAGAGCAGCGGCAGCGGCAGGAGGAGGAGGCCCGGCGGGCAGCTGCAGCTTCTGCTGCTGAGGCCGGGATTGCTACGACTGGGACTGAAGGTGAAAGAGGTGGAATCCGAAGTCCTGGGACTGCGGGATGCTAAACATTGAAAGCTGGGTGTAGGCACTGCAGGGAGAGTGTGGAGGTCTGACAGGGTAGGAATATGTGGGAGGGCTGGGCTAGGAATGGCCTTGGAGGCTGGCCTGTGTGGATATGGCACCAATTCTACCCTGCTCCTCTTTTCCTTTTCCCAGACTCAGACGATGCCCTGCTGAAGATGACCATCAGCCAGCAAGAGTTTGGCCGCACTGGGCTTCCTGACCTAAGCAGTATGACTGAGGAAGAGCAGATTGCTTATGCCATGCAGATGTCCCTGCAGGGAGCAGGTGAGCCAGAGCCTGGGTGGTGCCTAGGCAGAGGTTGGGGTGAGGAAGTGTAACTGAACAGACTGACCTCTCTTCCTCAGAGTTTGGCCAGGCGGAATCAGCAGACATTGATGCCAGCTCAGCTATGGACACATCTGAGCCAGCCAAGGTGAGACCCAACCCTGCCCCCATCAGGTTTAAAGTCCTTGAATTTAGATCCTCATCCCTCTGGGGCTGGGAGTATTTCTACCATAGCTAAGTCCTTTGAGGAGCAGAGGGAAACACATGGATTTGCATTTCTTACATGTAAACCTTGCTAAGGTAGCAATGCTAATGGTCAGAGTTGGAGAAATGTCCTCTTGTTCTGTAATTTTCCTTTCTTGCTGGTGGGAGCAGCCTGGGCAGTTCTCTAGGATGTCTTCCCAGGAGGGAAAAAAGCGGGTCTGGGAAAAAGAAAAAGGAGAACTGGGTGTCTTGAGAGCAGGAAACCTCAATGTGATGGCATCTGTTTTTCTCCTCAGAGCTCAATTAACAGAGTTCTCAGCAGGCCCCTCTATTTGGTTAGTAATAACTGCATTCATGCTGTATAAAGGATTTTGCTGACTTGTCCTTTCCTTACGTCGACCAGAGGTGCCCAGATCCCCACACAGTCAGAAGGCAGGGGGCCTCTGGCAGCGGCATGCTCCTGTCCTTAACACCTGCTTACTTCCTGCCGCTCCATACCCTCCCTTGAGCTCACACTGCCTGTTTGCAGGAGGAGGATGATTACGACGTGATGCAGGACCCCGAGTTCCTTCAGAGTGTCCTAGAGAACCTCCCAGGTGTGGATCCCAACAATGAAGCCATTCGAAATGCTATGGGCTCCCTGGCCTCCCAGGCCACCAAGGACGGCAAGAAGGACAAGAAGGAGGAAGACAAGAAGTGAGACTGGAGGGAAAGGGTAGCTGAGTCTGCTTAGGGGACTGCATGGGAAGCACGGAATATAGGGTTAGATGTGTGTTATCTGTAACCATTACAGCCTAAATAAAGCTTGGCAACTTTTTTTCCTTTTTTGCTTCAAATATTGATGGTTTTGAGTGTGAGAGAGGGGAGGAGTCCCTGGCCTGAAGGAGAACCTTCCTTGTTGAGTTCTCTATGTCTCTGTTTCCACCTGTCTGGGCCTCCTAACGTGCTGGGATTACAGGCCCAGGAGCCAGGTTTCCATTTCTAATGAACGAAGACCTTATTTAAACCACCTTCTTGCCAATAACTTTTACTCTGCACTCACACAGCTGAACCCCAAGCATGGAATGATACTCAACCTTTTCAGTTTTTTCATGTGGACTTCTGAGGTTCAGCAAGTTTAGGTTATTTGGCCAAGGATATTTAGCTAATGAAGAGGCAGAACCAGGATCAAAATCCAAACTTGTCTCAGACCTGTCTCGCCAGGAGTTGAATCACCACCAAACAGTAGTTTCCCATTGGTCAGCTGCCTTCAGTGACTCTGCTCAGCCCTGCAAGTCAGTTCCTTGTAGCAACTACTATACCTTCCTCTACTCCCCGATCACTCTCAACAGAAGCCTGACATCTTTACAGAGAGTCAAGGCCGTGAGGCAGGAAGTTCTGGCTCCCTCCCTCCTGCCAGCACCTCCCTGCATCAGTTATGCTGTCTCCTGAGTCTCTGCTGTCCTAAACACCCTGCTGGCGTTTTCCTCTCAGTGTACATGCATAAAATCCACTCTACAAGTAACCTTACCTTGAGACTTTATATTATACGGTTTAAATATTATTTTACAAGGAACATCTATTCCCTTTATAATTTTTTTTAAAGTTTTTTTTTTTTTCAGCCAGGTGCGGTGGCTCACACCTGTAATCCCAGCACTTTGGGAGGCCGAGGTGGGCAGATCACAAGGTCAGGAGTTTGAGACCAGCCTGACCAATATGGTGAAACCCCGTCTCTACTAAAAATAGAAAAAAAATTAGCCGGGTGTGGTGGCACACGCCTGTAATTCCAGCTACTCAGGAGGCTGAGGCAGGAGAATTGCTTGAACCCAGGAGGCGGAGGTTGCAGTGAGCTGAGATCATGCCACTGCATTCCAGCCTGGGCGACAGAGGGAGACTCTCAAAAAATAAAAAATTAAAAAATATATATATATATTTTTATTTATTTTAAACAAAGTCTGTGCTCTGTCACCCAGGCTGGGGTGCAGTGGTGTGATCATAGCTCACTGTAGCCTCAACCTCCTAGCCTAAAGGATCCTCCTGCCTCAGCCTCCTGCATAGCTGGGACTAAGGCACACACTACCACGCCCAGCTAATTTTTTTTTTTTTTTTTTGAGATGGAGTCTGTCGCACAGGCTGGAGTGCAGTGGCACTGTCTTGGCTCACTGCAACCTCTGCCCCCCAGGCTCAAGCAGTTCTCATGCCTCAGCCTCGCAAGTAGCTGGGACTATAGGTATGTACCACCATGCCTGGCTAATTTTTAATTTTTTTTATAGATATGCGGTCTATGTTTCCCAGGCTGGTCTTGAACTCCTGGGCTCAAGTGATCCTCCCACCTCGGCCTCCCAAAGTGCTGGGATTATAGGTGTGAGCCACCGTGCCTGGCCTATATAGTTTTAAAAGTTAGATTTGTAATAAAAATTGGTAGGGTCCTGCCCTACCCCTCTGCACTCTTGAGGTCTACTCCCAGAAGTAATCAATTTAACTTCTTTAGCTAGCTCTTCCTGTGCTTACTTCCTTATTCCCAAAGAATGAACTTATATGGCTATTTCTTAATTTTTCCATTTTAGCCATTATCTATACTGTTTACTATAGAATATTATAATTTAGTTTTTTTTTTGTTTTCGAGGCAGAGTTTCGCTCTTGTTGCCCAGGCTAGAGTGCAATGGCACGATCTCTGCTCACTGCAACCTCCGCCTCCTGGGTTCAAGCGATTCTCCTGCCTTAGCCTCCCAAGTAGCTGGGATTACAGGCATGTGCCACCACACCCGTCTAATTTTTTTATTTTTGGTAGAGACGGTTTCATCATCTTGGCCAGGCTGGTCTTGAACTCCTGACCTCGTGATCTACCTGCCTCGGCCTCCTGAAGTGCTGGGATTACAACGCCTGACTAATTTTTATATTTTTTTTGTAGAGACGGGGTTTCGCCAGGTTACCTAGACTGGTCGTGAGCTCAAGCAATCTGCCCACCTCAGCCTCCCAAAGTGCTGGAATTATAGGCCTGAACCACCACACCTAGCATTTTTTTTTTTTTTTTTTTTTTTGAGACGGAGTCTTGCTCTGTCACCCAGGCTGGAGTGCAGTGGCATGATCTTGGCTCACTGCAAGCTCCGCCTCCCGGGTTCACGCCATTCTCCTGCCTCAGCCTCCCGAGTAGCTGGGACTACAGGCGCCCGCCACCACGCCCGGCTAATTTTTTGGATTTTTAGTAGAGATGGGGTTTCACCGTGTTAGCCAGGATGGTCTGGATCTGACCTTGTGATCCGCCCGCCTCGGCCTCCCAAAGTGCTGGGATTACAGGCTTGAGCCACCACCTCCCAAAGTGCTGGGATTACAGGCTTGAGCCACCACGCCCGGCCCATTGTTTTTGTTTTTATTCTTTTACCATGAGAAATAGAAACCTCCTCTCATTGGTCAAATACAGTAGGTAACCTGTTAACCTCACGTGATGGCCTCCTGAGCTTGCTCCAATGTGGATTGGTTGTCCTCGACCTGCTGCAAAGTTTTAGTTCTGGCCCTTCCCTGCACCTTCACCCTGGGACTCACTTATTTCCTGGATGCCATATTTTGGTTTTCCTTTGTTTCATCCTCTGTTTTAGTAGAATTTGTCATCCAGTAGCTTTCTGAGAAAGGAGCACAGCAAGTTTATTTTTTGTGTGTCTGAAAACATCTTGGCAGAGTATAGAATTCTACATTTAAAATAATGTTTCTTTAGAATTTTGAAGGCATTGCCTCATTGTTTTCAGTTTTCTTCTTGTTTGTTTTTTCTTTTTCTCAATGTTTCAGCATCCAGAGGAATGCTTGTTGGTGTTGAGACAGGGTCTCACTTTGTCACCCAGGCTGCAATGCAGTGGCAGGAACACGGCTCAGGCTGACTGCCGCCGCTACCTCTGAGGCTCAAGCAGTCCTCTTGCCTCACTATCTCAACTGTCTAGGACTACAGGTGCATGCCACAACACCCATCTGGTTTTTGTATTTTTTGTAGAGATGGTGGTTTTTGTATTTTTTGTAGAGATGGTGTTTCACCACGTTGCCCAGGCTGGTCTGGAACTCCTGACCCTAAGTGATCTGCCCACCTCGGCCTCCCAAAGTGCTGAGATTACAGGCATGAGCCACCTTGCCCATGGCCTGTATTCTAGTTTTCAGGGTGTATTATTAAGAAACCAGGGCTGGGTGTGATAGCTCATGCTTGTAATCCCAGCACTTTGGGAGGCCAAGGCGGGAGGATAACTTGAGCCCAGGAGTTCAAGACCAGTCTGGGGAACATGGCAAGACCCCATTCCCCCACATTTTCTTAATTAAAAACAAAAAAACAAAAAAAGTTAGCTGGCTGTGGTGCAGTGCACCTATAGTTCTAGCTACTCATGAGGCTGAGGTGGGAGTATCACTTGAGCTAAGGGGTCCAGGCTGCAATGAGCAGTGATCACGTTACTGTACTCTAGCCTGGGCAACAGAGCAAGACTGTCCCAAAAAACAAACAAAAAAAGCATCCTGTTTTTGTATCATGGGTGCAATATCTTCTATTTCTTTTCTTTTTTTTTTTTTTTTTTTTTGATACAGAGTCTTTTTCTGTCACCCAGGCTGGAGTGCAGTGGCATGATCTCAGCTTACTGCAACCTCTGCCTCCGGGGTTCAAGCAATTCTCCTGCCTCAGCCTCCCGAGTAGCTGGGACTACAGGCATGTGCCACCACGCCCAGCTAATTTTTGTATTTTTAGTATAGACAGGGTTTCACCATCTTGGCCAAGTTGGTCTTGAACTCCTGTCCTCATGATCTACCTGCCTCAACCTCCCAAAGTGCTGGGATTACAGGTGTGAACCACCACGCCCAGCCAATCTTATATTTCTAAGTATAGTCATTGCAGTTTTAGGATATTTTCTTCCGGTCCCTTCATTATCTGTTACTCTCTGGGCTCCTCCTCTTTTGGCTTCTTTTATGTTGGAGGCTGCCTTCAACTCTCAGATGATCCTTGGCTGTCTGTCCCCACTTAAGAGAGAGCTGCCTGGAAACTCCATGGGTGGGGTGAGCAGAGACCGTCATATGTGGGCCTCCCTGGGAGTAAGGAGGGAGGGAGCAGCATTTGAGTTCCTGTTGGCTTCTTCTCCTGAGTCAGTCATTATCTCCAACAAGGAATTTTCCAATCTTCCTTCCCCTGCTTTCAGAGGCCCAAGGACTTTTCTGTTTTTGAGCCTTTTTGGGATCTAAGACTGATTATTTTGTTCTTTGTTGGCTCTTCACTCCCTACATTATGAGTAGAATGGAAAAATCCCCAAACTTAAGTCAGTTATCCTGCACATCTGGCTTTCTGCACATCCTGTGCAGAAATCCTGTGTCAGTTATCTGCACATCTGTATCAAACTAAATCAGTCTCTCATTTGCTGTAGTCTTCTCTTTGTCCTTGTGCTTTTTCATGTCTTATTATTTATTTATTTATTTGTTTATTTATTTATTTTTGAGACGGAGTCTCGCTCTGTCACCCAGGCTGGAGTGCAGTGGTACGATCTCGGCTCACTGCAAGCTCCGCCTCCCGGGTTCACGCTATTCTCCTGCCTCAGCCTCTTGAGTAGCTGGGACTACAGGCGCCTGCCACCACGCCTGGCTAATTTTTTGTATTTTTAGTAGAGACGGGGTTTCACTGTGTTAGCCAGGATGGTCTCGATCTCCTGACCTCATGATCCACCCGCCTCGGCCTCCCAAAGTGCTGGGATTACAGGCATGAGCCACCGCGCCCGGCTATTTTTTATTTTTCAGACAGGGTCACTTTTTTGCCCAGGCTGCAGCGCAGTTGGGCCATCATGGCTCACTGCAGTCTTGGCCTCCCAGGCTCAGGTGATCCTCCTACCTTAGCCTCCCCAGTAGCTGGGACTACAGGCACGTGCCACCATGCCTGCCCTTTTTCACTTCTTTACTCTTATTTTGACGTGATTTCTAGGGTGAGCAGAGATAAGCTCAATTCACCACATATAACCAGAAGCTCTTTACTTCTTTAAGATCAATTACCTAATTCCTCTAACTCACAAGGTGGTCGTGAAAATTAAAGGTGGCGGGCAACCCGCTTGGGTCCCCTACTGTAGAAGCTTTGTTCTTTCGCTCTTTGCAATAAATCTTGCTGCTGCTCACTCTTTGGGTCCACACTGCCTTTATGAGGTGTAACACTCACCACGAAGGTCTGCAGCTTCACTCCTGAAGCCAGCGAGACCACGAACCCACCGGGAGGAACGAACAACTCCAGATGCGCCGCCTTAAGAGCTGTAACACTCACCGCGAAGGTCCGTGGCCTCACTCCTGAGCCCCCAAGACCACGAACCCACCAGAAGGAAGAAACTCCAAACACATCCGAACATCAGAAGGAACAAACTCTGGACACGCTGACTTTAAGAACTGTAACACTCACCGCGAAGGTCTGCGGCTTCATTCTTGAAGTCAGTGAGACCAAGAACCCACCAATTCCGGACACAATGCCATTCTCCTGCCTCAGCCTCCCGAGTAGCTGGGACTACAGGTGGCCGCCACCACGCCTGGCTAATTTTTTGTATTTTTAGTAGAGACAGGGTTTCACTGTGTTAGCCAGGATGATCTCCATCTCCTGACCTCGTGATCCGCCCGCCTTGGCCTCCCAAAGTGCTAGGATTACAGACGTGAGCCACTGCGCCCAGCCCAGCTTAGCTTTTTAACAGCTTAGTTCTTTCATCTTTGTTTGAATACAAAGGCCAAGGAAAATAGTCTACATGTTATTTTCAGGAAAATTTTCTGTATAAATTATTGTTATTGAAGCATTAATTTTCTATTTCATGATCAGGTTACATGCCTTGGAAAGGATGTAGTATATGATGAAATTGCCCAAATCATTTGAATGATAATAAAAGTTTAAAAAAAAAAAAGAAAAAAATTAAAGGTGGCTGTGTGTAACAAGATGTTGAAAGGTTTTCCTGGTTGTGTTGGAGTTTGAGCTGAGTCTTAAGGACAGAAGTGTACACAGGTACCCCCACATTGTAGAAAAATACTTTTCCAGCCACGCAAAAGACAGCACAATTCCTCCAGCTCCCATGGCCCCCACTGCCACCTGCAGCCTCTATGAGATGACACATTTGACACAGGAAAGAGAGCACGCTCATGGAGATAGATCTGTTGTTGATTGCTGATCTCTCTGGAGTCCTTTGGTATTCCCTGTTTCTTGTTCTTTAGGGGCGAGGGGAGGACGCAGACCAAGGTAGGACAGTACCAAGAGACTGGGAGTGCCTGTAAGAAACAGATGGGCATCTGAGTCCTTGGCTGGATGTTTCCTGGGTGGCAGAACTCCTGACCCAGTGTTGTCAAAGACCACAAGCAAGTCACTGAGAGAGAGTTCTGGAAGAGCCTGACATGAATTTACTGGTATTTGGGAGATATAAATGAACATAGAGACCAATGTCTGCTGAATGGGACATGTGGGAGGTTGGCTGGAGCCCAGACCTGGAATGGTGGCACTAGTGGGTAGACTTTATTTCAGCACCTGGCATGCTAAGAATGTGGGAGTTTCCCACGGACCAAGAGGAAAGCATGGAAAGTACCCAAGCTTGAGCCATCCAGATAGAGCCTGCCCAAAAGGAGTTCCTGAAGGGCAAGAAGAGCCCAATGGTAAGATGCCATGGGGCAAAAGTGCAGGGCACTGTGCAAGAGGTCACCTGGAGAGTGCACTGCAGATGCCAGAGAAAAGGGCAGTGGAGAGGTCCTGTAAGTCTCCCAGGGACCTTCAAATATGCTCCACCCAAGAGAAAGCGAGCATTTAGGAACCTGTCACACAGAGGGCTCTGACAGCCCCTGTCATGTAAAACTTGACTCCTTTCCTTCCTCGCACCATCCCAACTCTGGAGAAGCCAGAGGCAGGAAGGGAAGGGAGGGTGAAAGAAGAGCAACAGGCCGCGTGCGGTGGCTCATGCCTGTAATCCCAACACTTTGGGAGGCCGAGGCGGGCAGATCATCTGAGGTCAGGAGTTTGAGACCAGCCTGGCCAACATGGTGAAACTGTCTCTACTAAACATATAAAAATTAGCCAGGCGTGGTGGCGGGCGCCTGTAATCCCAGCTACTGGGGAGGCTGAGGCAGGAGAATTGCTTGAACCTGGGAAGCGGAGGTTGCACTGAGCTGAGATCACACCATTGCACTCCAACGTGGGCAACAAGAGTGAAACTCCATCGCTAAATAAATAAATAAATAAATAAATATAAAAATAGGGTAGATGTGGTGGCTCATCTCTACCAATAATAAAAAAATTAGCTGGGCGTGGTGGTGCATGCCTGTAGTCCCAGCTATTCGGGAGGCTGAAGTGGGAGGATCACATGAGCCCAGGAGCTCAAGGCTGCAGTAAGCCGAGATTGTACCACTGCGCTCCAGCCTGGGTAGCAGAGTGAGACCCTCTCTCAAAAAAAAAAAGCCAGGCATGGTGGCTCACGCCTGTAATCCCGGCACTTTGGGTGGCCGAGGTAGGCAGATCACGAGGTCAGGAGTTCGAGACCAGCCTGGCCAGTATGGTAAACTCCGTCT
Organism: Homo sapiens; assembly: GCF_000001405.40. NCBI lineage: Eukaryota > Metazoa > Chordata > Mammalia > Primates > Hominidae > Homo > Homo sapiens. The sequence goes on from NC_000001.11 coordinate 151,275,143, forward strand.
CTACTAAAAACACACATAAAAAATTAGCCGGGTGTGGTAGTGGGCACCTGTAATCCCAGCTACTCGGGAGGCTGAGGCAGGAGAATCGCTTGAACCTGAGAGGTGGAGGTTGCAGTGAGCTGAGACTGTGCCATTGCACTCCAGCCTGGGTGACAGAGCGAGACTCAGTCTCAAAAAAAAATTATAATAATAATCAAGAATGAGGATAGGAGTAGTATAGGACAGAGTGGGGTGAGGCAGAAGATGGCTGCAACAAGGAGAGGTGGTGGGTGCTATTAACAGAAGGTGCCGCGCCATTAATCTGGGGGTATGTGTGTCTGTGTGTGCATCTCCAAAGATTCCTCCTACTAGCCAGGCGCAGTGGCTCACATCTGTAGCCCCAGCTACTTGGGAGGCTGAGGTGGGTGGATCGCTTGAGCCCAGGAAGTTGAGGCTGCAGTGAGCCGTGATTGCACCACTGTACTCCAGCCTGGGTGACAGAGCAAGACCTTGTTTAGAAAAAAAAAAAAAAAGTGTGTGTGAGTGTGTGTGCATATATCTATCTATCTATCTATCTATATATATATATATATATATATATATATGCACACACACACATTCCTCTTACTCTTTCCTAGGCAATGGTTACCACAATTCTGCTACTATCACCATTGATTTACTTTGCCTGCTCTTGAACTTTATTTATTATTTATTTTTATTTTATTTTATTTTTTTGAGACAGAGTCTTGCTCTGTCGCCCAGGCTGGAGTGCAGTGGCATGATCTCGGCTCACTGCAACTTCTGCCACCTGGATTCAAGCGATTCTCCTGCCTCAGCCTCCCAAGTAGCTGAGATTACAGGTGCGTGCCACCACGCCTGGCTAATTTTTGTTTTGTTTCAGGATCTTGGCCAGGCTGGTCTTGAACTTCTGACCTCGTGATCCACCTGTCTCAGCCTCCCAAAGTGCTGGGATTACAGGTGTGAGCCACCACGCCCAGCTTGAACTTTATATAAATGGAATCATACTATATATTTATAGTATATATATACATAAATAGAATCCTACTCTCTATGTGAAGTTCAAGAATTTTTTCTTTTTTTTTTTTTTTTTTGAATCGGAGTGTCACTCTTGTTGCCCAGGCTGCAGTGCAATGGCACAATCTTGGCTCACCACAACCTCTGCCTCCCGGGTTCAAGCGATTCTCCTACCTCAGCCTCCCGAGTAGCTGGGATTACAGGCATGCACCACTAAGCCTGGCTAATTTTGGTATTTTTAGTAGAGACAGAATTTCTCCATGTTGGTCAGGCTGGTCTTGAACTCCTGATCTCAGGTGATCCACCAGCCTTGGCCTCCCAAAATGCTGGGATTACAGGAGTGAGCCACTGCACCCGGCCCATTCCTGCTGATTTAAATATCCAGGTAAATGAATCTTCCAGGCCACTGGCCTCTCAGTCTCTTGATCTCCCCTCCTAGTCCATTCCTCTCTCCTGAATGCCTATTTCCTATCTTTTTGCTCCTCAAATTCCTAGTTTCTTCTTCATCCTCACTCTTAGAGAGTGATCTTGATTTTTTATTCCCACGAAGAGTTTGACAACACATGTTCTTGTTTCTTATACCACTGGACAACAGAAGCAACAAAGAGATATCCCACAGCTCCCCAGCTCCCTCGACCCATGCCCGCTCACTCTGCCTTCTCTCCCAATTATTATTCGGGAACTGTCCCTGCCCCTGTGTAAGGCAATTCCTCTGTTTGTGAACTTGACCCTCTCGCTCACCTTCTGAAGAACATGACTCCAGAAACTTTCCCTATCGCTCTGCTACAACTTCGGTTTTTCCTGTCTACAGGATCCTCCCCACCCGTGTACTGACATACAACTTCTTCATCTTCAAACAGTCCTTTCCTTGGGTCAGTAGAACCTGATGAGAAAAAAATGTAACCATTAAAAGAAATAGTCCTCTTGGTCACTCTTTTTCCTCTAGTTACCATCTTTTTTCTCCTTCCTTCCTTTGAAAGAGTTTTATAGTGACTTTTCTTTTTTCCTCCTCCATTCTTGTAAACCCATTCCATGAAGGCTTTTGTCCCCACCAGTCCATCAACTCTCTCCTCATCATGATCACCAGTGACCTCCATTTTGCCTTAATCCATTGGTCAATTCTCAGGTTTCATCCTATTTGATATTTTAGTGGCATCTGACTATCATTCTCTCTTCCTCTTTCTTGAGATACTTTTTAAATTTAGCTTGAAGGTTACAACACTCTCCTGGTTCCTTCCTTCCTCTTTGCTGTTCTTCTCATCTCCTTGACCTTTTAACTTCGGAGTTTCCCATGCCTCAATCCTCCCTTGGTGATCTCATCCATTCTGACCTGGGTTTTAAATACTATCTATAAGCTGATGACACCTACATTTGTATCTCCACTTGGATGTGTAATACCTCAACATGACTAAAACTGAGCTACCGACCTAACCCCTAAAACCTGCATCTCCTGTAGTCTTCTCAGCTCAAGAAATGGGGCAACATCATGCTTCTACTTCCTCAGCCTCCATGCTTTGGAGTCTTTTTCTTTCTTCCACACCCCACTTTCAACCCTTTTAAAACGTTTAAGTCAGGCCACCATGTCATCTGTCTCCTTTTGATGGCTTTCTAACCCACCGTGAGAAAATGCCAAAGACCTTCCCATAGCTTCCAAAGCATCCCATGACCCAATTCACTCCTCCCACCCCCTCTGGAACACACTCCCCTCCTGAGGACCTTGTACTTGTTCTTTCCTCCTGGAATGTTCTTGTCCCAGATAGCTGCATGGCTCACTCCCTCATCTCTTTCAGACCTTTACTTAACCACCATCTTCTCGAAAAGGCCTTTACTGTCCACCCTACCTAAAATTGCAACCCTCCCACACTTACTGTCATCTTTCCTTGCTTTTGTTTTTGTTTTTTTGAGACAGAGTCTTGCTCTGTCACCCAGGCTGGAGTGTGGTGGTGCGATCTCGGCTCAATGCAACTTCTGCCTCCCGGGTTCAAGCGATTCTCCTGCCTCAGCCTCCCAAGTAGCTGGGACTATAGGCGTGTGCCACCATGACCAGCTAATTTTTTGTATTTTTAGTAGAGACAGGGTTTCACCATGTTAGCCAGAATGGTCTTGATCTCCTGACCTCATGGTCCACCCGCCTCGGCCTCCCAAAGTGCTGGGATTACAGGCATGAGCCACTGCGCCCAGCCGCCTGCTTTGTTTTTTTTTTTAAATTGTTTTTGTTTTTAAATTAATACACTTTATTTTTTACAGCATTTTTAGGTTTACAGAAAAATTGAGCACAAAATGCGAGTTCCCACACATCCTCTCTCTCCAGTTTCCCCTATTATTATTATTATTTTGAGACAAGGTCTTGGTCTTTTGCCCAGGCTGGGGTGTAGTGGTGTGATTACAGCTCACTGCAACCTTGACCTCCAGGGCTCAGGTGATTCTCCCTCCTCAGCCTCCCAAGTAGCTGGGACCACAGGTGTGCACCACCATGCCACGCTACTTAAAAAAAAGTTTTTTTGTAGAGATGGGGTCTCTCCATGTTGCTCAGGTTACTCTATTATTTATTAATATCTCGCATTAGTGTGGTACATTTGTTACAATTGATGAACCAATATGGAAACATTATTATTAAGAGACAGGGTCTCACTTTGTTGCCCAGGCTGGAGTGCGGCAGCAGGATCGTAGCTCACTGCAGCCTCAAACTTCTGGGCTCAAGGGACTCTCCTGCTTCAGCCACTTGAGTAGTTGGGACTACAGGTGTGCGCCACTGTACGCGGCTAATTTTTCAAATTTTTTGTTGATCCTCCCGCTTTGGCCTCCCAAAGTTCAGGGATTACATGTGTGAGCCACCATGCTCACAGGGTTCACTCTTTGTGTTGTACATTCCATGGCTGTTGACACATGTATCCACTATTACAGTATCACATAGAATAGTTTCAGTGTTGTAAGAGTCCCCTGTGCTCCATTTATTTATTCATCTCTCTCCCTCCACCTGAACCCTCAGCAACCAACCACTGATCTTTTTACTCTCTATAGTTTTGCCTTTTCTAGAATGTCACATAGCTGGAATCATACAGCATGCAACCTTTTCAGATTGGCTTCTTTCACTTAGTCATATGCATCGAAGATTCCTCTGTCTTTGCATGGCTTGATAACTCTATTTTATTCCTTGGCAGCTACCATTTCTAATATTTATTGTTTGTCTTCTCTTTAGGAATGTGTGTTTCATGACAGGGCTTCTTGTCTGCTTTGTTCATTGCTACATCTCCAGTACCTGAAATAGTACCTCCTTCCATGGTTGTGGTAAGGACTACGTGAGTTATTAATAATATGTTTATTAATAAAATAAATAAAGTTTTTCTGTGTGTGTGTGTTTTTTTTTTTTTTTTTTTTGAGACAGAGTCTCGCTCTGTCTCCCAGGTTGGAGTGCAGTGGTGCGATCCCGGCTCACTGTAGTTTTGACTTCCTGGACTCAAGCGATCCTTCCATCCCAGCCTCCCCAGTAGCTGGGATCACAGGTGCCTGCCAACACCCCTGGCTAATTTTTTTTTCCAAATATTCTGTAGAGGCAGAGTCCTGCTGTGTTGCACAGGCTAGTCTCGAACTCCAGGGCTCAAGTGAGCTACCCACCTAGACTTCTCAAAGTGCTGGGATTACAGGCGTGAGCCCCCCAAAATATTATGTGTATATGAGTAGTAATTGTTATTCCGCATAGGGAGACCAGAAGAGGAGGTGGAAATGGAATGCCGGTTGGTTACATCGGGTTAGGGACCTTTAATTAGTTGCTCAGAGAAGGAACAGCACCTGAGCAAATGCACAGGATGCAAGGCTCCGGGAGAAAGGGCACACTAATCCCAACTGCCAATTACTTTACAAAGCGTGTTTACATTCTAAACTCATTTAATTCTCACAAAAATAATATTGTCAGGTGGGTATTATAATCCCCGTTTTACTCATGAGAAAACAGGATCTGGGAGGTTGAGCGACTTGCCCATTGCGACCATAGGGCAAGTGGTGGCTCCAGGATTCCCATCCAGAAGTTCTGATTCATACTTCAAAGGAGCTCGGAAACTCTCCGGGTGCGCCGGGGAGTCCTGGTTCCGGTGTCCTGGGACTCCTGGGCAGGGTAACGAAACCACTTTTAAAAACTTTGCCGGGCCCGGTGGGTCACATCTGTAATCCCAGCACTTTGGGAGGCCAAGGCGGATGGATGATTTGAGGTCAGGAGTTCGAGACCAGCCTGGCCAATGCGGTGAAACCCCGTCTCTACTAAAAATACAAAAATGGCCGGCCGCGGTGGCTCATGCCTGTAATCCCAGCACTTTGGGAGGCCGAGGCGGGCGGATCACGAGGTCAGGAGATCAAGACTATCCTGGCTAACACGGTGAAACCCCGTCTCTACTAAAAACACAAAAAATTAGCCGGGCATTGTGGAGAGCGCCTGCAGTCCCAGCTACTCGGGAGGCTGAGGCAGGAGAATGGCGTGAACCCGGGAGGCGGAGCTTGCAGTGAGCCGAGATCGCGCCACTGCACTCCAGCCTGGGCGACACAGCGAGACTCCGTCTCAAAAAAAAAAAAAAAAGAAAAAAACAAAAATTAGCCGGGCGGGTAGTGTCGCACACCTGTAATCCCAGCTGGTCGGAAGGCTGAGGCAGGAGAATTGCTTGAGCCTGGGAGACGGAGGTTGCCGTGAGCCGAGATCCCGCCACTGCACTCCAGTCTGGACGACAGAATGAGGCCCCGTTTCAAAAAATAAAAAATAAAAAACTTCGCCAAGGTAGGGAGTAGTGGCTCACGTCTGTAGGATTGCTTGAGACCAGCCTGGGCAACATGGCAAAACCCTGTCTCTTCAAAAAATAAAAAAGTTAGCAGGGCGATTTGGCGCTCACTTGTAGTCCCAGCTACTCAGGAGGCTGAGGCGGGAGGATCACTGGAGCCTGGGAGGTTGAGGCTGCAGTCAGCCGTGATCGCGCCACTGTGCTCCCGCCTGGGCAGCAGAGTGAGGCTCTGCCTCAAAAAAATTAATTAAAAAATAAAAACACGCCGTTAACGAGCGGCTGCGTGCGCGAGGTGGCACACTGGGCTTGCATACGAATTCTGCCAGTGAGTGCTATTAGAGCATCAAGGAGATTCATTTTCCGAGCGACTCCTCCCTTTCCCCCGCCTCCAGGGGGCGTGGCAACAAAGCGCGGGAAAACTCGACCTTGACCCCACCCCCACTCCATGCTGGGGGCGGGGAAAAGGGGAGCCCTTAAATGGGAAATGGAGCTGGCGGTTCCCCCCCCAGCCCATACTTAGGACGCCTATCAGTTGCTCCTTTAATGCCTCTTTGGAAATGGCCCGGCCACGCCAGCACTCCTACGTCACCTCCCCCGCTTCCGGTCCGCGAGCCCTTCCCAACCTTTAGGTCCCGATTCCTTCCATGCTCCAAATCCCGTGCCCCGTCCACGCCCTCCCGCAGAGGGAGGAGCGACGGGTTACGCTGTCGCCCAGGAGCTGAACCGCGCGAGGACCCCATCCATCAGATTATATGGCGATTTAGACGGTGGGAAGACCGCAAGGAAATGGTCAGCGGATGACGTAATGTTTGGGGTGGCGTCCCATTCTGTAACTTCTGTACGGCATCAGTGACACGGGTTTAGCTTGAAACAGCGCAAAAGGACCTACACTTCTGTGCTCCACTCCGACTCAATGCGGTTCTGCTCTCAGTGCCCACCACACAGAAGCTGGGTTCCTTACATTCGCGAAAGTGAACTGCAGCTTCAAGCTTCGAGCGGCCAGTAGGGAGCGAGGGGCGGAGACGCACCTGGGTGCTCCCCCTTCCAGTAGGCAAGCTGGGAAGCAGGCTGGCTTCTTTCTAAGCGACAGTGGCGGAGGCCAATCGTTTACGAGACTCGTAGATGGGGCAGACGGACCCCGGCGCAGCCAATGGGGAGAGGTATCTTCAGAGGGCCTCGGCCCCTTGCCCAATGAGCATAAGAGGACTGTGCGGGGCTAGTTCCGAGCGGCAGTATTTAGGGCCAACCCAGTGCGGGGCTGGAAGGGGCACAGGGCTGAGCGACGGGGGCAAGGGCCAATGGCGAGTGCGAAAACGGGCAGCCCAGACCTGGAGCGCGGAGGGAGGAGAGGGAGTGGGGAGGCCGAACCGGAGAGAAGCAGGAAGTAGCGGCGGCCGCGGGGAGGGCGGCGGTGGCTGCAGCGGCTGGAGCGGGGTAGAGACCGCCGGGTCTCGGCCCGCACCAGGAGCGGAACAAGTAAGCGTGCCTGGGGTAAATACCCGCCCTTGGCTCCGCCCCCTTGGGGGGGGCGGGTAAATACCCCCGCCCCTCCCCCACTTGGTCAACTACCCCCTTCTCCGCGCCGCCCCCTGGGGCGGCTTCTAGGAAGGCCCAGACACCGCCTCCATCCATTGGGGCGGATGGGCGAAACTCCTGGCCTGTTGTAAGCACAGTCCGTAGCCGGGTAAACCCCCAGGAGGGTCGAGAACCCCAGGTCCTGGCGCCCCCGGCTCGAGAGGCACCCGAAGTGCGGCCCGGAGATTGAAGGCTGCGGGATGTCGCGACCTAAAATGGTGTCCGTTCCCGGGGATGGGGGCGGGGGACCTGGGCCAGGCCGGAGCAGAACCTGCACCCCGACTGGGTGCGGGTCAGCGTCCGGGCCCGGGCAAGACTCAGGCTTGCGCCCCCGGCCCCCTGCGCACCCCCCGATCAGTCTCCAGTCTCTAGCGAGCCTCCGGGAGTGCGCGGCGGGAGGAGGCTCCGCTGCGCCCGGAGGGGAGGGGACGAGGTCCGAGTTGGGACGGACCCCAGCTAGAGAGCTGAGAGTCGCGCAGAGACCGTCCCCTCTCTCCTCCCCTCTTTCCAGCTCCCCACCCTATCCTGTGTAGTCCTGGGTCCCCAGGTGCTGCGCAGCAGCTCCCAAAGGGCCTGGCCTGGCTGAGGCCCGGCCTTCGCTTCGCACGCCGGTGCGAGTGAGAGAAGGGCCGCGCGCCTCAGTTTCCCTTGTAGTTTCTCATGTGTACACCCCGCCCCCTCCTCGAAACCCAGGACTTGCTCCCCGCGCCAGCCCTCGGCAGATGGCAGGGACTTAATTCCGTCTGCTACCCAGCTTGGCCTCAACCTAATCGCCGCCAGCCCCTCGCCCTCCTCTGCGCTGCAGGCCTTGGGCCCGGGCAAAGGTCAGTGGAGCCCCCACTCGACCTGGGCCTGTTCAGCCTCTTCCTGTTCAGCCTCTTTGGCTTTTGGGGAACCACAGAGGGAAAGGGGGCGGGGGAGATAGGAGCCCTAGAGACAGGGCTCAGCAGTCGCAGGAAGGCCTGATCCTCCTTGGCTTGAGCTTGGCGGCTTGCTTGGTCGACTGTCTGCTCTGGGTGGGTGGCCATCGGATGACCTCTAAGTCACTGGGGCACCCAAGAGGGAGGTGGCTGGCGGGGTGTGGGGGCGGGTGAGTTCGCAGGTGTTTTCTCCTAGTCCCCGCTGGTCTTCGTTGTAGCAGTCCACTTTTCTGAGTACCTGAGTGGAAGGTAGCTCAGGCCTCTGGTCAGGAGGGAACCAGGCTTAGGAGCCAGGCCTATAGAGACAAGGGTTTTTGTTTAAACCCAGATTCTGCAGAATTGAATAGGGTGGGGGTGAGGGGAGGACTCCCCCTTTGGTTTTGCCCCCACCCCAACCTTGGTCCCAGCAATCCCAGCTGCCACTTGCTGGGACTGTCTCTAGTTACAGTCTGAAGACTGGAGAGAGGTGGGAGAGCTGGCTGGGAAATGGCCTGCAACCTGGGCAGGGAATGGATAGGGATAGACTCTTTAGTTGCTTCTTCGTAGATACAGAAACACTCATGGGGAGACACTGGTAGGGGACAGACCTGGGTCTCCCACAAACTCTGAGCTGGCCTGCTTGTTGGATTAGTGCCACATAATTCTTGTGGGATTTTTAATTTTATTTTTTGCACTTGGCCAGGTTGAGGCTAGGTGAAACTTCCTGGGCTACTGTTGCCACAGGAAAATGGAAAGGGTGAGGAGTTAAAGTTAGGGGATGGAATGGGGTGAGGAGCTTGGAGCAGAAATGATGGGTGAGGGTTGAGGGAGCCTGGCTTTTTCCCACTGTGGCAGCTGTGCTGGAGAAATGTGTATGTATCTTGGGAGTTTTAGCCTCGGGAAAGCAAGATGGGGAGGGGTGGAGAAGGAAGGGCTGGCTAGGGGAGGGCCAGGCACTCTGGGGAAGGTAGTGAGCGAGCAGCAGGTGTTTGTGACAGGAGAGGTCTAGGCTGGGGCCCTTGTGACCAGGCTGCCATCACCATTTTCCCCTCTGTCTCTTCTCTTTGTCTCTTTCTGTTCCTGTGTCTTATTCTTTCCATCTTGGTCTCTTGGGTAATTTCCTTGAGTCCTTTTCTCCCTGCTGACCAAGCTAGATCTCCAGGTGCCAGTGATGGCCCAGGTGCCCTAGACTTGATCCTGCATGACCCCTGACTCTTGCCTCCGACCCCAGCCCTAGAGTTCCAGTGCTTATTCCTTTCCAGTTCCTCCTTGACCTGACATGTCCTTGCTTGGTTCATCTGGAATAGTAAATCGTATTCTTGGTGGGATTCTTACATTAGCAATTTTGTATTATGCTCAGAATAACCCTATGATACATAGATCACTTGTGCTCTCTGCCTTGTCTTGTCTTTTTTTTTTTTTTTTTTTTTTTTTTTGAGACGGTATCACTCTGTCACCCAGGCTGGAGTGCAGTGGCATGATCATGGCCCATCACAGCCTCGACCTCCCGGGCTCAGGGGATCCTCCCATGTCAGCTGGGAGGCATAGCTGGGACTACAGGCACGTGCCATCATGCCTGGGGAGTTTCACCATGTTGCCCAGGGTGGTCTTGAACTCCTGGGCCCAAGTGATTGGCCTCCCAAAGTGCTGGGATTACAGATGTGAGCCACCACACCCGGCCATTTGTGTCCTCTTTCAAACAGCAAAAGTAAGGCACTGAAGAAACTTGCTTGTACTGCACGCCCCTGATAAAGCTGAACGAGGATCATTTCTTAAGTCTTGGCTTATGGCATTGTCCCTTTGTACATGCAGCCTTTCAGATCTGTGTGGACCCCAGAAGATCCGTGAAGAATATGAATTGATTCCATGCGGACATGAATGAGTCCTTAAACCTAGAACATCATGTACATCATCCTCCTTAATAATAGTATTGATTATTTGGTTCTATGCTGGGGACCGGAGGGGATGAGATGGTTTCCACCAGAATGCTCACTGAGCTCTATTACCCTTCCCTGTTCCCTGTATTTTTTTTTTTTTTCTGAGACAGTCTTGCTCTGTCGCCCAGGTGGGAGTGCAGTGGCACGATCTCAGCTCACTGCAAACTCCACCTCCCAGGTTCAAGCAATTCTTCTGCCTCAGCCTCCCGAGTAGCTGGGACTACAGGTGTGTGCTGCCATGCCCAGCTAATTTTTGTATTTTTAGTAGAGACGGGGTTTCACTATCTTGGCCAGGATGGTCTTGATCTCCTGACCTCGTGATCCGCCCGCCTCTGCCTCCCCAAGTGCTGGGATTACAGGCGTGAGCCACCATGCCCAGCCCCCTATATTTCTTTTTTTTGAGACAGGGTCTCGCTCTGTCCAGGCTGGAGTGCAGTGGCGTGATCTTGGCTCATTGAAACCTCAACCTCATGGGTTCAGGCGATTCTCCTGCCTCAGCCTCCTTTGTAGCTGCGATTACAGGCATGTGCCACCACACCTGTCTAGTTTTTTGTATTTTTAGTAGAGACAAGGTTTCACCATGTTGGCCAAGCTGGTCTCAAACTCCTGACCTCAAGTGATCCATCTGCCTCAGCCTCCCAAAACGCTGGGATTACAAGCATGAGCCACCGCACCTGGCCCCTTCCCTGTATTTCTAAGAACTCTCTTTTCCCCTGCTTTCTCTGGATTTTGGAGCCCACCAAGGTATGGACACTAATCCTCTTCTGATTTTAAGGTTTGGCAAACCTAGCAGCTCTGTAGGATTCATGCCGTGGCGGAGGTGTACCTAAGTTGGAGTGTATGTGGGTTCTGAGAGAGGATAAATATGGAGATGCTGAGGGAAGAGCTCCAGGATCTCTCTTCTAGACATCTCAGTTTCTCCTCCTCGTTCCTGTTTTCATCAGGTCTGGGATCTGCCGATATGGGGGATATGAAGACCCCTGATTTTGATGACCTCCTTGCTGCCTTTGACATCCCTGACATTGATGCGAATGAAGCCATCCATTCTGGGCCAGAAGAAAATGAGGGGCCTGGAGGCCCAGGGAAGCCAGAACCAGGTGTAGGAAGTGAATCTGAAGACACAGCAGCAGCCTCTGCTGGGGATGGCCCTGGAGTTCCAGCCCAGGCCTCTGACCATGGCCTGCCACCGCCAGACATTTCTGTAGTCAGTGTCATTGTCAAGAACACTGTGTGTCCCGAGCAGTCTGAGGCCCTGGCTGGAGGCTCAGCAGGAGACGGGGCCCAGGCTGCTGGGGTAACTAAAGAAGGGCCTGTGGGGCCTCATCGAATGCAGAATGGTTTTGGGAGCCCTGAACCTTCCCTCCCAGGAACTCCCCACTCTCCTGCTCCTCCCAGTGGGGGCACCTGGAAAGAAAAAGGCATGGAAGGCAAAACTCCCTTGGACCTGTTTGCTCATTTTGGCCCTGAGCCAGGGGACCACTCAGATCCGCTGCCTCCCTCTGCACCCTCTCCCACTCGGGAGGGGGCTCTGACCCCGCCTCCTTTCCCCTCTTCCTTTGAGCTGGCCCAGGAGAATGGCCCAGGCATGCAGCCACCTGTTTCTTCCCCACCATTGGGGGCCTTGAAGCAGGAGAGCTGCAGCCCCCATCATCCCCAGGTCCTAGCCCAACAAGGCTCAGGCTCCAGCCCTAAGGCCACGGACATCCCTGCCAGTGCCTCGCCTCCCCCAGTTGCTGGGGTGCCCTTCTTCAAGCAGTCTCCAGGGCACCAGAGCCCTCTTGCCTCCCCCAAAGTGCCCGTCTGTCAGCCCTTGAAGGAAGAAGATGATGATGAGGGGCCAGTGGACAAGTCTTCCCCAGGAAGTCCCCAGAGTCCCTCTAGTGGGGCCGAGGCTGCAGATGAGGACAGCAATGACTCCCCTGCCTCCAGCTCCTCTAGGCCTCTTAAGGTGCGGATCAAGACCATTAAAACATCCTGCGGGAATATCACAAGGACTGTAACTCAGGTCCCCTCAGATCCTGATCCACCTGCCCCCTTGGCTGAGGGGGCCTTCTTGGCTGAGGCTAGCCTCTTGAAGCTGTCCCCTGCAACACCTACTTCTGAGGGTCCAAAGGTGGTGAGCGTACAGTTGGGTGATGGTACAAGGCTGAAAGGCACTGTGCTGCCTGTGGCCACCATCCAGAACGCCAGTACTGCCATGCTGATGGCAGCCAGTGTGGCTCGCAAGGCTGTGGTGCTGCCTGGGGGGACTGCCACCAGCCCTAAGATGATTGCTAAGAACGTGCTAGGCCTGGTGCCCCAAGCCCTGCCTAAGGCTGACGGGCGGGCAGGGCTGGGGACTGGGGGACAGAAGGTGAATGGTGCCTCGGTGGTGATGGTGCAACCTTCAAAGACAGCTACTGGGCCAAGTACAGGGGGCGGCACAGTGATATCACGGACCCAGTCCAGCCTGGTGGAGGCCTTCAACAAGATCCTCAACAGCAAGAACCTGCTCCCTGCCTATAGGCCAAACCTGAGCCCACCAGCTGAGGCTGGGCTGGCCCTGCCTCCCACCGGCTACCGCTGCCTGGAGTGTGGGGATGCCTTCTCATTGGAGAAGAGCCTGGCACGGCACTATGACCGTCGGAGCATGCGCATCGAGGTCACCTGCAACCACTGCGCCCGCCGCCTGGTCTTCTTCAACAAGTGCAGCCTGCTCCTGCATGCACGTGAACACAAGGACAAGGGGCTCGTCATGCAGTGCTCACATTTGGTCATGAGGCCTGTAGCCCTTGACCAGATGGTGGGGCAGCCGGACATCACACCGCTGCTGCCTGTAGCTGTCCCACCTGTCTCTGGACCTCTGGCCTTGCCTGCCTTGGGCAAGGGTGAGGGGGCCATCACCTCCTCTGCCATTACTACAGTTGCTGCTGAGGCCCCTGTCCTGCCGCTCTCCACAGAGCCGCCTGCTGCCCCGGCCACCTCTGCTTACACATGCTTTCGCTGCCTGGAGTGCAAGGAACAGTGCCGGGACAAGGCTGGCATGGCAGCTCACTTCCAGCAGCTCGGCCCCCCTGCCCCTGGGGCCACCAGCAATGTGAGTCACCTTTCACAGCCCTTCTGTGGGGACAGGATCTAGGAAGGCGTTGGGGGCTTGGTTAGAAGTAATGGAGACAGGACACTCCTCACCGACTTTCCTTGTTTAACCCACTCGACAGGTGTGCCCAACCTGCCCCATGATGCTCCCCAATCGCTGCAGCTTCAGCGCCCACCAGCGCATGCATAAGAATCGACCCCCCCATGTCTGTCCTGAGTGTGGGGGCAACTTCCTGCAAGCCAATTTTCAGACCCATCTCCGGGAGGCCTGTCTGCACGTCTCTCGCCGTGTAGGATACAGGTGCCTCGGACCCTTCCTCCATAGAACTGTAGGGTTTCGTGTGTCCTAGCCTCAGCCTCAGATGGCCTTTCAAGATCCCCTATCTTCCCTGCTATATCCCTCAGCCCTGTTGTTTTGCCAGACTCAACCCTGAGATAGTACGTCCTGCCTTCCCGTCGTCCCCCATGGAGATGGGGGGAAGCAGGGCCACCTCTGGAGCTCCAGCTCTCCCTTGGCAGCCTCCCTTGGGGCACAGCCTCTGCACCTCTCTCCTTTCTCCACCCTGCTCATGCTCCACTACTGATTTCCTTCTTGTAGTCTACCCAGTCCCAGAGAATAAATGTATGGTCCCGGGGTGGGCATGGAGATGCCTCCCACCTCACCACAGGGCCTCCTGCTTCCTCCCTAGGTGCCCCAGCTGTTCAGTGGTGTTTGGGGGTGTGAACTCCATCAAGTCCCACATCCAGACGTCGCACTGCGAGGTTTTCCACAAGTGCCCCATCTGCCCCATGGCCTTCAAGTCTGGGCCAAGTGCCCATGCCCACCTCTACTCCCAGCATCCCAGCTTCCAAACTCAGCAGGCCAAGTGAGGCCCGGGGGAGGGCCGGGCTGGGCCAGGGAGGGCTGGTGGGGCGCAGGAGGGGAGGGGCTGCACCCAACCCTGCCTGATGTCTGCACTGTCCTCACTTCAGGCTGATCTACAAGTGCGCCATGTGCGACACAGTCTTCACTCACAAACCCCTCCTCTCCTCACACTTCGACCAGCACTTGCTGCCCCAGCGTGTCAGTGTCTTTAAGTGCCCGTCTTGTCCTCTGCTCTTTGCCCAAAAAAGGACCATGCTGGAACATCTCAAGGTACAGGAGCAGAGGGATGGGGAATGGGTGCTTAGCTGTACTGACCTGGGGCTGGGGCCACATACTTCAGAAGTGGGGGGCTTTGGCATAGCCAGGCCCTCCCCCACAACAGCAACCTCCCTTGTCTCCTCTCACAGAACACCCATCAGTCTGGGCGCTTGGAGGAGACTGCTGGGAAAGGGGCCGGGGGTGCCCTGCTGACCCCCAAGACTGAGCCTGAGGAGCTGGCTGTTTCTCAGGGAGGGGCAGCCCCTGCTACTGAGGAGTCGTCTTCATCTTCAGAAGAGGAGGAAGTACCCAGCTCCCCTGAGCCCCCCCGTCCAGCCAAACGGCCTCGGCGGGAACTAGGGAGCAAAGGCCTCAAGGGTGGGGGTGGGGGGCCTGGAGGCTGGACCTGTGGCCTGTGTCACTCCTGGTTCCCTGAGCGTGATGAATACGTGGCCCACATGAAGAAGGAGCATGGCAAGGTGAGTGGGCCCCAAGGGGAGTACCATGGGCTGGGGGCAGCATTGGGACTGCCAGTGTGACAGTGGGGACGGGGTCCTGGAGCCTGGCTCTGACATCTACCCCTGCTCTCCTAGTCAGTGAAAAAGTTCCCCTGTCGCCTGTGTGAGCGCTCCTTCTGCTCCGCCCCCAGCCTGAGGCGCCATGTCAGAGTTAATCACGAGGGCATCAAGCGAGTTTACCCCTGCAGGTAAGTCTTGCTCCCCGCTTCCTCTTCCTGCCCAGCACGTGACTCTCCCTGTATGCCAAAGTACCTGTGCACCTGCGACGTGTCTAAGTGGCCTGATGGTTGGGGTCTCCCTCTGCTCTGGCAGCCCCCTCCTCAGAAGCAAGGGCCCTGGCCTTCGGGCTGTGCCGCTGCTGCCATCCTGTCCTCTCCCATTTCAGGTATTGCACAGAGGGAAAACGCACCTTCAGCAGCCGCCTGATCCTAGAGAAACATGTCCAGGTCCGGCACGGCTTGCAGCTTGGGGCCCAGTCCCCTGGCCGGGGGACCACCTTGGCTCGGGGTTCCAGTGCCAGAGCCCAGGTAGGCAGAGGCCCGGCCTGCTGTGCTAGGGCTTTGAGTGGGAAACTGGAAGGCAGAGACCATGGCCTCAGGAAGCGAGCATGGGGGTGCCAGGGACAGTAGGGGTGGTGGTAAGGCCCAGTTTCTTCCACTTTTCTTCAGGGGCCAGGTCGGAAACGCCGCCAGTCTTCTGACTCTTGCAGTGAGGAGCCTGACAGCACGACACCGCCAGCCAAGTCCCCCAGGGGCGGACCTGGATCTGGAGGCCATGGCCCTCTGCGCTACCGGAGCAGCAGCTCCACAGAACAGAGCCTCATGATGGGGTTGAGGGTGGAGGATGGTGCCCAGCAGTGCCTCGACTGTGGCTTGTGCTTTGCCTCCCCTGGCTCCCTGAGCCGACACCGTTTCATCAGCCACAAGAAGAGACGGGGTGTGGGTAAAGCCAGTGCCCTGGGGCTGGGGGATGGGGAGGAAGAGGCCCCTCCATCAAGGTCTGACCCCGATGGTGGAGACTCACCCCTGCCTGCTTCTGGAGGCCCACTGACCTGTAAGGTCTGTGGCAAGAGCTGCGACAGCCCTCTAAACCTCAAGACCCACTTCCGCACGCATGGCATGGCGTTCATCAGGGCTCGGCAGGGGGCTGTTGGGGACAACTAGTCTCCAAGGCCTGGGACTGACCAGCCCCTTCCTCTTGGAGCCTGGTTTTCCCTACTGCTGCCTGATCCCTCGGCTGGGGAGTTTTCATTAACATTAATATTTTGTTAATTCCTGTCTCTCCAACCTGAAGAAGAAGAGCATTTGAGGATTATTCTAGTTATTTGCAACCTCCCTTTGGGTTTGGCCCTGGAGTCCTAGTAGAGTGGACCCTCCATTCCTCCTTTCTGAGCCCAACACTAATTAATTTTATGCTCCTGCTGCAGAACCCCCAGTGTGGGCCTGGGGGTGGGAGGATGGGACTTAGGTATGCCTGCTAGACAGGTTCAGGGAAGGACTGATGGGGGTGTCATGGATGGACACACCTCTCCACAATTCCTTCAGGCATGGACTGGAACTTTCCTCCTCTAGGCCGGGCCCTGCCCTAGTGCCCACCCCCGCCCCCGCCCCCGCCCAACCCCAACTCACTGGCACTCAAGCCCCCTACCCCTGCAGTGCCTTTCACTTCTTTTTTTCCCCAGAAATCCGGGGCGGGGGGGTGGGGGGTTGGTAGGGATGAGTCCTGTCAAGGGGGCCACAGGAGAGGAGGGGACAGGCTCTCAGGAATCCTTTATTCTTGTAGTAATAATAATACTAACAAACAGTTGGGGAACTAGGGAGAAAACCAGACCATTAAAACTGTTTGTGGTCGAATCTCCATTCAGGCCTCTCTTTTTCTGTGACTTGGACAATGTGGAGTTGAAGCGGGTGAGAGAACATGGAAGGCCCGCCCTTCTCAGGGAAGAGGTGGTAGTGACCAAGACAGGCAGGGAAAAAGCAAACTTCTATGTAGTGCCTTTTGTATCTTGGACACTGAGGCATCCGTTCATACCTCATCACCCATCTCCCCCTGCACTCCCCCAGAAAACCTGGAAATGACACAAGTGGCTAACTAAGGACTTTATTTCAAACAAAAATTAAAAATAAAAAATTGAGAGCTCTTTTCCCTGGGTTTGGGGAAGGAGTCAGGGTAGGGAATTCCACATGGCTAGGCCAGTACCCTCAGTACACTGGAGGGCTGTGGGAATTCCCTTCCTTGCCCATGATGGGGAACCTCAGCAAGTGCAGGGCCCACGCAGCGCCCGCCAGCAAGGGGAGCTTGGGCCAGGGGTCGGTCCCTGGGAGGGGTAGGTCCCTGGGAGGGGTAGAGCTGGGCAGCAGCATGGCCAGTGGCCAACCACAGGATCAAGTCCTAAGTACCGAGAACCTACTCTTCCCCACTTCCTGGGCCCCAGAACGGAATAAGAGGATGGCCTGTGGAAAGAACCTCTGAGAGACCCCTACAAGGAGAAGAAAGGCCCCAGTGTCCCTCACATTTGTCACCTCTGTTTTCTGGAGGGCAGTGAGTCCTGGAGTCAGTCTGGTGGTAATACTGACACAGACCAGGAGGGGCAGGGAAGCCCCAACAAGTCTGGACCCCACAGCTGGCTCTCCCACCCCTCAGCAAGCTCTCGCAGTTACCACATGATCCTTCGTGTTTCTTGCCTTCCATTTCCCTTGGGTGGATGGTTGGGTAGGTGGGGTTTCCTGGTTTGGGGTTTCTCAGACAAGGGCCCTCTAGGGAGGGTGCCCTGGACCCCCCACCACTCCTGGGCTGAGGAGCGTGTCACATGATGCCGTTGGTGAGGTACTGGAAGCCGTCATAGAGTTTGGTGGTGATAGACCGCATACTGCCATCCACCATCTGCTCCACCAGCAGCTGCAGCTGCTCCTCAGTCATGCTCATGTGGAACCTCTCTTTGAGGTTTCGAATGGTGCTGGAGCCATGGAAGCAAGGAAGCTGAGAACCTGGGGGAAGCAGTCGGAGTTCAGGGTCATGGATGGACGGGAGGGGCAGTGGTGTCAGCCATAGCAAATACAGAGCTGGGGCATCTGAAGTGCCCTTTTCCTCCCACCTCAGGTCCTTGATGATGTGGGTGCAGTTCTGCTTGGGCAGAGAGAAGGAACCGGCAGGAACCCCTCATCACCCCACGCCTAAGCCCTTCTGTAGGTGAGGGCATGTGGGCAGAGGAAGGAAGGGGACCAACACCACATCTCCCTCAGTAAGGGTGGAGGGGCCCAGAGGGCAGGCTGGGAGGAGGCTGGAGGGAGTGGGCCCTGAGCTGGGCACTTATCTGGTTGCAGACCTCTGCCTATGCTACGTCTGACACTCACAGATGACCTGGGCCACCGTCATCATGGGGCCAGATGGGGATGATCCTGAGCAACGGCGACAACCTGTGGGGTAGGGGCAGGAATGGGGAGGAGGGGGAGACTGGCAGTTCAGACCTGGTATACACCTGGAGCCTTGAGGAGGGGGATGAGGACAGAAGGGGGTCCTGGGCAAAAGACTGTAGATGGCAAGACTGTAGTGGAAGGAGATAATGATGAGAGGGGAAATACTTCTCAGAGCTGAAGGGTGGCAGAGGACAGGGCAATCAGAGGTCATAGTGGAATGGAGAAGACAGATGGAAGGAGACTGAGAAACTCAGAGCTGGACAGGGGTGGGGAGGTGAGAAGGGACCAGGAGGCTGTAAATGGGCCTGTTTTCTCCCTAAAGATGCCAAGGAGGCAGGTGCTGCTATCCCCTTCCCCAGCCTTCTGGACTTAGCCTTACCAGGGTCAGGAGGAATGTCCTAAAGGAGAAACAAGGCACTGGACCAGAGCTAGAAACTCTCTGGGAACCCCCCTCCCTCAACCGAGTCTCGTGGGATCAGCTTTCTTATGCTCCAGGGCTCCGACTTAAAGGGGAAGCCTGAGGCACTATAGCACCTGACCTCACCCCAGCCCCACCTTGCTGCATGATCTCCACGATCTGCACCACCTTGTCCATGTGTTTCCGAGCGGCAATCAGCCCTTGCAGCATCAGCATCTTATAGTAGTTGAACATGTCGCCATCCAGGCCGCCCATCACCTGGAAAGGGAAGAGAGCGTTGTGTGCACAAGGGGTCTTACACCGGGGATGGTCCCTGTCCTGACTGGCCTACCAGAACTCCTCCTCCTCTTGGGGCCCTGTTATTTCCCCCTTCCTTATTGGGCAGGAAGCTCCCAGGAACTCCTGCCTCACCCCTAATTACTGCCTGTTCTGTTCATCCCTAATTTGCAGGGAGCCCATCAGCTCCCTCTCCCATGACAGAGAAAGAATACAATGACCCCCGAGAGGCACCTCTCCTTCTTGACTCACATCCACAAACTCTGTGGTCAGCTTAAAGGCTGACGTCTCAAAGCCCAGATTTCGGGGTGAGCTGGAGAGGATGAAGCCAAAGTCGATGTGGATGATGTGGCCTTCTGCGTCCAAAAGGATATTCCCATTGTGTCTGAGGAGGGGGAATAGAGGAGAGGAAGAGGCAGTAGTCAGTCTGACTGAGGCTGGAACCTTAAGCAGCAATACACTGGCCACATGACACCAGGGAGGGGGGTCCCCTGCCATGTTTCCTGCTGCCCGTAACTCCAATCTCCTGTCCAGTTTCCTAGGACCTAAAGCTATCAGTGGAAAGAAAGGAAATCAGAAAACTGCTAACAAAGGCTATGGGGTCTGAAATTGCTATTAATAATTTAATAAAAATAGTTTAAGATTCTCCCAATTTCCCAGAAATTGCACTTCTGGCACCCAAACTATCCCAATCTAGTAGAGAATCCAGAAGCAAGGAAAGAGGGCCTCTGAGGCTCCAGCCAGCTGTCACAGAGGCCAAGCGCTCTACTCAGGGGAGGCTCTATTCTGAGCCTGTTTACCTGTGGGTTATTTGTAACTCCTGTCAGCCCACTGCAGATCAGAGGCCTCACTGGAAGGGAACAACAACAGAAGCAAGCAGGCTGAGTGGAGCTGAAATGTAAAATAGCGTGGGGGCTTCAAGGGGTAAGTTTTAAATCACTTACTTAAAAAGTCTCAGGATGAGGCAGTACTACAGGGCAGCTGTAGAAGAGTTAAAGGGAGATAAATCCCAGGTCTTTGTGATTCCCACATGAATGGCCAGTAGCAGAAGGAACAATTAACATGCTAAGCATGTGAGGCCTGGCCTATTCAGCATAACTGGCCTACTCAGTGTCAATAGAGGCTTTGTTAGGCTAAGAGCTGATGGTCTGAGGGCCACCTTCTCTGGGGTTGGTTTGGCCAAAAGAGGAGGGACAAAAGGAGAACCTAGTCCAACCTGAGTTCTTCCCCACTCAGGGAAAACACTAAAGATTTAGCAATCCAGGCACAATCTTGTGAGCCAGAATGGTTCTAGGAGTTGTCATGGTTCAACCTCACATTTTACAGGTGAAGAAAACAGAGGCCCTGAGAGAGGAAGTGATTTACTTGCCCAAGGTGCCATAGCCTCTCTTTTCACTACCAGAGTTAGCTCCAGCTGGAAAGCTGCTTAGGACTACTTTTGAAGCAGTTAAAGAGATCCTAAAACCTGACTCCAGTATGGGGCCTCATTCATTGTTGCCACTTCTTTCCATTGGTTGATTCCATTCATGGCTCGACTATATCTATTCTTTTTTGAGGTACTATGAACGGCTTATCAGCTACCTGCCCTCCTCTATCCCTTCTTTTTTAGAGGATGGACTCTCATCTTCCAAACATACTAATTCCCTAAAGGAAAGCCCTGGGGCCTGACTAGTGCCAGCTTCCCTGCCACCCATTTACTCAATCCCAGGACTGAGCTCTAGGCTCCCTGGGCCCTGAGTTCAAAATCCTGACACTTTGAGATAGTCTGAAGCTTGCAATCAAATTCCTTATAAATAATTGCATTCTCGGCCGGATGCAGTGGCTCACGCCTGTAATCCCAGCACTTTGGGAGGCTGAGGCAGGAGGATCACCTGAGGTCAGGAGTTTGAGACCAGCCTGGCCAAGATGGTGAAACCCCGTCTCTACTAAAAATACAAAAATTAGCTGGGCGTGGTGGCGCATGCCTGTAATCCCAGCTAATCAGGAGGCTGAGGTGGGAGAATCACTTGAACTCTGGGAGGCAGAGGTTACAGTGAGCCGAGATCACGCCACTGCACTCCAGCCTGGACAACAGAGCAAGACTCTGTCTCACACACACACACAAAAATATTACATTCTCCTACAGCTCTCAAATGCAGAGCCTGGGTCCATTTGTAGGGCTGGCAGGGTGGAATGAGCGCAGGGTGGAATGAGCACAGGGTCTAAAAGCTACCTGACTGTTATTTCCCTCATGAGGAAACACGTGTCTGACAGGGTTTTCATCTGGTTTAAATATAAGAATGTCAGGCCATGGCAGAACTTAATAGATGCTAGATTTCTTTTTTTTTTTTTTGAGATGAAGTCTCACTCTGTCACCCAGGCTGGTGTGCAATGGTGCGATCTTGGCTCACTGCAACTTCTGCCTCCTGGGTTCAAGTGATTCTCCTGCCTCAGCCTCCCAAGTAGCTGGGAATACAGGCGCCCGCCACCACACCCAGCTAATTTTTTATTTTTAGTAGAGATGGGGTTTCACCGTGTTGGTCATGCTGGTCTCAAACTCCTGACCTCAGGCGATTTGCCCACCTCGGCCTCCCAAAGTGCTGGGATTACAGGCGTGAGCCACCACACCCAGCCTAAGACTAATTTTTATTTTTTTTTTTGAGATGGAGTCTCAGTGTCACCCAGGCTGGTGTGCAGTCGCGCGATCTCATCTCACTGCAACCTCCACCTCCCGGGTTCCAGCAATTGTCCTGCCTCAGCCTCCTGAGTGGCTGGGATTACAGGCATGCGCCACCACGCCTGGTGAATTTTTGGTATTTTTAGTAGATATGGGGTTTTGCCATGTTGGTCAGGCTGGTCTTGAACTACTGACCTCAGGTGATTCACCTGCCTCAGGCTCCCAAAGTGTTGGGATTACAGGCGTGAGCCACTGCATCCAGCCTAGATGCTACATTTCTAATAAGCTGCTCTGTTAGCTAGCTAGCTAGCTAGTTGTTTTGTTTTGTTTAGACAGGGTCTCACTCTGTTGCCCTTAACCTCCTGCTCAAGTGATCCTCCCACCTCAGCCTCCAAAGTAGCTGGGACCACAGCTGTATACCACCATGCTTGGCTAATTTTTATTTTTTGTAGAGACGGGATCTAACTATGTTGCCTAGGCTAGTCTCGAACTCCTGGGCTCAAGCGATCCTCCTGCCTCGGCCTTGTTGGCTAGATTTTTTTTTTTTTTTTTTGAGACTCGCTTTGTTGCCCAGACTAAAGTACTGTGGCATGATCTTGGCTCACTGCAATCTCCACCTCCTGGGTTCAAGCAATTCTCCTGCCTTACCTCCCGAGTAGCTGGGATTACAGGTGTGCATCACCAAGCCCAGCTAATGTATGTATGTATGTGTATGTATATATATAAATTTTTTTTTTTTTTTGAGTTGGAATTTCACCCTTGTCGTCCAGTCTGGAGTGCAATGGTGCCATCTTGGCCCACTGCAACCTCTGCCTCCCGGGTTCAAGTGATTCTCCTGCTCAGCCTCCCAAATAGCTGGGATTAGGCGCCTGCCACCAGGCCCAGCTAATTTTCTTTTTGTATTTTAGTAGAGATGGGGTTTCACCATGTTGGCCAGGCTGGTTTCAAACTCCTGACCTCAGGTGATCCACCCGTGTCAGCCTCCCAAAGTACTGGGATTATAGGCATGAGCCACCACACCCAGCCATTATTAGCTAGATCTTAATGGGCCACCATGTTACTGGAAGCCCCAGCAGCACTGGCCATTGCATTTCCACCTTTCCAGGACAGCTGCCCTGTGCCGAGGGTCTAGAGCTGGAACTCATAGGAGCATTCAGGGCAGAGACCCTGGGTCACTGTTGGGAGATACTCTTAGAAGGCAGGGCCTAGATGGTGTAATTATTTTTGTACATTATGTGCCTCACCTATATGTGTAGTTAGTTTTCATCAAGGTCATGTCATATTGAAAAAAAATGACAGCTCTGGGCAAAACAACAGATACTTAAAAGCTGTGGAAATCATATGCTGGAATAAGAAGTGAGGAGAGTTCATGGCTGAGAGTTTCCACTTCATCTCCATCATGTTTCTCCTTTCTGCTCTCAGTCACTAACCACTACCCTTAGTGCCAGGCCCTATTATCTCTTGCTTTGTTGCTAAACACCCAATTACATCCACCTTCACCCACAGTGCCACAGGGCATTTAATCAACACAGACTGGATCATGTCATTCCTCTGCCTGCAAAATAAAACACCTAAGCTTCACAATGAAGGCCCTTCTTCAACTGGCCTCAATTTACCTGCCTCATGGTACCACCTCCTACTCCACTGCCATGCAGTGCAGTCTGTGCTTTAATCACATTCAATTATTTCTTCTAGCTGGGATGTACCTCCCCTGCAGCTTCCTCTGTCATCATTTTCCCTTGTCCTTGAAGACCCTGCTCACTCAAACCCTTAGTCCTCCCATAAATCCTTCATTTCTTTGCCCTTTTACCCTAGTTCTTATTAGTCTGCCTCCTGACTTAATGTCATGGGAACACATCTGTCTCTGCTTAAAATACATTGTTTCATTTTTCACATCTTTGCCATGGAGGGCAGTAATAAGTAATTGAGAACTACACACGAAGGGACAGAGAGAACCCTGGAGAAATGTTAGGATGAGCAGCAGAAGTCACCTACCTGTCCTTGACTTGCAGCAGGTAGCAGACCAAGCAGTACCCAGCACAACTTTGCACAAAATTGCGCTGTGCACTGAGGAATGCCTCAGTGGTGTAACTGCCGTGCTCCTGTAGGAAGTAATCGAGCAAGGAGAGCTGTGACTGTTTCTTCACCTGATGGATGGACACAGCATTGACCACTGGTTCAATCATGCCACTATCAGCCGAAATCACAAGAATCTTGTATGGCTTGATCCAAAGGGGCACTCGCTCCTGTTCCCAAATGGACTGTGAGGAGACATGGAGGATACAGGACTCTTATCTTTCTCCAAACTAGAGAAGAAGGCTAAAACTCTTCCCTTTCTCCAGCCTCTCTCCTTGGTAGCATTGAATTCTAAGCCATCAAATGAGTAAGACTCACTTAACCCAGTGAGGACCAGGGAGTTTGGAAAGGAAGTCTAGGGCCTGACAAAGTCAGAAACTACACTCAGGTATGTGGGAAAAGGTATCACCTAAGTAGAAAGCCCAAGACAGGCAGGGAGAACAGGAAACTTCACTATCCCCTCTCAAGCAGGGAGAATGGGAGCTGTAAGTTCAAATAATAAGAAAAAAGAGGCCAGGTGCGGTGGCTTATGCTTGTAATCCCAGCACTCTGGGAGACCAAGGAGGGCGGATCACCTGAGGTCAGGAGTTCAAGACCAGCCTGGCCAACCTCAGTAGAGAGTGAAACCTCGTCTTTACTAAAAATACAGAAATTAGCCAGGCGTGGTGGTGTATGCCTGTAATCCCAGTTACTCAGGAGGCTAAGGCAGGAGAATCGCTTGAACCCAGGAGGTGGAGGTTGCAGTGAGCCAAGATTGCACCACTGCACTCCAGCCTGGGCGACAGAGCGAGACTCTCTCCGACGAAAAAAAAGAAAAAAGGAAAGGATTTAGGTCCAGAGAAGACTTCTCTGGAAAATGAAAATATTTATATGGTATAAAGAACAGTATTAAACAATTAAGTGGCTTGCAGGTGACCAACCCAGGGGTATCAGAAGATCAATATTTCAGCACACTATAACCTACCTGCTACAGACCAATTTGGGAAGTTTTTATGTTGTTTTTTAAAGGGGGGAGGACCAAATTATTATTATTTAAAAATTTGATTACAACCAATTGTGTTGGCATTAAAATTAGAGGCATTAAGTTTGAATAATGGATATATGCCAAAAACCAAAAATTGAGTTTGGCAAAAACGGGCAAGGAAGTTTTCCAGTAATTTCAGATTAGAAATCAATTTAGAGAAATGAACCCCATGTTTACAATGATTGTGCCACAGATTTAAACTTCAGTAGTGCATTAGTAAACTGTTCACATTTAGATCTTCACCTTGAGATTTGACAGCTATTTCTTGAAAAAATCTCAGTGCCTTGTATAAATAAATTGGTCTTCCATGTGCCTTAGCACACACTTAACACTAGGAAAAGGTGGGTCACTAAACTTTGCCTCCGCAAAATTTTCTTTTTGGCTCACTTCAGTTAGAAATGCTGATTTCTTCAGCCAGGAGCGGTGGCTCATGCCTGTAATTCCAGCACTTTGGGAGGTGGAGGTGGGCGGATCACCTGAGGTCGGGAGTTCGAGACCAGCCTGGCTCACATGGAGAAACCCTATCTCTACTAAAAATACAAAATTAGCCGGGCGTGGTGGCGCATGCCTATAATCCCAGCTACTTGGGAAGGCTGAGGCAGGAGAATCGCTTGAACCTGGGAGGCGGAGGTTGTGGTGAGCCGAGATTGCGCCATTGCACTCCAGCCTGGGAAACAAGAGCAGAACTCCATCTCAAAAAAAATAAAATAAGGAAAAAAAAACGCTGATTTCTTCAAATGCATATTTTTCTCAGAGACAGGGTCTTGCTATGTTGCTCAGGCTGGAGTGCAGTGGCTATTCACAGTCTCGATCCTGTTACTGATGAGCACGGGAGTTCTGACCTGCTCCATTTCCGACCTGGGCCAGTTCACCCCTCCCTTAGGCAACCTGATGGTCCCCTATTCCTAGGAGGTCACCATATTGATGCCGAACTTAGCGCGGACACCCAATTGGCATAGTGGACTGCAGCCCAGAACTCCTGGGCTCAAGACATCCTCCCACCTCAGCCTCCTGACTAGCTGAGACTACAGGCCCATGCCAGGGTGCCAGGACATTTTGGAAGTTTTGATCTAAAAGGCAAACCTAGCACTCTAAAGTTCAGACTTGGAACAGGACAGGTGCAGGTCACAAAAGGGCCAAAAGAGGCCGCTGTGGAGCTGTTCCTATGGCTGTTCTTCCCAGGGGAAAGTTGCACTAGCTTCTCTTTACTCTGCTTTTGTTTTAGACCTTGGCAGGAAGGTGGTCCCCGGCAGAATAATCTGTGTAGTCACCTCCGGTTGGCTGGAGTTGGGCTGAGTTTCCCTTTCTCTCCTTTTTTTTTGAGACAGAGTCTTGCTCTGTCGCCCAGGCTAGACTGCAGTGGCACAATCTCAGCTCACTGCAACCTCTGCCTCCTGGGTTCAAGCTATTCTCCTGCCTCAGCCTCCCAAGTAGCTGGGATTACAGGTGCCCATCACTGCACCCAGCTAATTTTTGTATTTTTATTTTTATTTTTTTTTTTTTGAGACGGAGTCTCGTTCTGTCGCCCAGGCTGGAGTGCAGTGGTGCAATCTCCGCTCACTGCAAGCTCCGCCTCCCGGGCTCACGCCATTCTCCTGCCTCAGCCTCCGGAGTAGCTGGGACTACAGGCGCCCGCCACCACACCCGGCTAATTTTTTGTATTTTTAGTGGAGACAGGGTTTCACCGTGTTAGCCAGGATGGTCTCGATCTCCTGACCTCGTGATCCACCCGCCTCGGCCTCCCAAAGTGCTGGGATTACAGGCATGAACCACCACACCCGGCCATAATTTTTGTATTTTTAGTAGAGACAGGGTTTCACCATCTTGGCCAGGCTGATCTTGAACTCCCGACTTTGTAATCCACCCGCCTCGGCCTCCCAGAGTGCTGGGATTACAGCCACTGTGCCTGGCCTCTCCTTCTCTTCTCTTACCTGCAGTTGCTTCAACACCTGAAAGGCCAGAAGCTCTTGCCGAAGGTCATCCCCACACTTGACAATGACTGACAGGAGCCGCCAATTGGGGAGATGGCCGTAGGGGGAGCCCTCTCTGATCCGCCTGTGAAGACAGAAGTAAAGGGTGTCAAAGGTTGATGCCAGGGTGAGGACAAGAGACATGGCTTCCACAAAAAATCCCAAGCAAACGCCCCATAGGGCAAGGACCCAGACAGCCTGGAAGCCTGACAGATTTTTTTGGAGGCTGATGGACAATAAAGTTGGTGCAGTGAGCACTTACAACTGCCTCTGAGCTTTGAGAGGGGTTCAGAGACCCACACCCAACTCACCGTACTTTCTCCTGCCAGGGCTCTTTGAGAGCAACTGCAGAAGGATCTTCTGGGTCTCGTTTGAAGGCTGTCGGGGTATGAGCCAGCTGTTCCGAAAGGCGCCGGCTGGCAGGAAGAAAATACATCATTTGCTTGGAGAAGCTACCCCCAAGCCCCATGCCCAGTCTATACTGACATTTCCTGCACTGTCTCCTGGATTCTGGACACACAAAGATAGGAACCCAGGCTGAAAGGGACTCATGGAAGAAAACATAACCAATGACACCTTTTTGCTAACTGATTGTAATCATGTTAAAATTAAGATTACCAGGCCCTCCATATTCCTCTACCAAGGCTGATTCAGAATGGGTGTGTCTCTAGAATTTGCATTTTTCTTTTCTTTTCTTTTTTTTTTTTTTTTTGAGATAAGAATCTCGCTGTGTCTCCCAGGCTGGAGTGCAGTGGCGAGATCTCGGCTCACTGCAAGCTCCGCCTCCTGGGTCCACGCCATTCTCCTGCCTCAGCCTCCCGAGTAGCTGGGACTACAGGCGCCCACCACCACGCCCAGCTAATTTTTTTTTTGTATTTTTTTGGTAGAGATGGGGTTTCATCGTGTTAGCCAGGATGGTCTCGATCTCCTGACCTTATGATCTACCCGCCTCAGCCTCCCAAAGTGTTGGGATTACAGGCGTGAGCCACCGCACCCAGCCTAGAATCTGCATTTTCAACAAGTCCTCCTTCCTCCCCCTGGATTCTGACACAGTCGCTTTGAGACCCCACCTTGAGACACACTGCTCAAACTCCTTCCTCTGGTGCTTTCTTGTTTTTTTTTTTTTTTTTTTTTGAGACGGAGTCTCGTTCTGTCGCCCAGGCTGGAGTGCAGTGGTGCGATCTCGGCTCACTGCAAGCTCCGCCTCCCGGGTTCACGTCATTCTCCTGCCTCAGCCTCCCAAGTAGCTGGGACTACAGGCATCCGCCACCACGCCTGGCTAATTTTTTTGTATTTTTAATAGAGACGGAGTTTCACCGTGTTAGCCAGGATGGTCTCGATCTCCTGACCTCGTGATCTGCCCGCCTCGGCCTCCCAAAGTGATGGGGTTACAGGTGTGAGCCACTATGCCCGGCCCCTCTGGTGCTTTCATCCCTTTGGAGTCTTTTTAAAATTTAATTTCCTTCTTTGGTAGCCCAAGTAATTTCTCAACCTACACCTTCATTGCCTCAAGTTTGGTGGCCCCAAACAAGGACAGAATGAAAGAGGGAAAGACACAGGCCAACAACAGATGATTGAGATGGAGAGGAAGGTAACAAAGAGATGGGAAGTTCCTGAAAGAGGGATGAAAAATGAGGGGCAATGTGATCTGGCCATACCGGATGTCCCCTGCTGCAATGAACACAGGCTCCTTGCTCTCCTGGCTGGTGATGCTGTCCACAGAGAACTGGGAGATGTTGTCACAGCTGTTGGTATGCACTTCGGGGAGCTGGAGAAAGGGGAGTGCTGGTCAGAAGTGCTAAAGTATAGGTCTCCCGTCTTTCCCCTCCTGCTTGCTTGCTATCACTGCAGCATGCTCATCCCTCTCTTTCAAACTCTGCTTACACACCATGTTGGTTACTGGGACCCCAGGCTGCCCAGAGCAGCATTTCTCAACATGTGAACTACCTGCAGTAGAATTACCCAGAATGCAGATTCCCAGGCCCCACCATCAATCTGAATTATAATTACTAGGAATGGGATCTGAAAGTCTGAATTTTTAACAAGTTCTCCAGAAGACTTCCAATGCACTAAAGTTTGCAAACCACTGCCATGACCATTACAGGAGCTCAAAATTTCAGCCTCACTGAGAGTCCCCCAAGGATAGGGATGCGTTCTCCCCTAGGGTCCAAAGCAGACTCTTTGCAGACTAGCTTCTGACAGTTTCTTCAATCTAAGTCATTCAATCTTATCTTCTCATCTCTCTCTAAATACAGAATATTCTACCAGACCCCAAGGCCCATGTCAAGTCTCTTCTGTCCTTCATACCAGAGCATTTCTTCTCAACTCCATTTGTCACCTAGTACACACTGCTTTGTTGTATATCTAAATTTTTTTTTCTTAAATGTCTAATTTCTGCAATTGGACTATAAGCTCAAAGACAGAGATTCTGCCTTTTGGCAAAGTGAAACCTGGCTGTGTGTTTTTTTTTTTTTTTTTTAGACGGAGTTTCGCTCTTGTTGCCCACGCTGGAGTGCAATGGTGTGATCTCGGCTCACTGCGACCTCCGCCTCCCAGGTTCAAGCGATTCTCCTGCCTCAGCCTTCTGAGTAGCTGGGATTACAGGCGCGCGCCACCATGCCTGGCTAATTTTTTGTATTTTTAGTAGGAACGGGGTTTCACCATGTTAGTCAGGCTGTTCTTGAACTCCTGACCTCAGGTGATCTGCCCACCTCAGCCTCCCGAAGTGCTGGGATTGCAGGCGTGAGCCACCGCGCCTGGCCCTGGCTGTGTTTTTGTTTTGTTTTGTTTTAAGACAGAGTCTCACTCTGTCACCCAGGCTGGAGTGCAGTGCTGTGATCTCAGCTCCCTGCAGCCTCCGCCTCCCAGGTTCAAGTGATTCTTGTGCTTCAAGAATCACTTGCCTCCCGAGTAGCTGGGATTACAGGCATGTTCCACCACACCTGGCTTTTTTTTTTTTTTCTTTTGAGACGGAATTTTGCTTGTCACCCAGGCTGAAGTGCAGTGGCGTGATCTTGGTTCACTGCAACCTCCGCCTCCTGGGTTCGAATAATTCTACTGCCTCAGCCTCCCGATTAGCTGGGATTACAGGCACATGCCACCACGCCCGGCTAATTTTTGTATTTTTAGTGGAGACGGGGTTTCACCATGTTGGCCAGGCTGGTCTCGAACTCCTGACCTCAGGTGATCTGCTCGCCCTGTCCTCCCAAAGTGCTGGGATTACAGGCGTGCGCCACCGCACCCGGCATAATTTTTCTAGTTTTAGTGGAGATGGAGTTTCACCTTGTTGGCCAGGCTGGTCTCGAAATCCTGACTTCAAGCGATCCACCCACCTCGGCCTCCCAAAGTGTTGGGATTACAGGTGTGAGCCACTGCGCCTGGCCAGCTGTGTTAATAGCTCTACACAAAATTCTGCTCTGGCTCTTCATGCCCCAGAATAAAGTTCAAGTTTCTTTCCCCAGCTTACAGGGTCCTTCCTATAGTCTGGTCCATGCCCACGTGTCCAGTCTTATTCTTCACCACTTCTTACCTCACACCTGCACATCACAGCCAGGCAAAATTTCTTTCAATTCCTATAATGGCCCAAGCTCCCTCTTGTCTTCTGGCCTTTGCATGCAGTGTTCCCTCTGTCCAGCACTCTTTGTCCAGCTAATTCCTACCCATGCTTCCAGCCTCAGCTGAGAGATTACTTCCTCCAGGAAATCTCTTGTGATGCCCGCCCCAAGTCTGGTGCTCTTATAATGTCCTATCCTTTCCCCCATGACTTGACTCTCACCACACTACAACTACTTGCTTACTGGCCTTGTTCTCTTTCCAGTTAGGTCATAAATCCCTTGTAGGCAGGGGCCAAGTCTTGTTCACTAGCATACAGCACTCAGGTCTGGCACATAGAAGGCCCTCAATAAAAATTTCTTGAATGAATTAATGTATGACTTCTCATCCTCTGCTATTCTATGACAACTTTATGTAGGTGTTCAATAAATATTTTCATTAAATTTCCCTCACTCCCCTTGGCCTAGAAGCTCCTCTTTACATTTAAATCTGAATCCTTCACCTGGAAAATGAACTCCACCTGAATCTATTCCAGGCTAGAGTTGTTCAGAGCTTTCCCCATATTACCCCTCACTACCTACACCACTCATTAGGATACTTGCCTTACCCTGCCTTGGGATATGCTGTCTTGTTTCCAATATAGTGAAAGCTCCTGGAGAAAGCTCCTGTGACCCAGCATTACCTCCCTGAAGCCCTCTCACCTCCACTTGCAGCTCGCCTATGTCATCCACCGACCAGGCCTCATCATCGTTGTCATAGTTGGGCACAGTGCTGAAGCTGCCAGCTCGCTGCTCATGGGTAATACCACATTCGGGCAAGTTTTCTACGGACCTCGTACTCCGAATTCGGTTCTCGGGGATCCGGGCAGGGACACTGGTGGTGTCAAAGTTTTCACATTCAAGGACTTCCACATAAATCAGGTAGGGAGCCTGGGGGAAGAGTGAGACAGTATTTGCAACTTACTTCCACCACTAACCCCCAAATCTCAACTCTGTTAGCAAGGTTCTTCCTGCTGTCCTTTCTCCTAGCTCCAGCCTTCATCCAATAGTCCTCTGAAACTATGAACACTATATTTAGGGCAGATACTTGTCCTATGATCACCTATGTAAAGAATTTGTGTGACAGAATCCTTAAGTCTTCAAAATATTTCAACTGAGCTCCAAAATGTACAGATGATGTGCTTGGGCCAAACCACTCTAGACTATCAATTACAGGCTGTAAGGGAGGCCTAGATGCCTCTGTGGGCTCGTCCTGAAGACAGGGCCCAGGGAGCTACAGTGGACAAAAAGACTGGGACAAAGCTGGGCACTGTCCCAAGGAGTGTCCCAAACTTCAGTATTTCCTTTGAAAGAAGAATATGGGCCGGGCGCGGTGGCTCACGCCTGTAATCCTAGCACTTTGGGGGGCCGAGGCGGGTGGATCATGAGGTCAGGAGTTCAAGACCAGCCTGGCCAAGATGGCGAAACCCCGTCGCTACTAAAACTACAAAAATTAGCCGGGTGTGGTGGCAGGCGCCTGTAATCCCAGCTACTCAGGAGGCTAAGGCAGGAGAATCGCTTGAACCTGGGTTGCGGAGGTTGCAGTAAGCCAAGATTGTGCCACTGCACTCCAGCCTCCGCAATAGAGTGAGACTCCATCTCAAAAAAAAAAGAAGAATCTGAACCATGAATACTCATTCCAGTCAGCACACAAATTCAGCTAATTCTCTCCAGTGTGAATTGGGCATCCTTCTCTCCTTTTGTCGGCTCATTCTGATCAGAAAAGGTCTTAGAAACAAAATATTTCTCTATCCTTATGGTTGCTGTATCTGGAAAGCCCAAGAGTTATAGAAAGGCTGGAGAAAAGCTACCAAAATGACCATAAGGTGGGGTGAAGAGCAATTCTCCTAAGATACAGCAAGAAGGAAGCTAAAAAGATTAGGTTTCTTTGGTCCAGAAAAACAAAGCCCAAAAAGGGATACAGGGGGGCTCTCAAAATCACAATCGCACTGAGACAGAGTCATGGTTGACATATGCATCATGAACTATGAAGGGAGTCTAGGATGTTGGTGAGGGCCTCACTGGTCATACACGCAAACTCTGAACAACCATGGGTGAAGAGTCACGTCCAGGGTAGGGGTTTGGGCCAGAACCCATCTACCTTGTCCTTGGAGTTGAGGACAACAGCCTGTGTGTGGGGTACACGGACCACGTGGTGGTCAAAGCCAGCAGTGGGCAGCCAGACTCGGGCAGGGAGCTTATGGTTGAGCAGGGAGAGCTCTGAGATCAGCCTCTGTGTTTTCTGCTCTTTGGTGGGGAGCGTGGCCAGCCGCTTGCCGATCGCCATCAGGGACTTGATGAATTCTCTCTCAGGAGCCAGTCGAACAGGCTACAGGGGTTTGGGGTAAGACAAAAGATGGTGAAGAAACCATAGAATACAATGGCACACCCACTCAGTCACTCCTGGCCATGCAGGCCGGGGACCCCACTATCTGGAGAACTCCAGGAAAGCAGCTGCTTTTTAGTCTTAGTAGGAGCTTCCACCCACCCTTCACAACTTGAATTGAGAATAGCCAGCACATTCCTTCCCTATAGGCTATCCCTTGAGGGTAAGGGAGGCCATGAGTCCAGGTAACTGGGATGCACTCCTCTTCTCCTGGACTTGGGTTCCTTAAGGACTGTACCAAGGCTTCAGAGTGAGCAGGGGGACATCTGGATAGGTTAGCCAGGGCCACAGAGAGAAGAGCTGCTTACACCTGAATTGTTTCACCCTTTTCAAGAACAGGGTTGTCCTTCTCCCCATCTGGATCCTTGGGCTAGATCTCTGCCGAGGGGCTCCGTCAAGTCCCGCAAGGCTAGAGAAGGGAGCCCCACATCATTTCCACTTTCAAAGAGGGAAGATGCTCGTCATTCAAATTACTTCTGTTGATTTCCATGGTATCCCCCTGTCCGTCCCACAATCTCTTACCAGGCGTCAATGCACATGCAGGGGATGGAAAGAGGATGAGCCGATGAGCAGACTTTGCATTAATCAAGGAGAAAGAAAAAGCAGATGGAAGGAGGTAGGTAGATGGAGAAAGCAACAGCTCCTTTTAGCCCTTGATGATGGCCCTGAAGGCCTGTCTCTTTTAGTGACTCCTCTTTGGGTCCTCTTCCCCTACCTCTCAGTGACTAGGTTCCTCATATTAATTCCCTGCTGTGAGTTTGGCTCCTTGTGCTGGGCAATTCAGTCATCCTCAGAAAGAGCAAAGTTGGTCTTGGAATTAAGGTGCAGGTGGGGAAAAAGAGGGACTCAGCTAGACACGAAGAAAGGCTCTCTTCCCAGTCTAAGCCCTTCTACCGTAAGGGGCATTTTATCAAGACAGCCACCCAACTCCCCATCCCATCTCCCCTCCTTTGTAGAAACAGCATTTGACTCACCAAGCCTTTCTCTCCCTTTCCGTGTGTCTTGCTTAGTTTCTGGATTGAGAGAATTTCTATCCTTGCTCCCTCGAACTCTAAAAGAGCTTCTTTTGAAAACTGGGGAGTATCAGGCCTACCTCTACATGTGCAACAGTGCCAGGATTCAAAGGAAAAGCTCATTCCAGCCTCTGCCTCTTGGGAGATGGTTCAGAGTGCCACATAGGGACTGAAAGAGGGTGTCTGAATCCTTCAGGAATGCTTTAAGTGACATTGTTGAAAAGAGATAAAGAAAAGGAAAACAATGGAATTGGGTTTCTAAGGTCCCTGGAAATATCCTGGGGGTCTAATAGAGAAAGAAAATAAGAGGAAATTTGAAGACTCACTTCTTCCTTCATCTGAATCCACTCAGATGGCAACTGATCTCTGTCCCAAGGACCCTCTACCCCACCCAATTCATAATCATCTCAGATTAGAAAAGGCAGAATTCCTTCCCATTCTCAAATCAGCATTTGGGTTAGGGGCCCCTAAGTTACGTGAGCATGTTAGAAATGTGACCCCAGGCCTCAAGAGAGAGGCTCTGCCACATGAGAGGAGATAGGAATCATGACTGAAAGGGGATTAGCACAGAACAGAGAAAACTGATTTGATAGACAAATCAAATAGAAAATATAAAAAAAATCAGCCAAACTCCCAGAGGTCCTGCATTTCCTCTCACGTCTTTGCCCAGCAACAAGGTCCAAGACCCTGTGGGACCAAAGGGTCAGGGGTTAGTC